>NC_000012.12:91835128-92460128 GCF_000001405.40 Homo sapiens | reverse complement strand
TGGGAGGATCCAGTTCAAATGGACCATGGTGGTAATAAGGAGTGAGCAGAAGGAGATATCTGGATATGCAAAGGCCCTGAGGCATGAATGAGCTTGGAGTGTTCAGTGAACTGAAAGAGGACAGTGTAGTTGGAGAAAGGGGAAGGAGGTGAGGTTAGAGAATGCATGCAAGACCTCCTAAACTGTATCAAGAGAGAAGAACAAGTTAAGGTTTTATATTTCTTAAAAATGAAAACATGTAGCTTCATTTATTAAAGAAAAATCAATACAGGGAAAGTTTTCTGGATAAACTTTTGTGGTCTTTTTTGAGGGACATAATTTCTCATCTATTTATTTTTGAAATCTCCAAGGAGAAGGTAGTGATTGTGTAACAAGAACACACCTTTTTGTGAATAATTACATAATAATACTACCAGAGTAAAGCATTTAGAGAGAGGAGGTGATTTTATTCTTTTCAACCTGGAATTTTTAGTAGATAAAGATAAAACATTTCAAATTGTCTCCAAATACATTGCTATCTCTGCAGGGATTCAAATTACTGTTCTTTCTCCCTTTTACAAAAGAGTCATATCCTAATAATTCATTACACTAAAGAAAAACATCTATACAAACTTTGCATATTACATTCCTGAGATACCACAAGAATCAAAATAAAGTCATTAATGCAGAAGTATACATATATAATATTTAACTTTCTAAAAATCTGCAGAGTGTAGCAATATAACAGAGAACTTGACAGAGAATTACAGCTTCTGAAATAGTATTTTGCAGATGGTAATTTATGACACTATCACTTAATACCCATAAGAATATGATCTCAGCAGGTATTCTAGGCCAGATTGAAATGCAGGGAACTCTTAATAGAAATGATAAAATAGTGGTATGGTTTGGCTCTGTGTCCCCACTCAAATCTCATGTTGAATTGTAACCTGCGGTGTTGGAGGTGGGACCTGGCGGGAGGTGATTCAATCATGGGGGTGGTTTCTAATAGTTTAGCACCATCTCCCTGGTGCGGTCTCATTATAGAGTTCTCACGAGATCTGGTTGTTTATATATATACACATACACATACAGATACACATACACACACACACACACACACACACACACACAAATAAATAAATAAATAAATAAATAAATAAATATATGTATGTGTGTGTGTGTGTGTGTGTGTGTATGTGTGTGTGTGTGTATATATATTTTGGAAACAGAGAGTCTCACCCTGTTACCCAGGCTGGAGTGCAGTAGCACAATGTCAACTCACTGCAACCTCTGCCTCCTGGGTTCAAGCAATTCTTGTGCCTCAGCATCCCGAGTAGCTGGGATAACAGGTATGTGCCACCGCTCTCGGCTAATTTTTTGTATTTTAGTAGACACGAGTTTTTACCATGCTGCCCAGGCTGGTCTCAGACTCCTGAGCTCAGGCAATCTACTCACCTTGGCCTCCCAAAGTGCTAGGATTGCAAGTGTGAGCCACCACGCCCGGCTGAGATCTGGTTGTTTAAAAGTGTTACCTTCCCCTTCACTCTGTCTCTCTTGCTCTGCCATGTGAAGATGTGCCTACTTCCCCTTCACCTTCCACCATGATTGTGTTTCCTGATGCCTCCATATCCATGCTCCCTGTACAGCCTGTGGAACTGTGAGTCAATTAAATCTCTTTTCTTTGTAAATTACCCAGTCTCGGGTAGTTCTTTATAGCAATGCGAGAACAGACTAATACAAATAATGATGATGATGATTAAAACAGAAGCCACTCCTAGGCAGCTAGACAGAAGAGAAAGGTTGGATTTAATGACTCTCTAGAGCCAAGAAGGTAACTAAGCACTTTTTATGTTGTGGCTTACTCTACTTTGAAGGGCTTGGTCTTGAAACACTAGATGATAGTCATGTATTCCCTTAATATCACAAACCATCAAACAGGATCAATACAGAAATGTGGAAGATAGTGTTTCAAGTTCTATAGTTTCCTCCTGCAATTTCACTGGTAAGTGGAAAAGCCTGAGTTGATTACTTAGAAGATTAAATTCCTATTACCATAAAACTGTTATGAGGAACAGATTATATGTCCTTTCTAAGTAAGCTGTTCTGGAAGATCCTCTGTGATATCTTGGAAAAAGCAGAATTAAGAGTCAGAAGACTTAATCTTGCTTACTCAAGACTAAGTATGACCCGGGACAAGTCATTTAACCTCTTTAATCATCAGCTTCCTCATCAGTGAAATGAAAACAAAAAAAAAGTTCTCCTTTGCTTACTTAACTAGGTTTTTGAGGTCAAAAGATGCCTCTGAACTTAAAAGTTACAAAAAGTAAACTGTTTAGTGTAAACTATACCTCAATAAATCTGACTTTAAGAAAAAAAAAAAGAATCACCTGCTACTCTGTGAAGCATTGTATATTTGTATTATGTTTTGTTTCCCAGTGGGAGCAGCGAAGTACTATGTGGTCACTTTAGTGTGGTCAACGTTTGTGCCACATCACACTTAGTCACCACTCACGTTTTTGGGATACAGGGGACATCTACACCTTAGGAGGTGCTGCAATGAATGGGGGCTGGGTGGGGTTGAGGATATGCTATATCTTTTTAGTTATACTTGGTCTCATATAAAAGCAACTCCAAATAAAAGCCTTCTTCCCTTTGCCTAAGATTACAAGGTGTGTTGAGAAAAATAGTACTCTTGCAAGAAGAAGAAGGCAACTAAATAGGCCCCAATCAATGGGAAATTTTCTTGCCCTTGACAAAATGTATAAAAATACCTGTTCACTGGACAGCTCTTACGGAAGTTTCACTACTCTCAATGTGTCTGCAAGTTAATGTTTCTCTCCCTTCTAATGATGAATAATATCATCATCTCTTTCTTTGCCAAACCCAGAAACCTGGGATTTATTTTAGAGTTTTCTTCTCGTTCAATTCTCATGTTTAAACCCAGCACCAATTCTATAGATTCAATTTCCTTACTGTGTCATATAGCCGTACCTTCCATTATATTTGTGTTGCCTCTGCTCTTGTTCTAGTCCTCATTTCTTCATAGAAGAATTACTACAGTAACTCCCTACCTGGCTTCCTTCATCCAGAACTCACTCTTACATGTCACTGTCTTCAATGATGGAATACTAAACGTTCTAAATTGGAGATCCGACCAAATGATTCCCTTGTTAAGAATTTTAAAATGCTCCCTGGACCTTTCAAGATAAATTATCTTAGCACACATGATTTTTATTCTCTAGCCTTCTATCAATCAAGCCCCATTATCTCATACTTCTCTACATGCGCTTTTCTGTAAATGTATCATACTGTTTCATGCTTCCATACTTTCATGCATGATGCTAACAGAGTCTAGAAAATTCTCTTCCCCTCTGTATACCTGGCTAAGTTGCTCATTTTTCAAACTGTAGCTGTAGTACCAACTCTTTCCAGACGCCTTCCTGATATTCTTTCATATAAATGTTCCTTTTTTGGGCTCTGATGATACTCTGTGTATACCACTACTGAATTCATTAGTCTTCATTAATCCTAACCCTAATATTTTCCTGTGTATTTCCAGATACTAACGATGACTGGCACATAAACTGGCATTAACACATTTCTTTTGAATGGGTGATTCAGCACCATCCAATATGGCGGCCACATCGGAAATGAAGACATTATAATAACCTGAAACTGAGTTGAATAAAACAAGGGAAGCCAAACTGTAAAGCTGTTATCTGTTAGAGTTAATACTTAAGGAAGCCAAAGGGAACAAATTAAAAGAGAGGAGCAAGGAGGCCAAAAAAAAAATTGGGGATAAATCTTACATAGGGTTCTGGCCATGGGTTGACATGTGCATTAGGTTATGAAAAGGTCCTTAAAACTACAAGATTGCGGCAAACATGATCGTTCTTTGCAGCGGCACAGGGAGAAGGAATAGCCAGTGCAAAAGCCTTGAGACAAGAGTGTGTTTGAAGACCATGCAGAAGACCAGTTTAGCTGGAACACAGTAAGTGAGAGTATTATGGGCTGAATTATGTCCCTCCCCTTATCAAATTCACACATTGAAGCCCTAACCTCTAATATATCTAAGAGTCCTTGGAGATAGGGCCTTTTACGATGTGATTAAGTTAAAATGAGGCCTTCAGGTTGGGCCCTCATCCAATCTGACTGATGTCCTTATAAGAAAAGGGAATTTGGGCATGCACAGAGATACCAGGTATGTGCGTGCACAGAGGAAAGACCATGTAAGGACACATCAAGAAGGCAGTCATCTACAAGTCAAGGAGAGAGGCGTCAGAAGAAATGAAATCTGCTGACACCTTGATTTTAGACTTCCAGCCTCTAGGACTGTGAGAAAATAAATTTGTGGCCAGGCATGGTGGCTCACGCCTGTAATCCCAGCACTTTGGGAGGCTGAGGTGGGCAGATCATGAGATCAGGAGTTCAAGACCAGCCTGGCCAACATACAGAAACTCCATCTCTACTAAAAATACAAAAATTAGCCGGGCATGGTGGTGCATGCCTGTAGTCCCAGCTACTCGGGAGGCTGAGGTAGGAGAATTGCTTGAACCTGGGAGGTGGAGGTTGTAGTGAGCCAAGATTTTGCCACTGCACTCCAGTTTGGGCAACAGGGTGAGACTTTGTCTCAAAAATAAAATAAAATAAAATAAAATAAAATAAATAAATAAATACATTTGTGTTGTTGAAGCTCCTCAGTCAGTGGTATTTCATCACGGGAACCCAGCTGACTAATACAGAGGGAAGGAATAATAGATAAAGCCAAAGAAATAATAGGCTGTACAGAGGGATGGGAGAAACTATGTTGTGAGGACATCGTAAGGACTTACATTTTTATTTTAGTGAAATGGGAAGTCATTGGAGGATTTGGAGTGGATGAATAATAATATCTGACTTTTACCTTCATGGATATTGGGAACTGATTCTTCAGTAGTTATACCGATAAGGCAGTTAAAATTGTCAATTGTGTAGGAGAAAAGATGCAGAAAGCAGCAAACAAGGAGAGGACATTGGAGAGATCTTTTTGCTTCCATTTTGCAACAGAGAAAACTGAGGATTTAGAAAATCAAGTCCCTTGCCCAAGACACACAATAATTGCCTGGCAGTTCTACAAATAGAAATCAGATGTCCAGCACTCTTTACTACTTTGTGCTTGGAGAAAGATGAATTTGGCTTCTCATGTAAAGAACATGAGCTTGATTTTGTTTTAAGGAGGCTGGGTTTATCCTTGCGAGAAGATATTAAGACTTGAGTGAGTTATGGTGGCCATGGAGAGCACTGTGATACTCAGTTGCTCACCCATATCTCCATGACTCGAGATCATGTAGCTTGAAAGACTGGCAGGAACAAGTGCAAATTATTCATGGACTGCCATCACAGACTTCCCAGTGACATCCTTCATGGTAGGTCATTTCACTGATGCCACAGTTTTCAGAGATGATAATAGCAATGTCTGGTCTCTAGACATTCTCCAGCATGCTAGGAGAAGGTCCTTTTGGTTCTAGGTAAATGAAGAATTCGTGTATGTATGTGTATATAGTATTTATATATATGTATAATATATATGCAACAAAGAAATATCAAACCTGAAGATAATAAAATATGCTTAACGGTATAAATACACTCAATCTGTAGGATGTTGAAGTTACAACAGCATAGAGACCTGAGTTCAAATAATAACTCTGGCTCTTGGTTAACTACATAAACTTGGAAGTTACAGAAGTTCAGCAAGATTTAATTTCCTCATCTGAAATGTGGGATATTAATCATGACTAACTCATAATGTTATGACCAGATTGGAAAAGACACTTAGCATAAATCACTTAAGATAATGCCTGGTAAGTGTTCAATAAAGGTAGCTTTTATTTTTATTTTTAACTTTTGCTTAATATCCTCTTCTTTTTCTAGTTTTCTAAGGTGGAAGCTGAGATCATTGATTTAAGAAAGCCTTCTTTTCTAACATAAATATTTAATGCTATAAATTCTCTAAGCACTGCTTTAGTTGCATTCCACAATTTTTGATATATTGTGTTTTGTTTTCATTCAGGGAAAATCTTTTCTGATATCATTTGTGATTTCCTCGTTGACCTATGGTTTGGTTTCCAAATATTTGGAGTTTTCTGCAGATATATTTGCGTTATTGAGTTCTAGTTTAATTCTCCTGTGGTCAGAGAATATACTTTGTATTACATTAATTCTCTTAAATTGATTGAGCCTTGTTTTATGACCCAGGATATTGTCTATCTTACTGAATGACCTTGGAAAGAATGTAGATTTTCCTCTTGTTGTATGGAGTGTTCTATAAATGTTAATTAGGTCAAGTTGATTGACAGTGTTATTCAAGTCTTCTGTATCTTCACTGATTTTTCTGTCTACTTTTGCTATCAATTACTGAGATTGAGGTGTTAATTTTCCAACTATAAATATTGGAACTATAAGATGTCATATATTAATATAGTTACTCCAGCTTTCTTTTGGTTAGTGTTTGCATGGTATATCTTTTGCCATTCTTTTATTATTAATTTTAAAAATCCACTTGGTAAGTACTATATTTCAGGCAGTATATAGTTGGGTATTGCCTTTTAATCCAATCCCGCCAGTATCTGCCATTTAATTCAAGTGTCTAGACTGTTAACATGCAGTGTAGCTATTGATACTGTTGGTTTTAAATCTTCTATATTGGTTATTTGTTTTCTATTTACTTGTCTTCTCTTTGTTTTTTATTCCTCTCTCCCTGTTATTATTTTTATTAGTTATTTTTATTACTTTATTTTATTTTTACTATTGTCTTGTTAGACATAACTATTTTTAGTGGTTCTTCTGAGGTTTACAGTACATATGCATTTTAAATTTATCACAGTTCACCTTCATGTAATATTATACGACTTCACTCATGGTATATGGACCTTGCATCAGTATCCATCCATTTCCTATTTAACCTTTTGTGCTAGGTTGCCATGCTTTTTACTTCTATGTATGACACAAACTCCAGAATTTGTTCTTTTTTGTTTTTAACTTTAAAGAGTTATTCATCTCTTAAAGAGGCTGGAAAAGAATAAAAAATCTGTTCTACATTTATCTACATATTATTCATTTCTCTCTTCATTCCTTTGTGTAGGCCCAAATTTTCCACCTGTTATCATTTTTCATCTGCCTAGATAATTTATTTTAATATTTGTTTAAGTGCACACTTGGTGATTATGAGTCATCTCCTCCTTTTGTTGTCTGAAAATCTGTCTTTGACTTGATTTTTGAAAGATATTTTCATTGTATAAACAATTCTTGATTAACTTTTTTTTCATTTTTATATTTTAAAGATGCCTATTATTATTTGGCTTAAATAGTTTCTGACAAAAAGGATGGCATTATTCTCACCTTTGTTCCTTGCCATGTAACCTATCTTTTTTCTCTGGTTGCTCTTAAAAAATGTTTTTTTCACTGTTCTTCCCACTCTCCTGCCAATTTTACTATGATTTTTCTTAGCTTCCTTTATTGCTTAAAAGCCTTTCTTCTGCTTGAGGTTCATGGAAATTCTTGAGTCTTTGGGTTATCATTTTCATCAAATTTTGGAACTTTTAGTCATCATTATTTCAAAATATTCCATTCTCCACTTCTCCTCCTGAACTTCAATTACTTGTAGGTTATAACAATTATATTTTCCCATATCTCACTGATTTTCTGGGGGTTTTTTGTCTTTTTTTTTTTTACTCTCAGTGTTTGTTTGGGGTCATTTTCTTTTGCTTTATGTTCAAGTTCACCAATATTTCTTTTACAGTGTCCAATTTTCTATAAAACCCTGTAGTTTATTTTTTGATCACTCATTTATAATTGTTTTCTCTAGAAGTTCCATTTGAGTATTTTTTAATATCTTCAATTTTTCTCTTTATTATGCTCATCTTTTCCTCTACCTTACTGGACATGTAGGGAATATTTATAATAGTTTTAGATTTTTGTCTGTTAGTTCCAGCATCTCCATCATTTCTGATTCTTTTTCTATTTCTTGACTTGCTCCTTGATTTATGGATTTTGTTATATTTCTTTAAGTAATGTTAGTTTTTTTTTGTTTGTTTTTTGTTTTTCTGAAACACAGTTATTTGGAAGCAATTGGATCCTATCCTGTAAGCTTTGTTAGGATGGGTCCAGAATAGTCTTTAGCCTAAGGCTAATTTATCCTCATTACTAACACAGGGCTCCTCTGAATATTCTACCCAATGTTTATTGGATTATGACAATTTCCTTTCCTTCTTTTGGGATCACAAACTAATTGCAGCCCTGTGTGAGGGTCCATGGGTTTTTCACTTACTTTTTTCTGATATTTCTTTCCCCAGTCTCAGATAGTTGCCTCTTGCTACGGTTTGAGTGTCTCCTCCACAACTCATGTTGGAACCTTAATTCCCAGTGCAGCAATGCCAGGAGATGGAACTTTAAGATGTGGAATCTAATGGGAGACATTTGGGTCATGAGGGTTCTGCCTTCATGGGAAGCTTGGTGCGATTCTCACGGTGGTCAGTGGGTTCTTACTCTCACAAGATTGTGAGAAGTGCCATCTTGCTCTCACAAGATTGAATTAGCTCTCACAGGGATGGATTAGTTCTTAGGAGAGTGGGGTGCCTCTTGTGTTTGATCTCTGTCTGCTTCCCCTTCTACTTCTTGTCATGTTCTATTGCAGCACAGGCCCTCACGAGAAGCCAAGTGGATTCTGGTGCTATGCTTTGTGGACTTCCCAACCTCCAGAAGCATGATTGAAATAAACCTCTTTTCTTGATAAATTACCCAGTGTCAGCTATTCCATTATAGAAACACAGAACAGACTAAGACATCTCTCATGAATGGTGAGATCAGAACTCAATTAACTGAAAGGGACCCTTCTGCACATCTGTAGTCTACTGTCTCCCTCTTTGTGCAGCTTTCTTCCTTTTACTACTCACCCTTCAAATTCTAGCCTCCTTGTCTCTCTAAATTTTTGCTTCTATCTCCTCAACTCAAGCCTGGCAAGCTATATAAGAGTCTCTCCTTCCTGTACTACAGACTGGAAACTTTCTACAAGCTGTCAATTGGTAAAAACACAGGGCTTTCAGATGAACAACTTATCCTGGTTTGGCCAGGACATTTTCAGTGGTAGCACTGAAAGTCTCATGTTCTGGGAACTCCCTCAGTCCCAAGCAAACTAGGAGAATGGGGATGGTTGGCCACTCACAATCACTCAATGTCACGTCATTGCTTTCCCTTATTTTAGCATCACAGTGCTATACTACCTTTAGTCAAACACCTGAGACCTCCATTTTGGTCAGAAGTAAAAACCCTGATTTATTTTTCAATTGCAGAGGACAAAAGTGGGAAGATAAGTTGGTACCTATTATTGTGGTCTTAGATGATGGTAGCCTAGACATAAATGGCGATACGTATGATAGCAAAATGTAGAAGGAATTGAGATACATTTAAGAAATATGTTGAACAGGTCAAGGCCTTAAAACAACTTATAAAATACTTTTTATGGATGTACTTCAATAATCCAAATAATTATAAATTCAACTACTATGTTATAATTTTGCCTACATTTTTGTATTTTGACCGCAAGAAATCATGTATGAGATCCCCAGACACCCAGGACCCACACCCACTAGACAGAGAATCCATTGAGAAATTTGAAAGAATTGAATTAACAATTCACAGAGGGAGTAGAGCAAGAGACTGCTTTTCAGAGTATAGAGGCTAGGCTAGAATATTTGGGTCCCTTCCTGTAGTAAAAATTCCTTTTGAGTCTGTGGCAACCAGTAGAGAAGGGGAACCTACTTAGAACCTACCACTTCTTTTGCCATCTGCTATCTTCACAGCTATTGAGGCATGATCAAAGGCCCTGCCAGTCCACATTATGCATAAAGCTGGACATCATCAAGCTGTACCCATGGTGCTCATTTGTATCCACCATGTTTTCCTTCACACCATTGTCAGGATTCAGCTGCCATAGTTAAGTTAACTGGATGTAGATCTTCCTGGGAATCAAGGAAAGCCATGCATAGAAAACTCCCAGGTGAGGACATTCTCTGGGATGCTATAGCCCAGAAGGTAAAGGAATTCTGTCACTCAACACAGGTCTCCTACTTTGCCTGCAAGAAGGAGACAAGATGTTGCATTTGGCCTGTTTTGAAGGAAGGTAAGTGTGCACGTGTGTGTATGTACATATGTAAACACCTGTGTGGTCATGTGTAGTAGGCTGGTGAAGGGGAAGAAAATTGCCAAAACTGTTCAGTGCTAACACATAAAGAAAACCTTTGTCAAAATATCTCACAGGAAGCCCACACCAATCCGAATGACTGATGTCAGATCTTTTCTGAGGGAGCAGAAAGAGTAGAATGTGGGGATTTGACGTCCAATACAAGGAAAGGAGTTAGACCTAGAGAAAAAAGAGGTGGATGACTTTATAACTTTATCAAGAATTTTCCATAATCAGCTGAAGTTGATCAAGGACAGAAAGGAAAGGTGACCAAAGCATATTTGTTATGCTTGGTTGTGAATGCACTTTTAAATTTTGTTTTATAAAAACACATCTATTTTACAACACAACTTCTTCCTCAGGTAATTTGTATTTTTGTGTTAACAAATAGTTTTGCAGTGGCAGAAATCTGAAAAATGGCATAGAACAGATCTCTCCAAAGAGATTTTCAAACTAAGATGAGGACTAAAATAAGCAATCCATTAGATCATAAGATCTTTGAGTGAGAGGAGCCCATTTGATATATTTAATTAAACCCCAACACCCATCCCCCATGCCTGCACATGGTAGATGTTCAGCAAATATTTAATAAATGGAAGCCTAAATATTTGGGAATAATAACAGCCTTTGAACAAATGAGCTTGAAAATGCCACCACCAGGTATTCTTTCTTATAGAATTGTTCCCTTACAACACACATTAAAACATTCTAGGAGACCTACAGTTAAAAACAAAACAAAACAAAAAACAACAAAAAAAAACCCTACTTACTTATTTATTTATTTTACTTTTTGAGGTAGGGTCTTGCTCTGTCACCCAGGCTGGGGTGCAATGGAGCCTTCATAGTTCACAGCAGCTTTAAATTCCTGGACTCAGATGATCATCACACCTCAGCCTCCCAAGTAGCTGGGACTACAGGCACATGCCACCACTTTCAGCTATTTCTTTTTTAGAGACAGGGTCTTGCTATATTGTCTAGGCTGGTTTCCAACTCTGGGGCTCAAGTGATCCTCCTGCCTTGTCCTGCCAAAGTTCTGGGATTACAGGCATGAGCCACCATGGCTGGCCTCTATTTATTTTTTGAGTGAACAAGTTTGTCACCAATATCTTTGATCATGGAACTCTTTTTAAGGAATACATATTAGCTTCCTGCAGAAATGTTGCTGTAACCCAATATATCTTTAAGGTACCAAAGCTGAATCCTAAAGATGAGAATTTTGAAAGATGACTGTGGTATCATGTTGTGCCCTTGTTAAATTGAATCCACATCATGAAAACATTTTATGTGTTCAAGTTAAATTGGTTTATTTTGTATTATTGTGTAAACTGGACTTGACAGGTTGCAGGTATAAACAATTTTTTAAATTTTGCTTCTGCCCCTCCAAACCTGACATTTTGAGTACTCACCCTCAATCCCCAGGTTCCTCTAACTAATAAAACTCTGAGTAGTTCTCTCTTGGCTTTTCTGATTACCAACAGGTAATAAATTTTTTAAAAAAGCTTTTTTCCAAGGTAGTAAAAAGTCTAGTCAAAAGTCTTATCCATGTAAACTTAAGCTCTGTCTTTTCTCACAACTCTGTTATCAGATTGGAAATCCAGGAGTAGGAGGAGAGGCCAGGTTGGTTTCCCCATCTTCTCCTCTCTCTATCTCCTCCTCCTTTCCTGTCTGTGATTTCTGGCCTCTCCAAAGACAAAGTATTCAAAACAAATTATAAAATACTTTTTATAGATGTATTTCAATAATCCAAATAATTATAAATTTAACTACTATGTTATGATTTTGCCTATATTTTTGCATTCTGACCACAATAAATCACATATGAGATCCCCAGACACCCAGGACTCACACCCACTAGACAGAGAATGAAGTGAGAAATTTGAAATAATTGAATTAACAATTCACAGAAGGAGCAGAGCAAGAGACTGCTTCTCAGAGTATAGAGGCTGTGGGGGAGCAAGAGGAAGAATACAGAGGAGTGTAGGGGAGGAAGAGGAAGGTCGTAAGATGGAATAAGAAGTTCTAACTTGACTGGCGCTCTTATAATCTGTCATTGTGATCCTCTGAGTTTAGTGAACATCCCAACTGATGTGTGTTTCATAGAGCATTGTGTTGAGTTTGGGGAAGCTCCCTCTTTTTCCCTACATTGCAGGACATCTCTCTCAGTAACTGTTTCCCTGACTCCAGTTACGCCTTCTCAAGCTAGTCATCCATGACTTCTTTATTCTCTTGGCTTCAAATGGTACGTTCCCCCTAATGGAGTCATGACACCCTGCCAGGCAATTTCTTTCAAGATGCCTCAATCTGCCTTCTTTGAACAGGTTCCTTATTTGTTTCAAATTTTGGAAGTCCTGCTTAGCCTCCACATAGCTCTGTTTTAGGCATAAAGAGAGAGAGAGAGAGAGAGAGAGAGAGAGAGAGAAAGAGAGAGAGAGAGAGAGAGTAGTTCTAGTTACAGTGTTTTCAGGTGTGAGTCAGATATCTCAATGATATCTGTCTGTTAAAATCCAGATGACACATGTCAAGCTCTGCAAGTGGTCCCATCAAAGTGTCTCTCATTTTGTTTGCATTAAGGAAGAAACAAACTTATCGGAAAGGTGAGGCATGAAGACGAAGATGCTTCCTAAATTGACAACGCCCTCTAGAAAGATCCCCACTGCCAAGTTCTTTAAAGTCTCTCTTGATAAGCTGGAGGCTGCCAATGTGATAACTTGGGTAGAACCTCTTAGTGTATCCTTTTATAGGCAAGCTACCATCTGGTTTTAGAAGGTGAGCTTCCTTGGCACCAAGTGTATTGGGCCTCTTCTGATATACCTAGACAAGAGGGAATGCCCCATTTAACATTCCATTGTACATGATTTCATATACTCAATCCACACTAACATCTTTTATGAGAAACATAGTAAATAGCAAGAGGAACCAAAGCTGAAATAAGAACTAGCCATGGATACAACCGCTGAGACTTAGTCGTGTTATTTATAATGCATAAGACCTGTGAAATAAGGAAGAAAAGACTGAAAGTATTAGTTGTATGCACCATTTGCTAGCTTCATGGTGAGTTTTATAGCCATTAGAATGTGGACAAAGATTGAACTGCTCTTGTAAAAGGCTCCCTTTGCTCTACTGTCTATTTTGCTTCATGGCCATCAGAAAAAAAGTTAATTTTCCCTGTAAATACTTATCTGTGCTCAGGGCTTGCACTTGTCCTTTGGCTTTCGTTGTGTTTGACCTCTACCACTATACCCTTGTTTTGCCAATGGATGTCTGTTGTTAGCTGATTGCTAATGAACCCAAAGATATTAATTACGGCCATCAGCAATGATGCTAGAGAGTTTTTAACTGGAACTCTCAAAAGAGTCTAAAAAAAGAAAAGAAAATGCCATTTATATTGAATGTCAATTCCCTGATCCATGTTCAGAGATCACATGTGTCTTGATAAGATTATGTATCTTATCAAGTTAAAACCCAACTTTCTGTAATGCTTAAACCTTCTCGCAATATCCTAACATAGTGGTTCTTATTCATGGTTGCATGCTGGAATCACTTGAGAAGCATTTATAAAATCCCAGTGCTCAGGCTGCAGTCCCAGGTAACACCCAGGTATTCCAAAGTGCAGCTAAAGTTGAGTCACTGCTAATCATTTTTGTCTGGAATCTAGCCTCTATTCATTCACAGAACATACAACTAAAGCCCTTAAGGAACCACACCCCATCTACATATAGAAGAGACATGGGGAGTACATTGCTTAGGCTATATGTTTGATCTTGCCTGCTCAGTGCCCCTTTAAAAGTTTAAAAATGATGATTAGATTTCATCATGTAAAAAAATCAGGGGTTCTAATGACAAAAATCTCAATGTTCAGTTTCTCTTGAAAATTCAGCTGTTCTGGCAAGAGTAACTTCCTTCTTCCACAACAAGCATCTGGTATCACTAGCAGCAGACCACTTCACAGGTGGCCTGGGCTTTCCAGTTTGCCCACAGGCCTTAACCTGCCTGAGTTCCCCGCCTGGTCCCTACAGGCAGAGTTCTGAGTATCTGCTACCGTCCCGGTTTGAAAAAGTCTCTCAAAGCTTCCTCCTCTTTGCCTCTTCCATTTTCAAATGCCGGAGACTCCAACTTGTGCCAAAGAGCCTTCTTTGATCTGAATGACTCAAGCAATCCCTTAACTCCTGGATTGTTTAAAATGTTATTAGGTTTCTCTCTTCCATTCTCTACCAGCCCATTTTCCCCCTAGAGAGTTTGTTTTGTTCTTTTGCTTTAAAAATGAAAACAAAGTGTGACTACACATGTATTCTCCAAAGACCAGCTCCTCAAGGCTGAGAGCCAGATGCCTGATATATTTTCCATCTAGAGCTGTACATGCAGAGAAAGTCGTCAAAGCAAGGCCATTCTGCTTTTGACCTTCCTAGGGCTGAATGCGCAGCTAGTCAACAGAGGAGCTGAAAATAGAACCCAGGACTTTCAAATCATTGTTCTGCTCACTGGGCTGTGCTTCCTCCCATAAGGACTTGGTCAAACAATGTCCTGTTTGGCAAAAGCAGAAATCATAATCTACGTATGAGAAACTGGATGGTGAAGAAACGCGAGCCCCACCCTCGGAAAAGATGGCACTGTAGTGTAAAGGGAGTGTGAATTTGTTTCTAGCACTGCAGCTTATAAGTTGGATGCACTAAAAAAAAATGTGTTTAGAATCATTGACTCTGTAATGTGTGGCATTTTGAACAAGGAGTTCTTACTGACTGCCGAGAATGAATTTGCTTGACAACCCACAGAAAGGAAATTTAGAACATTAGAAAGGTTATCATGAAAATGACAGAACCTGTAAATAAGACATTCAGGGATGTGGAATCTGGGGGCTGGTTTTTAGCATAGGGTAGCCAGTGTCACGGGAAGGAGCCAGAAGATGGGTAACTCCGTCATTCTTCACTCGGAGTATGTGTGTGACCCATAGAGAGGGCAGAAAGCAGGGCTAAACAACTTCCCCAAACTCTGAGGAAGAGTTCAGAACTCGTGCGTCTGTGCTGTCATTTTGCAAACGACGTACTTCTCTTTTAGGGATCATCTCCCGGGGCTGATTTATAGTGATCTCCTTGAGAGCAGAAACCCTATGGGCCTCATTGCTGTTGCCCCAATGCTTAGCATGTGGCCAATCCCGGGAGACAGCAGAGCAGAGCCTATAGCCAGGCTTTCTGAGTTTGAGTCCCACCTCTACTGTTTCCCAGATGCTAGGCTTTGAACAAGTGACTTTACGTCTCTATGCCTCAATTTCCTCATTTGTAAAGCAGAGATGGTAATAATAGTTCTTACCTCAAAGAGTCATTATAAAAATGAAATGAGTTACTACTTGTGATGTGCTTCGAATAGTACGTGGTACGTAATAAGCATTCCTCAAGTTTAGTTATTATAGGCAATCAATGCATAATTTGTGAACAGATAAATGTTCTAGCAAACAATAATGGCTAGTTATAATAGGCCAGGTGACTTGCTAAGCACTTTACATGAATTATCCGACTTAATTCTAAACACAGGCATGTGAGATCCCCTATCAGTCCATATTACAGAAGAGGCCACTGAGGCAGAAAAGAACTGGGTAACTTAAGCTCGCACAGCTGGCTGAAGTAAATTTATTGTATGACACCACATCTTTCACCACGACTCTGCCAATGAAATATCTATTTTCTAGGAGGAATACTAAGGAAAAAGCTGCTTTATGATATTTGTATGAGTCTCAAGTATAATCATTTATTTACACTTTGAAAGCATTAAAACATATATACACATATGTAAGATGGTGTTGATGACTAATAAACCCATGAGAAATCCCATTTTAGTCTCATTAGCCTGATTTAGCATATCAAAAGGTGTTAAAAATAATAATTAGCTTTAGGAACCAACAAACAAGTAAAACCAGTCACTTTGACACACCAAAATGCAATTTGATATGCAAGAATCACCTACTCAAGATAACAGCCACTAAATAAATGAACAAAAGAGAGTGTTGAGAACTGAGGCACCATAGTCTTTTGCTTATTTCTTTGCTAAGATGTACTTAGCTGTGATACACATTTTTTATTTATTCATGTACTTTATCTCTTTGAATAGTTCCCTCAGCCAGAAATATGAGTAGAAAGGATGAGATGCTTTTTTGCTTCTCAGATATTAGTTGGAATATTCTAGGGTGTCATGGAAAGCAAACCAAACTTGAGGCTGAGAAATGAGGTTTCTGATTCCAGCTTCACTACTAAGTAATTCCCTCGAGAATTTGAAGAAAATTTCTCGTCTACCTGTGCCTCAGATTTCTCTGTCTAAAAATACAGCTTTGGATCCCATTGACTATAAAATTCCTAGTACCTCTAAAAATATTTCATTTTCCTCCTGGGGATTTTTTTTTTATTATACAGCATACTTTTCCCATCTCTAACCCAACACACAGATTTTAACATTTTTGAAATTAGATTGTTTCACAATTAGAACACAAATTAAATTTAATCATTTTTTCTCTTTTTTCCCTTCTTCTCCTCCTCTTCCCCTTTCTCTTCCTCCCCTTCTTTCTCCTCCTCCTTTTTTATCCTGCAAAGTTGTCATTAAATTGATAATGTATCTCAGAATTAAAGAAAAACACAAAACTCAAACATAAACAACACAACCACTACCACCACAAACAATAACTAACCTGTCCCAAAGGCTTGGTTGATATGTAAATAGATTTGCATACTGAAATTGGAGAAAGAGAATTTTCAAGTGTTATTACTACTTAATTTCTTTTGAGTTCAGGCCCTCTTCCAAGGAATAAATCATAATTTATCTGTAGCAGCTATGATCCCTGGGTTTCCCTGGCCAAGGGTGACAGCACTGTATCAGAAACAAAACACTTACTTTTTGGAACTAAAATGTCTCAATACATTTGACTATGTCATCATCTGCATGTATGTATGACTAATCTACGTGACGCCAATCATTTCTCTGTAGTCAACTGAGAATACTTAGGCGCCCCTCTTTACTCCAGGCACATCCAAGTGGGAGAACAGATGTTCTTTGTTTCAGGAAAGGATGGGGTGAAGGTTAGCTCATGGGTAGAGTTTCCTGTTTCTAATGTTTGAAGCCAGGGAGGTGCCAACAGTTTTAAAGGTCTTATTAAAGGGAGATAGTTCTGCTGGGGCAAGATGCAATGAAAGTAAAATTTGCTCCCCAACTGATGTCTTGGTACTTCAGATGTATATAATACTGACCATATTATTTCCTTTTTAACAATCCTTCAATGACTCTCCTTTTGCCTGCCAGAGACAGGCTAAATGCTTTAGCATTTAGCACTCTCTAAACTGTACCCAAAATTACAGGCAGTTCTATGAACTCATCTTGTTCCTCTGCCCTTGAAATGGCTTTCCCACATCTTCACTTGGGCAACTCATTTGTCAAGACTTAGCTCAGGGCCGGGTGTGGTGGCTCATGCCTGTAATCCCAGCACTTTGGGAGGCCAAGGTGGGTAGATTACTTGAGGTCAGGAGTTTGAGCCAGCCTGGTCAACATGGTGAAACCCCATCTCTACTAAAAATACAAAACATTAGCCAAGCATAGTGGCGGGTGCATGTTATCCCAGCTACTGGGGCAGCTGAGGCAGGAGAATTGCTTGAACCCAGGAGGCGGAGGTTGCAGTGAGCCGAGATTATGCCACTACACTTCAGCCTGGGTGACAGAGCGAGACTCTGTCTCAAAAAAAAAAAAAAAAAAAAAAAAAAAAGACTTAGCTCAGATGTCATCTTCCCTTTGCAGCCTTTAGCACCTTACCAATTAGAGTAGGGACCTCTTAATTGTGGTCCCAAGGCAGCCCATACTTCCCTCTATCCAAGGGATTCTCAAACCTCCCTGCAGAATGGAATCACCTGGAAAGCTATCAAAACATAGCAATGCCCAGGTCTTACTCACAGGGATTTTGATTTCATTGGTCTGAGTTGGAGTCAAGCATCACTATATAATATAGCCAGGTGGTTCTATTATTCAGCCAATGCTGAGAACCACTGCTTTATTGTAAATCTTGCACCATATTGTATTATAAGTCTTTGTTTATCCTTCCCAAGATTAAGTTTCTTGAGAACTGAAATTATTTTGTATTGATATGCATATCGCTTGAGATTTTTAAAAAAATTCCAAGCACTAGGAAGTGTTCAATAAGTAGTTTATAAATAATAAATGTATGACTGAATGAATGAATAACGTGTACACATCCCAACCACCCACCCATCTATGCTTAGAAGCTTGCTTACATTCATGCAGCTGTTCAGGGTTAGAAATTGTGGAAAATAAAAGAATCAATGTGGATCCCAGGTGTCTGGAGATAAAGGATGTAGTCTAAGAGGAGTTTCTGAGGAAACAAATAAAATATGGCCTGAAAGAAAACCTGCAAAAGTTTGAACTAATTAAGAACAGGTGCTGAAAAAGCAGGACTATGAAATCTGACCTCAGCAAGAACTTTGGGAGAGAGATTAATACAAGAAGAGATTCTGGGGCTTGAGATGGGGAGAAGGGAGCAACCAGCCCTAATGCAGATCAGCTTCTACCTACATAAAGTAGAAATACAAGGACGAGTCTTAGCTTTCCCTTAAGGCCCAGAGTCCAGACCCTGAAAGTCAAGATGTCCTAGTAGCCAGAGGGAGAATTAGCAGAATGGGAGTCAAGCTTGATATTCAAGCTTGAGTATCATGAGACACAGCAGTGCTCCATCTGCTCTGTGAATCTGTATCTTCTGGGGTCATAGCATGTGCTAAGTGCTTTATATATGTTATCCCATTTAATATGAAGAATTAGGTTTATGAAATAGGCTTTATTATTTCCAGTTTCACAGATGAGGACACTGAGATTCTGGGGAGTTGAGTAAGCCTCCTAAGTCACCTAATTATAATTGATAAATGTCACCTTCTAAATGGCCAGTAGGGATTACTGACCTGACAACCCTGTATGGAGGAGATGTATGGGAGAAGATGAAGAGATAGGTTGGAGGTCCAATATCTCTATCAAGAAGAGGGCTTTCCCTGCCAAGTCCTGCCAATGGACTAGGAGACAGCAGATGAAGGAACCTTTATGGATAGTTGCCTTTAATTTTAGAAAGCTCCTACTTGTTTGGGCCAGGAACCACTACGTGACCTTGAACAGTGAAAACACGATACTCTCCACTTCTGGACTCCCAGTGAATGTGTTTGTGGAGGCACTTACTCTTTCTCAGAGAAGGAGACATGAACAAGAACACTTCGAATTCAGTCATGCTATAAGATAGAAGAACGTGTATAAATATTGGATTGCCATTTTTTAAAAGAATGAGTTCTTTTTATTTCATAACACAAAAACTTCTTATATTCCATCTAATATGTCATTAAAATTTAAATATTTGATCTGCCATGTTAAGGGGAATTCCCTTTTCCTCGACCTCCCTCTTGACTATTCATAGTCTATTCATAGTCTATGTTTAGGAAATCTTGTCTTCTCGCGTGTCTTAATAGACATTTAGTTTCCAAAACAAAGTCTGATCTTATTAGTCTAGCCAATCAGTTTTGTCTGTCTGCATTAAGGAGTGATGAAGATGCCTGCAGATTTTAGTCTGCTAAAAGATATCTTCTCTTTTCAATCACCTGTGATGACTAGTTTTCCTGGAATAGTTCGTGCAGTCACAGCCTTGATGCCAAGCATGTTGGAGCTACTGTTCTTTCACCCAACTCTGTACACAATTTCTGTCTGTGGAAACTATAATCACTCTTGCTGCTAAAGATGCCAGGAATAGGTTGGCATTGGAAATTTCTTTGGCTTATTGGGAAATAACCTGGGCTTTAAACTCGCTGGAACTGGGTTCAAATCCTAACTCTGTCATTTACAAACACTTCTAAGGCCAAGGAAATGTCAACAAATGTCAATTTCGTTTTTTGTCCTCTTCTGTTGAGGAATAGTATACACTTCTTTGATCATCTCTATGATCCAATCATATGTACATTCAGTCCAACACACCTACACAAAAAGCACACAGTTATGGATTTTACTCTCCTCCACCTTTAGTTTTTTGACAAGAAGCCAAGATTTCAAAACAGCTCATGAGCAGTCTGTATTTTATGGCAATTTATTATTTGACCTTTCTCTAGAATGTGAATGTTATATTACCCCTGGTTCCTTGACATGTGAAAAAATACATCCCTTCCCTCTCAGCCTGTGTCTTCTGATAACAAGTTCCAATGATCATTTTCTAAATAATAAAAAAGAAGGTAGCTGCTATAGGCATTTATAACTGACCTTATTTCAAGAATTTGGTTGGGCAACTCTTTACTCATTTTCAAGAGAGAGGCAATGTGTGAGTCATGAGAGGATCTCCCTAGAGGTAGTCAAAACAATTGGCAGTGCCTGATCTTGGCATCTTCATCCGCTGCTCTGGTCCTGGTTTTCCCCTATGTGAAAGGAAAATTATGCCACAGAACATCTAAGGTCCATTTCTCCTCTTAAATATCTGTGTCTAGTTACTGCTTATTTGTAAGAAAATAAGTTGGCTTGCCCAAAGATAAAAAGATATTAAATGGCAAATATTTCACAAGAGAACTGGTCTTTCTCTGCTCTTTCTCTTTTATGTCTGGGTTGTAAAATTATTATAATGATTACTCTTCATCACCCACCTAATCCCATAAAACATCTCTGACTATGTAAATGCACATGATCTGTTTCCCTTTAGCAATTACTCACTTTACCCATGGGAATCAGGTTTTCGCTGATGCCCAGTAAGGGAAAGTGCCAGCTTTCTGTTAGGAGACTTAATTTTTCTCTCTGGGCAAAAGGTTTCCCACAGCTGAGACCAACTCAGCATTACTCTATTGTCTTCTACTAAGGGAGAATTAACAGCTAGTATTTAGTACCAAACACTGGTAATGTGCCATAAAAATGAGGGAGAAGAAGGAAAGGAACATCTGTTAATAGGTATCTCAGTTCAAACTGCTACACTGAAATACCATAGACTGGGTGGCTTGAACAACCAACATTTATTTTTCATGGTCCTGGAGGCTGGAAGTCTGAGATCAGAGCGCCAGCAGGGTCAGGGTCTTGGGAGGGCTCTGGTTATGTCCTCACATGGCCTTTCTTTTGCGGGTGCATGGCGATGGGGATGAAGGCAGAGGGAGAGGGGAAAAGAGAAAGAGAGAGAGATTTCATGCTGTCTTCCTTTGTGTTGTTGTTGTTTCTGATTTTTGTTAAATAAGGGCATTGATCTCAGCATGGGGGCTCCACCTTCATGAGTTCATTTAAACCTAGTTCCCTCACAAATGCCCCACCTCCAAATACCTTTACAATGTGGATTAGGGCTTCATCATATGAATTTGCGGTGGGCGGGGGACACACACATTCAGTTCATAGCAGTGGGAATAAAGGAAACATATTAGATTCTCTTTATTGTGCCTTTGTATATGGCTTGGTGCTAAACTAATGCATATTACATAGTTATCTCATTTATCTTATTTTATACTCATGATTATTCTTCAGAGCAATTCTTATGCCTCTTTCAAAGCTGAGGAAATAGAGGCTCAGAGATATTAATGAATTACCCAAGGTCGCCTAGGTCTCTGACTGTAAAGCCTGTATTAATTTCATTTTGTTATCATGGGCCTTGCCAGTAAATGTGTCTGTAGTGGGTAAAAAAAAAAATTATTCTAGAATGTGGAGAACCCCTGAAATGACCTGCACTACTGAAGAAAGCCTGCCTGAATGGTGTATTCCACATCTGTAAACTTCAGGGAAAGACCCCTCCAATGAATTTGGAAATAAGTACTAAAATATTTGACACCCCAACGGCAAGAGGATTTTGCATCCTTTTCCCCAGTAGAATCACAGAAGTCAGATGTGATTTGACATGTAATAATAATGGATATCATTGATTGAACACGTTACGCTCTTGGCTGTGTGCTGCATACTTCATAAGTATTATCTCATTTACCCAATGCCCCATGAGATGGTTACCACTTTCTTATTCAGTTGCAGGCATTGAGGCTTATAAAGAGTTGTAACTTAGCCAAGTCACATGGATTGGGAAGATGGGAATCTGGGTATATCTGAATGTAAAGCAAATTACTCAACAATGCATCTTCACTGCAGAGCAAAATAGAATGCAGGGAGTCCTATTCTTTCTTCCTGTTGGGTTTGCACTTCCAAAAAACTTAAAGAACTTGTGAGAATCACTCTTATGAGTACAGAATGTCCACAAGTGGCAATCACAGTTACAGGAAAGGTTGACACCGTCAGTTCTGACTGCACTTACATTAATTAAAAACAGAAATTAAAAGGGAAGAAGGCAAAGGGGAAAGTCCCACTTTCAAATGAGGTCATTTAAACAATAAACTAGTTTCAGTAATTATTTAAAGGGAGCAGAACTGATTAGATATCAGAAATAGAACTAGGCCTTTTGGAGAAGAGGCATTCTCTAGAAGCCACTTCCCTTGCAGAATTTCCCTGAAAGATCACTTATTGTTTAGTTTAATATTTTCAAAAATAAGGAGTAACAAGATCTACTAAATTAGATTTGTTAGAAGATAAAGGATTACCAACAGTGGAATGTTTTCAGTTGATTGCAGCATAAAGAAGCGAAATCTAAGGTCATCATGAAGGAAAAGCATGTAAATACTGCCCTTGGATTTCATAGTGACAATATTTAAGGGGTCCTGGCCTAATTCAAGTTTGTTTCCCACTAAGTGCTAGACTTTCTTATCATAGCTTTCATTCCTTAGCTGAGAAATGATTATGAAAGCAGATATTTTCTTGGGAACTGAGTGAATTTCAAATATATGGTGACTTGATATCAGTGGATTAGGATTGTTGCAGCTGTGTGGGATGAAGGGTAGCCAACACACTCCCTGGAGTCCTGTAGAATGCACTTGTTATGAACCGAATGTTTGTGTCCCTCCGAAGTTTATATGTGGAAACCCTAACCTTCAGTGTGATGGTATTTGGAGTTGGAGCCTTTAAGAAGTAACTAGGTTTAGATGAGGTCATGAGCATGAGGCCTCCATAATGGGATTATTGTCCTTTAAGAAAAGAAAGAGAGACTAGAGAGTTTGCTCTCTCTTCCACATGAGGACAAGGCAAGAAGGTGATCATCTGCATTCCAGAAAAAGCCCTCATCAGAATCCAGCCATGTTGGCTTCTTGATCTTGGACTTCCCATCTTCCAGAACTGTGAGAAGTAAATGTCCATTGTTTAACCCACTCAGTCCATGGTTTTTTATTGTAGCAGCCCAGCTGACTAAGACAGACTGGTCCTAAAGTTTCTACCAGCCCCATTAGTGATGGTCACCAATACTCACATGACTTTCATAAAATGGCAGGAATAAGAGCTCCTGTGCTTGTACTAATTTAGAAACTTTACCATCTCCAACTTCTAACTTAGTCCTAAGGTATACAGATAGTCACTGACTGCTGATGGTTTGACTTTATGATGGGTTTATTGGAGCATTAAATGCATTTTTCAACTAGGTGCAGTAGTTGATGCCTGTAATCTCAGCCCTTTGGCAGAGCAAGGCAGGAGAATTGCTTTTAGCCCAAGAGTTCAAGACCAGCCTAGGCAATATAGTGAGACATTGTCTCTACTAAAAGAAAGATGAAAGGAAAGAAAGAAAAAGAAAGAAAGAAAGAATGAATGAATGAAAGAAAGAAAGAAAGAGAAAGAAAGATTAAAAAATAAAAAATACAATAAAATACATTTCTGACATAATATCTTCTACTTATCATGAGCTTTTCAGAATGAACTCCATCATAAGTGGAGGAACATCTGTATAGGCATTTCAAAAGGTAATGAGAAAACAAATTCATTCACTTTCCAAGTTGGTATTGGGCACCTACCAATGTGCCAGGCATTCAGAGTAAGTGGCATAGAAGGTGGAATAGGACAAAGCCACTGAAACACAAGTAGCCGTGCAATAGGGTCCACACTGCATACCAAAAAGAGGCAGGGCGTAAATATGCAAACATATGAAATGACCACTGACAGCAGAAGGCTTAACAACAAAATGACAACACTAACAACAATGCCATGAACTGTTCCAGACACTGGGTTCCTCACAGTCTAGTGGAGAAGGCCATGGAAAGGGCTGTGAGAGGGCCAAGGGCACTGAGGGAGGCCTTCTTAGTAAGGATGTCATACAGATTGCCACAGAAGGAAGAATCCCTTGGATGCAAAGGCAATGGCACGGGCAAGAGCAGAGTGGTGAAAATGGGTGTGCCCGGGTGTCAGTGAATGGTTTAATTTGGTGTGTGGCCGTTTCCCATATACGTGGGTCTGCTCAGTCAAAGAAAGCTGGCCTTAATCTGAAACAAAAATCAAATAATCGACAGAGTGAGACTCCATCACAAAAAAAAGAAATCAAATAATCATAGAGGAATAGAACAAAGAGAAAAGACGATCCAATCCTCTCATTCCTGTACTATCACTCTTTCCTATAGCTCATTCTATAACCTCAGGAAAGACCATCACTGGAGATGTTATTAGGGCCACTAGGATAAACTTTGGACCAGATAGTTTAGGCCAATCCTAATTTCATACATTCTATCCAATTATCCCCAGTATTCCCATTAATACACTCACACATGTAGGCTGAGAAACACTTAGAAACTTCCCTGTAGAGAAACATCTTCACCACTGGCCTTCCTTTGGGCCATTAGTTAAGATGGCCAGAAGGGGGTAAATACAAATCCATATTCATGTTATCAAAGAGAACAGCACAGCTCCAGAGGAACAAAACCCATGAATAGAAATGCTCCAGCCCAGGCAACATAGTGAGACTGTCTCTAGTAAAAATTAAAAAATTAGTCGGGCATGATAGCACATGCCTGTAGTCCCAGCTACTTGGGAGGCCAAGGTGAGAGGATTGCTTAAACACAGGAGGTTGAGGCTGCAGTGAGCTATGACCTTGCCACTGCACTCCAGCCTGGGCAACCAAGCAAGACCCTGTCTCTAAAGAAAGAGGAAGGAGAAAAAAGAGGAAGAAGAAGAAGAAGGAGGAGGAGGAGGAGGAGGAGAAAAGGGGAGAGGGGGGAGGGGGAAGGGAGACAGGAAGAAAAAGAATAAGAAAGAAATGCTTTGTTTGGTGTGGTAGAGGTGGAGAAGCATCATCCAGCTCCCTCTTGAAGGACTTGCCACCCAGCTGTGGGTAGTGAGATGAGCAAACCACTTTTGGCTGTCAGCCCCTTCTGATTGACCTCATCTGCAGACAGCCATCTTGCCCAGTCAAACCCTTCCCAGGTCAGCTTGCATCTGACAACTGAACGAGGCAGAAGCAGAAACACCCAGCAATGTTGACCTGACCCAGGTCAGCTCTAACACGTGACACTCATTCCTGAGCTCTGTGCAGGGTGGGCTGAGGTTTTCATTGTGTCACAGCTTGGCTTCTCACTGAGCCCAGTCCCACATCTTCCCCTCTTCCTTTCACAAGAGTCGATTCCTATTAAATGTCTTGTAACTCGAACTCTGTCTGTATGTTTGCTTCAGAAAATCTAAACCTGTGACGGTTAGAAATGGGGGTGGGTCAGAAAAATTTCAGGCAAGGAGCTTGTACCAGGAGAAGAGTGAAGAATCCCATACCCCTAGGAGGCCATGTGGATGTCTGGAGATGGAGAGGTATATCAATAGGGAAGGGGGACCCAATAAGGGTCAGAGGTCTCTGATGTATGTTAGAGAAGAAGGAATTTATTCCTTTCTTCATTCAATGATCACTTGTAGGGAAGACACTAGGGTAGGCGCTGAACTATGGGGATAAAAAGACACATTCCTGATCTCAAGGAGTTACAGACCAGACCCTTACACTCAGAGAAATGCAAACTTCCTAGAACTGGAATGTTTCAGGCAATAAAGCTTTTTGGAGATTAACTTAGATCTAAAGATGGTTTAGATACTTCAAAAATCTAGACCTCTCAAACAAAAGAAAAAGGAAATTCACCCATCTAATCCCATCTAATTCCCAGTAGCACTCTGAGAAGACCTAGAAGAGACAGCAGTTCAAAGACCCTTTTTGTTTTCTATTTACTTCTTAATCCAAGAGCCATACAGCATTGTTTATAAGAATAAATTCTAATAGAAGTCACTATCTTCCAGCTCCTATACACACCATAAAATAATTAATAATAATAGTAATAAAAATGAGGCCCAGAAACACCAATTAAAGTGGCCCAAGAGTAGTGTGGCAAAATTCAGGTGTCTTGACTCTGTATTGTCTCCCTAATCTTAATTGTGACCTTGGCCTCTCTAGTAAAAAAGGTATGAGATGCTCCCAGAAAAGGATAAATAAATGTAAAATTATAATAACTGAATCCCTGGCAGTCTCCTATCAAGGGCAAAAATAAAGAAGATATAAAGAAATATGCTCTGTAACTTCCTAAAAGGCAACACGAATTTAGAGCAAGCTCCCTGACTGCATTTGCAAGACGTGGCATGAAGATATGGATCTCTGTGCAGCAGGACATTTTCTGTCTTCTTCCAATGGAGCACTTTCCACAAGACTAATATTCACAGGACATAGTGTTACATCTTGGAGTTTCCCTAAAGCTGAATAGAGTAACATCTTCAACTTTCCCTATCCTAAATGACATATTCTACTTCCCTAAAAAGATAGATCTATTTATGTATAAAGAACTTGATATCTTCACTTCCCCTGGATCCTCTCCAATATTCTCCCCCAATCCACATCCCCAAGGAGTTGATGTCATTACTTTCTTTAAAAAAGGGTTGCCAACTGTTATGGTTTGGATTTGTGTCCCTGCCCAAATCTCATGTCGAATTGTAATCCCCAGTGTGGGAGGAGGGGCCTGGTGGGAGGTGATTGGATCATGGAGACAGATTTCTTCTTTGCTGTTCTCATGATAGTGAGTAAGTTCTCATGAGATCTGGGTTTCTAAAAAGTGTGTGGCACCTTCCCCTTCTCTTTCTCCTGCTCTGGCCATGTAAGACATACCTCCTTCCTCTTTGCCTTCCACCATGATTGTATATTTCCTGAGACCTCTCCAGCCATGCTTCCCGTACAGCCTGTGAGCAAAATAAGTGTTACTGTCTTAAGCTACTGTTTTGGGATGTTTTGGAAACAGTGAAACATGATCGAAACAGGTTCTGAGAACTCGAAACTAGATGCTGCTATAATGAAACCTAAAACATGGGTATTGCTTCTGGGACTAGTTGGTGGGCAGAAGTTGGAAGGGGCTGAAAGAGATTTTTAGTAGAAGCTTGGTAGACCTTGAGGAGGCTATTGGTAGATTGTTACTGAAAACTGGAGAAAGGGATCCTTGTTATGTAGTGGCAGAAAGTTTAGCAAGATTGTCACCTACAGTGACGTGGAAAATACAAATATACCTAATAAACTGGTAGATTGGGCTAAGAAAAATTCTAACCAGAATGTTGAAAATGCCAGGGAGTTTCTTTTAGTCATATATAATAAGTGTGTAGGGAGAATGAATTTTAAAAAAAGGAACTGTTACATTTTCAGGAAAATTTTAAGATAATCTATTAAAGATCCAAGATGTTACATTCAAATATAAAACTATTTCTCTTTGTCAGTCTCTCCATAGAGCAGGGGATTCTCAAATTAAGAAAAGGTGTCAGCTCAAAGATCAAACTCAAAAGCCAAAGACCTTTTGTTTGTACCTTAGAAAGATATAAGGTAATGTCTCATAAGCCCTTTGAAACAGAGTTCCTCTAAGGATCTAAGCATATGCTAGGCATATTCTCTCAGTAAACAATGAGTCTTCTAATAATTTTAAGGTTATGTGGTCCCATCACAGCCTTACAGGGATCTCAGGTAGAGAATGGCTTATGTCAAAGAGATTCTTGTCTAATGGAGTATTCCCCAATAAGAATCACAGGAAGTCCTGGAATTTTAAACAGAATTGTACAATCATATTTTGCCAGCTTGAACTTAAAGGAACAGAAATAGTATTAAATGAAAAGAGGTCCAAGAACCAAGAACCTGGAGGGAAGACCCAAGAGCAGTAGGGAATCCAGGCAGTAGGACTGAGACCTAAAAAAAGACCTGCTTGTGTTTGCTGTCTGGATATCAGAGTTGCTATGAGCCAATGACTGTTATGTGCTCTCATTTTCCTCTATTTAAAACAAGAGTGTCTGTAGTGGCTGTCCTATGTATACTTTACCATTGAATATTGCGTATGTAGGTTGCAAATAACTTGTCTCTTAGTTTACAAGTCTTCAGATTGAGAGGATAAATACATAAGAAATCTCACTTGAAGAGCTTCATCTGTACCTGCAACTGAGCCTTCTAAGAAGAGAATGTAGGAGTGTATCTTGCATGTATATATAAATAATCTGCAGCCAGTAAGTGGACTTTAGAATTTTAAAACATGTCTACAATTTTTAAAAACATTTTTCTTAATACAGATGAAGTCTAATTCCTATCCCCTTGAATATGGGGTGACCTTAATAATTCACTTTTTAAAAATAGAGTGGGATGGAAGTGAGGCTACATTAATTCCCAGGCTGGGTCTTACACAGTAATACAGTGTCATCTTGGCTCTATCTTGAAATGCTCACTCTCGCACCGCAGCCGCCTTGTGGTGAGGAAGTTCAGGCCACAAGGAACCTCCCAGGGACCCTAGCACTCAGCCCCAGCTGAGCTCCCAGCCAAGAGCCAGCACCAACTTGGCAGGCATGCGAGTGGGCCATTCTGGAAGGGCATGTGCCAGTCCGTCAAGCCTCCCCCTGCTGATACCACATAGGGCAGAGACAAGTCTTCCCAGACAAGCCCTCCTCAAATTTCAAATTTGTTTGCAAAATGAATGTTGTTACTTTAAGCCATCAAATTTGGGGTAATGTGATGCAGATCAATAGTAACAGGAATAATTTCCCTTCACATACATACAATTTTAACTCCATCCTTACAATGCCAATCTGTAGATAAACATTTTATGATAATGAATAAAAATATAGAGAACTAATATGTAGCTGGCATTTATTGATAAATTAATATAGGCTGGGCCCTATTCTATGTGCTTGACATGGGTTAGCTCAGTTTATTCTTACAGCTCTCTGAGGAAAATACTTTTATTATCTTCATTTAATGATAAGAAAATGGAGGCCTGGAGAGATTAGGTAACTTGGCCTGGACCATACAACAAGAGTGCCTAAGCCAGAAGTCCAGACATTCTTGTTCAGGAGTCTATGGTCATTATTCTTTGTGCTTCTTATAACTGGGATCTTCTAACTTTAACTATTTCACTTATCATTAACACCAGACAGCTCTTTGCTTTCAGAACTCCAGCCTTGACCTTCAGTTGACAGAGCTTCTTGTTCTTACTTGGCAAGTCACAGTCTAAATGTTGTCCATAAATATAAGATTTTCTCAGGTCAGGGGTCAGAGAACTATGGCCCATAAGTGAGTTCTGATCTGCCACCTGCTTTTGTAAATAAAGAGTTAAAAAAAAATCCCATAAAACAGCCACATTCGTTAGTTTATATTTTGCTTATGGCTCCTTTTACACTACATGGTGATTTGAACAGTTATGATAGAGACCATAGGGTCCACAAAGCCTGAAATATTACTATTTGGTCCTTTTTAGAAAAGGTTGCTGACCCCTGACTTAGATCACTGAAGATCCCTTTATGCTGAATTCGTGACATGTTATACAAAGGGTGTATATACGTTAGAGCTGTAGACAGACCTGGACTAAAATCCAGCTCTGTTACCTAACTGTGATCCTGGGAGAATCTCTTAATATCTCTGAATCCTAATATTCTCTTTCAAAAAGAGAACGTTAAGACCTCTGTCTTAATTGATACATGCTAAGATATTGACACATAAACAAAATATTATTAATATGTTAAGAAATTTTACCAATCTTTTGTGATTAGGTCAAAATTTAGGGGACCATGTAATCAGAGGCCACAAAATAAAAGATGCTTAATAATAACAACCATTTGTAACTGTTGGGGTATGTGAAGAGAAAACAGGCATAAACTTCCGTTAGGTGTAAGGCAGAGGTGGGAATTGGTCAGTAAAACTCTGACCAATGGAGGTGAAAGTCCAGGTTGTGAATTTCCTTCTATAGTCTGGATTGTAAAAGAAAAATCCTTCAGGCAGAGATAGCTTCATAGGAAACAGTTTTCCAAAAATCAATTTCTGATTGATTAAATGTCAAGATTTGAAGGAAGAACTTCTGGTTGCTTATCGAGCTAAAGGAATAATCCTATTTTCCCCACTATGACTGAATATATTTCTTTGAGAATATGAGTAAATTTAGAATCCCAAAGGTAGAGTGATTTGACCTGATTAGAAGTATTTTTTTTTCCATTTTTGCACCTAGCAGAAGCAGCTGTCAGCAGGTTAGTTATGTTATCATTCCAACCAAAATGGTTTAATATTTTGGCGGTTGGATTTTTTAAAGTTGATTTAAATAGCTGAAATGGCCAGTTGTTTTCAGGTCCTTAGAGAGGTGAGCAGTCACATTCTGGTTTCTTGGGAGAATTAAGAGAACTGTGTTTTGGAAGGGAGATTTTGGGGGCAGTTAGTCTTTTCTGTCATTCTTGCTGGGAGATCTGTCCTTGGTGCGATAGTAATGGAATCTGAGCTCCTCTGAGCTCCCAGGTGAGGCAGGTCATCCGTGCAGATATTCTTGTATATCTGGCTAAGTAGGGGGGTGAACCAGAATAGTGGGAGAGCCTTTGCTCTGATAAATGAATGGTGGGCCTGTCATGCACACAGGGTGTAAGATGAGCAAGGAGATGGATGCTGGGGCTTGATGAGGCAGGTGATGTGGGAAGCAGCTGAAACGCCCAGGAACTGCTGCGCAGATTCTGATTTTCTTCACTTGAGTTTTTTTCTTTCCTTATTTTCACTTGTCACACACATAAAGGGCAGCGAAATGCCAACCTGACCCAATGAAAGGCCTGGAGATATGAAACTGTAAAAGAAGATAATGATTAAGAACATGTGGAGATGACTGGAGACCCTTGATAATTGTGCTTCACTTTCCTGTTTAACCTTTTAACTAGAAAAAGGCATTCATCTAACAGACATGGTCTGCTTAAAGGAAAAAAGAAGGAAAGAAAGAAAAACAAAGAGAAAGAAAGGCAGAAAGAAAGAAAGGAAGAAAGAAAGGACAGAGAAGAAAGAAAGAAAGAAAGAAAGGCACAAAGAAAGGAAGAAAGAAAGGAAAGAGAAGAGAAGAAAGAAAGAAAGAAAGAAAGAAAGAAAGAAAGAAAGAAAGAAAGAAAGAAAAGAAGAAAGAGAAGGAAGGAAGGGAGGGAGGGAGGAAGGAAGGGAGGGAGGAAGGAAGGAAGGGAGGGAGGAAGGAAGGAAGGAAAAAAGAGGGAGAGAAAATAAGTTTTTCTCAAATCATATAGGCACATTTTTTTACATTGTATCACACCAATTTATCAGTTCCTTAAGGAAATCACAGAATCTAAAAGTGGAAATTTCCTTGGAGGTCACTTTGCCCAGATTTGTACTCATGCAGAACTCTTTTATGTAACTACCTCGGTAGGTTCATTGATTCATTCAACAATATTTCTTGAGCATGATCACTAGATATTGATCTAGGCACAGGGCTGAACAAAAGAAACGAACATTTTTGCCTTCATGTAGACCTGCTTATATTCCAGGGCCTATGCTTGATCATTTCCAGTTATTGAGAGCTGTCAGTTTAGATGCAAGTAAATCAGTTCTTAAGTGTTTAACAAACTCTTTTGGAGCAGCATTTTAAGCACTTTACAAATACAGTAGTAACTCATTTAATGCTCACAGTAAGCCTATAAAGTAAACACTACTGTCATCCTACCCCTTCTACAGATGAACAAATTGGGGCACAACGAACTTAAGGAATGCCTTAAGACTGCCACTGGTAAGTAACAGGGGTTAATTAGAACCCCACAGTGAGGGTCTACAGTGAGGACATGGAGTGCAGTGTTCTAGTTAAGAGTCTGCTCTCTTAACCACTAGGCTACACTGCCAACATTTGTTTAGCTTATGTTCATGATTTGGCTCTATTTCTGCTGGTATTGGCATTTCCTTTTGTTTTGTTCTGAGACGGAGTCTCGTTCTGTCGCCCAGGCTGGAGTGCATTGGGGCAATCTCGGCTGACTGCAAGCTCCGCCTCCTGAGTTCACACCATTCTCCTGCCTCCGCCTCCCGAGTAGCTGGGACTACAGGCGCCCGCCACCACGCCCGGCTAATTTTTTGTATTTTTAGTAGAGACAGGGTTTCACCACGTTAGCCAGGACGGTCTCAATCTCCTGACCTTGTGATCCGCCCACCTCGGCCTCTCAAAGTGCTGGGATTACAGGCGTGAGCCACCGCGCCCGGCGGTATTGGCATTTCTTAGTCTAAAATGATCCCAAGGTTTCTTGGGATCTTCTACTGTATACTCTAATCCCCTGAATATAACCAAACAAAGACAATTCCTTACTCTCTTGACTTACATGATTTATATAGGAGGAGATAGCACCTCTTTAAGATGTGTGAACCCCGCCCCCCCCATCAACTCTCCCTGCCTAAATAAAAGGGCACTGCCTGCCACATACTAGTCAATAAATGATAGATCTTGCTATTAATACGTTTTTGGCTCAATGATTTGCAAGATTTCTCAGTTTAGCTTCCTTCCTCCAGTTTAAGCCTTTAGGATAAGGGGCCAATCAGGCATTACTGGACACATTTTCAAAATTTTTCCTGAAAGCAAATTTTAATAAATGAGAGAGAACTTCATGAGGCTGATGGGAGAGACATTGTCATCACCAACAATGGAATTGAGGGACAGGGAAGGATGCAGAAGCTGGGAACCCTGGAAAGTTCACTCGCATGGGAACATCTTAATGACTGCCTTCCATGGCCAATTAACCAATTTCTCTCCACGGCATAGAGAAATAAAACAGCTCTGCCCAGGTAGCTACCTTGCCTTGTGTCCAGAAAACAACAACAACAACAATAAAAAACCTCATTTATGTCATTTCATCATGGAATAAGAAGTGAGAATGAGTTAGATAAAACTCTGAGCAGAGCAACAATACTTTTTATGTTTTTTCTGAGTCAACTCATGGGTAAATTTAATCCTTTGCTTGAAAGGAATTCAAAGAATGTCAGGTACCTTCTCATTTCAAATGGAATAGTCCCAAAATACCTTCTACCATCAAATCCCAATGATTTCTGGATTATCTTTCACGGCTCCTCTTCCTGTAATGGATGAAATTAATCTAGTCCACTTTCTTTACACCTGGTTTCATGAGCCTCAGCCAAGATGACTGAGCCAATCCTCCTACCTGCAAATTTGGCTGATGAAAAGCATAATTCCTCTTGCTTCCCCACTTTTGCTTCTCTCACTGCAAGTAAGAGGCTCTGCTCTACATAGAATTACTCTCCTTTTCCATTCATGCAAAGCCTACCTTTAAATATGTCTTTTCTTGCATGACATTTCCCAGACATGCTTCTAAACATAGTTTGCAGCTTCTCCTGTGTGCCCCACTCCAGTCCTGCCCAGAGGGCCATTACCCAAACTAGGAAAACAATTGACTGGGTGAATATTTCCATGCAGAGGGGTGGGAATAGCTGTTGAAAAACCAGTCTTTTTTTTTTTTTTTTTTGAGATGGAGTCTTGCTCTGTCACCCAGGCTGGAGTGCAGTGGCATGATCTCAGCTCACTGCAACCTCTGACTCCTGAGTTCAAGTGATTCTCCTGCCTCAGCTACCCGAGTAGCTGGGACTACAGGCGCCCGTCACCACACCCGGGTGATTTTTGTATTTTCAGTAAAGACTGGGTTTCACCATATTGATCAGGCTGGTCCTGAACTCCTGATCTCAGGTGATCCGCCCGCCTTGGCCTCCCAAAGTGCTGGAATTACAGGTGTGAGCCACCACACCTGCCAAAAACCAGTCTTTTTATAATAGACAAGATGTAGGTATATAGAAAGCAATAACAACAGCTACTTCATGTGGGTATTCCAAAGGCTGTTTTTGTGAGTTTGTAAAAGAGGGTGTCCTTTAAGAATTTTTCACACTACAGAGTACTTACTTTTTTTCTAATACAGTTTTAGGGTGCCATACGTATCTGCAAGAAAGGTTTTTAAAACTAATCAATTTTGACACCCATTCATGAAACTTTTTTTCCAAGATAAAGAAAAGTTGGCAAAAATAATTCGAGACATTTGCCAAGATCATTCAAAGAATTTGGCTTAGAATCTGAGTCCCTGGGACCAAACAAAAATATTAACAAGTCAGGTGGGTTTCTATTTCATCCTGGCTGGATATTTTTAAGTGCTTGCTGCTTGTTAGTCAGGGAAGAAATGGATCGTAGGTCATTAACTTTAAAAAAAAAAAAAGAATATTTATTCTTTTGAATTTTTCCCGAATGCTTTGAATGGATTTCTGTTGCATTATTGGCTGAGTATATTCTTGTCAGGATAATCCACTTTTAGAGGCTTCATTTACATTAGCTATCACTCCAGAGAGCCATAGTAACAGGCTGCTGAATTACCCAAGAGAAATTACTCTTGAAAGCAATCATTGTGAATGAATTTTCATCACTTGGTCTCATCATTTCATGCTGTTTTGTCTCTTTCCTTTTTGCCCCTGATAAAAGATAGTCATAAAGAGGGCTTTTGTTATGATCTCATTTTCTTTAGAAAACTTGGTCTTATTAATCATAGCAGCCAGCTTATGGAGGCAACCAAAGCGTATCTCTCTGTCTCTCTCTCACACACACTCTGTCACACACACACATACACACACAGAGTTTTTGAAATGCATTTCAATTTGTGGGGAACATAAAGACTAATTTACTTCCATCTACGATATCTCACACAAATTTGCTTTTCATGTAACTTCATTGGTACGAGGAATATGTTTAAGTACAGGGGCTTAAATACTGTACTGAATACTACTGTACTGAGTTTGTTTTACATTACCAACACACGCGCAACAGTTGAAATTTAAAATTTTTGGACAAAAACGTAGAATAAATAATATGTTTTTTACTTACCTGTCCATAATGTATACCTGGCTTTATGAAAGTGACATATTGCTCACACATCAACTCAGGGTAGGAGAATATAGAAATGTAAAATAATATCTTAAGAAGTAATTTGCTAAATCGTATTCTGTTGTTTTGAGAAAATAAATAAATAATCAGCTTATTTATTTCAGAGTTAGTCTCCAGATCACACTCAATTACTAAGTTTAGAAAACAGATAATAGCACAAAGGCTGCTAGCAGAATTGTCTGCGGCAGGTCTGTAAATAGAGGAATGAAAGGAGCATTTGTTGAACATCCTCAAAACAAGCCTAGGAGATGATTATTATAGTCTCCATTTTATAGATGAGGAAACTCAGGCACATAAAGTTTGATTTCCTTGCTCATGAGTCATGCAGCTAGTAAGTAAAGGAGAAACACAAGTCTGCCAGAAGCTAAGGCCTGGGTTTTCTTCCTTGGGAAAACTCAGAAATACTAAGTTGCAGAAAACAATCACAGGCTACAATGGAACTTCGCCAGCTCTACTGTGCATATGAATCCCGGGGCATCTTGTCAGTATTTATATTCTGATTCAGTGAGTCTGGGATGGGACCTGAGATTCTGCCTTTTTAACAAGCCCTCGGCAGATTCTGATGCTGCTGTTCCAGGGACCAAACTGAAGTAGCAAGATACTTAAGATTACAATATAAAATTTTACCTTCAACCCAAATATGTTATATCCTACTCCAATTCTGTATTTTTCTGATAGTTTCCTTTCTTCTCTTCTCTGATCTTTTTGTCACTTTTCTCTATTCCTGAAGAAATTAGAGCAAACCACTGCAACATAGTTTTTCTAGCATCCTTTAGCTAACTGCAATGAAATGTTAGGTCAAGTGTTATTTTTCCTTAGTTGGTAAAAAAAGAAATGTGATTTGTGGAATCTGTGGAATCTGAATGCTAAAAGAGAATTTACTCTCACCCTCCTTTATTTCCTTCCTCTGATATTTCTATTTCTCAGACCTCCCTCTTTTTTTTACCTTCTTCCTTTTTTTTTTTTTTTTTTTTTTTTGGTCACACTTGTTATACTCAATCTCTGGCACTTTTACAAAAATATTTTAAACTCTGCATTATCACTTTTCCCCAGTATTTTCTCTCCTTTTATGAAATTGAGCCCTATGGCTCATTTTATTTCCCTTAGCTTTTTAGTTAGATAGCATGACGTTATAATTCAGGCATAGTCAAAGCTGCAAACAGTAGCATAATGTTATTATACCTGAGTTAGACTGCCTGAGTTAATAGCCTAGGGTGACTAGCAGTCTTAACTTGGGTTAGATATTTAAACTTTAGGAGCTCAGTTTCTCCTCTTTAAGGTAGGATAATAGTGGTATACATATTTGGGTTATTTATGAAAAATAAATTTGACAAAAGTTAATTCACATAAAGGACTTAGCATAGTGCTTTGAATGGTGTCAGCTATATCATAATTAAAGATTATTTCCCCATGGGGCTATGGGATTATCTATCTGGACAACTGAGGATGGTGGCATGTAGCCCAGCAGTTTCCTTACATGCTGTGACCCAGCAAGCTGAGCCAGCTCTGTCTTAGGCACTTCCTGGAAGCAGGCTTATTGGTGTTTTCAACACCCAGAGTGGATCATTTGTTAACTCCTTCCTCCTCTATTCCGTACATTTCTTTTTCAGTAATAATCCTGTAATAATCAGTAATAATTATGCTTTTCTTGATTCGCTCTTTAGTTTTATAACAAATACCAGTTTTAAAAAGAAGAAAGCTGTAATTTCAGTGATGTTACTTAGTCTTGTAAAAATACTTCATGTACTTAAAATTGTGTCTAAAAAGCCAAAAATATTCCAGCATGAAGTTGACACTCTGTTTTACTATTCAAAATTTTAAGCACAAGTAAAAACTCTCAGTGGTTCCATAGAATGACAGAAGCAAGCAATTTTGGTTCACTTATTTTGTCTACACAATCACTGTGTTATCATTCTTGATTTTGAATCTGTGATTTGAAGAAGAAACATGTGGTACCCCAAAGACTAGGGCCATGAAATACCCTAAGTATTTACCTGAGTCCTTAAGAGTCAGGGACTGTATACCCGAATGTTTCCCATAATCATTTTCATGTTGAATTCAATGTTTGTTAAGGAACAGGTAATAAAAATATGCAAACTTGAAAGTATTTATATATTTAAAAGCTCAGTGGTGACCACAACAATTATTTAGAATTCAAACCAAGAAAATGTTTTTTCAGGGAAGAGTATTTGACCACTAGTATGATTTAGAATTATGATGCATGGCAATAATTATACCAAACTGCATTTCAGTGACTCTATTATTTTTTCAGATTCTCTACAGACAGTGCAGCCTAGTATCTCCCAGACTTGTACTTCCTATGGCCCTGCACTTGGGGCCCCACTGCCTGGTAGAAATGAAGGTTAGTGTTCGAAAGTATTTAAAGAATCCTGCTAATCCCTATTTTATCCATAAATGTCATCTGTCATAAAGAAACTTTTAGCAGTTTCTCAACTTCTGAGAGGTCTTGTGGGAGGTTTTGCCATAAAGTGCTCTTGTTGAGCTCTTGATATCTATAAGCTGATGCCCTGGGCTTGTCCCAAATGATGCCTCCCACCCATTCATCAGCAGGACACTATCCCAGTTCACACACCTATGCCCCATCTCCACATATGTTTCACCAAAACCATAAATTTTGAAATAGAGTCAATATAAATGTATAACATATTGTATTAGGGCTCTTCAGAGAAAAAGAACCAATAGTATATTTGTGTGTGTTTGTGTATGTGTGCGTATACAGTCATGCACTACACAATGACATTTCAGTCTACAAAGGATTGCATATATGATGGTGATCCCATAAGATTATACCATATTTTTACTGTACCTTTTCTACATTTAGATATGGTAGATACATACATACTTATCATGATGTTATACATACTTATCATGAGGTTACAAGCTACACCATGTAGCCTAGATGTGTAGTAGTCTATGCTGTCCAGGTTTGTGTAGTTACACTCTATGATGTTTGCACAATGATGAAATCACTTAACAATGCATTTCTCAGAACCTGTCTCCATTGTTAAGCAATGCATAACTGGATATGTAAATAAAATGGAAATTGACTCACACAATTATGGAGGCCAAGAAGTCCCATGATCTGCCATCTGCAAGCTGGAGAACCAGGAAACCTGGCAGTGTAATTCAGTCCAAGTCCAAAGAACTGAGAACCAGGGAAGCCAAAGGTGTAACTCCTGGTTTAAGTCTGAAGGCCCACTCACATCCAAGGGCAGGAGAAGATGATATACTAGATCAAGAAGAAAAGAAGCAAATTTTCCCTTCCTCTTTTTGTTTTATTCAAGCTTTCGACAGATTGGATGATGCCTGCCCTTATTGGTGAGAGCCGTCTGCTTTACTAAGTTCACCAATTCAAATGCTGATCTCTTCCGAAAACACTCTTATGGACACACCCAGAATAATGTTTTACCAGCTACCTGGTCATCCTTTAGCCTAGCCAGGTTGATGCATAAATTTAATTATCACACATATAGTCTTACCAATTAGTGACCTTTTCATTCTTTATGGTATTTAACAGTGAAGATTTGTAGATGGTCTGTCTACTTGGTTTTATAGGTTTTGATCAGCACTCAGAAGCTCAGTTTGATCACCCTAGTTTGGCCTGAGCTGAAAGCACTGAAACAGTGAGTTCTTTGGGTCTTACTTCTAGAAACCAGGAAATGAGAGAGATAGTGACTTGGTTTCTCTTATGTTTCCCTTTTGTTCTCTTCTCAGTGGCCTTGCTAACAAGTTTACCTCCAAACTATGAGATTTCAGAAGGAAAACCAAGAGCCATCTCTGCATATGTGAGAGCGGGCAAAGGAAATGTGACAAGGAGAAGAAAGAAGACACACTTGGGCAATGATGATGGGAAGAAGGAAGCACAGGAGAAAATGTAAGAAATGTACAGGTGAGAGAGATCAGGAGAAAGATGGGAAATGTGGGAGAGCAGCAGGAATCATAACAATAATAATGCCAATTTGGAAACGAGAACCAGTGTATAAAGCATACCAATAAGGCCAACGAAGTGCCAACGATGGAAAGCCACCCTATCAGGAGAAAGTAAAGTCATAGCAGATGTTTTATGAGACAGCTCAGAACACAATGACTGACCAAGAAAGCGGCACAAGTTAGAGGTGGAGAAATGACCCAGACCCAGACCTTTAGGGGTCCTGAACTTGGTTCATACCTCATGTCAGAAGGAGTAGTGACCAAAAGAAATTCTCTTTGCTTTAATTATAGAAGCAGGAATATACCTGATTTTGTATGTAACAGCATATGTTTAAGATCTGAATATTTCTATACCCAAAAGCATAATGTATTAGGGTTAATCATTTGAAATTGCCAATATGCACTCATTTTACCTATAAAAACTGTAATTTTGCATGGTTCAAACTAATAGATATGAAGATATTCTCAAGCAAACTTTTTTTTCTTTTGCCTTGAAGCCCATGAGGAAGATCCAAAGAGAACTTTGGCCTTAACTAAGCTTCCTACATTCTCCTGGAGTCGGTGGTTTATGAATGTGGTGCCATCTGGGGAACTGACAACCCCTGATGTGTTCACTCTGCTCGTCTTCCAGGTGAGAGAAGAAGAAGGCGAGAAAGAAAGAGAAGTTCCAGAATTTCACAGGCTGAGGGAGATGGTAGTAACTTCTGTTTATGTTGGTTTCTGTTTATTGGTTTGCTTTTTATTTTGAACTCGTTTGACTTCAGGTTCCAGATTTGTTTTTTTCTTTGTAAACGAGACTTTGACATTGTTAGCAGGCCCATCTGTTTGCTTTTCTTAAATAAAATGTAAATTGGTTTTTGTTTTAAATTTCAGGTGCTTTTAAGTTTGACTCTGCTATTCATTTCCTAAGGTAGTTTGGGCATGGTAGTGCTGGTAAGAACAGAGAAATCTTGCTTTATAGAATCTTTTTGTTCAAATGAATGTACATTTTTAGTATTCGAAAATTATCAGTTTTAATAGGTTTGATTTTCCTGTCTATAATCTGTGTTTTCTTCCTTATTCCCTCATTCTTTCCTATCCCATGGGCTCAGATTTATGCTCTGATCAAATTTCTTTTCATATCTTTCCACCTCACAACACACACAAGAAACCTAATACAAGCCACTATCTGTTTCTTTTTCAATGGAAAAGAAAAGGATTCCTATGGGATCATACTGATTCCTGTGGGCCCCTTGCATAAAAGATTGTAGTGCATTAAATAATGACCCTCCATTGGCCAATCAATCATTATTGAGCACCTAGTTTATGTGGAATACTGTTCATACAATATCTTGAGTAATGATGGGAACAGATTTCATGAGAGATGTTGAAATACTCATGGACATAGACTATCTTGGCAATTATGCTCTTGAGATTCTTTTATAATGGACACATATTTGGAACAGAAAAAAGCTGGAAACTTTCACAAAGGTTTGATCCAATGGCTTTTTAAACATGAATCTAACCATTGTGAAGTTTGGCATCTACTTTGTACCCCCAGCAGTGCCAGCCCGTGTAAGGTATGCAGGTAACAGACAGATGATTGTACTGGGAGTGGTGAAAGTCCTGCCTTAACAAATATTCTCTGTTTTCTCTGCCTCTGTCATACTATAAAAATGTTTTCTTCTCTGGGATTATTTTAAAGATACCTTTATTCCAGGTAGTATTTTATCCCCTGGGAGACAGATCTTATCTAACCACAGATTAGAAAGAGCAGCTGATCTTCAGCCTGGGTGACAGAGCAAGACCCCATCTCTATAATATATATATATATATATAATATATATATTTTATATATAATATATATATATAATATATATATTTTATATATAAAATATATATATTATATATATAATATATAAAATATATATATTTATATATATATTTTATATATATAATATATATATATATATATATCAGATTAGGAAGGCATGGTGGTGTGCACCTGTAGTCCCAGCTACTCAGGAGGCTGAGGAGGTCCAGGAGTTCGAGGCTGCAGCAAGCTACGACTGTGCCATTGCACTCCAGTCTGGGTGACAGGGAGAGATCCTGTCTCTGAAAAAAAAGGAGGAGAAGAAAGAGCAGCCGATCCTATCTTCACATGGCAGGAAACAAGGTCATGAGCAGTGGCCACACAGGACTGTTTTATTTTGATATAATGGAAGTGGCATGGGAAAATGCGAAAAGAAAGGTCACCCTGAATAGCTCTAGGGAAGAAAAAGAATGTTGGGCATTTCAACAAACAGCATTACAGAAAAGAAGAAGCAGATGCCAAAGAGGGGAACTGAAGAAATGTCAGTGATAAATTCACTATTGCTGTAAATTACTATTTGCCCAACCTGACTAGGGAAGTTCCAGTGAGCAGTGGAACAACTTGATGTGGAGCCTGGGAAACTTTGACCAGCCATCTAGATGGGCAGACGTAGGGTGACCAGTTCATCCAGGTTTACATGGAACACTAATTTAGTTTTTATTTTATTTTTAAATTTGTTATCTTTTTTAAATGGACAAATAAAAATTCTACATATTTGTGGGGTACATAGTGATGTGTTGATACATATAATGTAGAGTGATCAGATCAGGATAACTACCATATCCATCATCTCATACATTATCATTTTTTTGTGTGTGTTGGGAACATTCAATATCCTCCTTCTAGCTATTTGAGACTAATTAAAGTATTATTATTAACTATAGTCATCCTATAGTGCTACAGGATGCTGGAATTAATTCTCCCTAACTAACTGTAATTTTGTTTTTGTACCTGTTAACAAATTTTTCCCTCTCCCTTCCTTCTCCCTACCTTTTCTAGTCTCCAGCATCCTCTGTTCTACTTTTTACTTCTATGAGATCAACGTTTTTTTAGCTTCCGCATATGAATCAGAATATGTGGGGTTTAACTTGCTGTTCCTGGCTAATTTCACTTAACAGTAATATCCTCCAGTCCCATCTATGTTGCCGTGAATGACATGATTTTATTCTTTTTTTAAGGAAGGCCTATTTTTAAATTGTTTTAGAGACCGAGTCTTATTATTTTGCCCAGGCTGGTCTCAAACTTCTGGCCTCGAGATCTTCCCACCTCAGCCTCCCAAGGAGCTGGGATGACAGGCACACACCACTGCTTTGGCTAATTCTTTTTTATAGCTGGTAAGTATTTCATGGTGTACATATGCCACATTTTCTTTGTCCATTCATCTAATCTCCTAGGTTGAGTCCATATCTAGGCTATTGAGAATAATGCTGCAATAACCATGGGAGTGCAGATTCTCTTTAATATACTGGTTTCCTTTCCTTTGGGTAAATTCCCAGTGGTTGGGTTGCTGAATCATACGATAGTTCTACATGTTTTCCACATGGCTATATTATCTCTTGGTTTTGACACCAAATATTCCACATTTCAGAAATCTCCTCAGTCCTAGGCTCATGGCGGTGGTTCATCACTCTAGCCCATACCTCCCAGATACTGAGAATACCATCATCTTATTCAAACCTGCATAAGGTTATCATTACTACAGGTTAGGTCATATAGTGTGTACATTAAGGTTCTTTGGAGAAACAGACCAAAAGGAAAGCTATAGATATATAAGCACAGATTTATTACGGGAATTGACTTATATGATTATGGAGGCAGAAGGTTTCATGATTTGCTGTCCCTACACTAGAGAACAAGGGAAGCTGGTAGTGTATTTTAGCTTGAGTCTCAAGGCCCAAGAACCAAGGAAGCTGATGGTGTAACTTACAATCTGGGGCCAAAGACCTGAAACCAGAGGTGGCCACCAGTGTCAGCCCTTGGGACCAAAGATCCAAGAATCCAAACCTCTCATGTCTGAGGGTAGGAAAGGATGGCTGTCCCAGCTTAAGACGAGAAAGGGAATTCACCCTTCTTTTGCCTTTTTTGTCTATCCAGGCACTCAACAGATTAAACAATGTGCACCCACATTGGTGAGGACCATCTGCTTTACTCAGTCTACTGACTCAAGTGTTGATCTCTTCCAAAAACACCCTCACTGACGCACCCAGAAATAGTGCTTTACAAGCTATCTGGGTGTCCCATAGATCGGTCGGGTCCACACATAAAGTTAGCCATCACAGTGTGGTTCAAACTCCTATCTTTTATTTCTTCCTGCATTTCCCTGAGTGTCTGGACCATCCTCATAAGAGGTTATACTGTCTTTTGTCTTTTAGTAACATCAGCCTTTCCTCTCTGACCCTCCCTTCTCCTTGTCATTGTTTTCACTTTTAATTTTAGAAATTGATTCATTCTAGGAACATCACTTCCTAAAGTTGTTGTTTGGCGCTATGTGAGAAGATTCTCTGAGGGCTGTAATAGGGGTTGTGAAGCTGAGAGATTTCAGACGTGTCGTTCTCACCAGAATTCAACAGTGGCTATCTATTTCCACATGGAGATAAGTGCAAAGTGTGGTAGTGACTTCAGGAATGTTGGGCCGTTGGTCCTATGAGATAAGCACTTACTGATTTTTTTCACAGGAGGCCTGGCATATTCCAATAGGCACCACACATATAAAATGCATGCGTGCCCTGGTCCTGACCAGTCTTTGTTTGGTCTATAGTTTATGAAAATATATTAAACCATGGTTATGTTATACATCCTGTATAATGGTGATGATCTGTGGCAATATCACAAAATCATTTATGAAATTCATAACTACGTAATCCATAAATTATGTTATAAAATCCATAAATATTTGAGAGTATTATCAAAAAGTTTTAGAACCAGATAAAATAATTCACTAAGAAAGCCAACTAAGTGAGGCTGGATTCAGTGACTCACATCTGTAATACCCAGCACTTTGGGAGGCAGAGGTGAGAGGATCACTTGAGGCCAGGGGCCAGGGGTTTGAGGCTAGCCTGGGTAACACAGCAAAACCCTGTCTCAAAAAAGAAAGAAGAAAAGAAAAATCTCATCTAGGTAAAATCAAGCACATTGTATTGATAAGATATTTGCATCAAAGTTTCATCCCATGATAATTCTTTGTTACAGAATCGTCAAGTACTAATATCCTTAGCAAGGAAAACAATGAGAATGTGCATAAATTAGGATTTTTTTCATAAGTCAACTTTTCATTAACCTTATTAACAGTGGAGAGAAGATGCATTGTTTTGTTTTGTTATAAGCTGAATCATAGTTAAAACAAAAGTTGTCAAAATGTGGTACAAAACACATTTAGTTAAAAATGCATCCAGCGTTTAGAAACACATTCACTACTGAATGTAGATAATCAAAACATAAAAAAATTAATATGAAGATGTTAGATTAGAAACATCTAATGCCAGAAGGTTTTGATGTATCAGAATATTATTGGGGTTTCTTAGCAGGTCACTGTTTTATTCAAATATTGGAATAGTAAGAATCTTAATAACTAAAAGTTTCTGCTTTCTATACCAAGTTTTTGAGACAACAGCTCATTTAAATCATCCAGCAATCATACGAGGTAGATACTACTATAATTCCCTCACATTTACATCTAGAAATGTAGGTGATACATATAAAAGTATATATTATGTGGCTGGCATACAAAAACACATCTAATAATTAACTAATGTTAACATTTTATCATTAATGGTATTATTACTGTCTTAGTGACTTTCCAAAATGAAATAGAACCCTGCTCTCATTTTTAGCCAGGTACACTAATTTTCTGCTTTATTTTTTATTCTGTAATATATGAGTTTCTGAATGCTGGAGGAAATTTATCTTAATAAAGTTCATAAGATATCTGAATGTGTTGAGAAATCAATTTAAATCTTCCTGTGCTAATACAGATACCTTGAAATTTTTAGGGACCCCAAGGAAATGAAATAATCTGCTCATGATTTTTACACACTTTTTATAGTTAGAGTGACCACAGTCAGAACCCAGCAGAGACTGGGGAAGAGTCCATTTCTATTCATGCTCTCCTGCTAGAAATGTCTTTCCTGGTAAAGTTCATGAAAAAGTTGCCTGAATATTTCCATAAGTATATCATCTAGGAGGTTTACATAAAGACGAGATACACACAGCTCTAAAGAGAGCTTAAGAGTAGACGTAGTGGAGAAACTGGTTAAGGTCAGAGAGTGTTGGCAGAGAAAATGTTTCCTCTTGTGGCTTGGAAAAGTAGAGCAAGTATTTTGAAAACAGAATTGTGACAAATATTTCATAGCATGGAATAGGTTTCTCTTTAGGAAAAAGAGCTGATGTAAATGTTTACCGGTTATTTTTTTCCCAACATATATTTACTGTCATGTAAGCTTGAATTTCCAAATTTGAATTTCTGCACGTACCAATGAGGGCTAAAGTGTATCTTATTCATCATGGCCTGTTAGAAACTGCCGTCTCTAGTTATATTACCTTCCCTAGGGCAAAATCCACTGCTTACCTGCCTCTATTCTTCCTTGTTCTTTCTGGCAACTTGTTTTTCCTCATTTCTTTTCTTTCTTCTCTCTTTCTTTTTTTCCCATCTCTTTGAACCTCATCCTTTCTCCAGTAACAAGCCACTTCCTCCATCTCATGTTCCCAGACCATTCCAGCCCACAGTAATTTCTCCTTTTCCTGACTCCTCATGTTACCTAATGTCTTTGCCAAAGACTTTAGCTCATGGATTTTCTAGCTCATAATGTTGTTGAATTGTATTTTGTGTATAAGTCCAGTTCCCTCAACTAGATCCTAAAAGTCTGAGACCCAGGAAGAGAACATATGTCACTTTTACATTTCCAACAGGACATATATTCCAACAGTGTTGAATAAATATATGGTATTTTGAATTATATTCATTTACCCCTCCCCAGCTTTCCCAGGCAAGTGTATTTCTTTCATTGTTTTTGCCCAGCCGTGCTAATTTTTATCCATAATACCTGTGACAGGCTAAGAGAAAAAAAGAGGTAGCCATCACAAACAAGTTATTCATTTGTGGAAGGCAAAGTATTAAGAAATATTATTAACTCTAATAAAGAATAAGACATTAAGTAATAAACCAAATTTAGTCTGAAAGTGTATTCAATGTTCACACAAAAAAAGTGAGGACAGTTATATTTCAACAAATGTTGACAAGTTGGATGGTAATATAAATTAGTTAGCAGATCCCAAATACTAACTAGGGAAGCTAGTTGACAGTCAATATAAATTTCAACCCTAAAAAGTAGCCACTTGAGGCTCATGCCTATAATCCCAGCACTTTGGGAGGCCAAGGTGGGCGGAACACCCAGGAGTTTGAGACCAACCCGGACGACCAGGCAAAACCCCGTCTCTACAAAATACGAAAAATTAGCCTGGCATGATGGTACACACCTGTAGTCCCAGCTACTTGGGAAGCTGAGATGGGAGGATTGCTTGAGCCCAGAGAGGTCGAGGCTGTAGTGAGCTATGATGTTGCCACTGCACTCCAGTCTGGGCAACAGAGTGAGACCCTTTCTCAAAAATAAATAAATAAATAAATAAATAAATAAATAAACAAAACAATGGAGCCACTTGAAATATGGTTATGTCAAAAAGTGTCAATTTATTAAAAATACCTTCCTTAATTAGGTTATTGCTTATGTTTGACATAAAGTATTCATAAATGATTGTTAGACATTGTGTGCTGACATTAGACATGTTGTTGAGTATGATCTGTAGGATTTCTACATTTATTGTCAAATAATACTTTTAATAACAATAAAACTTTACCATAGGAGAGTAAGGTCCCACAGAGAGTGATAAATGCCAAAGGACAAATAATCAGCAGGCTTCAGGGGATCCCACTGAGTGAGTGCAAGATCTTAGTAGAAAACAAGTATTTGATAAATAGTTGAAACATGAAGTCATGCTTGTTCAGACATTTATTCCCAGTGTCATGAAAAGAGCATAAGCCAAGAGGTAGAAGATTTGTAATTCAAATTCATTTCTCTACTTTCTGGCTGTAAGAACTTGGACAAGATACCTAATGCATTTGAATATTCATTTCCTCATCTGCAAAATATGTGAACAATATTTCAATGACTTTTTGAAAGCAACATGAGAAAAAGCTGTAAGTGCTTGGCAAAGAAAAATTGCAGGTGCTTTTTGAATGATGTCATTCATACCTCAGTTTCCCCATATTACACAGGATATGAATGACATGGCCATATAGAAAAAGAATCATTGAAATTTATAATGTGAGAACCAGAGATCCAGAGATATGACTTCAGGGATAAGAATCAAGCGATGAATTAATCTGAAAACCTGTGATTCTCTCTGGGTGTCTGACTTCAAGGCAACTAACATCAGGACTTTCCTCTATAAGAAAACAGCACAATTAAACATATTTATTATAACACAGGTCCATGATGAGGCAGGCTGAGGGCCACTCGTAGCCTACGTGTGCTCACCTGTGGGAGTGCATGGTTAAAAGCACTGTACCCACAGTGGGCAGTGGTGGGACAGAATCATCCCCAGACCAGGATTTCTAGCTATATAGCAATTGCCCGGTACAACTCTGAAGTCAGGGCTTGTCCTAGAATGGTGCAAGAGAAAAGGCCAGAATGCTGGGAGATGATATCTCACCACCATTCACCTATTCTATAGCACTTAAGAGGACCAGGCACTGTGCTCTACATGCGTTATCTCATGTAATCCTCCCAGGAACCCTACGATGTAGGTGTTGCTAGCATCTTCCATTTACAGATGAGTAAACCGAGGCACAGACAGGTTATGTAATTTATCCTAAGGCACATGCCTAGAAACATTCCAATAAGAGTAGAGTCCAGGCCATCTGAATTCAAAGCCTGCTCTCTTAACCCTTCTGAAAGCAAATCATATTGGATACATTTACAAGAACACCAAGGGAGGTACCTCAAGGATCTGGACCTGGGAGATGGATGTGTGAAGGGAAAGGCAGTTTGGTCAGATGGCCCTGTGTGATTTTGTCCATCTGGTATGCTGCCTAAATGGCATGGAACCTGCTCCCTGATGGATGCTGGGTGAGGACGTCTGGCAATAAGAATGGCTGTACATGCTGTATGTCCCAGTGACAGGGTTGGTTGTTTATTTCCAGGACCGGAGGCTGCTCTCCCAACTTGACCCAGATAAGTGCCAGACACAGGAGCACAGGTGCAAGATCAACTGATCTGTTTCATGGGTGGAATTTTCCTGCTTAAAAAAAAAAATAAAAAGATGCAGGAAAACAACAACTTCCTATGACCTCATTCTGCTTAAAATTCCTGGATATGTCTCTTATTTCCTCTCTGCTTCCAGATTTTTTTCTTACTTTATTTTAGACTAAATTCAGTTTCTTTAAAAGGAAGCAGGAATCAACTTCATAAATAAGGGGTGTTGATTTTTTTTTGCCTGAATGTTTTGAATGACAAAGCCAAAGCACCCTATTCAATTGATCTCCACTAACTGCCTGATTTTTTGCCCAGATGGTCAACTTTCCTCCACAGGTGCTTCATGGTGCATTAGAATCAATGGATTTCTGCATTAGAATCAATGGATGCATTAGTTAAATTCATGCCAGGCATGGGTGGTTCATGCCTGTAGTCCCAACAGTTTTGGAGCCAGGAGGTTGAGATCAGCCTAGGCAACAAAGTGAGACCCTGTCTCTACAAAACATTGTTTTTTTAATCAGGGTGTGCTGACATGCACCTGTAGTCCCAGCTACTCAAGAGGCTAAAGTGGGAGAATAATATGAGCCCAGGAGTTTAAGGCTGCAGTGAGCTATGATCATACCACTGCACTCCACCTTGGGCAACAGAGCAAGACCCCATCTCTAAAAAAATTATAATCATTCATTCATCAAAACTGTTTACTGAGCACCTGTTATGTAGCTGACATTATATTAGATGTTGATTTGTGGGGCCTTTACCCACATCATCTGAAACAGTGTCTCTGGCAGTGGATGTCTTAGTGTGTTTTGTGCTGCTATAACAGACCACTTGAGACTGTAATTTCTAAGGAACAGAAATTTATTCCTCACAGTTCTGGAGTCTGGGAAGTCGAAGATCAAGGCCCCAGCAGGTATCATTATCTGGGGGAGGCTGATCTCTGCTTCCAAGATGGCACTTTGATGCTGTGTCCTCCAGAGAGGAGGAACACTGTGTTCTCACATGGAAAAAGAGCTGAAAACAGCAAACTCACTCTCGCAACCCCATTAGATAGGGCCTTAATCTGTGCATGAGGGAGGAGTCCTCATGACCTAATCACATCCCAGAAGCCCCACTTTCTAATATCATTACCTTGATGATTAGGCTTCAACATGAATTTTGAAGGGGGCGCCACACTCAAACCATAGCAGTGGGCCTAGGAATCTTCATTTTTAGCAAATTCCCAGGTAATTTTTGTGTCCTCAAAAGTTTGCAGACCACTGACCTATATTATGAACTCTTCAAATACAGAGCATGGAGTTTTTTGGAACTTTGTAGCCCATAACAAAGTGCCTTACGTGATGGTGCTGATGTGGTGTTGGTTAATGATTTATTGAAGAAAGGAATTTCCCGACTCACTGCTCAGAGTGACATAGGAAGATCAAACCCATCATTTATTGTCTTTCATCTTTTCATACTTCTTAATTGTCTGGTCTTGAGCCTAGCTGCTCAGATACCTGTAAGTTAAGGATCTGCTTATTTCAGAGATTGGCTGTGGATGTCAGTTCTAACTGGAAAGTAAAGTAAAAGAGAGCTATTGCTGTCATCTTCTCAGCACCCCATTCACTCCTCTTTTAGGAGTGGCACCTTGATTTCCCTTAGAGGATTGACTTCTGCTTATGGAAGGCCAGCTTGGTGGGCTTATCAGTGAAAGGGTGAGTGTGGTAGGCAGCACGGCCTCCAAATGATGTCCATGCCCTGATACCTGGAGCCTGTGAATATGTTACATTGCATGGCAAAAAGGGCTTTGCAGATGTAGTTACAAACCTTAAGACAGGGAGACTAGGCCAGGTGCAGTGCTCACACCTGTAATCCCAGCACTTTGGACAGCTGAGGTAGGTGGACAACTTGAGATCAGGCATTTGAGACTGGCCTGGGCAACATGGTAAAAACCCGTCTCTACTAAAAATACATAAATTAGCTGGGCCTGGTGGCAGATGCCTGTAGTTGCAGCTATTTGGGAGACTGAGGTAGGAGAATTGCTCGAACCTGGGAGGCAGAGGTTGCACTAAGTTGAGATTGCACCACTGTACTCCAGCCTGGGTTACAGAGTGAGACTGTTTAAAAACAAAAACAAAACAAAGATAGGAAGATTATTCTGGATAACCTGGTGGGTGCAACATAATGATTTGAGCCCTTAAAAGTAGAGAACACTGTCTTGCTGGAATCAGTGATGCAGCAGAAGGAAAAGTCAGAGAGACCCAATGTATAAGAGGGATTCGTTCACCAATGCTGGGGAGGATTACAGGTAAAGCATGAGGAAGGATGTAGGCAGTCTCTAGGAGCAAAACCTGGTCCTTGGCTGACATCCAGCAAGGCAATGGGAACTTCAGTCCTAGAATCACAAGAAACTGGATTTGGCCAACAACCTGAATGATGCTGGAAGAACATTCTTCTCCAGAGACTCCAGTACAGAGCTCAGCCCTACTGGCAACTTGATTTTGGCCATATGAGCCCCTAACAGAGGACCCAGTTGAGTTCATTCAGCCTTTTAACCCACAGAAGCTTTGAAGTAGTAAATTTGGGTGGTTTTATGCCATTAAGTTAGTCACAGTTTGTCACAGCAGCAACAGAATACTAATTCAGTCAAGAGCTGGCCAGTCAGACGTTCTTTTCCAGGAATTGGAATATTTAGCTACCTGATACAGGGACCAAGACATTTTGAAGATGGTCCATTCCAACAGTAGCATCTTGGAGACATCACATCCACATGCTCTGGTCCCTGTCCTTTCGAAAGCCTGGTAATTCACCTTTCTTTGAGTTACCTCTCAACTTTTTTGTTATTATTATTATGTTAGCTCACTAGAATCAGATTTTCTTCCCTATGACAAATAACCCTACCTAGTACAAGGGTAGATAAGTAGCAGAGCTCAGAGCTGCCATGATGCTCTGGGAGATGGGGTGCATTGACACCTCCCATGTTTACAAATACTTCTCAAGCAGCTAAGCAAGGCTGTGACCTGCCAGCTCAGTTGTAAGTTCACTAGACAAGTGCCATTGTCTAAAGGTCTTTAGGGCCAGACTCAGAGTAAGCCATGCACATTCCTCCTAATTTAACTGTAGCTGGGTTTCCTATTCAATTAGAGGAGAACTTATTGAAGAATAGTCTCTAAGGAGAAAGAGGAACTGTTCCTTCAGTGCATTGATTTTTATAGTGTGAAAGCAAACAGGTTTTTATGTGTGTCCAGGAATATATTGGGGGTTATAAGGTTTTTTTTTAATTAGGATATTCTCAAAATCTGCTTTGCTTCTTGATCCAAAAGTCAAAGAATGTCAAGATGAGTAGACATTAAACAATAATGAGTTTAATCTCTCATCAAGTACTTAAATTCTGCCCTCTGTATTCATCATAACAGGGTGACTGCTTTAACAAAAACTTCAAAATTTTATTGGCTTCACCTCAATGAAGCTTATTTTTCACTTATGTCTTATTTCATTGCAGATTAGCAGGAAGAGGCTATGCCATTCAGGGATACAAGTTCCTTCCATCTTGTGGCTCTTCCTTCTTCTAGATAACCAAAGTATTCCCCTTTCAGCCAGCAGATGGGGCAAGGGGGTGAGGCTCACACAAAGGGTTGGTAGGGTGGAAGGGGCAGTTAAAGGGCAGCCTGGATTTGGCAGGTACCACTGTCACTTACATTTCATCAGCCAGAACTCAGCCACCAGCCCACACCTAACAGCAAGGAGACTGGCACATGCAGTCCAAGTGTACAACCAGGAAAAAGAGGAGAACATAGATAGTGGAGAAAACTAGCTATCTCTGCTTTAGCCTTCCAAGTGGTTATATGACCTCCCCTAACATTCTTCTAGTGACAGGGAACTCATTACTTTTTTTGAGTAAGATAATGTATTTCACCTTTAAACATCCTGGGCAGTTAGGGAGTTTTTCTTTTGTTGAGTTGAACTATATTTTGCTGCATTGTCAAGATAAGCTAATACTTAAGACATAGGCTCTAGAGCCAGACTGCTTGAGTTTGTATCCAAACTCCATCAACTTGGGACAATTATTTCTCAGAGTCTGTTTCCTCATAAATTAATGCATGTATTGCATGGCTTGTGCCTGACATGTAATACATTCTCAATAAACATTAGTGCTTAATGTACCATATATTGGTGCTTGTTTTAACCTTTGTATTCATACAGGTACATCCTTGTCCTTGTCCTTGGATATTTAAAGGTATCTCTGACCCTATTCTAAGTATCTTCCAGAATCTTCAGCTGTTACTCAAGTGAACTCATTTAGCGTCCCTTTCCAATTCTGGTCACTATTCTCAGACTGGGGTTCAGTGTGTCTATAGCCCTTTGAAGAATATGGTGTTCTTATCAGATTACAAGATTCTTTTTTTTTTTTTTTTTTTTTTTTTTTTGAGACAGAGTCTCGCCCTGTCGCCCAGGCTGGAGTGCAGTGGCACATTCTCGGCTCACTGCAAGCTCCACCTTCCGGGTTCACACCATTCTCCTGCCTGTCTCCCAAGTAGCTGGGACTACAGGTGCCTGCCACCACACCTGGCTAATTTTTTGTATTTTTAGTAGAGATGGGGTTTCACCACATTAGCCAGGAAGGTCTCCATCTCCTGACCTCGTGATCTGCCCACCTCGGCCTCCCAAAGTGCTGGGATTACAGACGTGAGCCACCACACCCGGCCTACAAGATTCTGATATGCTCTGACCAGGGAAGAGGGCAGGAAAATTATAACATCCTTATTTTCAGCAGCTGCACATCTGTCTGTGCAACCTAATGAGAGGTGACAGCGTGCTGGCAGTCCTCACAGCCCTCGCTCGCTCTCGGCGCCTCCTCTGCCTGGGCTCCCACTTTGGTGGCACTTGAGGAGCCCTTCAACCCACCGCTGCACTGTGGGACCCCCTTTCTGGGCTGGCCAAGGCCGCAGCCGGCTCCCTCAGCTTGCAGGGAGGTGTGGAGGGAGAGGTGCGAGCTGGAACCGGGGCTGCGTGCAGCGCTTGCGGGCCACCTGGAGTTCCAGGTGGGCGTGGGATTGGCGGGCTCCGCACTCGGAGCAGCCGGCCGGCCCTGCCGGCCCCGGGCAATGAGGGGCTTAGCACCCGGGCCAGTGGCTGCGGAGGGTGTATTGGGTCCCCCAGCAGTGCCAGCCCACTGGCGCTGCGCTCGATTTCTCACCAGGCCTTAGCTGCCTTCCCTCGGGGCAGGGCTCGGGACTTGCAGACCGCCATGCCTGAGCCTCCCACCCCCTCCATGGGCTCCTCTGCGGCCCGAGCCTCCCCGATGAGCACCGCCCCCTGCTCCACGGCGCCCAGTCCCATCAACCACCCAAGGGCTGAGGAGTGTGGGCGCAAGGCGCCTGCAGCCCCGGTGCGGGATCCACTGGGTGAAGCCAGCTGGGCTCCTGAGTCTGGTGGGGACGTGGAGAACCTTTATGTCTAGCTCAGGGATTGTAAATACACCAATCTGCACTCTGTATCTAGCTCAAGGTTTGTAAACACACCAATCAGTACCCTGTGTCTAGCTCAGGGTTTGTGAATGCACCAATCCACACTCTGTATCTAGCTACTCTGGTGGGGCCTTGGAGAACCTTTGCGTGGACACTCTGTATTTAGCTAATCTGGTGGGGATGTGGAGAACCTTTGTGACTAACTCAGGGATTGTAAAGGTACCAATCGCGCCCTGTCAAAACAGACCACTTGGCTCTACCAATCAGCAGGATGTGGGTGGGGGCAGATAAGAGAATAAAAGCAGGCTGCGGGAGCCAGCAGTGGCAACCCGCTCTGGTCCCCTTCCACACTGTGGAAGCTTTGTTCTTTTGCTCTTTGCAATAAATCTTGCTGCTGCTCACTCTTTGGGTCCACACTGCCTTTATGAGCTGTAACACTCACCGCGAAGGTCTGCAGCTTCACTCTTGAAGCCAGCGAGACCACGAACCCACTGGGAGGAACGAACAACTCCAGACGCGCTGCCTTAAGAGCTGTAACACTCACCGCGAAGGTCCCCAGCTTCACTCCTGAGCTGGCGAGACCACGAACCCACCAGAAGGAAGATACTCCGAACACATCGGAACACCAGAAGGAACAAACTCCGGACACGCTGCCTTTAAGAACTGTAACACTCACCGTGAGGGTCCGCAGCTTCATTCTTGAAGTCAGTGAGACCAAGAACCCACCCATTCCGGACACACTAGGATCACATTAGCTTTTTCACTCACCACTTCACCCAGTTACTATATATCAATCTTACTTTCTACAAAAAGTTTTAAAATTTTATATAAATGTAATTGTTAAGCCAAATTTCTTGCATTGCTATAAGGTTTTATATTCCCAAGAGAAGGTTGTTATACTTATGCCTATACACTTTTAGTATATTCTATTTGATCTTGTATTTTCAATCTAAATGGAAGTTACTGCATTCTCAAAGCCCTCCTACTACTTAACCGTGGCTAATACAGTTTCCTAGAACACAAGGAGAGTGATCAAGACTCATTTGTTAGTGTAAATGTCTTTTCCCTGGCATTATAAATGACTAGTGTCAGGGAAAATTACTAAGCTGATATTTAGGAAATTTTTTTCTATTTTTGAAAAGTTATTAAAAACACACACACACACATACACCAGCACACATTCTTGGGATGAAGCCTAGCACAACTGTTTCAATGTGAATTCCTTTAGCCTTTTCTCCTTTTGGACAGGGAGTTTCACTGTGTGTGCTGACACATTGTGTGGGGTTGAGAAGGACAAGAAAGGAGACCAAAGATAAGGCAGAAGAAGCGGGTGGATACCACAGATAACACTTTAGGCAGGTTTAAAATTCTTATTGAAGAAAACTCACCTAGCAGTGGCTGAACTAGGTGACCCTGAAGGCTCCTTACAAACCTATGATTCTCATAATCTATCTCATAAATAAGCAGATTCCAGCCCCAGAAGCCTCAGTGTACCAACCTAGGAAACGGTAGCATTCTTTTTTTGAAATACTTGTTCTAAGTACTGTCTCTTCAGATCAAGAATGGTGTTCCTTCTTAATAGCTCCTCCATTATCACTACTCCCCCAATCACTATCTTTGTGACTATGAAAGCCTGACTCTGAAGGCTAATCCTTAACCTTCCTGGTCTTCTTTACTAAAGTCAGTCTTTGGTATGAGTCATTTGAGATGGATGCATGGGCCTTTTCTGTAGTAATAGCAACAACGATAGTAGCAATACTAATAGTTAATATTAATTGAGCACATACTACATGTGAGGAACATGCTGTGGCATAGGTACTATATTACTAACTACCACATGTTACTGAAGAGTAAGCTGAGGCACAGAAAATTACATAGTGCCAGGGGCAGTTAAATAGGCACTCCTAACTATAGAATGCAAATTACCATTCACACATGGGCATAGTTCCTGCCATTTACCACCCTCAGAGGCTGCAGACTTAGCTGCCAAACTGCCAAAGGTTTACACAGATGTAAATTTCAGGCTACATGAATCCCATAACTTTTTGTGCCTACTTTTCACTAATTCACCTGACTTTGACATCTCATGCTTCTATAAATGTCTTTTAACTCAGTGGTTAATAAGAAGCTAAAATGGTATTTTGGTATAATTACAAAGTAATCAGCATAAAGTTTTGGGCAACAATTGAATTAGTGGCTCCTCGAACAAAAGGACAGAACATGTTACATTTTAACATGGTGCGTAAAAAAAATGCTTACAGGATCAAGGCCATTAATCCCTTTAGTTCACTTGGACTGAGGGTGGGGAAATCCCAAGAAACAGCAATTCAATCACCTTCTTGAACAGCCCACATGCTCAGATGATTTCTGAGAAATGAACTTAACTTTTAGAGGTTTCATGATCAGCTGCTGGATGACATCCGGCACCAACTTAACCACTAATCTCAGATCTCATAGCAACACAGATCGCCTGGAACTCAAAATAGTCCTGCCTCAAGCTCTTTTCACTTCTTATCACTTCAGCAAGAGCATGTGAAGGAAAGGTGTCTATCAGCCAACAGCTGCTAATTTTCAGAGAAATGAATGGATGTGTGGCTGCTTCCATTTAATCAGTCACCATCTATCTCAGCAGTATTAATGCTTCCATTTGACCAGCCACCTCTATCTACACATACTTCTTTTTTATCTAAGAGTCTACTGGACTTTTTCAAATTCATCTGAACATGTGATATTTTCACAGGGCTCAACATTGAACAAAATCCTCTTTAATCCTAACCTTTCACCACTTTATTTTATTTCTCAACATTTCCCTTTCATAGAAACACATTGGAAGCTAATCCCCAAGACTTTGAGAGAAGTCACCCAAGAAAGTCTGACTTTGCTGGAAGATCTTTAAGCTGCTTCAAGCCTTGGATGTCATCTGATCACTGCTCTTGATTTCTTTATCCTTGGACTGCAGTTAGAGACTTGGCTGCTATAAAGTGAATTACTCTTGAATAAGGGCATAGTTTCCACTGTGATAACCTTGTTTCTATCCATGACAGCTAGGGAAACTGCAGCCTGAGAGTGCTTTGCTTGGTAGCAGGTGTAATGTAGTTTTGACTAAAATTCTGTTGAAGAAAACTCTCTCAGCTTGCCCCCAAACAATTTATGTCAGCAGAAGAAATAAATAAAGAAATAATAATAGAGTATATTGTTTGAATTTGTTGCAGTGGGGTATATTGTTTTATGACAAAAAAACAAGTATCAATTTTTAGTTGCACACTTCTAGGTCACCTAAATGGTTGGTTCTGGCACAAAATTTAATATAAGGAAATGTGAAAACTCCTCCCCTAACTTCTGCCAAGCCTCTCCTGTATGGTTAACTGCTGCTTTCATGTCCCCTGTCACTGAGAGGACTTTGGTAGTCATATTTCATCTCTGTAATTCCCATATGAACTTGCCTTAAGTTAAAAACAACCAAGGATACATTCTCCTTTGCTTTGTAGGAGGTGGTGCCCAGAGTTCATAAACTGAATTTAAATTATACCAAAAGAGATCTTCAAACTGTGAAGAAAGCCTAGCATATGACAGTTTGCTCATAAAGACCAAGTAAAGCTACTGTATTGCAGAGGAACCAACAGTTTAGTATAATCCAATTCAATTTGCAAGCAATCATTAATTATTTTCTGGGTTTATTATATCATTAATAGCTGTAAATAAGCCACGTATTTCAGTTGAAAGGAATCAATTCTACCTTTAAATCAAATTTGAAGAAGAGGAAGGGGAAAAAGAAGAAGAGGAAGAGAAGGAGGAAGAAGAAGAAAAACAAGAACATGAAGAAGAAGGAGGGGGAGAGGTGAGGAGAAGAAAAAGAGGTAGTGGAAAAATAAGGAGGAGAATAGAAGGGAGAGGGATAACAATGATACCACCTTTTAAGAAATCAAAAACTGGATCTGTTAGTCCTCCCTCCCTCTCAGGCACCCAATCTCAGGTGTTGCTAGACAGAGGACAGCAAGACCCTTCTAATTTCCCACCGCAGCAATACACCCAAGTGCCATCTCTTCCTGAAATGCTAGAAGGGAGCTAACATTCACTGGGCTCCTCTTACAATCATGTACATTCTTTGGTACTTTACATGACTTAGATATATAGTTCCATTAATTTCTCAAACAATAGTATAAGGTAGACAATGTTATTTCCATATTTATAGATTAAGTTCAAGAGGTTGAGAAATTTGCCTTAGGTAACACAGCTAACAAGAGAGGAGCTGGCATTTAAATCCGCATGTCTGGATTGCCAAACCTAGACTTGTTCCATCATCTCACATGCACTTCACCTTCTCTGCTCTGCCAGGAGATTGATCTGGTATCTCCTTTGCAATCTGGTAAGCCTGTCTGTCTGGCACAGCTTACCCAAAAAGGGTCTCCTAATACCAATCTTTGTTCCCATACATTGTTGGTGAGTCCCAGCCCAAGCAAGGGCAATTTGCTTTTGCAGGTTACTTTCCCAAAGTGGCTATGCATTTGTGTTTCTTACCACTGAACATAAGGCAGTCCATTGCTCAGGCATAAACCCCAACCCGAGACAACTGGGTACATTGATAGTTACCACACAGATGAAAAAACTTTGATGGAAAGGGCAAACACTGGGAAACACATGGAAAATTGGTTTCATGTGGTTTGATTACACTGACTTAAAATATCCCTTTTTCCTGATCAGATCAGAAATTGATATGTGTGTTGCTACTCTGAGCTATGAGTCTGAGTATTTTTTTTTTAATGATGTAGGGACTCTTCTTTTGAATATCTGTGGGCCCTTTAAATGAGATGGAAGAAAATCTTCCAATATTGTCACACTTGATATAATATTTTTCAAGGAGAGACTGTCAGGATGAGGATGTACCCTCACAACCCATATTAAGGAGAAAAGCAAAAGAAATTGGAGGAGAGAAGACTTAAATGTGCTGAGGGCTGATTCTGACTCTGTGCCAGGCGCTAGGTTTGCCACTTGGCTAACTTTATTTTCTTCATTCCTCTCAACAACCCTGTGAAGTATAAACATTCTACCTGCACACCACCACCACTACCACCACCATCACCATCACCACCGCCACCACCATCACCACCATTACCATGAAGACTGAAGGAGCAATACTCCATGTAGGGTCCAGTAGCTGTTGCGTGATGGAGCTGAGAATTGAAATCATATCTCCCTGGGCTGTTTTCACTACACTGCACAATCTTCTAATGAGCAGGGCTCTGTTTTTGGCCTGAGGAATGAAACAGTGACAAGGCGTACTCTGTGTGTGTGTGTCCTGTATTCAAGAGGCTTAAAATCTAGTTAGGAGACAAATTTAAAAGGTCAGTAGCAACCGATGCTTGTAAAAATGCTAAGCCCAACAAAGGTACAGAAGTCCAAAGGAGCCACTGATTACAAAGACCCCAAGTCGTGGAGGAGTTTTCATGAAGGACAGAGACTTGGATTGGGCTTAGAAAAGAAAGCCGAGGACTTACAGACATGGAGAAGAGGCCAACAGCTGTCCCAGAAGGCAGATCACCTTGGGCTAAGAATACACATGCTGTTTTTAGGGAACAAAGTGAGTGGCTGTGGCTGCTGTTATTTCAGAGGTGAGCATAGAGCGAGAGTTAAGAAATGCCCCTTTGGAAGGTCTGTTAGACCCTTGCTCCTCAAAGTGTGGTCTGAGCACCAGTGCTGTCAACATCACCTGAGTGCTTGTTAGAAATGCAGAATCTGGTTGAGTGCAGTGGCTCAAGCCTGTAATCCCAGCACTTTGGGAGGCCAAGGTGGGAGGATTGCTTAAGCTCAGGAGTTCCAGACCAGCCTGGGCAACACAGTAAGACCTCATTTCTATTAAAAAGAAAGAAAGAAATAAAGAAATGCAGAATCTTGAGCCCTGCACCCAACCCACTGAATTTGAATGTGCATTTTTACGTGGTTTCCCATGTGATTTGGAGGCACAATGAAAGTTTGAGAAGAACTTCCTTAAAGAAGTAGGTTCACTCCTCTCATTTTTCATCCTTTAGATACCAAAATAAGGCTGAAGAGGACTAGAATGTCTTCTTTCTGCCACTCTGTCCTCTTTTTCTCTTCTCTCCCGGCTCTTTGTGTAGAGGCCTAGGTGGCTGTTGGTAAACTCAGGGCCTTTCGTAGTGCTCCCTTTCTGCTGCTTTGCCTAAAACCCAGCATCCTTTTTCTGAAACTTCTGTGTGTCATGCTTCTTCCTTTTCACTGGTACTCACTGATCTGCGAATGTCACACTCGAGAATGTGGAGCAAATGTGTTTTGTACCCAAATATCTACAACACAGAACAATTCAATTGCGTTTCCAAGAGTCAGCCCTAAAGAATTGGCCTGTGTGTAAATGTGCCTGACCTGAGCATAAGAGACTGTTCTGTGTTACTAGCATCACCCAAATTCAGCAGTGGGCTTTGGAAGGACAGGGCTGCCCTCAATGGACCTGTTTGGATTCAGAACACCTTGAGAAGAGAGACGCAGTTACAAAGTTGGGGCCCTGCCTTGCAGTTCACTCCATTTGTTCTATCTAAAATCTTAATTCCCATTGTTTTTCTTATCACTTCTTGGACTTGGGACCACAACTACCATTTGGAAAGATTTCAGGCTCAGGAGAAGCCAGGGAAAAAGAAATGTATACAAAAACTGAGCGCTCTTCTAGTTTCCAGATCTGACAAGTGAACAGCTTGGAAGTTGTCACCCTTATCTACAAAAGAAAAAAAAAAACTGAACAAACTGAAAACTGGAAACTCTTCTTAGAACCTTCGGAAAATTGAGATCACAGGCCAAACTGCCTCCCAGAGAACAGGGGAGTCAGACGGATGGATACAGAGAATTTCAGTTTACCAGGAGCAGAAGCCAGGAAACTGAGCAGTAATTAACAAACTGCTGTAAGCTGTGTGTGGACAAGTTTGAGACTTAAAAACTCCCAGCGGGCCCAATCACAGGGGCCTCCCCATACCTTCCTGAGTTGTACCTCCAGGAGTAACATCAGGTTTCCACTATGGAACCTGAAGAAAAATCCTCTCCTCTTTCCCTTTGGGGTTGAGGGGTTGGGGCGGAGAAATAGCCGTGTTGGAATAAGCCCAGAGCTCTCTGTTCTCCTTAAGAAGGATTTCCTTCAAGGGAAAATACTTTACAAGAACCCATCCCACGGGGGTTTTACCAGGGGCCTCATCGACCTGGGAAAGGGAAATACCCAACTCAGGCTCACTGAAAGACAGATCTAATCACAGGGCTGTAGAATTCTTTCTCTCCCCCGACACAGTACCAACACAGCAACGATGCTCCAAGTAAATAACAAGGGATTACAGCTCAAAGAATTGCAAGCCTCAGTCCCTATGTCAGGAGTCTCTAGGAAAATTCAAGCACAACAGGGGAGACGAAAGCAAGGGCACAGGAAATTTTAGCCCCTGATACCACAGCTACAGCAAATGGTAAAACCACAGCCTAACTCCTAGCCGGATAAACATAAAACCTTATGCTAAGTTAGCGGGGAATCTGTAATGAAGGTACTTGACCAGCTGTAGTCTTTGATCACAATAGCAGGATGTTCTAGGTTCTCTGCTTAGAAAAGAAACAAAGAAATAAGAGAAACAACCACATGGTTCTGAGATTTAGAGAGGAGGGAACATTACCTTCCTGCAAGCTCTACCCTCTTTGAACTTGATGGGTGTCATCTAGCCACAGACAATTATTTATCTGCAGTTCTTACTGTCTTGTGAAATACACTGCAGCTGACATTTTAGAGATTACAGAACCCAGTTGGTTTATTTGTTGCAAGTCATCAAGATTTCTATGAAGGCGTTATAGATTATTGCAGTAATGAGTTCAGTTAATTAATGCTAAGTATTTAAGGTGATAACTTTACATTGACAAATCTTACATGTTCAAGTTTCTCCAGCCTCTTTTTCCAACCTGCCTGCCAATGTGTGGGTGCCATGGGGGAGAAAACTCTCCTGAGAGTTAAGGACAACTAGCTTCCAGTTCTGATTTTGCTATATATTTGTTGTGTAATCAAGGGGAAGTCACGTATCCTTTCTGAGGCTCAATTTTCCCACCTGTAAAAGAGGATAATAATAGTTACCCTATTTCAACCCCAAAGTCAGGATCAAATAAACTAGTAAGATGTCGTATCAATGCAGTTATTTTTTTTCCTGTACTCTGTAGGCCAAGACCAATGCACAGTGATTAACGTCTGTTAAAAAAAGTCCATAATTGTATATGTATATTATATGATAAGAGTACTGATAATCACTAAAATTAAGTATAATTCAGATGCAACTTAAAAATCAGTCCTCAGAAAATATGAACATTGATATGGTTTGGATCTGTGTCTCCACCTAAATCTCTTGTTTAATTGTAATCCTCAGTGTTGGAGGTGGGGCCTGGTGGGAGGTGATTGGATCATGGGGGTGGTACTTAATGAATGGTTTAGCACCATCTCTTGGGTATTGTTAATGTGATAGAGCTCTCATGAGATCTGGTTGTTTAAAAGTGTGTGGCACCTGGCCCTCCGTCTCTTCCTCCTGCTCTTGCCATGTGAAGATGTGCCTGCTTCCCCTTCACCTTCTTCCATGATTGTAAGTTTCCTGAGGCCTCCCCAGCCATGCTTCCTGTAGAGCCTATGGAACCATGAGGTAGTTAAACCTCTTTTCTTTATAAGTTATCCTGTCTCAGGCATTTATTTATAGCAATACAAGATGAACAAATATAAACATTTTAATAGAAATCATGAGTTTCTCTGAGTTTCACTGTATTTTTCTGATTTCTGCACCTTCTCTTCGTGAGACTCCACATTCCATCTCCTTTGCATCTCTCTCCAGAGCCCCACTTAGGTTGTGAAGGTGTTTGGGGCAAAACAGAGTTTTGAAATTTCCAAACATCTTTGAGACACTCTAGTCAGTTTAAAATTGGCTGCATGTGGATTTTTTCTCTAAAAGGAAACCAAATAAAATGTTCTTGACATGGCAAACAAACAGCCATCCTTCCTGAGGGCAATATTTTTAGGAGCTAAGTGTAAATGAATCAGAAACAGCCATGGTAATTGCTTGTCCTTCCAAACACAAAAGAAGTTAAAAAATACATTTCTCATCCCAAATGTAATTTGGGTTTTATTTAATTACAAACAATTGTGTAAAATGTTGGGGCCATTTGAGAATCACATCAGGCAGTCAGATTCCACATCTCCTTAAGAATCTTACCACTCACATATAACACACAATTACTGGTTTGCTGAGTAAGAATAAATCATTCCCATGACCCAGAAGAGGACAAAACTGGAGAAACAGCATTAGTCATCTCTCCCCAGGCATGCTCATGAAAGGCAGGCCTATGAGGAGAGACACCAGGCTCAGGATGGTCTGGTCATATGTCGTTGTCATTTATATGTTGTTGGATGTGAAAGAGGCACTCAGGTCTCACAGCCCATGGTTGGGCTGGGGATCTGAGAGACTCGAGGTTGAGTTCCATGAGCAACTGACTGACTTGATTCAAATGAAGGAAACAGATGAATGCCAGGCTTATTCATATCTTCTTCAGAATAATGTGACCTGAAAAACAAGTTCAAACAGGCATATGAACTAAAATTAAGTGTTAAAGTAGTTAGTTTGCTTATGTTTTAGCATCTACTTGTACTCTCTGGTAGTCAGGAGAGCATAGTGGTTAAGAAACAGGGCTCTGGGGTCCTACTCTCCAGGCTGAAATGCCCACCCTTATATTGACTAAACCTCTCTGCCTAAGCATTCTTGTCTGTAAAATAGTGCTGGTTATAGCACCCAACTCATTGGGTTGTTGTAACATTAAAAGAAACAATCTGCACAAAATAAAGCACCTAGACTGTGTCCTTTCCAAGTAGTTATTGTTGCACATTTCTCTCTCTTTCTCTGTTTCATCTCAAGATTTCCTGGGTGCCCTTATTCACCCTCTAGAACCTCAACTGGCCTTGGTGTCCTATCCAATGACCTAGGCTCTATGCATATCCCAGCTAAAGCCCCCTTCACACTTTCCCCCAGCCCAACTTTATAAAGGCTTTACTAGAGCAGCAGTTTTCAACTTTAATGGGCATGTGGATATCTTGGGGGATGGAGATATAATGCAGATCCTGATATAGTAAGTTTGCATATACCCTGGGAAGATTCTGCAGTTCTAGCAGTCTCTGATGCTGATGACCCCTGGGCTGGCTGCACCTTGAGTAGCAAGGCACCAAGTAACTGGCTATCCAAATTGACTAGCATTTTCTTTTTTCTGGGCCACTTGAATGATTGAGTGCTTCAGCTTCATCACATTAGTGAAAACTAAGATATTGATAAGGAATAACACTTTAACATGTGACCAAGTCAGGGAGCAATTTTACATCTAAAGAAGCCTGATCCAAAGAAGGAAAAATGTGAGGCTGGAAATTTCGGGCCTTGACATATGTAGGGAAAAGATACTTTGTTAGCTGCCCTGACATTACTAGATAGGCAGTTTGCATTGTCAAGTGGTCCAATGGCAAGTTGTGAATGGTGAATACAGGAAAAAATGTTTGCCATCATTTCTGGCAAAATTCATGCCCACTCAGAACTTTATTTGAAAATAGGGTCTTTGCAGATGTAATTAGTTAAATTGAGGCAGTATTGGAATAGAGAAGGCTCTAATCCAATAATTGGTGTATTTATAAGAAGTGACACACAGAATCAGAGAGAGACAGGCGCAGAAAGAAGTAGATGGTGAGAAGACACAGAAAGAAGGCCCAGTGACAATGGAGGCAGAGATTGAAGTTAAGCTTCACAAGCCAGGAGTACCAAGGATTGATAGCAAGCTTGGATGGTGTGGAGAGAGGCATGGAACAGATCTTCCCTCTGAGACTCCAAGAAGAAATTAATCCTGCTGACACCTCAATTTTGGACTTCTGGCTTCCTGAACTGTGAAAGAATAAATTTCTGTCATTTAACCACCTCGTTGGTTATAAAATTTGCTATGGCATCCCTAGGAAACTAATACATCATCTGTGAGGAGTCAAGGTCAACTCAGGTGCCAAGTGATTCCCTGGAACCTAATGTTTAAAGGACATCTGTCATTTTCATCTCTGGCAGCTGAGCTGGCACTGAAGTCATTCACTGAATATATGAGAATAGTGCTAGAGTGGGCATCCTGGCCTCCTTTGCTCTCTTTGTTCAATAGGGACAGAGGGAGGAGAAGGGGCAACTTATTCCCATTTGGTTCAAGGACTAGTCCCTTCAGAGTAAGGACAATTTAAGGCTCCTGAAAGAGGATTCAACCAGTCACTCCATTTCTTATCTGGCCAAACTGCCTAAACACAAACCCCTTGCATGTGACAAGGTCTTGGGTGAGGCAGATAGCAAAGAGAGATCAGTAGTGGAGGAAGCACTGGATGGACAGCCTCCTGCAGATTATTCCCTGGGACATGACCTAACAGAGGGTGGTAAGAGATGTTCAGGAGTTAGGTGAGAGGAACTAGGGAGGATGTGGTTAGTGAATGGAATGAAAGTGGTCCAATCCGTCAATGCTAGTTTAACCTCCTTGTAGGCATACTTGCTCTGTGTTTTTTGTCTCACATGGGCACAAAGTCTTGCCTCCTAGGCTTTCACAACCTCAGACAATTTGGAAACTTTTGCTTTGACTAGTTAGGAGCCTGAGATCCACATTTATCTCAAGAAAACATACTCAATTAAGGAAAACATACTCCCCACCCATGATTATTCTATATTCAGTAACACTGGTTAAACATGGGCCTCCTGCCAAAAAGAATCTTCAGTCTGTTTAAACAGAATGAGGAAAATGCCTAAAATTATTCTTTTCCCATTTCCAGCCCAGTGCATTTATATCTTCTTTATTCCACTCCATGGTTTAATGTAGTACAATATATTCAGAAAGCACACTTTATTTACAGAAATTAAAAGATCCTATTGAGGTGCTCTAAACATATTTCTAATCCACTAGATTGGATGAAAATTACATCACCAAATGTTTGAAGGAATTGTCAAGTTCTGAGGAAATTCAAGTCCTAACCTCTCTACCTAATATTGACAATAGCACCAGATTTGAAGTTGAAATAACTATTTTTTTTGTTCAAGATCTGCCTGTTACAAGGAACCCTGAGAACATATCTTCAAAGTTTCTGAGGCTTAGTGTGTTATACATAAAATTACTCTCAAGTTTGCAGAAAAGTTTTACTAATAGATTTATAGGTCATATCGTGTCTGGAGTTGGTTCCTGCTGGTGGGTTTGTGGTCTCGCTGACTTCAAGAATGAAGCTGCAGACCTTCATGATGAGTGTTACAGCTCTTAAAGATGGCACAGACCCAAAGAGTGAGTGGTAGCAAGGTTTATTGTGAAGAGCGAAAGGACAAAGCTTCCACAGCATGGAAGGGGACCTGAGTGGGTTGCCACTGCTGGCTGGGGTGACCAGCTTTTATTCCCTTATTGTCCTCTCCCATGTTCCATTTCTGTCCTATCAGAATACCCTTTTTTCAATCCTCCCCACGATTGGCTACTTTTAGAATCCTGCCGATTGGTGCGTTTTATAGAGCACTGATTCGTGCGTTTTACAGAGCGCTGATTGGTGTGTTTTACAATCTTCTTGTAAGACAGGAAAGTTCCCCAAGTCCCCACTGGACCCAGGAAGTCCAGCTGGCCTCACCTCTCACTGTCCCCTCTAAACAGGGCACTTCAACTGCTGTTGGGAACTGGGCGATGACCACTCTAGCTACTTCCTGCTGGATGGGTGTGAAGAAGGGGCCCTGCTGTTGTAGTGTCCTCCAGTGGGGAACTCTCTAGGCCAGTCAAAGGCCCAGTGGGTCAGTTCAGGGTTCCTCAGTAGAAGTTGTGAGTTGAGCTCATTTGGGGTTCCATTTGTAAGACCATCTGTAGCTTGATGGCCTCGATCCTGGAGGAAATAAATTTGACAAGAAGGTTAAAAATATAGGGCCCAAAAGTGAGTAATCACAAGATGGCTGTCATGGGAACTAGAAAGGGGAGAAGCCATGTCGCCCAACTCCAGAGGTTGGTATAAGAGTTTGAAAGGCATTGTCTGATTTCAGAAGCCTTTTCCTGTAAATGCCGGGTGGCGTCTCATACTATCTCTGACTGGTTAGTGTAAAAGCAACACTCTTCCCCTAAGAAGGTGCAAAGTCCTCCTTTCTCAGCAGTGAGGAGGTCTAGGCCTCGGTGATTTTGGAGAGTCACTGCTGCCAAAGAGCCTATTTGGGATTGTAGAGTAAGGATAGATTTTGTTTTTTCTTGCAAACTGTCTGGGAAATCCTTTGAGAGTGTGTGGTAGTAGGATAATGAAGTAGATAAACTGGCTATTCTGGTTCCTGTAGCAGTGGCCATTCCTAACCCTATAAGTAGGGGTATTAGTTGTATAGCCCTGTGCTGACAGACTTGAGCTTTGAGGGACACTGATAGGGTCTGATTTCCTGGGGCAATGTCAATGTTGGGACTTAGGAAGATTAAGGTGCAGGTGCCTGTCCAGTTGGTGGGGAGGCAGATATAGGTGGAAGTTCCACATAAGAAGAATATGCCATGGCTGGGTAGACAGAACTGGTTGTGTATGTTAAAAAGGTGTGTGAGTTTGTTGTTTTCATTTTCCCATACTCCTAGAGTACTTGCCAAGGTAGCTCTGGTGAGTGGGTGGATAGGGGTGTTGGGAGCAAACTGAGTGACTCCCTGTGTTCTATTTTCCCATTAGAGAAAAAATCATTTTGTATCTACTAGGAACCATTCAAGAGAGTAACTGAAAGAGGGAATGAGAAGGCATTCATTAGTGTTGGGGGCACTGCTGCAGGGGGTCCAGGAGTCAATGGTCATACAGGGAGTATGTGTGCCATTACAAACGACTTTAACAACTTCCTGAGCCTTCTCTGTCTTGCAGAGGAAGGCTTCTATCCAATTTGTAAAGGTATCAACACAGGCAAACAAGTATTGAAATGCCCTTGACTTAGGCATATGGGTGAAGTCTAACTGCCAGTCTTCTCCGGGATAGTGCCCTATTCTTTGTTCATCATAAGGCCCCAAAGGGACAAAGGGATTATTCTTTTGGCACACCTCACAGGCCTTGACTACTTGTCAGATGGTCTGGAGGAGATCTGGCCCTGTAAATAGGGATTTGGCCATTTGATGAGTGTTCTCAATACCCATATGAAAAGTTTGATGGAGGGTCTTAAGTATTTTCTACTGGCTGGCTTTGGGTATGAGTACCTTTCCCTCTTCTTTCGTTAACCACCCCAAGGAGAGAAAACTATGCCCCCGTGAAAGTCCTCATTCTGTTTCGGTCGGGGAATACTGGGGCTTAATCTCTTGGAGAGGGTTGTTCCATACCAAGTGTCCTTCCATAGGTATTTCTAATGGGAGGTTCTGCCTGGCAGCAATTTTGGCCTCAGCATCTGCCTGATGGTTTCTTTCTGCCTTTTCTTCTTCAACTTTTTGATGGCTTTGGAAGTGTAAGACTGCCACCTGCTTGGGTTTTTGCACTGTGTGCAATAACTCCACAATTTCCTTGTGGTATTTAATGGGGGTTCCCCCAGAGGTTAGGCACTCCCCTTCTTTCCATATTGCAGCATGGGCATGTAGGATTAGATAAGCATTCTTGCTATCTGTATACACATTTATTCTTTTTTCCTTTCCCAGTTCTAAGGCACAGGTAAGTGCCACTAGTTCTGCTAACTGGGTGCTGGTCCCTGGGGGAAGAGGCTTACTTTCAAGTACTGTTACATCACTAACTATGGGATAACCTGCCCTTCGTATCCCATTCTCCACAAATGAACTTCCATTGGTATATAGGTTAAGGTCAGGATTAGCTAAGGGGACATCTAAGAGATCCTTTTGGGCAGCATAAGTCTGGGCTACAACTTCTTGGCAATCATGATTGATTGGCTCCCCATCCTCTGGAGAAAAGTCACACCTGTGTATTTGAAGCACCGGTTCCTCAAGGAGTAGCACCTGGTATCTAAGCAGGTGGTTGTCTGATAGCCATAAATTTCCTTTGGCACCTAGTATGCCATTTACCTCATGAATAGTCCAGATGGTGAGATCCTTTCCTTGTATTGTTTTGATAGCCTCTGATACTAAAATGGCCACTGCCGCAACTACCCACAAACAGTGAGGCCAGCCTTTTGCTGCTACACTGATTTCCTTACTTAGGTATGCCACTGGTTGTGAGGTTGTCCCCTGAGTCTGAGTAAGGACTCCAAGAGCTATTCCCACTCTCTCTGTGATGTATAAATAGAAGTTTTGTCCTGTGGGAAGGCTTAAGGCTGGATCTTGTACTAGGGCCTGCTTTAAGGTTTTGAAGCATCTTTCTGCCTCTAGTTCCCATTCTACTAGATGAGTATTTGCCCTCTTGGTCTCCTTGATTAGAGTATAGAGTGGCCTGGCCATCTCACTGTATCCAGGGGTCCATAGTCAGCAAAAGCCGGTGATCCCAAGGATCCCCCAAAACTGTTTTAATGTCTTAGGGCAAGGACAAGCCAGTATAGGCTGTATTCGTTCTTTGCTGAGGGCCCTGGTTCCTCTGGCTAAGATTAGGCCTGGATGTTTGACTTGTTATAGGCAGAGCTGGGCCTTCGATTTAGACACCTTGTACCCTTGATTAGCTAGAAAGTTCAAAAGATCTAGAGTAGCCTGCTGGCATGAGGCTTCCAAACTGGTAGCCAAAAGTAAATCATCCACATGCTGAAGGACCAGAGTGCTTGGACTTGAGAAATGGCCTAGATCTTGGGCCAGTGCCTGACCAAACAGATGAGGACTATCCCCAAACCCTTGAGGCAAGACCGTCCATGTAAGCTGGGATGTGTGGTCTGTGGGATCCTCAAAGGCAAAGAGAAACTGGGAGTCAGAGTGCAGGGGAATGCAGAAGAAGGCATCCTTGAGGTCCAGAACAGTGAACCATTCTGCTTCCTCTGTTATTTGAGAGAGCAGGATATAGGGGTTGGGTACAACTGGATATAGAGGAATTACAGCCTCACTGATGAGTCTAAGATCTTGCTCTAGTCTCCACTGACTGTTTGGTTTTTGTACTCCTAGAATTGGGGTGTTGCGGGGACTGCTGCATTTTCTTACTAAGCCTTGAACTTTTAATTGTCTAACAATATCCTGTAATCCTTTATGAGCTTCAGGCCTTAAGGGATATTGCCTTTGATAAGGATAAGTGGTGAGGTATTTTAGCCTGATTTGGACTGGGTGGGCATTGTTTGCCCTTCCCAATTGTCCTTCCAATACCCAGACTTCAGGGTTGATTCCCTCCTCAAGTAGGGGACAATAAATGGGTAACTTGCTCCCCATATTCATATTGATAATAGCTCCAGCTTTGGCTAGTATGTCCCTTCCAAATAAGGACGGGGGACTTTCAGGCATAACAAGAAAGGCATGTGAAAAGAGCAAACTCTCCCAATTACAACTGAGGAGGTGGGAGAAATACCTGGTTACAGGCTGTCCCAGGATTCCTTGGATAGTAACAGACCTTGGGGACAGCCGTCTGGGGCAGGAGATTAACACTGAGAAGGTCACACCAGTGTCTAGGAGGAAGTCAATTTCCTGGCTCTCAATGGTTAAACTTACCTGGGGCTCAGTAAGGGTGATGATATGAGCTAGCGCTTACCCTGGGTACCCTCAGTCCTGTTGTTGGATCATCTGGTTGGAGGCTTCTGGCCCAGAGAACCTTTGTCCTCTGGAGCAATGTGCTTTCCAGTGATTGCCTTGGCATACTGGACATGGGTGAGGGGATGGCTTGTTTCTCATTGGACAATCTTTTTAAAAGTGTCCTTGCAAACCATACTGATAACAAGCCCTACTGGGTGATTGGCCTGCTCCGTTTTCTGTCCTCTCTGAATCACCAAGGTTTGTTTGTCTGAGAGCCATGGCTAAGGCTGTGGCCTTTCTCTTATCTTGCTTTTCCTTTTCGGCCTGTTCCTCTTTGTCCCTATTATAGAAAACTGAGGTTGCCAGGTTTAATAATGCCTCCAAATTTTGTTCAAGGCCCAGGGCTAGCTTTTGGAGCTTTCCCCTGATATCTGCAGCAGACTGGGTAACAAACTTATCTTTTAGGATCAATTGACCCTCAAAGGAGGCAGGTGACAGGGCAGTGTATTTTCTTAAGGCCTCCCATAGTTGCTTGAGGAAGGTGGTAGGATTTTCTTCCTTTCCCTGAGTTACAGTGGACATTATTGAATAATTCATGGGCATTTTCCTAATTCTCCTTAGTCCTTCTAGAACACAGGTCAACAGATGTTTGTGACTCCAGTCCCCATGATCTGAGTCTAGGTCTTAGTGGGGATCCACACTGGGGATGGCTTGCTGACCAGTAGGGAATTTGTCCCTTTCTTCGACTGTCATTCTATCATTTACTTGACTAAGATACCAGGTATATCCAAACTCTCAGGCTGCAGCTAAAGCGCATTCTTTTCACTAAAGGCCAGGGTTTCATCTAACAAAAGCTTGACATCTCTCCAAGTGAGGTTGAAGGTTTGCCTTAGACCCTGTAGGACGTCTATATACCTATCAGGATCAAATGAAAACTTCCCCAGGTCTACTTTGATCTGCTTTAAATCAGAGAGGGAGAAGGGAACATGTGCCTGGCTTGGGCCAAATTCCCCTCCCCCTACAACTTGAAGAGGACATAACCAATAGCCCAGGGGTGGGGGGGGCGGTGGTTTGTGGTCCCTTGGAGATTTCTTTTCTTGTTTCCTTCTGGGTGGGGGAGTTAGAGGAGGCTTATCATTAATAGGAAGGGGAGCTGTAGGGAGGCTAGGATATGGGGGTAAGCTGAGAGGTCCTCCTATGGAATGTAGATTGCAAGCTTTGCATAGTTGTGGATTATCCTTCAATGAAAAGAAAGCTTTGACATAAGGTATTTCACTCCATTTACCTTCCTTCTTACAGAAAAGGTCAAGCTGCAGGATAGTATTGTAATTTATACTTCCCTTAGGTGGCCATTTTTCCCCATCAGAGAGAGAATATTGGGGTCAGGCCATAGTGCAGAAAAAAAAAAGCTGCTTCTTTTTCAGGGTTCGTGGGTCAAATCAGTCCCAATGGCTTAGGATGCATTTCAAGGGTGAGCTCGTTGATGCCTGAGTGTTTCCCATCTGAAAGAAAAAAACGCCCACAGTTTTGGTCTGTTTCCACACCCCCACTGCCCACCCCACCCAAGAACCTACGACAGTCCCTGGACCCTGCTGTTCTGAATAGTTGTGCTCACTGAAGCAACAGTGGAAACACTTGTTTTCCTCCTAGGCCACAAAGAGGACCGAGAAAGCTTGGATTTAGTGGCCCTTACCAATGCATTCTCGAAAACCTGTTAGAGCCCTAACTCCTGTTGGTATTGAGACCTTACCCTTGTCCTATAAAGACGATATGCCTCAAAATGGAATGGAGGGCCATACCCTGAGGGAGGGACGGGATCTCCAGGGTTGGAAGAGTGAAGCCTTTTGTCTTCACTTCTCATCATATGAATAGGAAGGATATCCCCCCAATTTTGGAGTCTAAAATTTCTGAGACTCCCCCTGTCCTAGCTTCAGGAATAGCCTTTGTTAGGCCTGCTAGTCTGAGGAGGGATCCTAAAATTCCAGATGGTCCCCCCAACGACGGGGGTTTGGGCAAAATTTATGTGCCCCAGGGTGCCTTTTTCCCATTGAAGAATTTGGCTCTTTCTGATTGGTGAGCCTGGGTGCCTAAGGAAGGGAACAGAGTGCCAAAACTTGTATTAGAAATCACCCTTACAGGAGAAACTAGAAGAGCACCAGGGACAGGAAGTGGTTTTTAGAAGCAGGACTATCCTTGGAGAAGAGGGGTAGGAGGAAGTTTGTCTGACAGGTGTTAGGACCCAGGATGCAAGGATCAGGATAGATAGGATAGATGGGCAAGTCTTGCTTAGGCAACGTAACTTTGAGAGCTCTGCTCATGGCTGCAGGGTCAACCAACTTTTTGTTGGGACCCTGGAGCTGAATGGCTCTCCTCTCTGTTGACCCTTGGCTCAGCCTGGAAGTGCAGGAAAAGCGGAAGCTGGTTCCAGGCAAACCAACGCTCCCAACTCCGAAGAGTTGGGGGTTGTTAGAGAGCCCTTTCCCAGAAAGCCTGACACCCATGTCTTTAGTCTAGTGGCTGCACTAGTCACTTTTAACTGGCTGACAGGTGCCTGCTGTTTAGCCCCCAAATTCTAAGGAAAAATAGGATAGAATAGCAGCGAAAGGGGTCCAATGGTACTCACCGTGTGGTGAGATCCCAGAGGAGCCCCCAAGATGTGTCTGGAGTTGGTTCCTGCTGGTGGTTTCGTGGTCTTGCTGACTTCAAGAATGAAGCCACGGACCTTTGCAGTGAGTGTTACAGCTCTTAAAGATGGCACGGACAAAAAGAGTGAGCAGTAGCAAGGTTTATTGTGAAGAGCAAAAGGACAAAGCTTCCACAGCATGGAAAGGGACCTGAGCGGGTTGCCACTGCTGGCTGGGATGGCCAGCTTTTATTCCCTTATTGTCCCCTCTCGTGTTCCATTTCTGTCCTATCAGAATGCCCCTTTTTCAATCCTCCCCACAATTGGCTACTTTTAGAATCCTGCTGATTGGTGCGTTTTACAGAGTGCTGGATGGTGCGTTTTACAGAGCATTGATTGGTGCATTTTACAATCCTCTTGTAAGACAGGAATGTTCCCCAAGTCCCCACTCGACCCAGGAAGTCCAGCTGGTCTCAGCTCTCAATATAATATATGGTTAGGCAATAAATCATTCATATTTATTGTCTGAATGCACAGATGAAGAATGTCACATTGAGCGGCATCCTCATTGCGTTGTCTTATGAAACTATTTTCCTTTCTGTATGAATTCCTCCTCTGATTATTGATGTTGCCTGAGCTTTATTTATATGGCATAAGCCCACCTCACTCTTTACCAAATATGGCCTTACTTACAACATGCCTGATACCTGTCATCTGGATTTTGCATATCTCTCGAATTCTGTGCTTACCTTTGACTCTAACCAGTTAGACAATCAGGAAACTTGGGAGTCTTCATTTCAGGAGCTTGTGGTGTTGCTGGAGTTTGAAATGCAGCCTCAGCTTTCTGTGGTGATTCACACTGACCCACTGCTTGTGTGTTCATTCCCATGATAGGCTCAATTCTCCCACGTGTTACAATCACCTCAGGAATGGTCTATAAGGTGAATTATCACTCAACTACATGAGGTAGAACAATAAAAATAACAAAATATTTTGATTGTTATATAGATAAAATGAGATATTATATTTGAATATTTATTTAAAAATGCTAAAGCTCCACAGAAATGTATTCAGGATGGAATGTTTTCTTCATTTAATAAAAAGTTTTTAAACAATAGAACCTGGCTGCATACTCCTATGGCTTTCCAACCTTCTGGGCTTATCTTCAGCACTTCCATTTTATGGAAGACTGTGTCTTCAGGGCACTGAAGACGTCTCTATCTATTCCTTCAACAAATGTTTTTGACCACTTACTATGGTACTAGTACTCTTCTAAGCACTGGTTGTTTCCCTAGCAAGCAGACTGAGAAAATAAATAAATAAATAAATAATAAATAAATAGGCACTGGTTGTAACAGAAATAAATAAGAAAGAATATATGCCCTCATAAAACCTATATTCTAGTATTAAAGACCAACAATATACAAGTAAACTGATATAATCACTCTAAATTGGATTCATGTTATGAAGAAGATCAGAAACAATAACAAACAAGAGAGGAGCAACTTTAAATGGTCAGTCTGAGAAGTCCTCTCTGAAGAGGGACATTTAAGTTGAGACCAAAGGATGAGAAGGAGCCCTGTGTATGAGTAACGCCTGAGTGGAAGAACTTTCTACAGAAACTTGTCTGTGAAGTGAAATAGCAGCTGAAGGAAGAGAAGTGCAGCTGCAGTGATGCAGGGAGTGGGGAAGAGGTTGGAGAAGGAACAAGAACCAGATCCTACAGGATCCTGCAGGGGCCAAGTGCCTGGATTTTATTCCAAAATAGCAAGCCATTGAAGGAAGTTTCACACAAGTGTGACATGATTTGATTTATATGTTAAAGGATCACTTGAGTTTTGGAAGGAAAATTAGTTGGAAGCGGACAAGAATAAAAACAGGAAAGCAGTTGTGGCATGGTTACAGTGCACCAGGCAAAAGGTGATGTTGGCAGCAGAGGAAAATGGAGAAAAGCAGATAGAGAGTTGAAATATTTTAGAGTTACACTAAACAGGCCTCATTCAGGGATTAGATGGAAGTGGGGATGAAAAGAGGGAAGAATAAGGACTTGTCCATTTTTATAGCCCCAGCCCTTAGCGCAATGCCTAGCACATAGTAAATGCTCAATATTTAGAATTTATTTTATTTTTCCCCCCATAAAAGCTAAGTCTCCCAAATTAATGATCAGGGAAAGAACAGAGTTGTGTCAAAAAAATTAAATAAGTAAAAGGAGACTCTAAAGAATGCATAAAGGGGGAAAACAAAGACAAAGTCTTCATTTTGGAGAAGCTGGTTAATGACTTTACTGTCAGTGGATCAAGGTTAAAGTCTTTATGTCTTTTCTTTCAGGCAGATTTCCAATAAATGTCTAAGGAAGTCCTAGGCCAGCAGAGGCAGAATTGAATATTGCATGGTGAATAAAGGATGGCACTGTATATGGAAAAGATATTTTTAAAGTGATCTTGTGATTTAGGAAATAATTTTTCATCGTCTCCTTGGCTGACTTTGAAGAGAGAGCTTAAGAATAAAGAAAAGACTATGAAGCATATAGTCCGAAAATTATAGAGCTAAGCAATTCTGTCGTGGTACACTGATTCAGATATTACAGAGGGCATTTTGTTAGCACTCTGTTTTAGCATTAATATCTCATACACACAGACACATTCTTTTTCAATACGGAAATAGACAACATAATCTTTGCAAAATTTTAAATAGGAGGTACAAATATTTCTGTGCTTCAGATTGATGAGGTTAGGTAAAAATAAACGAGGGTTATACATTTTAAATATTAAAACAAGTGATTGCAGACAACCATACTTGAATTGGCACCCCTGGTTTAATTCAAGATCTTTTAGAAATTCTGACATTCTTGAAAAGGGATTTCAGGCCCCCTTAGTCTTTCTTTCAAGATTGAATTTATGGACCACTTTTTTTAAACCCTGCTGCTCCTTACATAGTTTTGAGTGGTGCCTTCTAAATCCCCTGTAAGTTAACTTAAAAATAAAATAACTTGCCTTTATGTTAGTACTATTTCAAGTCTAAAAATGGTATTCACAAGTTTCGTCTTGCTCTTTCTACTCTTTTTGCAGTACTTAGTCTCCAGAATATGATTGATAGATGGGCTACTCCAGGAAAGAACACATCACACACACATCAATTCCATTCTATTAGAACAGTGATGTTTGTGGGTTCTATTTATTCTCTGTCCCTAACCATGCCTCCTTCATTACCCTTGCAGCCAAATGTTAACTGAAATATTAACAGCTTCAAAAAAATTGTATTTATTAACAGATGACCCAGTTATTGCAGGAATGAAAGAAAAGAATAATGGCTTTTAAAGGGAAAGAAAGAATAATTCTAAAGCACTGGCAAGTGGCACCAATAAACACTAACATACAGGCTGAAGGGTCTTTTGGAGGGTCTCTCAAATCAGGTGTCTAGCTTTCTCTTCCCTTTACATTATGGTCAGCTCTGAACCTCAGATCTTCTCCAGAGGTGCACTGACTTCATAGATAAGTACAGTGTGGGAAACATCTCCTCTGCAGGATACATCAGAGCTAACCCCCTGTTCCCAGTGGTAAGATTTCTAAAGAGGTACTGAACTTCTTACTTTATTTTGCAACTGCTCTCTCTCTCCCAACCTGGAATGGAAGGATTAAATACCTTACATAGCCTGTTTATTTGGCGGGAATCCTGTAATAGATATTTCAACCCTTTTGAAAGTTGTTTCTAACTCCCTGTCCCTTCTTTAAACGGAATTCATGTCTTCGTCCTTTGGCTCACTCAGCATCTATTCTTATTCCCTTACCCTCCTGTACACAATACTTTATTATACTTAATCATATACTATATTGTCTGTTTTCCCCCACTAGTCTCCTTGAGAGAAGGGACTTGCTTTATTTGTACTTGTATTCCTGAATGCATATTAGAGGTGCTATTTCAGCGTCCTACCTAAATGGAAAGATCAGGAAGGCATTTCCACTGTATTAATCCCTCCTCCCTCAGGGCACCATAAAGTAGTGATTCAAAAAGCAAAACAGGTGTTCAAACATATCCATTCCTCCCTGGATGTGTTCAAATCATCAAGAGAAGTGTGGAAGAAGGTTTAATGGAACCACACACAACACACAACACTCTTATCCGCACCACATAGTACCATTAGTGGAGAAAAAAGGAAAAATGTGGCTCCTGAGATCCTACATGCTGGGTTTGGGGCCATTTTATCCCAAGCTTCTGGCTTAGGAGGAAAACACTATTGAAATTCTGCACAGTCAGACACCCTGGACACAACTCAAGGCTGTGGAAGTGACTACTTGTCTATTGTTGTTATTGTCACTGTCAGGTAACACCTTATCTTAGCATTCCTACATCCGCAGCCTCAGAGCAGAGGAGCCACTGGATTTCATTGATCTTAAAAGAACTTTCTTGAGTTCAACCAATACTGTTCATAAATTTTAAACAGGAAACTCAGAAACCTAGAAGTCAATGCTATCATTTCAAAAGAACAATCTTAGTCAATTCAGCTTATTACCCTTGAATGTTCAATCCCTGAAAATGCAGCATTTAAACTTTCACTTCAGGCTCCCTTGTTGTATTACCAGGGCTACTAATGTAACCTTCTATTCTAGTCAACATTACAAAGTCTTTGGCCAGGAACCAAGTGTACTTTATAAAATAAACTTTCTGGTACCACTGAGGATGATGCCCAATGAATGTTTGGTGAATGAATAAATGAACTAGTGAATGACATTTAAACTGTCTCAATTTCCCTTCTTCCACCCAATATTCTTCATAATCACTTCCCTTGACGTCATGTGCGAGACACCAGTATCACAATGTGAGTTTAGTTCTGGAAGATGACAAATGTAAAGAAGCAACTTGGCTACACGTGTCACAAAAATGCATCAGAAAAGTTATAGATGACTCCCAAAAGGAGACTTCTTAAAGTTACTATTTTTTTTAATCAACAGAGCCATAAATTCCAAAGACTAAGCCCTGATAGGAGTTACATAGAGTGCCTGTTCCTCAAGAGTATCAAAATAGAATGAGAGAAAGTCATAACATCAAATATATTTTTAAAATGTACCTTTCCCCATAATTTCAAAAGATGTAATTAGGAGAAACCTATGAATGATTTCTAAATAGATCATTTCAGTCATGGTACCATCTGCAACTTTTGTCATGATATAATTAATTCCTCTCTACAAATCTTTCTTTCTTTCCTTCCTTCCTTCCTTTCTTCCTTCCTTCCTTCCTTCCTCCCTCCATCCCCCCTCCCTTCCTCCCTCCCTCCATCCCCCCTCCCTTCCTCCCTCCCTCCCTCCATTCCTCTCTTTTTTCCTTCTTTCCCTCTTACTAGTCACTAGAGATAGATGTATTCATAAACATTATCTTAGGTATTCCTTACTACAATGAAATATAAGTACTACTGTAATTATTTTTGCAATTTGGGAAACAGTGTGGGAAACATCTCCTCTGCAGGATACATAAGAGCCAACCCACTGTTCCCAGGGGCAAGATTTCTAAAGAGGCACTGAACTTCTTACTTTATTTTGCAACTGCTCTGTGTGCCCAGGGTCACACAGCAGAGTTAGAATTCAAACTCAGGACTGAAGATTCCAAGATTCATGATCAACCTATTTTATCAGTTTTTTTCATCATTGTTGAAAACAATAATGTCTTTCAGGGGTTATTAAGAGTTAATTTTAAAGCTAGCCAAGCACTGTTACTCATGCCTGTAATCCAAGCACTTTGGGAGGCTGAGGTTGGTGGGTTGCTTGAGCCAGAGAGTTCGAGACCAGCGTGGGCAACATGGTGAAACCCCAACTCTACAAAAAATACAATAATTAGCCAGGCATGGTGGTGCATGCGTAAGGTCCCAGCTATTCAGGGGACTGAGGCGGGAGGATAGCTTGAGCCTGGGAGGCAGAGGTTGCAGTAAGCTGAGATTATGCCACTGTACTCTAGTCTGGGCAACAGAGTGACATGAGACCTTCCCTCAAAAATTTTTTTGAATTAATTAATTTTAAAGCTAATGAAAAGGAAGAAAAAACTTGAAAAATGTAAGATAAATCAAGAAGATAGCATATTTTATAGCCCTAAACCAAAAAATAGTGGACAATAGAATTGAACAAGGATTAAATTTTAGTGTCTTCAAGAATCTTCTGGATGTATTATAAAAATTGATCATATGTCCCTAAAAGCCATAATATAATTATCTGAATGTAATCATTTGACAAGAAAATCAGTTAATCAGTTCTATGAGGGTAGTTTGATATTTGACAGCAATGATGGCCTGCAGGGACAGAGATTAAGAATACAGATGGAGACACTTGGGGAAGGGCATCATTTACAGACAAGCCCAAGATATTTTACTGCTAAGGTTTCTCTGTTCACCTCCTTATCAAGTAGAGTGTGTTCCTTTAAAGATAAATAATGTAATGTTCACGTTTCTGCAAGGGATTTCCAGTTGAAAGGATGATTGGTCAAATTATTGGATGCTCTTGGAATCCAAAATCCTCAACTAACTGGCCTACAAAGTGCCCCAGGATCTGGTTCTCTGATAGCTCCAGCCTCATCTCAGCTACTCCCATCTGGCTTTCAATCCTCCTAAGCCACCGGCCTTTATTTTTTCCAGAGTGCCATACCCCATCTGCTTTGGGGTCTTTACCTTTTCATTACATTTCCTTTACCCATCCCCTTTCTGCATTTTCTCTCTCCTCTACCTCCCAACCTCTTTCTTATTTACTTTTATTTCTTTTTAAATTAATTTTAATTTGTATTTTCAGTTCTGGGGTATACGTGCAGGATGTGAAGGTTTGTTACGCAGGTAAACATGTGTCATGGTGGTTTGCTATGCTTATCTTTATTTATTTTCATGTCCCAGCTTACTTGCTTAGAGAGGTCCACAGGTAGCACAGGTCAGGTATGTTCCCCACCCCAGGCTGAACACTTGCTAGTACCAGATGTTGTTCTACATGCTTCACATGTGCTATCTCAGTTAATCTCCACAGCAACCCTGAGAGGAAGGTACTATTATAGCTTCATATTATAGCTGGGGAAACTGAGGCACAGAGCGATTAAGCAACTGGCTACTGTCACAGGGATGGTGAGAGGAAGAATAAGACTTGAGCCTCTTGGGCAGATTCCAGAGCCCATCATTCTCTCAGGCATTTGGCTAAATTGTCTCTCTTAGGATGTCCTATCTGCCCACTCCTGGCATCCTTCTCCTTGAAGCATGCCTCTTCTTAAATTTTTGTGAAATGATTTGTTTTTGTCTATCTTTCCTACTATAATCTCTATGAGAGTTCAGCCACAGTCCTTGTATCTAGCACTGTGCCTGAAATATAACAGGTGACCAAGAGATATTTGAAGAGTAAAAATTAGAAGGTCAAAGAGAAGGATAGATGGAGGAGCAGATAGTCTTTACTGGTGTAGGCCTTTAAAAAATGGTACCAGTGCCTCTTGGATTTTGAGCTTTATTTGCACGCAAAAAAGAACTCTGTCCCTGGGTCGGCAATATTATCATCGTTTACAAAGAGCAGGGTGCTTAGGGCTACATATTTTGGACAGACCAGGTCTTGGCCCACCTCAATTTAATTTTTTCAATAGGAAGCACTGCTGTTGCAGGATGCCCCAGATGTGACCAAACTTTTAAGAGGTCAAGAGGTCAACAATAAAACTGGTATGGAGCAGAGGAGTGGAATAAAATGGCATAGTATTTTTAAGCTAAAAGAGACCATAAACACAGCCAATGCAGCTTCATGCTACAATAGTTGATGTAGCAATGATTCTTAGTTACTTGAGCCGTATTTCTTCAACCATATCTTCATCTGTTTTTGGCATAGGCTAAGGTATTCAAGAGTGTTCTGACAGTGCCCTCCTATCTGGTGTGCTCTGCTGCTGTCAGACAAAGATAAGACACAGGACAATTTAGCAAAGCCATGTGACTGTGATGCCGACCCTTTCATCCAGTCTATGGATGAGACAGTGACTGATAATACCTTCAAAACATCCTCCACTTACCAAATGTCTGAACTCAAACACAAATCGACAGTCTTAAGGCATAAAGCAGTTATTTCACAGAAGTGTGAGGTTTGAACACAGGCTTCTGAGGAAACAACCCTTTGCAAAGGTTTCATGATTGAAAATTGCAAGGCAGTTTTGGTGAAGATCAAAGGCTGATTTCAAAGAACAGACCTTCCTGAATATTTTTCTTCATTCTGGTATCTGACCTACCTAGAAGTACAACTCCAAACCCAAAGGTTGCATAAAAGAATATTGCTTGGGGCACAGATTTGTAATGAGAAAACTACCCTCTTGCTAGCTGTGACCTTGGGCAAGTCAGTTGACCTCTCAGAGTCTCAGTGTTCTCATCTGCAAAATGAAGCTAGTTCTTCAACAAACACCTGGATAATGACTTCTGTGTGTGATGTGCTGTGGATGATGGGAGAGCTATCATTTCTCAAGTGCATACCATGTTTTGGGGGCGTTACCTCTATTATCTAACTCCATTCACAACAAAGCTGTTTAGTGGAAACATTGGAAACTGAGGCTTGGAGAGGTAAGCAACATGGTGAGTGGAAAAGCCAGGATCCGAACTCGAGTCCGGACCCCAAAACCTTTGCTCCTTTTACTCAGCTTCACACAAGCCCATGTGTGGGAAAGGGCTCTGAAAAGTGGGAGAGCAAGATGTTGATCACTATATGTATATGATCACAATATATCATTTATATGCAGTTTTAAATGGACTTATGCTCTCCTCCTAAATTCTTTTCTGTCCCATTGTTAGAGTGAAGCAAAATCCTTGGGGAAACTTTCTTTACCCCATGGAACGCCATAGAAAAATGTAAGGGAGCTTGCAGTAGATTTGCCTGCCTGCCTGTGGCTCAGCCCAACCTCCATATTTTAGGGGGTAGGAGAGTGGTTGTGACGAATTCTCTAGAGACCCCACAGGCTGGGACAAGGGACCCAGACCTCCTTTCCTTTCTCTTTTCTGAAGCATCAGAGCATCTACAGGCAAGATCCCTTCAACCGCCAGCATAAGTATACACTTGGGGAGCACTTATTCTCTTGAAGATGATTTATCTGTAAAGGCTTCGAATGATCGAAGTGTTGGTAAACTCAGACGCTATTGTCTCACACTCTTTTTTCACTCCTGCAGCTGCTGGTTGGTTTGAAGAGAAGTTTAGTGCTCTCAACAGCAATGAACAGCATTGGGTCAATATTCAGTGGCCGGGAGACAATCTGGGTTACTACGTATGCTGCTTTGTTGTGAACTGGAATTGGCATCATGTCTCCAACATTCTGAAGCCAAGGCTGAGGATATACAAGGTCTAGAATCATTAAGGGTGTGATAAAGTGCTGAGAAACACAGGAGAATGCATTGTTCAGTGAATGAAAATTGAAAAGAGAGATGGAGACAGACAAAGAAAAAGACTGAACAACTGAATAGCCAATTTTTTTTAACTCTCAGGATGTTTTCTCCTACCTGGATGGACACAATTTTCTGTGGTGTTACATGATAGTATTGCCTGGGGTGACCATACAATTTACTGACCGACACAGGAGATTTTGAGAGTAACAGAAATGTTCATCATATTTCCATACTCCAACTGCCTTGAGCAAGCCTAGAATGTAAGTCTCCCCAGTATCGCCCAATAAATTTATTTTGCTATCCAGGATCTGTCTTTGGAGACGTGTTCCTGATGAGGTGTGATGCATCCTGGCCTGCACACATGGCCTAATGCATAATTGCTGCTCATTAAATGATGGTTCCCCTTTCATCCCAACCCTGCTAGGCTCCTCATTAAGCTACATTTTCTCAAATGTGAAGATCAAGAATAGGGCTCTGCAATCAAACAGACTTGGGTTTGAATTCGAGCTTTGTCAATTTCTAGCTGTGGGATTTGGGTAAGTTACTTAAACATTTCCAATTCTCCAATTCTTCATCTGTGAGGAGGGGGTAATAATAGTACCTGACTCCTATGGTCATTGTGAGGATGAAATGAAGTAATGCAGGGAAAGTGACTGACAGCGTCTATCACACAGCAAGTGTTCAATAAAGGTTTAGTATAATGATTAGCTATTATTCATTATTAATGAAAAGGCAGGGATGATATAACTCCTGATGTTTAACCCCCTAAGGTCAATAAATACCTAGAACAACATCCTTCTGCCCTCCCCATAAAATTAATTCCTTTTCCTATTTGACTCATACTCTTACACTCCTAGTAAAAGTTGATAGTGCATTAAGGCCAACATGAAATGTACTTGTATCTGTATTTCCTTCCATTCTTTTCTTCTTTGTATCACTAGGTGCCTAGCACTGCCCAGCACCTGGTATATGCTCAGTAAATTTTTATTTTTTATTTTGAGATGGACTCTTACTCTTGTCATCCAAGCTTGAATGCAGTGGCGCGATCTCGGCTCACTGCAACCTCCACCTCCCAGGTTCAAGCTATTCTCCTGCCTCAGCCTCTTGAGTAGCTGGGATTACAGGCACCTGCCACCACTCCCAGCTAATTTTTGTACTTTTAGCAGAAATGGGGTTTCATCATGTTGGTCATGAACTCCTGATCTCAGGTGATCTGCCCGCCTCAGCCTCCCAAAGTGCTGGGATTACAGTTGTGAACCACTGTGCCCGGCCAGTAAATATTTATTGAATTCAATTGAGAGTGTACATGTTAGGCTGTTCTTGCATTGCTACAAGAAAATACCTGAAAGTGGGTAATTTATAAAGGAAAGAGGTTTAATCGGTTCACAGTTCTTCAGGCTGTACAAGCATGGCACCATCATCTGCTCAAGTTCTGGAGAGGCTTCAGGGAGTTTTACTCATGGCAGAAGATAAAGTTGGAGCAGGTGTGTCACATGGCAAAAGCAGGAGCAAGGGGGGGGGCAGTGCCACACACTTTTAAATGATCATGCCTCATGAAAATTCACTCACTATGGCAAGGACAGCACCAAGCCATGAGGGATCTGCCTTGGACCCAAACACCTCCCACCAGGCCCCACCACCAGCATTGGGGATTACAATGAAACATGAGATTTGGCAGGGACATATATTCAAACTATATCAGGATAGTTTGAAAAAGACTATTCAAATTATTTTCAACTCAGTAAGTAAGTATATTGTTTTGCATCATGTCTGAAACAACCTCCATTTGCTCTTTCTGATGGAGATGCACTTTAAATTGAAGGTCCTAGCCGGGCACAGTGGCTCATGTCTGTAATCCCAGCACTTTGGGAGACCAATGCTGGAGGATCACTTGAGGTCAGGAGTTTGAGACCAGCCTGGCCAATCTGGTGAAACCCTGTCTCTACTAAAATTACAAAAATTCGCCTGGTGTGGTGGCGGGTGCCTGTAATCCCAGTTACTCAGGAGGCTGAGGCAGGAGAATTGCTTGAGCCTGGGAGGCAGAGGTGCAGTGAGCCGAGATCATACCACTGCACTCCAGCCTGGGTGACAGAGTGAGATTCTGTCTCAAAAATAAAATAAATAAATAAATAAATAAATAAATAAATAAATAAATAAATAAATTGCAGGTCCCCAGAATAGAGGTGTAGTTTTCAGCTGAGGTTTGGGAGCTAGGTCAGCAGATTTGTGGTTTGTTGTGCTGGGCCTGGGTGGACTCAAAGCCACTGAAAGCAGAAAGAATGGTAGCTTGAGAGACAAACAAACCTGGATTATATCCTGGTGTGGCCACTAACTTGGAGGTTTGGGGTAACTTTCCATCATTCATTGAGCCTTAGGTTCCTCAGCTGAGGAGTGGAAATAATAACATCTGTAATAGGTGTCACGTGTGTTACACATAAGTGGGAGCCCAAAAGGTGATGAGTATTGGGCATCTGGACATAAGTCTAGTTAGCCAGATAAGAATTTCCCACAGGACTGAGAAGATCAATTTAGAAGGTCAATAGAAAAATAACTTAGAAAGAGAAGACAGGAGAGGGGAGCTTGTGTTAAAGGTTGCCCAGGCTCTGGATAAAGGGCAGATTTCTGCTGTAAAATAGGCCCAAATCCCCAGCCAAACATGAGAGCACAAGTCAATTTAAGCATGGTGTTTTTCTTGTAAAACAACCCTAAAGTAAATGATGCCTTGTTAACTTTAGCCTTATGACCCTAAGTAGCATCAGTAGCACCTGGAAATTGGTTAGAAACACAGACTATCAGGCCCCATCACTAAATCAGAATCTGAATTTTACCAAGACACCTGGGTGATTCACATGGTCATCAAAGTTGGAAGCATACTGACCTACCAGAACTAAGACATACCAGACTGAATTTTCTTTTAAATAAAATCTGCTTAAGCTCAATATGCCAGAAGTCTGAATTCTCTCCTGGCTTTCCAGGGTCTGAGGCAGAGTAATCTTCCTGTCCAAGTCCCCAACTCTCAAGGCCACTGACTTGGCAATGTCACATCAGCCCTCATGGGAAATAAGGGTCCTTTGCTGGGAACCTGAGGCTCGCTTTCTTTGGAAACCTAGAGTTCTGTGGAGATGGGGCCAGGTTCTCACAGAAGAACCTTTTATCTACAGCTTTAAAATCATTTATTTTTCTTGCCACTTCCGTCTAAGATTGCCTAGCTCCTGTCTAGCGAGTTTTCTCAATCTTCCTGAAGCATTTACCACTCATTTATTTGTTCCACTTCTTTTGCTTGGGTACCGTCCCACACTGCTCCAGTTATCCAAATTTGTCAAAACCTTCATCCTTCTTTAAACCAGTGGTTCTAAACCTTCGCTAGATTTTAAAATCATCTAGGTCCAATCTGCTGATGAGGTTTTTTAAAAAAGAAAGAAAAACAACAAACAACAAAAAACAATGCTTTGGCCTTACTTTTGACCAATTCTAAATATTTAGGGGTAGTTCCCATGTATTAGAATGTTTTTAAAGCTTCCCAGATTATTCCAACTTGTAGACAAGGGTGAGAACCACTACTTTCAGCTTTTGGCATTTTCTTTACTTCTAATCTGTCTACAGTTTTGCAATGCACAAGAAGACTTAACTGTATGTTATTTTGTGCTGTTCTCTTATTTGTCAATCATTCCTCCAAATTAATTGTTAGCCCTTACCAGTGGTGCTGGGGGAAGGCTCCTATGGGCTTATTATGAAAGACAATTGTCATGTGGAAACATGGTTTATGAGGTGGGCTACTCTGTATCTCTTCCCAGCTCCACCTTTAGTGAAGTTACATTGATAGCTTGGAAGTGGTTGTGCTGGGAGTATTTATCACACAGAAAATTGGTATATACATCAGGGTGTTTTAAATTTATTTTTTCCATAATAACCAACCTTTGGCAAACTAGAAATTTTAAAAAATTATAAACTTTAAAGAACATCCACAGAAACATCAGATTTTAAGGTGAAATGGAAACATTTTTCTAGAAATAAAAAACAAAACAAAGAGGCTCACTCTTACTGCTTCATTTCAACATTGGTAGGGAGGATCCTAGACAGTGCAATAGAATAAGAAAAAATAAAAGTAGGCTGGTGTGGTGGCGCATGCCTGTAATCCCAGCACTTTGGGAGGCTGAGGCAGACCAATTGCACGTGCCCAAGAGTTTGAGACCAGCCTGGCCAACATGGCGAAACTCCGTCTCAACTAAAAATACAAAAAAATTAGCTGGGCATGGTGGCACATGCCTGTAGTCCCAGCTACTTGTGTGGCTGAAGTGTGATAACGGTTTGGACCCAGGGGGTGGAGATTGCAGTGAGCAGAGATCATGCCACTGCACTCCAGAGACTGTGTCTCAAAACAAACAAACAAATACACACACAAAAAAAAAAAAAAAAAAGAAAAAGAAAAAAGAAAGGTATACATATTGGAGTGAAATAAGTAAATCCCTCATTATTCCCAGATGACATATAATTAAATATGTTGAAAATCTAGGCAAATTATTTGTATATAGATTATTAGAATTAATGTGTAAGTTTAATAAAATTTATTTAGTCAATTAAAAATCAATTAAGATCAATAAAAATTTAAAAGTTATGAAAATATCAATTAAGAAACCAATTATATATGTATATATCAGCCAAATACGTAGAAAAAAAGAACTAAAAAAAAAATAAATGTAGCTCTGATAAACTTATTCCCACAAGCAAAAATTTCTTTTTAATTAATTAATTTTTTTTTCCAGAGAGCCAGCTGTTAAATATTTACCAGCCTACCACTACTCTTCTGTTTTTAATTTTCCCACACTGAGCCCAGTGCTAGAACTGGGGTAGATATTTAATAGGTTATTACTGGGGCAGCAGTTTTCAGGGCAAGATTTGTTGAGCCTAGAATGAAAAGGAGGGTGGAGACAGAGATGGCGAGGGAGGGAGGCAAGACTGTGTATAAGAGAAGGGTGCTGAGGGAAAGGGTGGTGTGGGCTCAAGGGAGAAGCCGATACAGATGTGCTTCAACAAGCAGTGATTTTAGGGAACATCCTGTCAGCAGAGAGTCCAGGTGGCACCCATGATGAAACTTCAACAGAGACTTCATAGAAGAAGGTATGTCAGTGGCCAGTAATGATGGTCAACATCATGGCTCATCAGGAAAATTAAACCCACAATGAGATGCCATTTCACTCCCAGCAAATGACAAAAATCAAAAGACTGATGAGGCCAAATGCTAGAAAGAATGTGAAGTAACTAGAATTCCCATACATTGCTGGTGGGGGTGTAAAATGAAACAAACTCTTTCAAAAAATCTTTGTCAGTTTCTTATAATGTTAAATGTGCATTTATAATATTATCCAGGATTTCTGTTCCTAGGTATTTACTCTAGTGAACTGAGAACTTATGTCCACAAAAAGACTTGTACAATGATGGCAGCCTTGTTCACAATAAATAAAAATCAGAAACAACCCAAATGTCCATCAACAGGAGTATGAATAAACACATCATGGTATATTCATGAAATAGGATACTAATCAGCAATAGACTTAAAAGGATAAAATTACTGATATATACAACAACCCAGTTAAATCTCAAAAACATTATGGTGAGCTGGATACAAAACAGACATACTGGGTGATCCACTTATGTGAGGTTCAAAAATAGTCTAAACTAAACTACAACGATAGAAACAAAAATGGTGGGTTTTCTTTTTTCTGATAGGAGAGAAGACTAGGAATTAGTTGGAAAAGGAGACAAGGGACTTTTCTGGGTGATGGAAATATTGTATATCTTTTTTGAGTAATGGTTACACATTTGTATGCAATGTTCAAAGCCCACAGAACTGAACACTCCAGATCTGTGTGTTTTATCTTATGTGAATTATACTCAAAAAACAATAATATAGACATACATACTGTATCAGTTGTCTATTGTTCATAACAAATTACTCCAAAACTTAAAGTTTAAGTCAGCAAATATTCGTTATCTCACACAGTTTCTGAGGATCACAGATTCAAGAATAGTTTATCTAGGTGGCTCTGGCTCATGAAGTTGCAGTCAAGCTCTCAGCTAGGACTGCAATCCAAAGACTTGATAGGAGCTGAAAGATTTACTTCCAAGCTCACTTGCATGGCTGTTGGAAGGAGGCTTCATCTTTCTACCACATGGGCTCTCAATGACTTCTGCAGCATGAGTGCTCCTAGAGAGAGAACAATCAAGGCAGAAGCCATAATCTCTTACAACTAAACTAGGAAGTGGCATCTGTCACTTCTGTAGTCTTGCACTGGCCATGCAGACCAATCCCAGTACAATGTGGAAGGGGACTACACAAGGGTGTAGCCAGGAGGTGTGGATCATTGAGGGCCATCTTCAGATCTGGGCCCCTTATATACATATTGTAGGAAACACTTATATACATATTGTAGCAACGCCTGGCACATAGCAGCAGTCCAACGAATATCAGTGATCATTACGTGGTGTCCCAGGCATATTGGAAGAGAGGTCACACCTCATGCATGAATCTTGAGTATCAGCAGTTCTCAGTAAAATAAGTTTTAGCTGAGTGAGGTGGGGAAGGCAGGGAAGAGCATACCTTTCACTACATATAAAGGTGCTGAGGATTTAGTTTGCCAAGAAAAGAACAAAACAGTAAAAACTTTGGCCATGCAGGGAAGAGGAGAACTGGGCAAAGGGTTGACATGAAGCACAGACAATGGATGATATTTGGGGGATAGGAAGATTTGAGCATATTTACTAGCTATCATGACACTTTCTCAGTTCTCCTTTTCCTTCTCTGACTGAAATTTCTGAGACTTCTTGGCTGGCTCATTCTTCTTTCATCCTGGAATGACCTTCTCCCCTCCATCTAACACCCATCAACACTACCTCTTCTTAGCAGAGGCTCCTTCTCTGCCCTCATGGTGCATCCTTTGTACATGTGTCTTAGCTCTTATTTTATTTGGGTTGACTTTATTGCTAGTTGTTCACCTCTATCTCTGACACTGTATTTTGAGTTTCCTGAGAACAAGGACTGTGGCTTACCCGTTTTCATACTTTCTGCAGTGTCTTGTACATAGTAGGTGCTCTATAAATGTTGGTTGACATGAAATGGCATGTGGCAGTGATTTGAATTCTGTATCCTCTAGCCCAGAATATATAAAGCCTCATATTCTCTTTATTAACCACCCAATTAATTAGCAACTTCCAATAGGAAAGAATGACTCACCCTCCTCACACACACATTTCATTTCATTTTTGGAGCCCATGACCAAGTAGGTGTAAGTCAGGCTGTCTTCATAACTTTGTCCATGACAGTGACAATGGATATTGAAATTGAAAAGAGCACAGAGAGGAACAGATTACCTCAATAGACAAAGAGAAGCCTGGTTCAAAAGGAGAATATCCCAGACAGCTGTGGGCAATTCAGCAGCTGAACTGAACATTCCATGGATTTTTGCTTACAGGTTCCAGTTCTTGCACTTTTCCTATTCATGTATCCAAAGCAATGTGCTTCTAATATTATCTAAGCCCCCTTTTTCATCACTGTTTCTGGTCATTTCCTAATTAAAAATCCATCATAATATTCAATCTTTTGTTGTTGTTGTTCTAGAAAGAGGTTTTTACCTGAAGTAAATAGATTTCTATTACACACTTGCAGTTAGTAATTTGATGTCCTTGTCTGCTCCAAGGACCATCTGAGTCTTAGGTACTTCTGTTAAGTATAGGTCCAGTCATGGACAGGTATCATATGGTATAGCTTTAAGAGCTACAAGGGTTTTCTAGGTTAGAAGAAAAAAACATAATGATCTCACTCTTGGAAGCACAATTAGGCTAAGCATCCCAGCAGAGCCCACCAACAGGACACAACTCAGTATTTGCTGGCCCTAATCTGTCTCATCACTTTGGTCCATGTCCTGGGACTCAAACCAGCCCAATTTGTGAGTCAGTCTTGACCTAGGTCAGATGTATGGGGCTATGAGCTCTACCCATGGGTGGACTCTGGAATTAATTAGTCTTGGCTGCTACTCCTGGACATATCCATCTGCCCTGAGTCAAGGCCTTTCCCCCAAACCTGCAGGGCATTTTACTGGCATCATTTAACATGAGTAAGAAACTAGGTATGAGGGTGCGACTTTGTGCTGCTGTTTTCCAACTTAGTCCTTTAGTTGGGTCCAGCGAAGTGTTGGAGAGGCAATGTGATTTGTTTAATAATAATAATAATATCCCCAAATCTGAAATCAAGCTAATTTAGATTATTTTTCTTGGTTCCATTTCTTATTAGCTATTTGGTCATGGGCAAGTTACACAACTTCTTTTCCCATTTGGGAAATGGGGGAAATAATACTTGCTTTACAAGTTTGTTTCAATAATTAAATGAGCAGAAGGTGTGAAAGCCTTAGCATGTAGTAAGTGCCCAAAAATGTTATTTCTGTTTCCGTCTTCCCTTAGACTGGAGTTCTGCCTTTCCAGCACATTGAGTTTATTTCGAGCACCAGCTTAAAGATTCTATAACGTGCTGTGATGTCCACACTCCAACCTAGTTCCTTGGAAGTGACATCAGTTCAAATCAAACACAAGGCTATTGTGTTCCTTTGGATTTGTCATACTGGATTGGCAGTTGTTTCCCTTGGGGTACAACTTGGCAGCTGATTCAGTTTACCCTATCTTGACCTTACCTGGTCACAGACCTTCCCAACCCTATATCTGATGCCAGTAACACAGAGGCAAGCAGAGTGGAATAGTGTTTAAGTGCACAGGCTTTCACATTGGATAACCTGAGTTTAAATCCCATTGCTATTACTTCCCTACTGTGTTATCTTAGGCAAGCTACTTAACTTCCCTAAAGGTTCAGTCCTTTTCCAAGACAATGGGGAGGACCACATGAGATCATACATACGAAGCTCTTAGCAAACTACCTGGCACATAATGAATGCTCAATTAATATTGGTTATGATTTTATGCTTTGCAGCTGAACCTAATCATGTAAAGGATGATATGCACTAATCATCAAGTAATGTTTGTGTCTTGAATACCATTCACCTGTCAGTAATTGGAATCAGGCCACAACTGTTCTTGCCAAATTAGGCAGTTCCAGTTTTTGTATGGTGAACTTTGGGTAAAAGAGGCTGAGTGGTTCCTTAGCCACAGGTATATTTGATAATATTTTTATTTGCTTTATTTCATTTATTCACAAGTAGCCTCAGAATCTGGGTTTGAAAGAGGGAGAAAATGATTCTTCACTCACCTATGTGTATTTCTGAGCCACAAGGAGAAATTGAGTCTAGAAGAAATGAGGCTACACTTATAATCCAATTGAGAATCTCTAAAGGCCTGAGCCAAGCAGAGGTATATGAGAATAAAAGTCCCCATGAATTCCAAGCCCTAGAGTGCCCTGCATATAGCAAACCCAGAAACACTACATTTATTAGCAAACACATAGGGGCCTCTATGACTTGGAATCTTACACTCGGAGCCATCACAGCATTACTGAAATCCTAAAACATTCACTTCTGTGGTGCACACCATTCAGGCCCCAGGAAAATACTTCTCCAAATCAGTTGACCTATGTCCTAAGAACAACAACAACAAAAAACTACATCCACATGCCATGAAGATTTGTGGATTGTGCTTCTGCTAATGTGGAAGTCAGAAAATGCTTAAGAAGACAGGGAGTATTTGAATGACAGGCACACTTAGATAAAGAAAATAAAAACAAATTATTTTAACTTGTCCAGTTCTTCCTTTGTAAAGCATGTGTCCAGCAAGATATCGGTTCTTTACATTGGTAACTAAATGTACATTGCCCTGTGGAATTGTGATTAGTTTAAGTTTTATAAACATTTAATGATATTTAATTACTTTTTAAGAAAATAAAATATAAGTTTTATTTAATAATCTTTATTCATATTTGTTATACCTCTTAATTATAATTCATATTTCTCTTTTCATGTTATAAAATAATTTGAATGTTTGAGAAGAAAAATAACTTTTTGAAAACAAAAAAATCATTTTTATATTTCAGGTTTGCTTTATTTTATGTTTTTGATTAAAATATACTCAAACTGAATATTTTGGACATAATCACATTTTAATTTTTGATCCTTTAGATCATCATTATCAATAGAATCAAACTTGTGATTTACTTAAAAAAAAGCAAAGAAATACATTTTAAAAAATGCATATGAAATACTTTTTAAATTATATATGTTTTTACTTAATTCTTCACCCAAACTTTGGCAGCCCATCAATTGAATACACAGACATGTACAATATTAATTCAGTCATCTTTGATATTTTACAGATTTTCAAATGTATAAAAACAATAGCTTTTATATTTAAAACAATTTGTCATTAGGAAGATATACTAGTTTAGGAAGGGGATAAAATATATTTTATTGGGCAGTCTGTATGCTTCAGTTATAACTTTAAAATATTTAGACATAAGGCATGTAGGCCTCCATTTGCACTCCTGACTTGGGCCCTGAAGAATTGGGAACAGCCTGCCAGGGGTACATTCATAGTCCTGTCATTTAAGATTGAGGAGGAAGAAACAGAAAAAAATGAAGGCAGTCATGATAATTTTAAAACCAACCAACCAATCAACCACCCAACCACCCACCCAACCAACCAACCAACCAACCAACCACTCACCCAACCACCCAACCACCCACCCACCCACCCAACCAACCAACCACTCACCTAACCACCCAACCACCCACCCATCCACTCAACCAAACACCAAACCAACCAGCCAACCACCCAACCAACCAAAGACATAGAGCACATACCAGCAGGGAACAGCTACTACATCTGTTTCTGCTTCCTCATACGGCAGGCTTTACAACTTAAACATGGTCAGTCTGCACTCTGAATGTATTACCCATATATTTTAGGCAAATCTGTACTTTTCAAAATTTTATTTTTGAAAAGAAAGGTACAGTCTACAGAATCTTTCATTCCTGATTCGATCATACTCAACCCATTGGCCACCTGCTATTGTTGAAGTGGAATTCAATTGCAATATACTGAATTCAAAAAGTCAATATCCAGGTATTTTGATATTTTTATAATCTAAAGATCCAGTCTCTAGGTAACAATTAGAGAGGACCCAGAGACCCAGAGCTCCAATCAAGAAATATTGACCAGAAACTCAGAAGGGTGAGTTTCTCATCTTCTGTTTCCCCACTGACTCAATGAAAAATGTTACCTGGATACTACTGAAATTCCAAATAACTACATGCTGCACCACTAAGGACAGCAACTGCTTTTTTCCAGAATAATCAGGTTGTCATCAAAGTAGAAGGCTGCTGAAATGGACAGCAAGCAACACGCACACACACACACACAATATCACATATTTTGTTCAGAAAGACATAGGTCTGGGTTTTGGGTTCAGAAAGACCTATGCCAACACATTATTAGGTTTTTAGAAATATTCTATGGATCAATGAATAGAGAGAGAATTTATTCTTCTTGAGGAGTAGGTATTTAAGAAATTAGTAAGGATTAGGAAACTTTTAAAAACATCTCTTTGGACTTACTTTATATGGTTATATGAAACAATGAAATCATTTTTCTGTATAGGAGTCTAATCTCCTTGGGAGTAACATTTTACTACCTGGTTCTATTGCTTTGTAGTTGAGTGTGTATTAAGTCCGATATCTACATACAAGTAACAGGGACAAATGGGTTCCTTTTGTAAATACTCCCTGCCACAGTCTACATTTGTAATCAGACGATCAATATGGTTAACATGTGCCAACTTCACTGGAGAAGGGTGAGTGAGCCTGGTTGAGATCCATGATACAGGAGAAATAATGTGAAGAAGCTGTATGAATGGGGCCCATTGTTTGTCTGTATTTTAAATGTTCTCATTTTTCACAACATTTTATGGAGAGCTCTTAAAAGGCCTTTATTGATAGAGATAATCATTAAATGTCAGTTTAAAAAGAGGTGTTGTTGTTGTAAATGTAATCCAATCTGCTTTTGCACAGGGCCTTTTTATCCTCGTGTACTGAGGAGTACTTTGCCAACACAATCCTGTCACCAAAATCCAAGATGTCATTCATAGAGGCTTAGAGAACTCCTTTCTAGATTTAAATTTAGAGGCATGGGATATTTATTGGATTAAATAATTTATGTTTAAAAGTTGACATAAATTTTGTACATGACTTTCTTTCTCTGTGACAACTAGACCCTGAATATTTACTCATTAAGTGATCATGTGTTGAGCATCTACTATACACCAGGTGCAGTGCTCTGTAATGTGATAAAAAAGCTAAAGTCCTTACCTTCAAAAGACAGAAATAGGCATGCAAATAAGTGGATGACAATGCAGGGTGACAAGTGCAATGTAAGGAACCTGTGCAAGCTAGCGAGTTTGAATAGAGCATTGATTCTCAAAACCTGATCCCAGGACCAGCAGAATCAGCCTTATCTGGGAACTTGTTAGAAAGGCAAATTCTCACTGCAAAAAATAAATAAATAAATAAATAAATAAATAAAATAAAATGACATGCATGTAAGGTAATGCGTATATTAGTTAGCTTGATGTAGCCATTCCACAATGTGTACCTATATTAAAACATTGTTGTACACCATAAATAGATAAAATTTTTGTCTGTTTTAAATAAATTTTTTTAAAAAAGGAAATAATGTGAATACTAATAGTAAAAACATCAGCAAATCCCTTAAAAAACAAAAAACAACAACAAAAAAAACTTGGTATGCAACAAGATCCAAAAACATAAAAGTAAAACAAAACAAAACAAAACAAAACAAAAGAGAAAACAAAATAAGAAAGAAATACAAATTCTCCAGAGCTACTGAATTCTACACTCAGGGGGTGGACCCTGCAATCTGTGCCTTAACAAGCCCTCCAGCTGTTTCTGATGCCTGCTCAAGTCTGAAAACTGCTGGCCTTAAGCAGTGATTGGCAAACTCTGGTGCAGATTAGAATCACCTGGGGAGCACTTAAAACTCCCAGGGCTCAGGCCACATCCCAGACCAATTAAATGAAAAACACTGGAGGGAGATGAAGCGGTGATGTCTGCACCAGTTTTTAAAAGTCAAATAAGATATTTCCAGGAAGACACAGTAAGAAGGCATTTCTGGCAGAGGGAAGAGTCCACAAAGGCACAGAAGCATGAAACAGCTCTGTATTTTGGAGGTAAAATCAACACTATTACTGAAGCATAAAATTTAAAGGGGTGGCCAGGCATGGTGGCTCAAGCCTGTAATCCCAGCACTTTGGGGGGCCGAGGCAGGCGGATCACTTGAGGTCAGGAGTTCGAGACCAGCCTGGCTAACATGGCGAAACCCCGTCTCCACTAAAAATACAAAAAAAATTAGCCAGGCGTGGTGATGCGTGCTTGTAATCCCAGCTACTCGGGAGGCCGAGGCGGGAGAATTGCTTGACCCCAGGAAGTGGAGGTTGTAGGGAGGCGAGATTGTACCACTGCACTTCAGCCTGGGCGACAGAGTGAGACTCCGTATCAAAAAAAAAAAAGTTTAAAGGGGACAGTAGACAGAGGTCAGTTCACAAGGAGCCTCCAGGCTGCTACTGCGTGGAGGATGAATTGAATCTTACTTATAAATATATTTTGTCTGTTTTTTATTGGAAAACTGGCTTGGGTTCCATTTTGCTACCTACCCATCTTGCGTCCTGGTGTTGACTTTCCTATCAAAACCATTCCTCTGAGCTGAGGCTGTTTATAATTAAGATCAGTGATTATCTAGCACTCGACAAAACTCAGCCACTGCTGCTCTGAGCGGAAGGAGAGACAGACTTAGTAGCAGATAACTCAGAAAAGAGGATCTGAGACAAAGCAAAGGAGCTACAGAAAAGGAAATGGTTGCTTTAGCTTTTTATTCCACCCTCCCCCCGACAGCTGAATCAGGGAGCGACTCTGGAATAAGTGCATCTGCCCTTTAAGAAATCAAAGCCAGACTCAGGAAGTGGGTGGGAAGCCTTCTAAAGAGCCTCAGCTGCCGCGTGCCTTCTGTCTGCTGTGGGCCCAGCAGCTGCACAGACCCCTCTTGTTGGGAGACAAGACAGGGCTCTTTCTCTCCCGTGACCTCAGCCTCATCTCCAATCGTGGGGAAGAGAGAAACTGAAATTCTTCCTGTGACTGAACACATGAGAATGCAACAGTTACTTGGGGTAACAGGTTTCCTGTGGGTCCTGTGTGAAGAGTATGCATTCATTCCAGTGTCGGGGAGGGGAGAAGAATGAGGAGGAGGCAGGTGCGTTCCATTCTTTGATTTGTATAATACAAATATTTCCAGAGGACAAAGATGGGCAGAAGCTTTAAGCAACAGCCATCTTCCATCTCGACAGAGGGAACCATGGTGGTTGAACAAAGCACCTAGCACCCTCTGCCTGCCTCTCCTCCCTTCCACCTCCCCTTGAACATTTTTAGGTTTTCAAATGTAATAAAGAAGTCTACTGTTCCAATGGGATTCAAGGTCAGCTCTAACTAGGTGTTCACATTCATAGCCTGCTGACCAGATCAGAGGCAGTTTAATAAAGCAACTGTAAATCAGCTATGAAGATGGTGAACACCCCGGCCTGTACTAACTTTATGAGGTTCAAGTCTCTATTTTTGATACCCCATGAAATAGGGAGAAGTCGGGGATGCATGTGTTTTGGATAGATGAGTTAGCAAGTTGAGCCTGAGATTGTGGTGAGCAATTTAGGCACAACTTCAAGGTCAGCCTCGTTTGAAAGGGGAGGGGAGGCAGTTCTCTCCTGAGGGAATTTGTTAAGGAGCTCATCACTTGTTTCTGAATTGAGCTCTGTCGGCCATCTCAGCATCATCTGACACCTGCACACATCATATCATGTGATACACTTGGGAGAAAGGGCCAGGTCAATTTCCTCCTGGTGGGTGATTTGGTTTTCCTCTTCAGCTAATGTTTAATGTTTCTCTTTTGATTTGCATGTGGAAGCCTTACTCTATGCTAAGCTATGATAAGCACTTTACATGCCAATATGACAGCATAGTCCTTTAACCACGGGCTTTAGAATCACTCTGCCATGTTCAAACCTCAGCTTTAATCATGAAATATACCCAGGTAACAAACCTGCATGTATACCCACTGAATCTAAAAGTTGAAAAAAGTCTCTATGCTACATAAAACAAAAACAAAAACAAAAAAAATCTGAACTGTATCCCTTTGGACAAGTCACCTAATCCAGTCAAACCTGAGTTTTCTTAAATACTAAATAGGAATAGTGATAATAGTGCAGGTACTTGCCAGATTGGGTTAATATGAAGGTTCATAAATTTATTCATGTAACATTCCTACACATAGTATGTACTCAATAACGCTACATACTTTTATTATGAACCATCCTTTTCACAACCTTAGGAAGTATATACTCCTCTCCCTACATGCAAAACAAAACAAAACAAAAGAGAAATTTAGAGACTTTAAGATCTGGCTCAATGTCACAGAACTCGTATGTGGGAGATTCAGGTTTCAGACTCAATTCTTGGGATACAGTCCATGCTGTTAAACATTACACTAGACAGCCTCTACCGAACAATGACTTTTTATTACTTGACTGTTTAAATTCACCTCTCCTCTCCTTCTCAAAATGAGTACCAATTTGTCCTATGCGTAATTTATTCTCGAGCCTTAACGCTTGTTTTCTGCCCTTGTTTGATTCCTTTTCTCAGTTTGCAATTTCACTGTTAGGTTTCTGCATTGTACTCACAACATTTTTGAGTACTGCCTGTTATAAACTAGTCATTTTGCTTCCACATATTCATTCCTAAAGAGAAGACCATTTCTTAAGAAAAAATAGAATAAAGGAGGAACAGATTCTCAGATGTAATCATCATGGTGTGCAATGAATATCTGAGCACTTGCAGGGCCATTGCACTTTCAAATATTCCTTTTCTTGTCTGCATAACAAGGACTCAGCCACACTCTCCTAAAGACAGCTGGCTATAGTAGTCTGGGTGAAAAGCCTGACCATTAGATCTGTGCTTCATAATTCGACAGTGAGAGAACAAAAATGGTATATTTCAAGTTTCAGATATATGTGTGTGCATATGCATATAAATTACATATATTCATATATTTATGTGTGTATATATACACTCATATAATCATGTTGGAGTTTTAGAGATTTAGTTAAGCTCTTGTAGGCTGGACCCACAAACCACAACCATAAACTGAAAAAGAATTCAGCTACCTAACAAACTACTGAATTGAAATAACTGAAATTGAATAATTTTTCTGGGATTATTTAGGTATAGATAATTTGGAAAGTCAATTGTTGAAAGTCAATTACTGCCATATGCTTCTGATATCAAACAGGTTCATTTTAGACCTATAGATCAAATAGGTCCTTCACAACTATGGCAGGAATGGTTTATAATATCCAGCAACGATGAATCTAATGTATATGTGTAAATTTTTGTCAACTGATATGCTGTTTTGTTTGAGTTTCCACTTAGCCACACTGCTGTGGTTTCTTGGGGGTAAGAGCTGTAATACACTCAGACTCCTTATACCCTCTCCAGGGGTATGGTACTTGGCATATGGTTTTTACTCAGTAAATGAAGAAGAATAATGAACTGAAATGCTTTCTCCCTGTTTCCTAAGATGCTACTTAACCAGTGAAAAAGTTACAAGTTACAAAAGTCTTTTTTAAAGCCTTTTCAACTAGATAAAAAACACTTACTACACCTTTTTATGTATAGGCCACTAGCATGTAAATGAAACTGGCACAACAAGGTAAATGTGTATAAAATAAATCACAGAAAAGAGAGTTCTGATGAGATATTTCAGTAATGCAGTAGATAGCAAATGATGATTTTGGAGTATTTTTTGATTTCCCCAATTTAATACTTGATGTTATCAAGTATGTTCACAATGATTATTGTGTCCAAGACGCACCTTAGAAGAATGTAAAGAAGTGTTAGACAAAATATGGGTAACCCATCCCTGCCTTCAGGGAGCTTCTAGACTGATTGCACATAGGTCTGTATTTACATAATTATCAAGTTACAGATCTTGTTTCTTGTCTGTGAAACTCTAACCATATTCTAGAATCAGACATAGCATCACTTCCTGTATTAGTCTTCACAAACAGAACTCTTACTGTCTGTACTGTGCTCTTTACTTTTTAACGTTAGTTCTTCTAGGTTGCATCAAGAATTCAGGAAAACCACATAGGAGGAGGCCCAACATTTTCTGGGTGTTTAATGTGTGAACCTACTTGATAACATCAATTTTTAAACAGCTCCCCATTGATACAGACTCTGAGCTACTTACCCTTTCTCTAGCTGCTCTGCAGGACTCCATATTTTATGCATGGGGACAGTGATCACAAAGTTAGAAGGTACCAGGAATGGCATGCCCATTTACAGATGTACGATAGCCTTTCAGCAATCACAGGTATATCACAGTGATAATTTCTGGAGGATAAACTGGGGAAATTGAAAATTCTACATTGGGGCTCTAAAATACTCCAAAATCATCATTTGCTATCTACTGCATCACTGAAATAGCTCATCAGAGAAATCTATCTCTTCTGTGATGTATTTTATACACATTTACCTTGTTGTGCCAGTTTCATTTACATGCTAGTGACCTATACATGAAAAGGTATAGTGCCTGTACATAATAAATTTTTATGACTGGCTAAATTATTTGAAGACCACAGATATGCTGCATCCACTCCTAACCCTTATGAAGGAACAACTGTTAGGTTCTGAAACTATATACACTATTTGCTTTAAGAGACTACAGTATAGGAAGTCCTGAAATGTACCACAGAGTATGAATAGGTTGTGAATTATATATTATGCTGAAGCTTAATGGGTACTGTAGCCGAGGGCAAGATATCTCATAACTAATTATATTCATTTTGCATTTAGCAGTACATTCGAAGTACAGATATTAAAAATGTGTAAGTTGAACTTCTGTTAAAATTACTCTCCCTAAGGAAAATAATTCTCTTTTCTTGCTATACTTTAGGCTACACTTACAGGCTGCCAAAACACTTCATTTGATTTAAGAAAAAGTCTGTCCAACTGTTGTCAAGGATCATGTAACAATGAGTTGTTTTGCTTTTTGGTTTTTTTTTTAGCCTTGTAACTGTACATTTGTGTTCTGGTGACCCAGCCTCAGGCTGCTTGAGAGAGATAGAATTAAGAGTTGATTTAAATAGTGAATGAAAAGGAGAATATGCATTCATACAGAGCTTTGGTGTTTGGAACACTTTCACATACATTATCTCATTTAATTCTCCCAAAGGCTCTACAGATAGAGGTACTATGATTATCCCTGATTTTCAGATGAGATTTTATTTGAAGAGAAGGAGTAATGGAGGTTAGGATTCAAACATAGGTGTTCTGACTCCAAATCCTGGTCTTTTCTAGGATTTCCAAAATCCTGAAAAAAGGAACGTATTTCTAAAATTCAGTACGTGCCGGGATAAATCTTTGTCAGACTACATTTGCTATCTGATTGTTGATGCCATAATGCCACTGTAGGTTAGTTTTCTCTTAATGTGTCATGTGTATAAACCAGAATTCTAAGTCTGAGGTTCTCTAAAGGATCTTCTCATGTTTCAGATGTCAATAGGAACTATTCGAATCTAAGGAATCAGGGAAACAGTATGGCATTTATTAGTAGCCTCAGAGTCTTCTTTCTAAGGCTAGAAGTAAGAAGTATCTTTAGTTCTGGACTTGATCTGCAATTTTTCTTGCAATGGGTCAACAGGGACAACCAGTTGTTGTGGACAAAGCAATGGAATTGCGACTTTAGTGAAGCTTGAAATACTTTTTCAATAGGAAGTGACTTAAGTTCACATAAGCCAATATTCAAATGGTGTCTAAAGTGTGCAGGACACTGTGGAGATGTTAAATGGAAGTGGGGAGGGACATACATCTTCTTTTGCCCAGAACAATCCTGATTTATGCCAGTTGCCCTAGTGCCCTGTCTGCTTAGAGCCACTGACCTCTTCATTCTCAAAAATTACATGGTCAGCCTAGAAAGACTCTGTCAAGTCTCAAGGAGATTGTATTATAATGTGATGGGGTCCAGTAGAAGAGGGATATAAGAAAAGCATGCCTATACATATAAAATAGGGCAGGCATTTCCAAGTGTTATATTTTAAAATGACATAAAGCAGGCTAGGCGCAGTGACTCACATCTGTAATCCCAGCACTTTGAGAGACTGAGGTGGGCAGATCTCTTGAGGTCCAGAAATCACGACCAGCCTGGGAAACATGGCAAAACCCTGTCTCTACCAAAAACACAAAAATGAGCCAGGTGTGGTGGCGCATACTTGTAGTCTCAGATACTCTGGGGACTAAGATGGGAGGATTGCTTGAGCCTGGGAGGCAGAGGTTGAAGTGAGCTGCGATTGAACCACTGTACTCTAGCCTGGGTGACAAAGCAAGACTCTGTCTCAAAAAAAAAAAAAAAAAAAAAAAAAAAGGTATAAACAAAAAATTTGGAAATTTAGATAGAAAGATGTATTTAGTAGGAGTTAATGAAGAAGGCAAATATCACCCTATGTCATTTTCAACAGTAATGATGAAAGTTATAAAAAATGCTGGGATATATACAAAATGTATACTATATAGAGAACTCATGTTTCAGATGTCACTATCCACATTACAAGAGGACTGTAACTTGATCTACCACTCTGGGCACAGTATCTGATTAAAAATAAAGTTATCTTTAACAACATTTGGAGCGACTGTTTGAATTGAGGCCTCAGGAAAAGATAACCTCCCCTCCTTACCAGCATCGGGGTGCTATGTCCAAGACAAGTCCCTAATCTTCCCTTTGTTAGTGCCTGGTTTAGAAATAGTCATGAGGCCAATTCTGGCCAATGAAATATCAAAGGAAGTCATCTTGAAGAGTTCCAGAAAAGTTTTTCCCAAGAAAGAGACACAGGGAGAGAAGGTCCCAACTTTTCTTCTGCCTGACAAAATGTCTTTATGTCATAGCTGAAATGGTGACATGTATGAATCTGAGGATGTAGGCAAAACAGAGAGAGGAGCAGAGGGAGGGGAATCGGAGACATGGAAACTTTATATTAGGGAAGGGCACTAACTGCAGAGAATTTATAATGTCTTGATTATGAGTCTATTTTTCTATCTGATTCTGTCCCTGTTTCCTTTTGCACAGTCCCATGTGGATGTCAGTGTGATGATTAGGATGCCTGATGCTTCCGAAACAAGAATACACTTTACGAAAATGCCCATTGAAAATACTTTTTCCTTTCTACTCTTGTGCTAAGAGTGCCTGTTTGGACCCCATGGCTTCGTAATGGTAAGAACATAAATTTTAGACTGGTTTCTACTGTGAACAGTCTTTATCTGATTATTGAAATCTTTCTACCTTGTGGTTACTTCCTATATTGAAATATTAAATCTCCCACTAGTAGGAACCTGTTCACCTCTTCCACCTATTTTATGGCTGTTGTAAGCGGAATTGTTTGTTGCTTTGCTAAGCTACCTATTTTTAAGAGTTTGATGTCCGTTTGCAAGTGAATTACACTAGACCCTGTGGATGATCAGAGAAAAGCAGTAAATAATGTCCTTTGACCTTAATAGAGTTGACACACATAATTTGCTCAGAGAGTTCAGGTTTGTGGGAGGTGTCCCAATGTAATTATTAATAACATCTCTTTTTATTCTCAAAAGTGTTCCAATTAGGATAATAAATTACATGGTTCCCTAGACCTTAGAGGCCTTAAATTCAGTTAGGGAGATGGGAGACCCAAACAGAAAAAGGCAACTAACCCAACAAAGCAATGTGTGATGAATACCAAATACATGGTCTGTGCTATCAGTGAATGGAGTCATGTTTTAGGAGAGACTCCTAAGGCCTTCAGCGATCTGGCAAACTACTTGAAGATGAGACAAGTTGGCTCTTGAGGAACATGTAGGGTTGAAGCCAGCAGTGAAGAAAGGAGATCATGCAATCAACCCTTCACTTGAGAGACTGCTAAAATAAAAATAAAGCCATAATTTTTCAACCTGAATAAGTACTGGCAAAAATGATTTCCTCCCCTCTTCTGAGCAAGCTGATGTTACAGGCAAACCAGCTGGCAGCTTGAGCAGAAAGCTCATTTTGGCCCCTTTAAATACGTGGGTGTTTTCCAAATGTTCAATCTGGCTCCCCACTACATTAATGAGCCATTTGCCTTGCTGAGATAATCACTACCCTGTGGTCATGAAGGGGAAGAAAGGAATGAGAGCTGGATGGGCTGAAACATGTACCCAGTTGAGGACCTCCCAGAGGGCAGCCTGGGCTTTAGTGACAGCTCCAAGATGTGGCACTGCACACACCACCCACTTCCTGTTTGGCTGCATTTTAACCCCGCTCTTGGTCCAAGTGGGTACAGGCACACTGTGATAAGGAACTGCTGAATGAAAACATGCTTAAATCTACGAACTCCATTTTCAAAAGCATCCTAGGGAAGTAGTGAAGGGTGCCCATGGGCTATAACTTTTATTCAAAATGTTCATAATGAACAGAGTTGTTTAACACTTTTTCAAATCTAACCTGTGAATGTCGCCACCACTTTGCCTTCTTTGAGCATCACACCATTGAGTTAATGGTATGATGAACCTTCTTGTCCCAGAGTTTGATTACATCAAGAGTGTTTAGGTTTTTTTCTTTAAAGATTAGAACATTTTATGCAAACAAAATCTTAGAAATAATGCTAATTTGTAAGTGATAAAGCATGCTAGTTGCCAACTCAATGTTTACTCTCCCCTTCTTTCTTATTAACAAATCCCTAATTTTTATTTGGGATGGCAGTATGCTCAACTGAAAACAATAAAAACTAGATTCTGCACTTTTCTTTTACATGTGTGGTTATATTACAAAGAGCTAGCCAAAAGAAGATACAATATGAGATGTCCAAAAAAGTTCTTCTAAGAGGTCTAAATCAAATGGCAGGTACCTTTTTTGCTCTTTCCCTTTCTCTCCAGGCTGTATGAATTGTCAACCTGATGGCCATAGCTCTGGCAGACTTCTTAAAAATATGAAGATAGGGCTGGACTCTAAAGATATAGGAAGAGAAAGCCAAAAGGAACATGGGTATCTAATAATTTAGTGGAACTATCATACCAGAGTTTGCATGGCCTACTTCTGGACTTGACTATGTAGGAAAAAAAATTGTCTCAACTTCTTATGTTATGTATTTGAAGATTTCTGCATTAGCAAAAAAAGTAATTTTTACTGTTGATAAACTGATAAATGTCAATCTGTTGAATGTGAAACTGACAAATAGAAAACTTCTCTGGTTGAAGTAAAGGTCAATGGAGGCCAGATTTCCATCTACCATATTATTTGAATTATAACACAGTTACAAAGCAACCTTGGGTTAATATTGGTATTTCTAGAGGTACTAATAATTAAGTGCAGGACCATCTGTAAACTATTTAATCTTGGTAGAGTCATGACCCTTTGCATTGACTGTAAAATGTTATATGAGGTGAAATATTAGAAGAAACTATAATTTCTTTATTATTTCAGAACAAGTGCTAGTAACTCTGGAGTGGTCTAATACAGACCTTAATCAGTGTTGAATAATATGCCTTTTTCTCAGTTTAAGTGGAAAAGATTGGTGCAAAATATAAAAAGATTTTTTCGAGTATCTACTAATTGCTTGGCATTTTATCTATATTTTACCATTTAACCATCACTTCAAATCTATAATGGAGAGAGACCCTATATGTTGCCCATCTCCAGCAGGCCTCCAAACCTATAATGGAGAGAGATCCTATATGTTGCCCAACTCAAGCAGACACTGTTCACATTGAATACAGTAAGAGTGCCCTCTGGAGTGGTACAATGTAGCACCTCTTAAATTAGAGGACATAACCTGTTTTGATTGTCCTGTGTTCCTTTCTTTAAAGAAACAGCCAGCCTCCATTCTATAGCAATTCTATATCATTCATAGGCCTGGGTGGGCCTGACTGTTCCCCTTGCCCAAGGCCTCAGTGTGGTCATTTTGAAATGGGAGTAGTCACCTTATCCCCCTCATGGGACATGCAACAGGGGTGTGGCTTGCTTCTTTGGTGCCCATCTGCTTAAACCCCTAGGGGGTGCATGCAGATGGGCAGGTCCTAGGGAGCATTTTTGGGCTCCAACTCCACAGCAGCGTCTCGGGTTGAGTGTTTACAGTTCCTGAAGCCCCAGTGAGTGCGGGTTACAGGGTGCTCTTTCAGCTTTGCCATCTGTAGGCGGCTTATATTAATCAGCTCAATTAGATCCTCTGCCTTATCGGAAGGACAGAGGTTTTCTGTATCCCAGGTTCTTGCCCTAGCGTACCAGAAAAATCAGATCACATGTGAACTTGGAGGTTGAGCATAAGATTTTATGGGGTGATGAAGGTAGCTCCAAGTGGGATAAATGGGGAGCCAGCAGGGGGATGGAGTGGGAAGGTGGTCTTCCCCTGGAGTCAGGCCGCCTAGGGGCTGGACTGTCCTCCAACTGCCCGCAGCCATATTCTCCTCGGCATATGCATCATTCCACCATCACTGGCCTGCTGGTGTCTGCTGATGTGTTCTTCTGCCCCTCTCAACATCCAGCCACTTGTGTGTGTGTCCACTAGGGTCTCGGGGTTTTTATGGGCACAGGATGGGGAACGTGGCTGGCCAAAAGACAACTTTTTGGGCATGAAAACAGAAATGCCTGTCGTCATTTAGGTCCATGGGCACAGGCTCAAGGATGGAGCCCTAGCCAGGGACCCCGCCCTTCTTTACCCAGCACTTCCCTGCCCCTTCTCATATCAATTTAATCCAGGCTTGGCTTATCTGACCGCTCATATCCTAGCCACAGTTGATACAGGGATGTTCCTGACTAAAGACAGACCAATGACAGTACCCCCTGGAATGCTGCTAGAGTTAAGGAAAAGTTCTTTTGTTCCTCTTGGATCCTGAGTTGTAAAGAGCATATGATCCTGCAACTGCTAGTGGCCATCTCACTATCATGTATCAGAGTTTTGCCTGAAAATGGAGCCATAACATTATTTGAGCACCCGGATCCAGCCATGTTGAAGACGCTTTCAGTTACATGAGTCCATTAACATTTTATTCTTAAAAAGCTAGTTTGATTCTATTTCTACCATTTGCTATCAAGGAGTTTCAACTAAGGCGGGTAGCTATTACCATCTCCATGAAGCTCTGAGAAATTAAGTCACTTGGCTAAGCTGGCTCAGTAATCGATGAAACAGGATTCTAAAGTAGGGTAGTCTGGTACCCACATCCATCTTCTTTTCATTACACTATGCTGCCTGCCAAAACCAGTGAAAATAAATTGATGGAAATCATGTCGATTTATCATTAGGCTTTCTAAAATATAATATTCCTACAAACAGTTTCCCTGTCCCAAATTTCATGCTAATTCCAACTGGTAAATTTATGAAGCAAAGTCATTACTCTTTGTTAGAGAAATGTTTTCATATATACGAAACTTTAAAGAATATTTCAATGAGGCTTGTCAAATTCTTTTTTGAATACCTACTATATAATGGATTGGGATTAATTGTTAACAAAGAAATTTAATAAAGAAACAAATGAAAATAGCAGTCTATACAGAGCATAGCATATTTTTAAGTCACTCTATTCCAGGATCGGAGGTAGTAACACCATAAGCCCAACATCAATAAAATGCTATGACAGAAAGGGGTGGTGTGCCATAGCATACCAGAAATAAGGGTAGTATTTCTAGGCAATAGAAATCACACAGGATTAAATGTGAGGCAATGTGAGGAGGAAGTTCTAGGGCAGTGCTATTGAATAAATCTTTCTACAGTAATGAAAATGTTCTGCTGGGTGCAGTGGCTCATGCCTGTAATCCCAGCACTTTGGGAGGCTGAGGTGGGTGGATTGTTTGAGTCCCGGAGTTTTGAGAACAGCCTGGCCAACATGGTGAAACCTTGTCTCTACTAAAAATACAAGAATTAGCCAGGCGTGGTGGCACACGCCTATGTTCCCAGCTACTCAGGAGGCTAAGGCTGGAGAATCAGTTGAATCTGGGAGGCAGAGCTTACAGTGAGCCAAAACTGTGCCACTGCACTCCAACCTAGGTGACAGAGGGAGGCTCTGTTTAAAAAAAAAAAGTGTTCTATATCTTTTCTGTCTAGAAGAGGATCTTATCTTTCCAGTAGCTACATCTGGCTAGTATCTACCATACTAGTGAGGTAGTGTGGTAGCTGTTGGGCACCTGATGTGTAGCTAATTCTACTGAGGAACTGTATGGCTAATATCTACCATATTGGCCAGTGCAGTTCTAGACAAATAGGCAAATAACACAAGAAAATATATAAGATAGGAAGAATGGAAAGCACAGAGTTTACGTGAAAGATAAAGTAAGTTGTCTACCTCAGCTGGAATTGAGCTTATAAGGAAGTCAAATGAGAAATAATATTTGGTGAAGTTGAGTGGATCCAGATTATGAAAGACTGAACATTGCTTTGGGACAATCGGGAGCTTATGATGTCTCCTGAACTAAGAAGTGTTATGTTCAGTCCTATGCTATGGGAAGATTAAACAGGCAGGGGTAGCTATGAAGAACCAGAAAGGTTACAGAAGTAGAGATGCTACATGTGAGACCACAGTAAGAGTCCAGACAAGTTAATGAAAACCTGAACTAAGACAGTAACAAAGGAAATGAAGGAAAAAGACAGATATGAAACATATCTTGAAAGTAGAAATGAGAAAATTAAGAACTGATTGGAAGAGTTGGAAAGCAAAGAAGAGAAGTGAACTTTGGAGAACAAAAGATGAAAGAGAAATTATAAGAGAAATAGATTTGGTAGTACAGCCATCTGATTTAGAAATAATATTCTGATTTTTGTTTTAGATCTTTTAGGCTTAAGGTGCCAATGTTAGAAATATAACTATATCATTAAAGAGAAATGTTAGAAAATGTGGTAGAAATTTAAGGACCATCCGCATATAAATTAGGGATCAACAAACTATAGCCCTCAGGTCAAATCCAGCCAACTGCCCATTTTCTCAATAAAGTTTTATTGGAACACAGCTTCTCTAATTTGCTTGTATATTATCTATAGCTGTTTTCTAGTATAAAATGAAGAGCTGAGTAAATGCAACAGGCTGTTAGGCACACGAAGCTGAAATTACTTACTATCTAGTATAGAACATATTTGCTGCCTCTGATATACACAGTAGAAATCACCAGAACACATGAGATCCTAATAATTTTAATATAAGAAATTCTAGTATTCACTGGAGTTTAATAGAATACTCTGTTTACTCTTATCATTACATTGGCACATCTATAACATACTAATATTCGGAATAAAAATACAGAGTTCCTCTATGATCCTAAAATATCTCTTGGATCACCAAGAAAAAATTATTCTCCATATAAAAATACTCCTAAATATCATGTGTTTTTGTCTAGATATTTGGAAAGCGGTTCTCCTTTTATGATTTATATTTGATTTTCTATTAACTATAGTATTTTATTAATCAGAGCACTTCGTTCTCTGTGTATGCCAAGTGATATATATGTTAAGCCATATGAAATTCTTACTTTGTTAATGTTTCATCAATTCATGGAAACTAAACTGGATCTGAAACATAAGTTTCAGATTCAAACTTGTGTGGTCAGAGAAGTATGGGCAGCTGTTTATATCTTACAGGGAGAATGTATTTAAGTATTAGTATTATCTTAGTCCGTTGGGGCTGCTATTATAAAATACCTATACTTGGTGGCTTATAAACCACAGAAATTTATTTCTCCCAGTTTTTGAGGCTGAGAAGTCCGGAATCAAGGAACCAGCAGATTCAGTGTCTGGTGAGGTTCCACTTTCTGGTTCACAGACTGCCATATTCTTGTTGTAACTTCACATGGCAGGAGGGACAAGGGGGGCTCTCTGGGATCTCTTTTATAAGGTCACTAATCCCATCATGAGGTCTCCATTCTCATGACCTAATCACCTCCCAAGGGCCCTACCTTCAAATACCATCACATTGGGGGTTAGGATTCAACGTATGAATTTGAAGGGACACAAACATTCAGTCTACAGCAAGCATAATTTAAAAAATGAAAGAAGAAAAGAAGGGAGGGAGAGAGAGAGAAAAAAAAGAAATACAGGAAGAAACAAAGAAAAGATGGATGAAATAAGCATGAACTTTGAGGTCAAACAGATTTAGATTTAAAACTTTCTCCTACCACTAAAGTATGTGTGAACTTGGGCATGTTATTTAACCTTTCCAATGTCAACTTTTTTACTGCTAAGCTGTAAATACCAACTATTCCGTAAGTTTGTTCTAAGCATAGGTTTTCAAATAAAATACTATGTCCAGTCAAATTTAAATTTCATAAAAACAGAAGAATTTTTAGTATAATTATGCCCCATGTATATTTGTCATTTATCTGAAATTCCAGTTTAACTGAGCATGGTAGGCTCAATAATAGCCCCAAATATGTCTATGTCTAATCCCCAGAACCTGTAAATGTTACTTTATATGGCCAAAGGGACTTGCAGAAATGATTAAGCTAAGGATCTTGCAGTGGGGATATTATTCAAAATTGTCTGGTGGGCCCAGTATAATCACAAGTGTCCTTATGAGACGGAAGTTGCGGGAGGAGTCATAGAAGATGATGTGATGATAGAAGCAGAGATTACAATGATACTCTTTGAAGATGGGGCAAGGAGCCACAAGCCAAAGAATACAGGTGGCCCCTAGAAGCTGGAAAAGGCAAGGAGATGAATTCTCCTCTCAGCACCTCCTAAAGAAACCAGCATTGCAAATACCTCAGCTTGAGTCCAGTGAAACTGATTTTGGACTTCTGACCTCCAGAACTGTAAGAAAATAAGTGTGTGCTGTGTTTAAGCCACTAAATTTGTGGAAATTTGTTATGGCAGCAATAAACAATTATACTGAGACCTCCTGTATTCTTATTAGCTAAATCTGGCAACCTTGCTAATGATTAAATGCAGTAGACTAGCACAAACTTCCCCTTAAACATGGCAGAGTGAACATGTGTATTTATCTTTGCTCCCTGCCAAACCCTCACCAAAGTTAAATAAAAGAATAAATAATCTATAAATCCATAAAGAAGGAGGGGAAATGAGAAAAAAAGCAAATATAGATGTCAATCTAATTTTAGAAACCGGAAGGGTGATAACTGATTTAAACTGTGACCATAATACTGATTAAAATAGGGAAAGAGTTGAAACTTTAGATTATAGAGGATAAACCCAACAAGAAGTAGCTAATTCATATTGCAAAACTTGGAGAGGCTCAGACATTAGAAGCATTAGGTACTACAGCAGGCAGTACTGGAAACTTGTTGAGAATCTGCTGAAGAACCAGATACCAAATCCTTTCCTTTACCCCTAAACATCAAGTGACTATTCCTTACTCACTCTGCAAGAGATACAATGCTCATTTTCTGAATACCTTATAAGAGACTCCGGAGTCAGAGAGATCAGGCACACAAGATCAGGCAAATGTGATGTCCTCCTGTAAAATGGTGCAAAAATGAAGCATTACATACAGGTTGATACATGGAAAAGTAAAAATGAACCTCCTTCTCTGATTGTATTTCAAGATGCTAGACATCAAGATTATACTGCTTAGGTGGGAAATTAGAGTATCCTGTCCAAGAAAAAGTATCTACAGATACTGAAAATTTGGTTTCCCAGAGCAAAATACTGGATCCCTGCCAGATTAGCCTACTGTAAAGTTGACCAGTTAAAAACCTCTTTCACACACAGAGTATGTCCAGGTAGCTATTTAGTCCCTCACAGATTCAGGGAGACAACATATACCTCCAGAAGTTTGAGAGAAAAACATAAGGAACCAAACCAAATAAACAGAGAAATCATAGAATACAGAAATAGTGCAGAAAGTAGAAAAAATCGTTACAACATCATAATTAATGTCCTCAGAGAGAGAAAGAATGCTTTATAAAAAGGCAATCATCAGAACAGGAATGAACATAGGAAATTTAAAATATGCTAGCTGAACTAAAACATTCAATTAAACACTTGCAGAATAAAATCGAGAAGATCTCCCAGAAAGTAAAACAGTACAAACATATGAAAACATTATGAAAGAAAAGAAAATCTGAGGATCAGTCCAAGAGATGTATCCATGAGTTATGACAAGGATGAATCCTAGAGAGACCAGAAAAAACAGAGGGAAAGAATTTATCAGATAATTTTTTTAAATGACGATCATGAGCCCTTACATAATAGAACAAACAAAAACAAGATACACACCAAGTATATTATCATGACCATCCGGATCACCAGAGCCAAAGATAGGATTCTAAAGGCATCCAGAGAGAAAAAACAGGTCACATATAAATAGGTTGACCATCCATCATGGTTTGCCTGGGATGATCCCAACATACACTTGTCCTAGAATCATATTTGCCTTTTTATTTGTCTGGTATTTATCAGTTCTTAACAAATTATGATTATTAGTTGCATTAAAATAATCCATGATGGTCTTATAGGCCTCTATTTTGTAGTTGCAGCTGCTGCTAAAAGTTTCATCTAAAGCACATGAGATGCATTTGTAATAACCAGTATACTCACTTTAATACATGGTTAAACCTGAATGACCACCAGCAATTACCCATCTTTCTCTTCCTTACCCTTTTTTTTTTTTTAAATTTTTGTCTTTAATTTTTTTTTTTAGAGACAAGGTCTTACTCTGTTGCCCAGGCTGGAGTGCAGTGGTGTGACTGTAGCTCTCTGTAACCTCAAACTCCGGGGCTAAAGCCATCCTTCTGCCTCAGCCTCCTGAGTAGCTAAGACTACAGGTATGCATCACCATGCCTGCTTTATTTTATTTATTTATTTATTCATTCATTTAGTAGAGACAGGGTCTCACTATGTTGCCAGGCTGGTCTTGAACTCCTGGCCTCAAGTGATCCTGCTGCCTTTACCCTTTTTGATGCAATATAACTATTTTTTTTCCTTCAGAGGACAGCATTTCTTGCTGACAAGAAAAGGAAATGCACTCTGACACTCACATTTTTTAGTCAGAGGTAATATTGAATGCCAGGACTCTGCTAGCCACTGTGTAACACCTAGTTGTTCTGTTTCTGCAAGATGTGTGAAGTCCCCAGGAGGTAAGGCAGTGGCAATGTGGGAAATATAGGTTAAGGGTAGGCCAAATATGAGTGGGCAGTAGAGTCTGCACTTATGTGAAGAGCACATAAAGAGTGGTCTTAATACATTTCCTACAGTGGTTTTGTCATTTAGTTTATTTCAGAAATCTAAAACTATTTATCTTGTTGTTAGATAATATTTTTTTTTATTTTGCAATAAGCTCTTTTAGCCCTAGACAACTAAACTAAGAAAAGTTTATGTTTAATTAAAAATGATGTGCCTAATTTCCATTTTTCAGAAAACTTGAGGGGATGAATAGCTAACTTGCATAAAATGTTTGTCAACATTTCCCATCTGTATTAGCATTGTCACCAGAATGTTGTGTATAAACGATTTTGAAACACAGTGGCTTCGCAAACAGGCATTTATATTTATCCTCAAGAGTCTGCAGATTGAGGTTTGGCTGACTGAGAAAGGAATCAGCCAGGTTATTTATTTATTTATTTATTTATTTATTTTTGAGACAGGGTCTCACTCTGTCACCCAGGCTGGAACGCAGTAGTGCAATCTTGGCTCACTGCAGCCTCGACTTCCTGGGCTCAGGTGATCCTTCTACCTCAGCCTCCCAAGTAGCTGGGACTACAGGTGCAGGCCAACACGCCTGGCCAAATTTTGTATTTTTTGTAGAGACAGGGTTTCACTGTGTTGCCCAGGCTGGTCTCGAACTCCTGGGCTCAAGTGATCTGCCCACCTTGGCCTCCCTAAGTGCTGGCATTACCAGTGTGAGCCACCATGCCCAGCCTGCCATGATCTTTTCATGGAAGCTTATAGGAGAATGCAAACAAGTAAGATCACATAACATGTAAATATTTGACTCCTGTCAGGTTTGCCACATTCCATTGGCTAACGCATGTCATATGAATAATCCAGCATCCATCAGGGGAGAAAGTAAATGTGGACTGAACACTAATCCACACTATCACCTTTTTTTTTCTTATCATAGAAGCCATAGTAATACCATTAATCACATGACAGCCAGAAGACACAAATCTAATAAATATCAGCATCTATTTCAAAAGTTATTAATTAAACCAAACTGTACTGGAAGATGACAATTTAACATGTGCTACTAAAGAAAGTGCATTTGCCTATCACTCCATGATGCATGACTTCATTTAGATCAAACGACTAGTAAGTTAATTTTGCTAATTTATAATTTCAAATCTTTTTTATACATGTTAAAGATGAAAGTTTTTTTAAGTATTGGTTTCATTAGCAGAATATAAACTTCCTAGAGTTCAATTATGCCAATTTTATATCAATGTCATTGAATGTTAAACAAAAATTAGTGAATTCCAATAATAGAAAGGTTTCTTTCATGCAATCAAAATGAACCATTTGGAATTGCATTTTATAATATTAAAGGCAAAATGCCAAATATTATTAGGAATATTATTGTAAAATCAATTAAAAGGTTCCACATTGAAGATACAATGTTTGCTTCTGCAGTAATAATGTGATATGAAATTTGGCAAAGCAAATAATGAAACTCATAGAGCAGAAATTTACCTGGAATTAGTTATAGTGTGTATTAGTTCATTTTCATGCTGCTGATAAAGACACACCTGAGACTGGGAAGAAAAAGGTTTCATTGGACTTATACTTCCACATGGCTGGGGAGGCATCAGAATCATGGCGGGAGGCAAAAGGCACTTCTTATGTGGTAGCGGCAAGAGAAAAATGAGGAAGATGCAAAAGTGGAAACACCTGATATAACCATCAGATCTCACGAGACTTATTCACTACCATGAGAACAGTATGGGGGAAACCGCCCCCATGATTCAAATTATCTTCCACAGCCTCCCTCCCACAACACATGGGAATTATGGGAGTACAATTCAAGATGAGATTTGGGTGGGGACACAGAGCCAAATCATACTATTTCACCCTGGCCCCTCCAAATCTCATGTCCTCATATTTCAAAACCAATCATCCTTCCCAACAGTCCCCCAGAGTCTTAACTCATTTCAGCATTAACCCAAAAGTCCACAGTCCAAAGTCTCATCTGAAACAAGGCAAGTCCTTTCTGCCTATGAGCCTGTAACATCAAAAGCAAGCTGGTTACTTCCTAGATACAATGGGGGTACAGGTATTGGGTAAATACAGCAGTTCCAAATGGGAGAAGTTGGCCACAACAAAGGGATTACAGGGCCCATGTAAGTCCAAAATCCAGTGGGGAAGTCAAATTTTAAAGCTCCAAAATGATCTCCTTTCACTCCATGTCTCACATCCAGGTCACACTGATGCAAGAGTTAGGTTCCCATAGTCTTGGGCAGCTCTGCCCCTGTGGCTTTGCAGGGTATAGCCTCCCTCCTGGCTGCTTTCATGGACTGGCATTAAGTGTCTGTGGCTTTTCCAGGTGTACGGTGAGAGCTGTCGGTGGATCTACTATTCTGGGGTCTGCAGGATGGTGGCCCTCTTCTTATAGCTTCACTAGGTGGTGCGCCAGTAGGGACTCTGTGTGGGGGCTCTGACCCCACATTTCCCTTCTGCACTGCCCTAGCAGAGGTTCTCCATGAGGGCCTCGCCCCTGCAGCACACTTCTGCCTGGGTATCCAGGCATTTCCATACATGTTCTGAAATTTAGGTGGAGGTTCTCAAACCCCAATTCTTGACTTACAATTCAAGATGAGATTTGGGTGGAGACACGGAGCCAAAGCCTATTATAGTGCATACATAATCCATAGTTGCTTTTAAATAAGCAGCAGGAAAATCAAAGCTATAGTTGTCAAAACTTACAAATAGTTTAACATACACATATTAAGTAGTTTATATATTTATATATAGTTACATATCTGTGGTCTGAGCACATATATATACATATATATGTAGTTTGTATATTTATAATATATATTTATATATAATATATATAAAGCAGTTTAATATATAAAGTAGTTATATATATATTTATTTATATATATATATATATATTTGAAGTGAACCATAACGTATTTGTTTATATGAAGCTGACATTAAGAAAGTTAAACAAAAAAATTATATTCTGGAAGTATCTATTTTCTCTCTTTGTTGCTTATCTTAAATTAGATTTTATAAATATTTAAGCCTTTGAAGAACTATTTTTTAATAATAATATCAAATGAGAAGTCTAAATTTAATAATACCAAAATGAGAACTCTAAATTTTCAAAAATAGTTAGAAAAACTTTAATCAAAATATTCAAAAGAAATGGAGCACCAAACTGGCTCTCGAAGTTTTTAGTGATTATAGTTATTAAAAACAAATTTTTCAGATAGAAAGACATAATTTATTCTTACAAAAGCAAGGAAGGAACAGAACAAATTAAACAATGGTAACTTGCCTGGTGAACAAAATTTAATTTTGAAATTCTGTGTTTTTAAATATCTCAACTTGCAAGAAAAATCTTTTCAAGGACCTCTACTTTAAAATAGTAATTTATATTACATGTGCGAATGAAATAAAACTAAGAAGCCTATGATTTTTGCAGCATCAAAATTGGCAAAACATTGAAATAATTGCAGATAGAAAAAACTTATTCAATGTATTTTGTCTCCTAAAATGTATTTGAAAAAAAGGAGGCACTCTGAATAAAGGGTATGATATAGTACCTTTAAAATAATTAGACCAAAATATTTATACAATTCAATAACCCCCTTAAGAATATCCTTCATTGAGCAGAATTGACTCTGCAGTTACAAAATACCTCAGCACATATGAGAGTATTTTCTCAGTAAAAATATTATGGCTTTTATGATCAACAGAGAAAAAGTCAATAAAGGTTGTCAGAAATGTCAAATTCATTAACTATTTTAAATACAGCTTTAAAGAAGATTGTAGGCAGTTTTGTGGAAAAACATAATAAGACCGTTGGTGGATCACAGAGGATTTCTAGGGCAGTGAAATTACTCTGTATGATACTGTAATGATAGATGTATGTCATTATAAATTTATCTAAACCCATAGACTGCACAACACTAGGAGTGAAACCTAATGTAAACTATGGACTTTGGATCATGATGTGCCAGTGCAGGTTCATCAGTTTTAACAAATGTACCACTCTGGTGGGAGATGTTGATGATGGGGGAAGCTATGCACGTGTAGGAGAAGGAGGTATATGGAAAATTTCTGTACCTTTCATCCAGTATTGCTATGAACCTAAAACTGCTCTAAAACAGTCTACTTTTATTTTTATTTATTTTTTTTTTAAGTTAGGCACAGTGGCCCATGCCTGTAATCCCAGCATTTTGGTAGACCAAAGCAAGAGGATTGCTTGAGGCCAGGAGTTTGTGACCAAACTGGGCAACATAGCGAGACCCTGTCTCTACTAGACAGATAGATAGATAGATAGATAGATAGATAGATAGATAGATAGATAGACTCTCTTGAGGCCAGGAGTTCAAGACTAGCCTAGACAACGTAGCGAGTCCTCTTCTCTACAAAAAATTTAGAAATTAGCTGGGCATGGTAGTGCATACTTATAGTCCTAGCTACTTGGGAGGCTGAGATGGGAGGATTACGTGAGCCCAAGGATTCAAGACTGCAGTGAGCCATGATTGTGCTATTGCACACTCCAGCCTGGGCAACAGAGTGAGACCCTGTCTCAAACTAAAAAAAAAAAAATTCTTCGGAAAATTTCTGGTGTCATGATACTAGATCTACATGTAGCTTTTAATGATTAAATTACATAAGTAGTACCAAGAATAATTGTTGCCCTTATACTATTTTTAGTATTCAGGAAATCAACATAAAGAAGAAGATTTTTTTTAATTTATAGATTTAAAAAAAATTAGACAGAATTTTAAAACTGTACATTATAGCCCAATCAGTATATTATAATAGTGTATTAGCTCTGGAGTGCTGGCGTGGCACTAATGCTTATCACCATCACCAAGGCCAGCTCAGCAGCAATGACCTCAGAGCCTTGCTTGGTCTGATCTAGAGGAGTCCTCACAATGTGTGGACTGCTAGGACCTTGAACCCAGGCTGCACCTTGGGAGAGGAAGCAAGGGAGGTACTAAGAGCCAGAGTTGATACATATATAGCCTAATGCTTAGGTGGATCTTTTGCATTGCATGTTTGCTGCTTTGATAGTAATTCCAAGGATACACAACTTTAGCCAAGAAAAAAATCATTATTCTCTCCAATTTCTCGGCTTGGATCAGCCTTTGTGGCCTGTCCCAGTTCTACTGATTTAACTAGAAATTTTTATATAATCACATTAAGCCTATGGGGACAGGAGTTGATGTAAAAGAAAGATATCCTCATTTTACCTGGAGGAGGTCATTATTCAGTGGTCAGTAAGTTTTCAAAATAATCAAGAAATAGCTATATATATATATAGAGAGAGAGAGAGAGAGTATACAAATATGGAAATAAATAGAAGAAACTGCTGAAATGTTTGAAAGTAAGGAATGGAATTGGGAATGAGAGGGTAAGAAGTTTATATTAAACGTTTTGTTGTATTTGAGTTTTTAGAATTGTGAACATGTATTGTGTTAATTTTTAAAAAGTAAATGAAGTTTTAAATTAAATGCCTAATATACCTAGTAGGAAGTCAAGGTTTCCTTTTTGTGTTATTCCCAATTTTTATGTTTCTAGATAGGCACCTGACTTCCTCCTGTTTTTTGACAATTTCTGCACAAGAAATTACTAATTCACTATGATCTGAGGGCCATGCAGACTGCCCTAGATAATCTTGAAATTTGCTAAACCATTATAAAAGGTTTTCTTTTAGGTAAATTTCAATCCCTTTACCATTCAAAATGTTGCTAACTGAAAGCATTTTTACAAATATACAGTTAATTGAAATCTGGAAAAGTAATGAGCTTCCTTATTTGCTTATATGCAATTCCCAGTATCACACATGTAATTTAAAGATTACCTACTACCTGCAGATATTCTTCTTACCATGTTAAGGCAGAGACCACCCTCTTCCCATTTCCTATGCTGGAGGTGAGACAGATGGAAGCATTATTATAAATTAAGATCAGTGGTGGGTAGAAATTTGGCAATTCAATTAGGAAAATTACACACCAACGTTACGCTTGTTACCAAAACTTCTTTTTTTGCAAATCACCAACTTCTCCTTCCTCTAATTTTTGGGTAAACAAATTAACGCTGAGTGTTATCGGCTGGCCCGTGGGTTTTCCTGCAATATATTATCAGGACTCTGTCAGTGAAATGCGCGTCGTTGTCCGTACATTAGTTCCTGAGACTTGCAGGAGTTGTTGCAACTTGTTCATTCCAGTGTTCAAATAGTTCAGCCGTTGTGTCAACATGTTAGGGGCCAGTCTCTGATCATGATGGGCCAGGCTCACTCTTTATTATTGCGGGTGGATTCCCTTTCATTTATGTTCAGACTGCAGATCAGCCTCTACCAAAACAAATTGGCAGTGAAAGGTAGAATATTTCTTGTTGAAATTGCCAGGGGAGTCAGTACAGGGTCTGGATAGGATTTCACAGAAGATTGGAAATGGTATCAGGTAAAAAATGTGAGTTAATATTGAGGGCGATTCCACCAGCTTGCTCCTGTCTCTGCTTTAAGAGTAAGGAAATACAGTCACTGATTACAATCATGGCTGTAGTCACTGAGGCTTACAGTATGCCCAGACAGGCGTGGTTTTAAGTGCTCTGTCTTATCTCATTTAGTCCTCATCACATCCGTAGGTGGTATTTCACTTTCATTGGAGTAAATAAAAGAATGCCTTAAAAATGCTTAACACAGTGCCTGACAGTGTATAAAGAAACATTAGCTTATTATCATTGCTAATCATCAATAACGGCTCGATAATGTCTTTTGGAAAAGCTCTGTCTTTTGGAATCCTGCCAGTCCAAGGTAGACTCTTTCCCCTTGGGGGAAGAATGCAAAGGGTGGAATAGAAAACTCTGTTGGAAGTTTACATTCCTATATTTTAGTGGCTAACACGCTCAACAGATGAGGGAAAGACAAAATAAATTTTTCAACACTAATCCTAGTAACTAAAGTATGTCACATGTCCAGATGCTGATTCCATGTGACTTGGCTGGGCCAACACCTACCTTGCCAATCTAATACTGACATTTTTCGCCTAGTAACCAGAGACTCAATCTTACAGCCCCCACTTTCCGAGGAGGGAATGAGATGCTTTGTTCAAACAGAGGTGAGCCTTGTTAGATGTTGCAGAGGAAATTCAGACATCAAATAAATGCCCTTTAATGCTGCTTGTCACTCAGAACTTGTGATGCTAAGAACACACAATGTTAACTTTTTTTAAGGAATTAAGTGGAAGACTCCACCACTGTATTGCTAAAAAGATGTAACCAAAGGCAAGTGTAGCTTTTGGAAATTTAATTGAACTTTAATTAAAATCTTTAACTTTGCTAAAAAAAAAACTGCCATAAAAATAGACATTAAATAGTTAAGCATTTGATTCCTGAGTGGTTACAGTTGTAGTGGACAATGGGCATGATGGAGGCCTGTGATTAAATCAAGGGCTTTGGCCCAAGCAGATAACACTGGGATTAAAACATGGTCCTGACCACACCTACTTTTGTCACTTTAGGGAAGTTATCTCTTTATGTGTGCATTTTCACATCTGTAAGATATGAAACTTCATGGAATTGAGAGACAGGACTAGCTGGATTTCCTGTGCTGACTAAGAATTCCTAAGCCTAGCTGGGGAAGGTGACCCCATCCACCTTTAAAGACGGGGCTTATAACTCAGCTCATACCCGACCAATCAGGTAGTAAAGAGAGCTCACTAAAATATCAATTAGGCTAAAAGCAGGAGGTAAAGAAATAGTCAATCATCTATCGCCTGAGAGCACAGGGGAGGGATAATGATCGGGATATAAACCCAGGCATTCGAGCCAGCAGTGGCAACCCACTTTAGGTCCCCTCCCATTGTATGGGAGCTCTGTTTTCACTCTATTAAATCTTGCAACTGCACACGCTTCTGGTCCATGTTTGTTCCAGCTCCAGCTGAGCTTTTGCTCACTATCCACCACTGTTGACCGCTGCCATCGCAGACCCACTGCTGACTTCCATGCCTCTGGATCTGGCAGGGTGTCTGCTGTGCTTCTGATCCAGGGAGACACCCATTGCCGCTGCCAATCGGGCTAGAGGCTCGCCATTGTTCCTGAGCGGCTAAGTGCCTGGGTTCCTCCTAATCGAGCTGAACACAAGTTGCTGGGTTCCACGGTTCTCTCCCATGACCCACGGCTTCTAATAGAGCAATAACACTCACTGTGTGGCCCAAGGTTCCATTCCTTGGAATCTGTGAGGCCAAGAACCCCAAGTCAGAGAACAAAAGGCTTGCTGCCATCTTGGGAGTGGCCCGCCACCATCTTGGGAGTGGCCTGCCACCATCTTGGGAGCTCTAAGAACAAAGACCTGCCCGTAGCAGAATCTTTATGAGGATTCTATGAGATTACAGCTTTGAAGTACTTGGAACATAGTAGATACTTAATAAATGACAGTTATAATGATAATGGTCACGAAGAAGGGATCCAGGAAGTACCTTGGGTTCCATAAATTTGGTGTAACAGAGGAACCATTGTCAAGTCACACAAGTTAATGCTTTTCTTATCTTGCCCAAAATGGGCCTGTCCAACCCCCGCTGTTCTCACAAATCAGTGTAGAGAAATGGAGTACCGGACAGGGAAGGATAGAGAGACAGGTTAAGTGTTCCTCACAGTAAAATGCCTCAGGGGCAGTAGATATTTGCATCCAAGGGAATCCCCTACAACCTTTAACACATAATAATCACAAAAATAAAAACCAAGCAAAACAGGAAGCACATTCAGCAGAAACTCCATTCCCGATAGGAAAGAACCAGCATTCCAGAGTTTCCCAAAGGACACCAGGAATGTGGAACTTGCCAATGCAAATTCCATGGAATCCAGAAATTATCTGTAAAGAGCAAATGGCCAGATATAGGGAACTAACCATGCCAACCAGTCTGGTAATTATAGGAAACACAGAGGACAAGCACTAAGAGATATGCAAAATTGGGAGATGGAAAGAGAAGGGTTCCAGATCCCATAAGGCAGAGAAATGGCCAACTCTCCAATGAGGAGAAATTGAATGCTAACACCAGAACTACACTTATTTGTTACATAATTAACTTAGGGTGAACTGTTTCTTGTTCTCATTCCATAGTATATACATTCTCAATCATTCATATCATTAAAAACCTCCTTCAGTTGCTGTTAATGACACCTAAAATAACTGAACCCCCAAGTGACAATTTTAATAACAGTGTTGATATGAATAGACCAAGCTAGGTGAACACCAAAATTTAGCAAAGCGTGGTCTAAAATGGGTGGGCTAAGGATTATATTTCACATCAATTTGCTCCCTTGATCTCAACGCTACTTTTGTTATCAGGAAGGGAAAGTATTATCATACCCATTTTACAGATGACAGAATTGAGCTCCTTGAAATTTAGTTAATTTCCCAAGTTTACAGAGTTTATATTAGAACTGGGAGTAAAACCACCCAGGACATCTCCTCTTTATCATATTGCCCTCTGAGAAATCCTTCTGTGAATAATATGTTTTTATTTGCTTCTGGTTTTGAAATGTTACATTTCAAAATCCAATTTGGATTTCAGTGTACTATATGTTGAATATGGAATCTCTGCACTGTGAAAAACCTTGTGATATTTCTAAGGCTTCAAGACCTATACACAGTCTAACAGGAAAATCAGTTATAATGGAAATGATGGTTGCACTGAATGGGCTGGATCTTTAAAATATTCATTTCCCACAAGGAAATATTTTAGAGTTATACTCCATGCTAATACAGTGCAGAAAATATTAATATCAATAGCCCTCTGGGATGAAATTAGGGGTGAACCTAGCCCTAAAATTTCTATGTTTAGCATTTATTGAAGCAACCATAGTCACATTCTGAAGATTACAACTCATTTTGTTAAATTCATATGTATATGTGTATATATATATATATATATATATATATATATATATATATATAGCAAGACAAGCTAAAAATGTAAGTGTAATATGGTTTTCACATGTTATGTGTGAAAATGTTCTCCTTTTGGTTGATTGGTTATGGAGATTTTGAATTCATAGACCCTGGCACCTGCAGATATATGCACATTTGCAGATGGTAATTAGAGCTACTCTCCTGCGTTTCCCCTCACCCTCCCATATCCTCCATTTATCTTGTTTATTTTTTGTTTACCTTTGCAATACTCCCAGGGAGGAAGAGGCTACAGCACTGGCGCACTCCCAGGTATGAATCTAATGTTTTAAAACGGCTACACTATGAGGTCTTGTATATTTGCTTTAGAAAGGTTGGAGTAGGTTTCATTTCATCCCTAACCCGAGGATGTTGCGAAGATGTCAACCCATGAATGAGTAAGCTTTGTGGTCTGGGATAAGTCAATAGTTTATACCAGAAGGAGTAGATCCATGTCAACAGGCTAAGGTCTTTGATGTCCTTTCTCAGTATCCTCTTTTCTGATTTGCCTTTTAATGATGCTAATAGAATAACAGCTTTAAATGATTTATTGAATTTTCCATCTAGGAGAGATGTTAGGGATTACTGGATGTCATACCTGTCATTTTATGAAAATGGAGGCACAAAGAGGTGACATGCTTTTCCCAAAGCCACACAACTGGTAGTGGCAACTGGAACCAGAAACAAAGTTCACTGACACCTATTGCTTCAATCTCTGCCTTCTAGCCCAGTCACATAAATGATTTAACTGAAATAGTCACTGAATTAAGCAACTGTTTTGATTGAACTGGTGTAATAAATTTCACGTTCCTGCAACTAGGGTTTATTTTTCAGTTGAGCTTCAATGCTGGTAAACAGACTTGAAGCTGATTAAGCATTTCAGATTTAATTCTTTCTAGATTCCTTGGGCCATGTTCCCATCTGGCTCAACCTCAAAATAAAGAACCCCAGAACATTTTATTTCCTAAAAAGTACAGTTAGGCCTGCCATATAAAATGTATAGTCTTGTGTGATTATAGGAATTTTGCCTTTATACCCTCTCAGCCAAAGATGATTTTATTATGTGGGATTGAATTAAAGTCATGTAAACGGAAAAACAGTATTTTTAAAACACCAAAAAAGAACAAGCAATGCAGAGAATGTGATAAAATCTTCATCACATAAATGTTGGGATTTAATGAATACGTAATGTTACTTGGAACACAGAATAATGGAATCCAAGAAGGAAATAATAAGCACCACCTTAAAATTTCTCAAACACAGCTCAGGAAAAAATACACCATGAAACAGGCACAGTGGCAATCACTATAAAACATCTAACTGTTTTCTTTCAGTTGTAGGACAAAGGAATTTGTGTCAACAAAGATAGGATATAGGATGCAAAGATTAATATTTTTTTTCTGCAGCACTTGGCCTGGTGTTTTAAAACTCACGAAGTTCTCTTTTTATTCGTGGCATAGCAAGGTATAGTTTAATTGATCATAAAATTGGTTAAACAAAGGCATTTATGAAAGCATATAAAATTGATGTGAACATAGAACGTTAGACCATTAGTGTGTTTACCGTAAAAGTCTGCTGTGTCTAAGTACATACGCTTCAGTTATAGCTACATTGATTAAGTTTTTGTTTAATCTGCTATTTCCAGCAGCAAGTTCCTTCCCTGTTTCATGCCAAGTTCCTTTTAGGATTTCCATGTGACTTGCATTAGCATTTTTGGCTTCAGAAGTACCTCTAATGAACCATTTATAGTTTTTTTTTTAAAGAATGCTCAAAAAATTAGGCTGTGACAGTTATCCAAAACATAATTTGTTATGCTGTTTAATTGTTTAATGGCTGTTTAAAAATTTAAACATGGTCCCTGGTTGATTGGTTGATATAATACCATTAAGGTAGATTAGAAGCGCCTTCAAGACTATAATTATCTGCTGGGTCCTTCATGGTTCAGATTTATAAATTAGGTTGTGTTCTAATAAAATGTTAATTCAAAAATGTCAGCTTCAGTGTTTTAAAAACCAGTTCTTTAAAATGTTGCTAAACACCTACATCTTTAGAGAAATAATTACTAAGCTAAGGAAATGGAGTGAAATTTTCTGTTAAAGTGAATGTGCTCTAAATCCATATGCTATTTATTTATTACAATTATATGCATTCTCTTATGTATCCATTTTCAAATTCTCAAGAAAATTCATGACTCTTTTCTACAAAAATATTTTTGACCATTGGCATGGCTCAAATCTTCACAGTAATGGTGGGTCTTGGGCCAAACCCTTTGATAGCTCAACAAATGATTGTTGAACATCATGACAAAAATCTCACACTCTTTTTATGGGAGGAAAATAAAACTGACTGATGGTTTTCTCTGTAATGCAGTTATCAAATTATGCTTCTCATTGCAAAAAGAAAATAATACTGCATTTTGGTTTTCAGGAATAACACATACAGGAATACAATGCAGCTAAGATACATTTTTTTTTTGAAGAGTACTCTGAAGACCTCTGCATTAGAATCACCTGTGATAGTTGTGTAACATGAAGATTCTTGGCTGCTTTACAGCTATAGAATTAAAGAGTTCCCTAAAATTTGAAAACCAGTGATCAAGATGCTAAGCTATTTTTTTGTTTCAGAACATCTTCCCTAAGGTCCAGTGCAGTGATTCATGCCTGTAATCCCAGCACTTTAAGAAGCCACGGCAGGAGGATTGCTTGAGCCCAGGAGTTTAAGACCACTTTGGGCAACATGGCAAGACCTCATCTCTGTAGAAAACCAGAAAACACCATCTTCCCTAATCTTCCTCATGAACAGATTTGCTGCCTTTCCCATATTCTTCTTATATTACATTACCTTTACATTGTGAGGACTCCCTAGAGGGCAGGGGCCGTGTCTTTTTTACTGTTGTATTCTCAGAGCTTAGTACAATAACTGACACAGGGTAAACCTGTAAGAAACTGTTGAAATAATAGATGAATGCGTGAATGGATGTATGACTAATAAGCAATACATAGAACTTTGTGGTCGGGCACACTGGCTGACACCTGTAATCCCAGCACTTTGGGAGGCTGAGGTGGGTAGATAGCTTCAGGCCAGGAGTTTGAGACCAGCCTGACCAACATGGTGAAACCCCATCTCTACCAAAAAATATAAAAATTAGCTGGACATGGTGGCACGTGCTTGTAGTCCCAGCTACTCGGGTGGTTGAGGCAGGAGAACTGCTTGAACCCAGGAGGCAGAGATTGCAGGGAGCTGAGATTCAGGTGACTGCACTCCAACCTGGGTGATAGAGCCAGACTCTGTCTCTAAATAAATAAATAAATAGAACTTTGGCCATGATTAAGCAGAATTGATGATAATCCCATTTCCCAAGTCGCAGACAAAGTGATTTTAAACAAAGAGTAATTTCTTCCCTCTCCCATCACTAATTTCATCACTACTCCAGGAAAGAGTGTCATTTTAGCTATAATTTTCCAATCCAGCATCTTTAAAATGGAACTGTCACCTCAGTAGTGATATTAAAGTGTCTACAGACCTATAACCATTCATGGCTGATCTTTTGCAAATTCCAGTGTAGAAGTGGAAGTGCTCACCACCCTCAGCCCTGAGATAAAAACATGCTCTAAAGTCGGGGGAATGGGGAGAGATTCATTAAAGGATAAAAAGTTAGACAGAAGGAATAAATGCTAGTGTTCTATAACACCATAGGAGGACTATAGTTAATAATAACATACAGCTTCAAATAGCTGAAAGGAGGGGATTAAATATTTCCAACACAAAAAAATGATAAATGTTTGAGCTGATGGATATGCTAAGTATCCTGATCTGATCACTATACATTATATGTATAGAAACATCACTACTCCATAAACATGTACAATTATTGTGTCAGTTAAAACAATTTTTTAAAAAAGTGTTTCTTGAACAAATGAAAAAAGAATGCTCTTAAGAAAAGGAGTTAAAAAGGCAAGATAAGAGAAGTTCAATGCAGTGAAATGGTTGACTAGGAGTTAAGGGAAATAGGAGAAGCCACAGACACTTGAAACCTTGTATAATTCTTTGAGGTTAAATCTGGAAATAAGTTAGAAAGCCATAGTTAGAGAGTTTTGAAAATTTTGGCCAAGCATTCAAGATTAAGGAGAGTACCTTATTTACTTAAATATAGGGTGCAGTTTGTGTTAAAAAATCACTTCTTAAAGAGAGAGCATGGAGGGCTAATCTAGGAAAATGACCCTAGGGCACCTGCCCTCACATTTATCTCAGAAACCACACTGCTGGGATAAAAAGGAGCAAAATGAGGGAGCTGCCTGGAACATTTTTTAATTTAAATTACACATTTAGTACAAAGTGTCAGTGTCAGAAGGCAGCAGACCATGGCTGTCTCGAGGTCAGAGATATAACATCTTTACTTTTGTATACTCTCATTCCTAAAAGAGATCTCCCTCATAGCAGAAGCTACTTGGCCAATCCTTGCTGAATATTGAATAAAAACAAAAGGAAAATGCACACAAGGCAAAGAATAGAGTTTTAAGCAACTGGATTTCTTTCTATCATTGAAATTTTTTTTGCTGCTTTTTTTTTTTCGAGGGGATGGAGTCTCGCTCTGTCGCCCATGCTGGAGTACAGTGGTGCAATCTCAGCTCCCTGCAACCTTTGCCTCCCAGGTTCAAGTGATTCTCCTGCCTCAGCCTCCTGAGTAGCTGGGATTACAGGTGCATGCCACAACGTCCAGCTAGTTTTTGTATTTTTGGTAGAGACAGTGTTTCGCCATGTTGGCCAGGGTGGTCTCGAACTCCTGACCTCAGGCAATCCACACGCCTCAGTCCCCAAAAGTGCTGGGATTACAGGTGTAAGCCAGCATGCCAGGCTGTCCTTTGCTTCTCAAAGCCTGATTGAGTTGAAGATTTTCAACTGGGATCTGTTGAAAGAGCCCAGTGGTGAGAGAAAGTCTGTGAGAGAAAGTTGGTAAGTGGTTAAGTGTGATAAGAGATCAGAGGAAGTTTTCACAGTTTGGCTTGTAGAATCTTCCTCCTAGAGCCAACCTCTTAACATCACCCAGGCAGGGCCAGCTTCATGGGTATATGACCTACACAGTCACCCAGGGCCTGTGCTCAAGGGGCTACTTGCTTGATTTAATGCTCTAGTGTCGTCAACTTGAAACTCTCAATAATTTTATTGTACACCTTGGTGTTTTGCAAGTGGAGTCTCATGAGACAATGGAGCATGCACATGAACAGAGAAGACAGGCACAATATATGTGTCTGCCATTGCTTGCCACTCTACTCTCATAGAGTGTTTGTGATGCCCTGTAAACATAATTCTGGTGGTCCCATGAAGCAGGCAAGATCAGCAAGACGGAAAGTGAGTATGAGATAACATTTAAAACTGAGTAAGCTGAGGATACTGACAGCCCCAAAAGCCCACACTTTCTGTCTGAACCAGAGTGTGCTTTGAACAGAAAAAGAAGGCAAGTGAATTCTAAGAAATGTTGGCAATCTGGGAATCCTATGATATGATTTCTTACCCATGTGACTTCCCTGTATTAGCTACTTTTGCCAAAAACGATGTGGAAGGAAAGGGGAATATGTCTCAAGCCATAGTTTCTTCTCCTTTCAGTCCTTCTTACTCATCAATAAGCCAGATATAGAGAGTATTGGTAGAATTGTGACTATATCAGGAAGGGAAATAAAAACAGGGCAGCCTTTCCTCTCTTGTGGAAAGAACAAAATACATATGCATATACAAGCTGCAAAATAGAAATTGTGTCATTTCAGTAATTCTGCATATGCTCTTGCATTTGCATTCAAAACTGGCATCACACGATATAAAAATGAACAGCAAAATTTATGCTAATAATTTAAAATTTTAATTTTTCTTTACTTAGAATGACATTAAATAATAAACCATGATAAGTCAAGAGAAAAGACAGAATAATGGAAAAGGTTTTATATTTTGATAACTTTAAAGAGGGTAGTTTTTTTTTCCGGCTTTTTCAACAAAGAGCTGTGTTTTTATTTTGCACTGGTCTCATCAAATTATGTAGTTAGCCTTGCTTTCAGGCCAGTATTCCAAGGAAAACCATCATGGAAAATGCTGGAAAGGAGGAATGCGCAGCAGAGAGCTGAAGCCTAAAAGATTAGCTTATTTCCTTCCCAGCTGCAGGGCAATCAAAGGGCATTGTCAGGAACCCTGGAAAAGTAAACAGAGCTGGGCTCTGCCCCTTAGCCTGTGTGGACTAGTGAAAGCTGTCTTACCTTTCTGAGCCTCAGGTTCCCATCTGTAAAGTGGAATAGTAACTTGCATTGGTGTTATCAGGGATGAACGTAACTTACACAAAGTGTCTACCACATAGAAAGCTTTCAGTATATGACAGCTATAATATTACTCTATAATTATGAGTTGTGTTCTTTCTAGGACCCTGTTTTAGTCAGGGTTCTCCACAGGGACAGAACCAATAGGATATATGTATATACAAAAGGGAGTTTATAGAGAGAATTGGTTCATACAATTACAAGGCAAAGTCCCAAGACAGGCCGTCTGCGAGCTGGGGAAAGAGAGAAGCCCATAGCATAGCTCATTCCAAGACCAAAAACCTCAAACCAGAAAAGCTGACAGCGCAGCCCTCAGTATGAGGCCAAAGGCCCAAAAGTCCCAGGAAGGCCCCTGGTGCAAGTCCCAGAATCCAAAGGCTGAAGAACCTGGAGTCTGATGTCCAAGGGCAGGAGGAGAGGAAGCAAGGGTCTCGTTTGGGAAGAGACAGAGAAAGTAAGAAGACTCAGCAAGCTGCTTATCCCTTCTTCTATCTGCTTTGCTCTATCTGTGTTAGCAGCCAATTGGATGGTGCCCACGCCCTTGGAGGGTGGGTCTTCCTCTACCCTTCCACTGACTCAAATATCTGGCAATACCTTTCAAGATACACCCAGAAACAGTGCCTCACCAGCCATCTAGTCATCCCTCAATCCAGTCAAGTTGACATCTGTGTTAACTATCAGTGACCCATAGCACTGACCTTATATATATGGCAGATGAGGCTTGCTTTTGTGGAAGGATTCAAAAACATACTGTCTTCCTCTCAAGACCTAAAATAATCCGCTCCTGTTTATTCTAATTTTCCTTCCCACAAGCCTATCAGAAAAAGGTCTGATACAAATCCTGAGCAATTTGGTGTGAATGTAACAATAAATAGAAGCCACGCCTGCAAGAGCAGTGGCCACCGGGAGGGAGGCTGAAGGACGTTTCTAAAAGGGAAAAGTGAACCTGAATGAGAGAGTGAGGGAAAGAGAGAAGAAACACGAACAAATGCCACTTCTTGGAATCTACAAGTTAGAATTGGGATCATCAATCTGGGAAAGCTCAAATCAATGAAACACCTTACAACTCAGTCTCAATTTCATAGAAAAGAATGGGTTGATTACTGTGAAAGTGACTTTCATAATCTAAGGTTTAAAAATTCAGCAAATATTCATTAGAGGCCTGCTCTATACATGACACAGTGCTAAGCACTTTGAGAGACACAGAGAAGAATAAGGAAAGGTCCCTTCCCTCCAGGAGTTCACAGGAAAGAAAGGATTAGATCAGCATACCACTATGTATAATGCAGGAAGGAACAGGTATGGTTGGAACAATAGAGACCATGAGATACCGAGGAAAAAACAGCTGTCTTTTTATTTTGAGGCCTGCGTGCCTTTCTCTCTACTCTTTCTGTCTCATGCTAACCTATGTAAACTTTTTTGTTTTGCTACATACTGATGAGAACTACAATAATTTTTTTTTGTCGCCATTTTTTATGTCAAATGATGTGCCATAATGTTTCAATTATGTCATATCAGTTAATTCATGTAAATACTGCTAGAAAAGAAAATGGGCTAAAAGAATCTGAAGACTTGCTCAAAGTCACCCAGTTAATCTGCATGAGAGCCAGGATTCAAATCCAGGTTAGTCTGCCTCCAAGCCCATCCTCTTTCCATTTTGCTTTTGTAAGGGCCCACCTGAGGTTCCCTAAAGAGAACGCATGGTTATGTCCAACCCTTTTGTACATGCTGTTCCTCTGGAGTGTCTTTAACCCTTTGTCACCTTGATAAACTTCTATATATAATTTCCAATCCCCCTCAGCTATTAATCATCTGTTTCCTAGCATTTCATCCCCTCCAAAATGTTCACCACTCCCTATTCTGTGCTAACAGGTATCTCATCTATGGATTGCTATTCATCTACTTGGTATATTGTAGAGGAATTGTATAGTTTTATAATTGTGTCATCACTTTCACGTGGTGAGCCCCTTGAGTGAAGGGCCATAACTTTTCTGATTTTGTACATTTACCACATGGTAGGAACACAACAATTTTTTGCTGAAACATGTTGAATTGGATACACAGAGAAATCAATATTGGCTAAGGATGTATTTCAGAGTTTAGCACCCATGTTCTATAAAGGACTATATACTTTTTTTTTCTTTTTAAGATGGAGTCTTGCTCCGTTACCCAGGCTGGAGTGTAATGGTGCGATCTCGGCTCACTGCAACCTCCGCCTCCTGGATTCAGGCAATTCTCCTGCCTCAGCCTCCTGAGTAGCTGGGACTACAGGTGGCCACCATGCCCAGCTAATTTATTGTATTTTTAGTAGAGATGGGGTTTCACCATATTGGTCAGGCTGGTCTCAAACTCCTGACCTCAGGTGATCCACCACCTCAACCTCGCAAAGTGCTGGGATTACAAGTGTGAGCCACCACTTCTGGCCAAAAGGACTATATACTTAAATGAATGGGTGTAGTTATGTTCAAATAAGACTTTATTTGGCCTTTAGGCTATAATTTGCCAACGCTTGATATATTGTATGCCAACAAGCGCAGATTAGGAGTGGGAATAGAGGAACCCTTCCAAGCAGAAGAAACTGCATATGCTAAGATGCTGGTGGCAGTATATGTTCAAGGAAAAACATAAACTAGCATGGTTGATTCATGGTGTACATGGTAAAGGAATAATAATAGCTAAAAACTACAGCCAGGTGAGGTACTGCACATCTGTAATCCCGGCACTTTAGGAGGTCGAGGTGGACAGATCGCTTGAGCTCAGGACCAGCCTAGGCAACATGGCAAAACCCCATCTCTACAAAAATTACAAAAATTAGCTGGACATGGTAGTACACATGCCTATAGTCCCAAATACTCAGGAAGCGGAGGCAGGAGGATGGCTTGAGCCCAGGAGGTGAAGGCTACAGTGAGCCAAGATCATGCCACTGCACTTCAGCTTGGGCAACAGAGTGAGACCCGTCTCAAAAAAAGATAAAACTGGAAAAGTGGGCCATGAGGATGGAGGAGCTCAAATGCCAGAGGAAGGAGTCTATTCTGATCTCAGTAGGTATGGGAATGTCATTGAAGTTTCTGAGCAAATTAGAGGCCTGACAGTTACTGTCTATCAGAACCTAATCTGTCCACATGTATAGTAGGAACACATAGATCAACAGGTTTATGAGATCACCTAAGCACAAAAATGATGACAGTAAAAATGGAAAGACAAGAGTAAAAATGAGAGCAGAAGAGGCAAAATTGGCAGGACTTGGCAATTGGTTTGTATGTCAGTGTGGAGAGAATAAAAGGTGACACTGAGTTTCCTAGGTGGGTGCCCGGGAATACAGCAGATCCAGTAATAAATCAGGAAGGTAAGATAAGGGACTTGTTTCAGAAAAAAGGAGGAAAGGAAGGAAGGAAGGAAGGAGAGAGAGAGAGAGAAAGAAACAAAGACAGAGGAAAGGAAAGAAAGGAAAGAAAAAATCGAAGGAAGGAAGGAAGGAAGGAAATTTGTTTCAGACATGTTAAGTCTGATTTTAATACTTGTTTTGCCTGGTCAAATGCTGTAACTAATGACAGCATTCCTTTCCAAATGTGGATTAAAGTGTTTCTGACATTTGGCAGGGAAAAGACTTTTAAGCTCTTTTCTGAAACATACCTTTCCATGATGTTTGATTTCTGTTGTTTTTTTTTTTATTTTAACCTGCACTTGTCCTAACAACTAAAGAATACCTAGATACCCAGTTCTCCCTCGTTCCCTGGGTCTTTTAATTTTCCAGTTATGTGCTATGTAATTCTGAACCAATTACTTTAGGTTTCTACATCCTCCATAAAATGGGGAAAATCAATTGTCAGAGCAGGAGATTTGGGTCCTTCCTATGAACTGTGATTACTGAGATAAGTACAGTAAGAGTATAATCTTATGATAAGAACACAATAACCTTAGGGTCAAGCTAGAGGGACAATTAAATTCCCATTATAAAATATGTCCTGAAGGAAAACCAATGTGACATGCAGAAACTGAGGCTCAGAACTTTTGAGTTCTGAGTCGGGCTACAAATTTTGTTAAGAAGAAATAGCTAAAAGCAGAGGCAGAGCAACCAAGTTGAATCACAAGATTGAAATTCATGTAAAGAAATCCGGTGAGGTTGGCCAGGCATGGCCACTCACACCTGTAATCTCAGCACTTTGGGAGGCCAAGGCGGCTGGATCACCTGAGCTCAGGAGTTCGAGACCAGCCTGGGCAATGTGACAAAACCCCGTTTCTACCAAAACAGAAAAAAATAGCCAAGCGAAGTGGTGTGCACCTGTAGTCCCAGCTACTTGGGAGACAGGAGAATCACTTCAGGCCAGGAGGTGGAGGTTGCAGTGAGCCAGAATCGTGCCACTGCAGCACTCCACCTGGGTGACAGAAGTGAAATCCTGTGTCAAAACAAAACAGAGAGAGAGAGAGAGAGAGAGGAAGGAAAGAAGGAAGGAAGGAAGGAAGGAAGGGAGGGAGGGAGGGAGGGAGGAAAAAAGGAAGGAAGGAGAGTAAACCTGGTGAAGTTGAAAATACAGAAGATTAGCAGAGGAGAAAGTGGCAAAGTTCTTGGGGTCCCCAGTGTCAGTCAAGGGCAGAGGTGGTTTAATACATAACTCAACACAATTGGAAACTACACTCAACCACCTGCAATATAAACAGACAAACAAAAACCCCATAGAGGCTTAAAAAAGATGATCAAATCAGAAGTTACAAGAAAAATTGCAAATAAAAACCATTCTGCAAGCTGAATAACATCTGTAGTTGAGTTCATCATAATTGTATCAATGATAATTTCTTAGTTCCAACAAATGTAGCATGGTTATGTAAGATGTTAACATTAGAGAAAGCTAAGCGAGAAAGTATATGGAAATTCTGTACTATCTTTGCAACTTTTCTGCAAATCTAAAATCATTCCACAATTTTAGAGACTTGCTGAGTCTTCCTGCCCTTGAACATCAGACTCCAAGTTCTTCAGCTTTTGGACTCTTGGATTTACACTAGTGGTTTGCCAGGGGCTCTCAGACCTTTGGCCACAGACTGAAGGCTGCACTGTCAGCTTCCCCACTTTTAAGGTTTTGGGACTTGGACTGATCCACCGGCTTCCTTGCTCCTCAACTTGCAGACAGCCTATCGTGGGACTTTACCTTGTGATCATGGATCATATGGATGGGAGGCAGGACTAGATTGCAGCTCCAACTCAGATGGTCAGAGCAGTGTGTGGAGGCTTGCATTGTGAATTTTTGCTCCAGAACAACTGCAGGAATAAATCAGGAAACCCAAGAGGACCCACAGACCCCCTGAAGGAAGCGGATGGCTTCTGCAGAACCTGGGAGACACCACAAATACTGTGAGTGCTCAAACTGTGGAAGTGAGAAAGGGAGAACATCTGGCCCCAAACACACACCTCCACTCGGAACACTGAAGGCTTACATTACGGGAGAAGATTCTGATCTTACCTGGAGCTGAGTCAATTTGGAGAGCCAAGAAAAATGCAGGAGTAGAAGAGGCAGTGGGAAAAGCCCTGGGAGCTTGCTGGGCCCCCTAGCAAGTTGTTTTTGCCTAGCCTCACAGGGGTCCTTTGGGAGGGTGGCCAGAGATGCTGAGCAAAGGCTAAAGGGAGAAGAAAATCTCCAGCTGAACTTTGTGACAATTTGAACTGTTCAAGAGCCCTTCTGGCCAGAACTTGGGGGAGGGTGTGAATCCAGTGTGCAGACTCCACAGGTAGGGGAAGAAGGAAAGCCATATTTGCTTTTGCAGCTTAGAGGCGGGTAGCCTGGGGCAAGTTCTCAGCCCTGCTCACCCACTGCCTGAAAACAGACTTGGTGCTGTTGGTGGGGGCACAGTGGGAGTGAGACCAGCCCTTCAGATTGCCTGGGAGCTGGGTGAGGCCTGTGACTGCTGGCTTTCCCCCATTTCCCTGACAACCTGCATGACACAGCAGAGACAGCCATAATCCTCTTAGGAACATAACTCTGTTGACCTGGGAACCTCACTCCATCCCCCACAGCAGTCGCAGCAATACCTGCCCAAGGAGAGTCTGAGCTCAGACGTGGCTAGCCCTGCCCCCACCCAGTGGTCCTTCCTTACCCACCCTGCTAGCTGAAGACAAAGGACATATGCTCTTGGGAGTTCTAGGGCTCCACCCACCACCTGCTCCTCCCCATACTACCACAGCTGATGCTCTTTGGAAAGTGCCACCTCCTGGCAGGAGGCCAATCAGCACAAAAATTGGGCATTAAACCACCAAAGCTAAGAACCCTCACAGAGTCCATTTCACTCCCCTGCCACCTCCACCATAACAGGTGCTGGTATCCGTGGCTGAGAGACCCACAGATGGTTCACATCACAGGACTCTGTACAGACAACCCCCAGTACCAGCACAGGGCCTGGTAGACTTGCTGGGTACCTAGATCCAGAAGAGAGATAACAATCACTACAACTTGGTTCTCAGTAAGCCACATCCACAGGAAAAGGGGGACAGTACTACATCAAGGGAACACCCCATGGGACAAAATAATCTAAACAACTGCTCTCAACCCTAGACCTTCCCTCTGACAGAGCCTACCCAAATGAGAAGGAACCAGAAAACCAACTCTGGTAATATGACAAAACTAGGTTCTTTAACACCTCCAAAAAAATCACACTAGCTTACCAGCGGTGGACTCGAACCAAAAAGAAATCCCTGATTTATCTGAAAAAGAATGCAGGAGGTTTGTTATTAAGCTAATCAGGGAGGCACCAGAGAAAGGCGAAACCCAATATAAGGAAATCCAAAAAATGATACAAGAAGTGAAGGGAGAAATATTCAAGGAAATATATAGCATAAATAAAAAACAATAAAAATGTCAGGAAACAATGGACACATCTATAGAAATGCAAACTGCTCTGGAAAGTCTCAGTAATAGAATTGAATAAGTGGAAGAAAGAAATTCAGAGCTCAAAGACAAGGTCTTCGAATTAACCCAATCCAACAAAGACAAAGAAAAAACAATAAGAAAATATGAACGAAGCCTCCGAGAAGTCTGGGATTATGTTAAACAGCCAAACCTAAGAATAATCAGTGTTCTTGAGGAAGAAGAAAAATCTAAAAGTTTGGAAAACATATTTGGGGGAATAACTGAGGAAAACTTCCCTGGCCTTGCCAGAGACCTAGACATCCAAATACAAGAAGCACAAAGAACACCTTGGAAATTAATCACAAAAAGATCATCACTTAGGCACATTGTCATCTGGTTATCCAAGGTTAAGACAAAGGAAAGAATCTTAAGAGCTTTGAGACAAAAGCACCAGGTAACCTATAGAGGAAAACCTATCAGATTAACAGCAGATTTCTCAGCAGAAGTTCTACAAGCTAGAAGGGGGGGAGGCCCTATCTTCAACCTCCTCAAACAAAACAATTATCAGCCAAGAATTTTGTATCCAGTGAAACTAAGCTTCATATATGAAGGGAAGATACAGTCTTTTTCAGACAAACAAATGCTGAGAGAATTTACCACTACCAAGCCACCACTACAAGAACTGCTAAAAGGAGCTCTAAATCTTGAAACAAATCCTGGAAACACATCAAAACAGAACCTCTTTAAAGTATAAATCTCCTAGGACCTACAAAACAAAAATACAATTTAAAAAAACAAAACAAAAAAAAAAACAACAAGGTATACAAGCAACAAATAGCAAGGTGAATGGAATGGTACCTCAATCTCAATACTGACATTGAATGTAAATGGCTTAAATGCTCCACTTAAAATATACAAAATTGCATAATGGATAAGAATTCACCAACCAACTATCTGCTGCCTTCAAAAGATTCACTTAACACATAAGGACTCACACAAATTTAATATAAAGGGATAGAAAAAGACATTGCAGGCAAATAGGCACCAGAAGTGAGCAAGAGTAGTTATTTCTTATCTCAAACAAAACAAACTTTAAAGCAACAGTGGTTAAAAAAGACAAAGAGGGGTATTATATAATGATAAAAGGCCTTGTCCAACAGGAAAATATCACAATCCTAAACATATATGCACCTAACACTGGAGCTCCCAAGTTTATAAAACAATTACTAATAGACCTAAGAAATGAGATAGAAAGCAGTATAATAATAGTCATGGACTTCAATACTCCACTGAGAGTACTAGACAGGTCATCAAGACAGGAAGTCAACAAAGAAACAATGGATTTAAACTATACCCTAGAACAAATAGACAACAGATATATACAGAACATTCCATCCAACAACTGCAGAATATACATTCTATTCAACAGTGCATGCAATTTTCTCCAAGATAGACCGTATAATAGGCCACAAAGCAAGCCTCAATACATTTATGAAGGTTGGAATTACACCAGGCACTCTCTCAGGCCACAGTGAAATAAAACTGGAAATCAACTCCAAAGGACCCTTCAAAACCATGCAAATATGTGGAAATTAAATAACCTGCTCCTGAATGATTATAAGCTCAAAAATGATATCAAGATGGAAATTTAAAAATTCTTTTTTTTTTTTTTGAAACGGAGTCTTGCTCTGTCGTCCAGGCTGGAGTGCAGTGGCTCGATCTCGGCTCACCGCAAGCTCCGCCTCCCGGGTTCACGCCATTCTCCTGCCTCAGCCTCCCGAGTAGCTGGGACTACAGGCGCCTGCTACCACGCCCGGCTAATTTTTTGTATTTTTAGTAGAGACGGGGTTTCACCGTGTTAGCCAGGATGGTCTCGATCTCCTGACCTCGTGATCCGCCCGCCTCGGCCTCCCAAAGTGCTGGGATTACAGGCGTGAGCCACCGCGCCCGGCCTTAAAAATTCTTCAGACTGAACAATAGTGACACAACCTATCAAAACCTCTGGGACACAGCAAAGGTTGTGCTAAGAGGAAAGTTTATAGCCCTAAACGCCTACATCATAAAGTTTGAAAGAGCACAAACAGAAAATATAAGGTCACACCTCAAGGAACTGGAGAAACAAGAACAAACCAAACCCAAACCCAGCAGAAGAAAGGAAAGAGCAGAACTAAATGAAATTGAAAGAATCAAACAAAAAAATGCAAAAGACAAGTGAAACAAAAAACTCATTCCTTGAAAAGATAAATAAAATTGATAGACTATTAGCAAGATTAACAAAGAACAGAGGAGAGAAAATCCAAATAACCTCACTAATAAATGAAATGGGATTTATTATATCTGACACCACAGAAATACAAAAGATCATTCAAGGCTATTATGAACACCTTTATGTGCATAAACTAGAAAACCTAGAAGATATGGATAAATTCCTGGAAAGATACAACCCTCCTAGCTTAAATCAGGAAGAATTTGATACCCTGACCAATAACAAGCAGCAAGATTGAATGGTAATTTAAAAATTACCAATAAAAAAAGTCCAGCAGATTTCTACCAGACATTCAAAGAAGAATTGTTACTCATCCTATTGACACTCTTGCACAAGATAGAGAAAGAGGAAACCCTCCCTAAATCATTCTATAAAGCCAGCATCACCCTAATACCTAAACCAGGAAAGGACATAACCAAGAAAGAAAACTACAGACCAATATCCCTGATGAACATAGATGCTAAAATCCTTGACAAAATACTAGCTAACTGAATCCAACAACATATAAAAAAGATAATCCATCATAATTAAGAGGGTTTCATACCAGGGATGCAGGGATGGTTTAATATACCAAGTCAATAAATGTGACACACCACATAAACAGAATTAAAAACAAAAATCACATGATCATCTCAATAGATGCAGAAAAAGCATTCTACAAAATCCAGCATCCCTTTATGATTAAAACTCTCAGCAAAATTGGCATACAGGGGACATACCTCAATATAATAAAAACTGTCTATAACAAACCCACAGCAAACATCATAGTGAATGGGGAAAAGTTGAAAGCATTCCCTCTGAGAACTGGCACAAGACAAGGATGCCCACTGTCACCACTCCTTTTCAGCATTGTACTGGAAGTCCTAGCCAGAGCAATCAGACAAGAGAAAGAAATAAAGGGCATCCAAATCGGTAAAAAGGAAATCAAACTGTCACTGTTTGCTGATGATATGATTATTTACCTAGAAAACACTACAGATTCTTCCAGAAAGCTCCTAGAACTGATAAAAGAATTCAGCAAAGTTTCTGGATACAAAATTAGTGTACACAAATCAGTAGCTCTTCTATACACCAACAGTGACCAAGCTGAGAATCAATCAAAAACTCAACCCCTTTTACAATAGCTGCAAAATAATTAAATACTTAGGAATATACCTAACCAAGGAGGTGAAAGACCTCTACAAGGAAAACTACAAAACACTGATGAAATAAATCACAGAAGTCACAAACAAATGGAAACATATCCCATGCTCATGAATGGGTAGAATCAATATTGTGAAAATAACCATATTGCCAAAAGCAATCTATAAATTAAATGCAATTCCCATCAAAATACCACTATAATTTTTCACAGAATTAGAAAAAACAACTCTAAAATTCATATGGAACCAAAAAAGAGCCCCCATAGCCAAAGCAAGACTAAGCAAAAAGAAAAAATCTGGAGGCATCACATTCTCCAACTTCAAACTATACTATAAGGTCATAGTCACCAAAACAGCATGGTGCTGGCATAAAAATAGGCACATAGACCAGTGGAACAAAATAGAGAACCCAGAAATAAACACAAATACTTATAGCTAACTGATCTTCAACAAAGCAAACAAAAACATAAAGTGGGGAAAGGACACCCTTTTCAACAAATGTTACTGGGATAATTGGCTAGCCACATGTAGGAGACTGAAACTGGATCCTCATCTCTCATCTTATACAAAAATCAACTCAGGATGGATTAAGGACTTAAATCTAAGACCTGAAACTATAAAAACCCTAGAAGATAACATTGGAAAAACCCTTCTAGACATTAGCTTAGGCAAGGAGTTCATAACCAAGGAACCAAAAACAAATGCAATAAAAACAAAGATAAATTGCTGGGACTTAAACTAAAGAGCTTTTGCACGGCAAAAGGAACAGTCACCAGAGTAAACAGACAACCCACAGAGTGGAAAAAATCTTCACAATATATACATATGAAAAAGGACTAATATCCAGAATCTAAAATAAACTCAAATCAACAAGCAAAAAACAAACAATCCCATCAAAAGTGGGCTAAGGACATGAATAGAAAATTCTCAAAAAGAAGATGTACAAATGATCAACAAACATATGAAAAAATGCTCAGCATCACTAATGATCAGGGAAATGCAAATCAAAATCACAATGTGATACCACCTTACTCCTGCTACAATGGCCATAATCAAAAAATAAAAATACAGTAGATGTTGGCATGGATGCAGTGAACAGGGAGCACTTCTACACTGCTGGTGGGAATGTAAACTAGTACAATCGCTATGGAATACAATGTGGAGAATTCTTTTTTTTTTTTTTAATTGTACTTTAAGTTTTAGGGTACATGTGCACATTGTGCAGGTTAGTTACATATGTATACATGTGCCATGCTGGTGCACTGCACCCACTAACGTGTCATCTAGCATTAGGTATATCTCCCAATGCTATCCCTCCCCCCTCCCCCCACCCCACCACAGTCCCCAGAGTGTGATATTCCCCTTCCTGTGTCCATGTGATCTCATTGTTCAATTCCCACCTATGAGTGAGAATATGCGGTGTTTGGTTTTTTGTTCTTGCGATAGTTTACTGAGAATGATGGTTTCCAATTTCATCCATGTCCCTACAAAGGACATGAACTCATCATTTTTTATGGCTGCATAGTATTCCATGGTGTATATGTGCCACATTTTCTTAATCCAGTCTATCATTGTTGGACATTTGGGTTGGTTCCAAGTCTTTGCTATTGTGAATAATGCCGCAATAAACATACGTGTGCATGTGTCTTTATAGCAGCATGATTTATAGTCATTTGGGTATATACCCAGTAATGGGATGGCTGGGTCAAATGGTATTTCTAGTTCTAGATTCCTGAGGAATCGCCACACTGACTTCCACAATGGTTGAACTAGTTTACAGTCCCACCAACAGTGTAAAAGTGTTCCTATTTCTCCACATCCTCTCCAGCACCTGTTGTTTCCTGACTTTTTAATGATTGCCATTCTAACTGGTGTGAGATGATATCTCATAGTGGTTTTGATTTGCATTTCTCTGATGGCCAGTGATGATGAGCATTTTTTCATGTGTTTTTTGGCTGCATAAATGTCTTCTTTTGAGAAGTGTCTGTTCATGTCCTTCGCCCACTTTTTGATGGGGTTGTTTGTTTTTTTCTTGTAAATTTGTTTGAGTTCATTGTAGATTCTGGATATTAGCCCTTTGTCAGATGAGTAGGTTGCGAAAATTTTCTCCCATGTTGTAGGTTGCCTGTTCACTCTGATGGTAGTTTCTTTTGCTGTGCAGAAGCTCTTTAGTTTAATTAGATCCCATTTGTCAATTTTGGCTTTTGTTGCCATTGCTTTTGGTGTTTTGGACATGAAGTCCTTGCCCACGCCTATGTCCTGAATGGTAATGCCTAGGTTTTCTTCTAGGGTTTTTATGGTTTTAGGTCTAACGTTTAAATCTTTAATCCATCTTGAATTGATTTTTGTATAAGGTGTAAGGAAGGGATCCAGTTTCAGCTTTCTACATATGGCTAGCCAGTTTTCCCAGCACCATTTATTAAATAGGGAATCCTTTCCCCATTGCTTGTTTTTCTCAGGTTTGTCAAAGATCAGATAGTTGTAGATATGCGGCGTTATTTCTGAGGGCTCTGTTCTGTTCCATTGATCTATATCTCTGTTTTGGTACCAGTACCATGCTGTTTTGGTTACTGTAGCCTTGTAGTATAGTTTGAAGTCAGGTAGCGTGATGCCTCCAGCTTTGTTCTTTTGGCTTAGGATTGACTTGGCAATGCGGGCTCTTTTTTGGTTCCATATGAACTTTAAAGTAGTTTTTTCCAATTCTGTGAAGAAAGTCATTGGTAGCTTGATGGGGATGGCATTGAATCTGTAAATTACCTTGGGCAGTATGGCCATTTTCACGATATTGATTCTTCCTACCCATGAGCATGGAATGTTCTTCCATTTGTTTGTGTCCTCTTTTATTTCCTTGAGCAGTGGTTTGTAGTTCTCCTTGAAGAGGTCCTTCACATCCCTTGTAAGTTGGATTCCTAGGTATTTTATTCTCTTTGAAGCAATTGTGAATGGGAGTTCACTCACGATTTGGCTCTCTGTTTGTCTGTTGTTGGTGTATAAGAATGCTTGTGATTTTTGTACATTGATTTTGTATCCTGAGACTTTGCTGAAGTTGCTTATCAGCTTAAGGAGATTTTGGGCTGAGACGATGGGGTTTTCTAGATAAACAATCATGTCGTCTGCAAACAGGGACAATTTGACTTCCTCTTTTCCTAATTGAATACCCTTTATTTCCTTCTCCTGCCTGATTGCCCTGGCCAGAACTTCCAACACTATGTTGAATAGGAGTGGTGAGAGAAGGCATCCCTGTCTTGTGCCAGTTTTCAGAGGGAATGCTTCCAGTTTTTGCCCATTCAGTATGATATTGGCTGTGGGTTTGTCATAGATAGCTCTTATTATTTTGAAATACGTCCCATCAATACCTAATTTATTGAGAGTTTTTAGCATGAAGGGTTGTTGAATTTTGTCAAAGGCTTTTTCTGCATCTATTGAGATAATCATGTGGTTTTTGTCTTTGGCTCTGTTTATATGCTGGATTACATTTATTGATTTGCGTATATTGAACCAGCCTTGCATCCCAGGGATGAAGCCCACTTGATCATGGTGGATAAGCTTTTTGATGTGCTGCTGGATTCGGTTTGCCAGTATTTTATTGAGGATTTTTGCATCAATGTTCATCAAGGATATTGGTCTAAAATTCTCTTTTTTGGTTGTGTCTCTGCCCGGCTTTGGTATCAGAATGATGCTGGCCTCATAAAATGAGTTAGGGAGGATTCCCTCTTTTTCTATTGATTGGAATAGTTTCAGAAGGAATGGTACCAGTTCCTCCTTGTACCTCTGGTAGAATTCGGCTGTGAATCCATCTGGTCCTGGACTCTTTTTGGTTGGTAAACTATTGATTATTGCCACAATTTCAGAGCCTGTTATTGGTCTATTCAGAGATTCAACTTCTTCCTGGTTTAGTCTTGGGAGAGTGTATGTGTCCAGGAATGTATCCATTTCTTCTAGATTTTCTAGTTTATTTGCATAGAGGTGTTTGTAGTATTCTCTGATGGTAGTTTGTATTTCTGTGGGATCGGTGGTGATATCCCCTTTATCATTTTTTATTGTGTCTATTTGATTCTTCTCTCTTTTTTTCTTTATTAGTCTTGCTAGCGGTCTATCAATTTTGTTGATCCTTTCAAAAAACCAGCTCCTGGATTCATTGATTTTTTGAAGGGTTTTTTGTGTCTCTATTTCCTTCAGTTCTGCTCTGATTTTAGTTGTTTCTTGCCTTCTGCTAGCTTTTGAATGTGTTTGCTCTTGCTTTTCTAGTTCTTTTAATTGTGATGTTAGGGTGTCAATTTTGGATCTTTCCTGCTTTCTCTTGTAGGCATTTAGTGCTATAAATTTCCCTCTACACACTGCTTTGAATGCGTCCCAGAGATTCTGGTATGTGGTGTCTTTGTTCTCGTTGGTTTCAAAGAACATCTTTATTTCTGCCTTCATTTCGTTATGTACCCAGTAGTCATTCAGGAGCAGGTTGTTCAGTTTCCATGTAGTTGAGCGGCTTTGAGTGAGATTCTTAATCCTGAGTTCTAGTTTCATTGCACTGTGGTCTGAGAGATAGTTTGTTATAATTTCTGTTCTTTTACATTTGCTGAGGAGAGCTTTACTTCCAACTATGTGGTCAATTTTGGAATAGGTGTGGTGTGGTGCTGAAAAAAATGTATATTCTGTTGATTTGGGGTGGAGAGTTCTGTAGATGTCTATTAGGTCCGCTTGGTGCAGAGCTGAGTTCAATTCCTGGGTATCCTTGTTGACTTTCTGTCTCGTTGATCTGTCTAATGTTGACAGTGGGGTGTTAAAGTCTCCCATTATTAATGTGTGGGAGTCTAAGTCTCTTTGTAGGTCACTCAGGACTTGCTTTATGAATCTGGGTGCTCCTGTATTGGGTGCATAAATATTTAGGATAGTTAGCTCCTCTTGTTGAATTGATCCCTTTACCATTATGTAATGGCCTTCTTTGTCTCTTTTGATCTTTGTTGGTTTAAAGTCTGTTTTATCAGAGACTAGGATTGCAACCCCTGCCTTTTTTTGTTTTCCATTGGCTTGGTAGATCTTCCTCCATCCTTTTATTTTGAGCCTATGTGTGTCTCTGCACGTGAGCTGGGTTTCCTGAATACAGCACACTGATGGGTCTTGATTCTTTATCCAACTTGCCAGTCTGTGTCTTTTAATTGCAGAATTTAGTCCATTTATATTTAAAGTTAATATTGTTATTTGTGAATTTGATGCTGTCATTATGATGTTAGCTGGTGATTTTGCTCGTTAGTTGATGCAGTTTCTTCCTAGTCTCGATGGTCTTTACATTTTGGCATGATTTTGCAGCGGCTGGTACCGGTTGTTCCTTTCCATGTTTAGCGCTTCCTTCAGGAGCTCTTTTAGGGCAGGCCTGGTGGTGACAAAATCTCTCAGCATTTGCTTGTCTATAAAGTATTTTATTTCTCCTTCACTTATGAAGCTTAGTTTGGCTGGATATGAAATTCTGGGTTGAAAATTCTTTTCTTTAAGAATGTTGAATATTGTCCCCCACTCTCTTCTGGTTTGTAGGGTTTCTGCCGAGAGATCCGCTGTTAGTCTGATGGGCTTTCCTTTGAGGGTAACCCGACCTTTCTCTCTGGCTGCCCTTAACATTTTTTCCTTCATTTCAACTTTGGTGAATCTGACAATTATGTGTCTTGGAGTTGCTCTTCTCGAGGAGTATCTTTGTGGCGTTCTCTGTATTTCCTGAATCTGAACGTTGGCCTGCCTTGCTAGATTGGGGAAGTTCTCCTGGATAATATCCTGCAGAGTGTTTTCCAACTTGGTTCCATTCTCCACATCACTTTCAGGTACACCAATCAGACGTAGATTTGGTCTTTTCACATAGTCCCATATTTCTTGGAGGCTTTGCTCATTTCTTTTTATTCTTTTTTCTCTAAACTTCCCTTCTTGCTTCATTTCATTCATTTCATCTTCCATTGCTGATACCCTTTCTTCCAGTTGATCGCATCGGCTCCTGAGGCTTCTGCATTCTTCACGTAGTTCTCGAGCCTTGGTTTTCAGCTCCATCAGCTCCTTTAAGCACTTCTCTGTATTGGTTATTCTAGTTATACATTCTTCTAAATTTTTTTCAAAGTTTTCAACTTCTTTGCCTTTGGTTTGAATGTCCTCCCGTAGCTCAGAGTAATTTGATCGTCTGAAGCCTTCTTCTCTCAGCTCGTCAAAATCATTCTCCATCCAGCTTTGTTCCGTTGCTGGTGAGGAACAGCGTTCCTTTGGAGGAGGAGAGGCGCTCTGCGTTTTAGAGTTTCCAGTTTTTCTGTTCTGTTTTTTCCCCATCTTTGTGGTTTTATCTACTTTTGGTCTTTGATGATGGTGATGTACACATGGGTTTTCGGTGTAGATGTCCTTTCTGGTTGTTAGTTTTCCTTCTAACAGACAGGACTCTCAGCTGCAGGTCTGTTGGAATACCCTGCCGTGTGAGGTGTCAGTGTGCCCCTGCTGGGGGGTGCCTCCCAGTTAGGCTGCTCGGGGGTCAGGGGTCAGGGACCCACTTGAGGAGGCAGTCTGCCCGTTCTCAGATCTCCAGCTGCGTGCTGGGAGAACCACTGCGCTCTTCAAATATGTCAGACAGGGACACTTAAGTCTGCAGAGGTTACTGCTGTCTTTTTGTTTGTCTGTGCCCTGCCCCCAGAGGTGGAGCCTACAGAGGCAGGCAGGCCTCCTTGAGCTATGGTGGGCTCCACCCAGTTCGAGCTTCCCAGCTGCTTTGTTTACCTAAGCAAGCCTGGGCAATGGCGGGCGCCCCTCCCCCAGCCTCGTTGCCGCCTTGCAGTTTGATCTCAGACTGCTGTGCTAGCAATCAGCGAGATTCCGTGGGCGTAGGACCCTCTGAGCCAGGTGTGGGATATAGTCTCGTGGTGCGCCGTTTTTTAAGCCGGTCTGAAAAACGCAATATTCGGGTGGGAGTGACCCGATTTTCCAGGTGCGTCCGTCACCCCTTTCTTTGACTCGGAAAGGGAACTCCCTGACCCCTTGCGCTTCCCAGGTGAGGCAATGCCTCGCCCTGCTTCGGCTCGTGCACGGTGCGCGCACACACTGGCCTGCGCCCACTGTCTGGCACTCCCTAGTGAGATGAACCCAGTACCTCAGATGGAAATGCAGAAATCACCCGTCTTCTGCGTCGCTCACGCTGGGAGCTGTAGACCGGAGCTGTTCCTATTCGGCCATCTTGGCTCGGGAAGTGGAGAATTCTTAAAGAACTAAAAGTAGAACTAACATTTGATCCAGCAGTCCCACTACTGGGTATCTACCCAGAGGAAAAGAAGTCATTATAAAAAAAGATACCTCCACACTCATGTTTATAGCAGCACAATTCGCAATTGCAAAAACGTGGAACCAACCCAAATGCCCATCAGTCAATGAGTCAATAAAGAAACTGGTACATATGGAATACTACTCAGCCATAAAAAATGAATTAATGGCATTTGCATCAACCTGGATGATATTGGAGACTATTACTCTAAGTGAAGTAACTCAGGGATGGAAAACCAAACATCACATCTTCTCACTAGTAAGTGGGAACTAAGCTATGAGGATGCAAAGGCATAAGAATGACAAAATGGACTTTGGGGACTCAGGAGGAAAGGGTGGGAAGGGGGTGAAGAATAAAAGACTACAAATATGGTGCAGTGTATAATGCTGCGATAATGGGTGCACCAAAATCTCACAAGTCACCACTAAAAAACTGACTCACATAACCAAACATTAACTGTTCCCCAATAACCTATGAAAATAAAAATAAATAAATAAAATTATTCCACAATTTAAAACAATTTAAAATTAAAAAAAACTTATTTCACCTAGTTGAAAAATTAGTTATTGCTTGGGGTAATCTTTACACACACACACACACACACACACACACACACACACAAAGTCAAACAACTCAGTTGCTCAGGGCACATGTGTAGAAACTAAACTGATGGACCTTGGTCCTGAGCCTGGCCTTGTTATTTACTAGCTGTGTGACTTCGAGCAAGTTTACTTATCCTCTATTTATTTCACCTATAAAATGAATATACTAACAGTGCTAATAGTACTCTTGCAAAATAATCCGGGGTGTTTTGTACATTGCCTGGCACAAGGATAATACTCAATGAATGGAACAATTATTAATGGTAGAGTGTTGACTGATGTTTGTCTATCATGTGTGTCTGCTTGTGTGTGTGTGTATACAGACAAAGTTGAGTATGTAGCACCTAGAGTATTTTATCACTGCTCAAGGAAACATTTGACTTGTTGTGCGGTGCTTTGGGTTTACAAACAGATAACTTGTTTCAGTGTTCTCTCAGAAATATGATTTTCAATTCAGCTCCTCTTTTATATTAAAGTAAGCACTGTAACCAGATGGTCTCTGTTCTGGAGTTCCAGAATGACATTAAAAATGAGTGGGCTGAGGGATTTTATTAGTCATTTGTTGGCTTTGCAGCAGCCATTTCCATGAAATTATAGGACAATGATAAAATTAAAGCAGCTTATGCTGGGTTTTGGAAAGCTGGTCCCAAGGTCTGCAAATAGTCATGGATCAGGAATGTAGAACAGGGGCAATAAATTGGAGGATTATTGCCTGATGATCCCAGGTCTCTTTGGCAGAGAAGCCAAGACCTTTAAGGAGCTTGGCCCAAGGAAAATAGGCCAAAGACAGGAAATATTGCCATGCTGAAGAAAGTCTGGAACACCTCAGGTCTCTGGTTAGCATGACGCCTCCAGTGGAAGGGAGATACCCCCTAATGGGCATTTGGAAACTTTCCATGAACTGGATCTAAAAGAAGAGTAACTTGGAATTAAACTGGGGACCTTAAGTCAACCTATCCATGTATGGGCTCCTCTTCAAGTCTTCCCTGGCCTGCCAGTGTCCTGCTTAGACTTCATTACCTTGTACCCTCCTCCTCTCTCTCTTACTGTTCTTCCATATAACTGCCTTCTCACTACTTATACCTATTTCCCACCAGCTTGGCGGTGGGAGGATCCGGTGAGAACCGGTGCAGGACCTCAGAGGTTAATGACAGATGTTGTGAAACAAATGAATATGAAGCTAAAAAACTTAAAGCCTGAGTTCCAGTCCTAACTCTACCATCTGCAGGTGTGGGAAAGAAACTGAGTATCTCCCATAGTCTCGTGTTTTTTTACATCTAACAGCTTCCTTTTACATTAAAAATAACAATAAGTTCCTTAGTTGGTCTACAAGATCTCTATGAGGTTGTTATGAGGTTTAAATGGAACATACATAAAAATTGTTGAGTACCTAATAAACACTCAATAGACATTAATTCCCTTCACCTTTTTATCCATTGGAACTTTTCCCTGAAGTTTCAGGAAATTATGCTGCCAATTGGCCACATAATTTTCACAACCTGCTGTATTACAAATGTATGAAACAACCTCACTGAAAGGGTTGGGGAAGGGTGTTGAACCACATAATTTTGAAAATGAGTGGAGGCTCTAAGACTAGAGTAAAAGAAACTGTACATAAGCACTGTGCTGTATCTGATCAAGTTCAGTATTGGCTGACAATTCTGATATCACTATACATGTACACAGGACTGAAACAAGGAAGGGATAGGGAGTACAATGAAAAGCAAAATGTCTTCAAATTCCAAGAAATATCATGTCAATATTTAGTTGTACCATAGCCATCACATGTGAATGATGCCTTTTGAGATTTTAAAAGCCAAGTGAATTTCCAACTTGGATTGCCTGCTTTCTCTGAGCCCAGATTTCTGATAGCAACTGATTTTGATTAGTATGCCAGGATATGTAAGAAGTAATTAGTTAATTGGATGACCTTCTTTCTTAATACCCCTGTGATATTTGCTTGGATAAATTTGCCTACTCTTTTAACTTATATTTTTGCTCTAAATCCATTGAGAAGAGAATAGTGAAAGCTTCTTATCCAGATCTTGTATCACCTTGAAAGTTTTTATGAATATTTCCAACATAGGCACTGTCTTCTCCCAAATATACGTAGAGGTGATTAGAATCCAGTTCTCCAAAATATGATCCACTTTTCAACAGCTTCTAGAGTTTCTAAAAGAGATAGGCTACTTTTGAGTTTTTCTTTCTTTCTTTTTTCTTTTCTTTTTTTTCCTGAGAATGGTAGGGAAAGGAAAACCATTTGCAAAAGACTGAAAGGTTGTATTAACTTTTAAAATTGCCTTTCCTCTAGATTTCAAGTTTGATACTTAATCGCCTTTGATTCCAAAACAGAAAAGGCAAGTCAGCTGCATCCACTTACATGAACAGCATGCTAGTAGCTTCAGAGTAACTGTCAGCTTTTGTCGGGTGATTTCAGCATGGTGCTCCTATCTGTCTTCACTCCTAAAATTTCTGAAATCACTAATAATTGAGAAGGCTAGTAAAGAATTGTAGCAGGTAAGAGTTAAATTCAGTGTGTAGCAAAAGAAACATTTTTTCAGGAGGGAAAAAATGAATAGAAGAAAACCATGAGAGTAAAGTAGGAGAAGAAATAATCATGACTCCCGGGAAGTGGGACAATACAATGGTTAGGAGGACAAATGCCCTAGGTTTTCAACCAGGTCTACCCATGCTAGCTTTGTGATCTTAAGGAGGTTACTTAACCTCTCTATGCTTTAATTTTTGTACCTGAAGCAGAGATTATGTGATAATGGTATCTGTCTAATAAGGTTGCTATAGAAATGAAATGACTAAGGTCTATCCCATAGTAAATACCATATAAATCTTTGTTAAACAAAAATAATAGTGGCATAGTGAATATGACTATATAATACCATGCATTTGCCAAAACTCATGGAAATTTAGAGCATAAAGAGTGACCGTTAATGTATGCAAATTACAAAAATTATTTAGAAGGCTGAATGGAATGCAGAATATGAGAAAATAACCTAGCTTATTACAAATGCATGAAATAACCTCACTGAGGGGGTTGGGGGAAGGATGCTGAACTGAGTAATTTTGGAAATGAGTGAAGTCTGTATGACTAAAGCAAAAAAATTATACATAAGCACTGTGCTCTATTTGATAGGTATTGGTTAACAATTCTGATGCCACTATACATGTATACATGAATGAAATAAGGAAATGGATGCCAGGTATTTGAAGCTACTTTTATCACTGTTAAATTGGGGGGTTACAGATGAGTAAGGGGAGGAGGCCAGAATGATCTATGTAGCAACAGATTTAGAGTTGGAGACATCTGTGTGAACTCATGTTTAGCTTAATACCGATGTAGATAGTTACATATAGAAATGTTTATAGATATATCAATATACATGGGCTGACATACACACATATTTTCTTGTTCTGTCAGCTAAGGGGGCCTAGAGGCAACAATACAGAGTAGGAATGAGCACATCTTGCATCTAGATCCTGGTTTCTGATGCTGTTCTCCAACAGAAAGAACCAAAGCTCCTTGGAGAAATGGTTGGTCTAGGATGGGGGCAGGAAATGTACAAGCTGAGCTTGAAGCATCTCATGGTGCCAGAAAGTAAGGAAGTGCTCAAAACAAACAAACAAACGAAGCACCATATCAACAAGAAGCATCCTTACATGAATGAGAATGTGTTAAAAGGAAAGAAGAATCAACTGAAAGAGCTCCCAATGTCCAAAGCTGAAACAATTTGAGCAATTAAAACAAAGCACTATTGAATGATAGCCCAAAATATAAAATAAACATCCATGAGCCCATACTGGTACAAATAAGCAAATAAATGGGGAGGGGGAGGAGAAGAAGAAAGATATAGACAAATCTTCCATGCAGATGATTTCCAAATGATTTATGTAGTTATTCTGCCTTTAAGGAAGTGGAGCATAATTTCCTCCTCCTTAAGTGTGGGTGGTGCATAGTGACTGCTTTCCAAAAAGCAAGGTTTGGAAAGGGAGAAAAAGGAGTAAATGTATAATGGAAATAACTGACAAATACCACCTTAGCCAGGTAATCAGGGTTAACATCAAGAATGCCATGTCTATAGCATGTAATTTTGATATGATGTGATGAAAATGACATTTTATCTCTGCAGCCTTCCTCTCAAAATCCATAATCCCAGTATAATCATAAGAAAAACATTAGACACATCCCAGTTGAGGGACATTCTCCAAAATACCCGACCAGTGCTCTCTAAAGCTGCAAATGTCATGAAAATAAAGTCTGAGTAACTGTCATAGCCAAGAGGAGCCTAAAGCGACATGACTACTAAATGTAGTGTGGTATCTTCTATGGAATCCTGGAACAGAAAAAAGCCTTAGATAAAGACTAAGAAAATCTGAACAAAGTATGGACATTCATTAAGAATAATGTATCAATATTGGCTCATTAATTGTAACCAATACAGTAGTTCCCCCCTTATCTGCAATTTCACTCTCTATGGTTTCAGTTACCTACAGTCAACTGTGGTTCAAAAATATTAACATTAAGTATTTTGACAGAGAGAGAAAGAGAGAGAGAGAGACCACATTCACATAACTTTTATGACAGTATATTGTTATAACTGTTCTATTTTATTATTTTTGGTGATTTCCTACTGTGTCTAATTTATAAATTCAAATTTATCATAGGTATGTATATACAGGAAAAAACTATATATCGGGCTTGGTACTATCCGCAGTTTCAGGCATTCATGGGGGTCTTAGAATGCATCCCCAGAGATAAAAGGGGACTACTATATATGGCTATTCTGTATTATCTTCATAATTTTTCTGTAAATCTAAAGCTGTTCTAAAACACCAATTTTACTTAAAATAATAAATGATTAACATTTATTAAGCATTCACACTATGATAGTAAATTCTCATACATTAATTTTATTACTCAGAAATAATTGGTAGCAGAAAAATGTCACTTATAAATTAACTAAAAGCAAAGTCTTAAATTTTATAGTAAAATCGTGAAATATAATAGGTTTGATTGGATGTTCATTTTGAAAAACAAAACTAAAATTATGAAACTGACTTTATTAAAATACAGAATTTTTTTAGCTGAGCACAGTGGCTCACACCTATAATTCCAGGACTTTGGACTTTGGGAGGCTGAGGCAGGAAGATGGCTTGAGCTCAGGAGTTTGAGACCAGCCTGGAAAACACAGTGAGTCCCTGTCTCTACAAAATTTTTTTTAAAAAATTAAATGAGTGTGGTGGCATGCACCTGTGGCCCCAGGTACTTGGGAAGCTGAGGTAGGAAGATTGCTTGAGCCTGGGAGGTCAAAGTTGCGGTGAGCTGTAATCATGCCACTGAACTCCAGCCTGGGTAACAGAGAAAGACCCTGTCTGAAATACACACACACACACAGACACACACACACACACACACACACTTACAATATTAGATATAAAGTATAGTATAGATGTACAATTACGCAGGAATGCTTAGCACTAAAAAGGAATAAATTAACCCAGAAAATTTTTTTTCTGTGGGGTGGAGGAGAATAATTTTGGCAACCAAAATATATAATGGCATGAAATGACATCTTTTTCTTTATAGTATAATCATAAAGGAAATGTTTTTACAAAAAACAATTATGACTTGCTCTATTTTCCCAATGTTTCTCTTAATTCTCTGATGTTCAGATCATTTTTTCCTGAAGAATCTATCCTGTTATCATCCTTGTTCCCCATGAAATACAGCCAGACCCTCCTGTTGGATTTAATTTTTCCTGTCTTTGACTTACAGGATCATTTTGTCCATACTTCTCTGACAACCTTCATTTCATTCTGTTAGGTATTAGAGTTAGTTGTTTAAACGCCTTTCTTCTGCCAGAAAATGATACTGAGAATTGCAATAATGTCTAAGTAAGTTTTGTGTCCTCTGTAGCACCTAAAATGGTGCCTTGAGTTCAGTCCACCTCAATTTCTCCATTTGCAAACCAGGAAAAAATTTTTTTAAAACTTGCCATTCCTACTTCACAGGATTACAGTGAAAACTCGTGAGCCTGACTTTCCTCACAGGCAGGGCCATGAGTCCTACTGGCACCTTCCTGGTCTTTCAGAAGACCATAAGCCACAGCAGGGAGAGAATAGAACTTCAGCTCTTTCCAATAGAGCAGATGTGTTAAACAATTTAACCTTCATGGCAACTCCAATCTACTGGCAGTGACCATTGAGGTGCAGTGTATTAGTCTGTTCTCATGCTACTAATAAAGACTTATCCAAGACTGAGTAAGTTATAAAGAAAAAGATGTTTAATGAACCCACAGTTCCACATGGCTGGGGAGGCCTCACAACATGGCAGAAGGCAAAGGAGGAGCAAAGGCATGTCTTACATGTGGCAAACAAGAGAGAGTGTGTAGGGGAACTGCCTTTTATAAAACCATCGGATCTCATGAGATGTATTCACTATCACAAGAATAGCATGGGAAAAACTCACCCCCATGATTCAATAACCTCCCACCAGGTCCTTTCCAAGACGTGGGGATTATGGGAGCTATAATTCAAGATGAGATTTGGGTGGGGACACAGCCAAACCATGTCATGTAGTATTGAGAATAACTCAAACTATACCCAGGACCAACAGGGGAAACCACCATGTTGGGTTAGAAATGTCTGCCATGGCTTTGAGATCAGGAACTGGTGGCATGTATTCTATAGTCTTTAAAGTGTGGTGACCAGCAGTTCCTCAGACCTTGTATGTGCATGCTACTCCTCATTTCAAGAGGAAGAGTTGATTTCCCCTCTTCTGGCCTAGCCTCAGGTCTTGCTTTGACAAATAGAAATTGGAAGAAATGATTTAGGATTTTCTCAAGCTATGCCTTGGAAGGGGCCAGCAGTTTTTGCGTCCTTTCTTTTGGAAGCCAGCTATCATCTAAAATGTCTTTCCAACCTGAGATCACCATACTGTAAGGAAGCCTAGCATAGTCACGTAGAGTGGAGGTGGAAGATCACTGAGGTGCCAGTCAAGTGAGTGAAGCCTTATTGGACCTTCAGGCCCAATCCAGTTACTGTTGAATGCAGCTGAATGACTCTAGGTGACATCATATGGAACCAGCCAGCTAAGGCCCTGCCCAAATCCCTGACTCGCAGAATGATGGAAAATAGTAAATCATCATTGTTTTAAGCCATTAGTATTGGGACAGTTTGTTACACAGCAATAAACATCTAACACAGCAGATGGGACAGAGTTTTGCCGTTTTTGTATTAAAGGGTACTGGTTAGCTCCCAGACCCCTGGTCCACATAATATTACTTGATTGGTCAGGGCCCAGGGATTGGTGTATTTCAAAAGTTCTTCCTTAAATTGTCACATAGAACTAGGGTTCAAAATCACTGATCTAGCCAGAATCATAAGTGCTATACACCAAGTTAGAAAGTCAAACTGAGCTAAAACAGAGTAATAAGACTTTAGCAAGGCATTAATATCCCAGATTAGTGAGATAAACAAAAGAAAATGAAAATTGCCCCTTACCAGTCAACTACAACATGCATATTAAGTTGGGCAAGCTGCAGAAAGGTAAGTAAAGAAGAACACAGCAATCAGAGACAAATGAATAAACAGGCAAATAAAAGAGCACTCCTCTTGTTCTTCCTGAGCAATATAATAGGACTTCACCCCCAAATTTAGGCCCAGTAATTCCTCAGTTGCAACCTAATTAGCCTTAAAGGAATTTGGAGCCAGGAAAAACCCACAAAAGTGGAAATTGGAGCAATGAAAGTATTTCATATTAACACATGCAAAGGCTGAACGTGCCCAGCCCAGGGGAAAGTACAGCTTTTCTTGGTGGGGGGCAAGATTTTTAGGATTGTATTTTGTGCTTCATTCCATTTTCAACTAAAATTTGGATAACAATAAGGTTTGACAGTTTTTGGTGAAAGCATGAGGGAAAGGAGTTTACGATTCTCAGATATGTGGAGTACTATTTGGTATTTTCATATTTTACTGGAAAGTCATTAAGGAGATATGTATTCCAAGCCACATCACCAATTTCCAGATATTGACTTTAACTGAGATGTCAATATTCTAGTCACATCAGCAGAGTTTAACCTCAACTAGTGTCTGCTGACATATGACACTTTGCCTGCCCTTTTAACCATTTGTATCTTTGCGTGAGGCAAAATGTATTCTGTCTCTGTTGAGGTATAATTGTCAAATACTTGAATCTAAAACTCTAGACTTAACAGAACTTAAAAAAGAAAAGAAAAAAAGGGAAAAGAGAGAAAGCAAAAGAAAGTGCTGGTTTTCATTGCAGGCATGTCTGCCTTTGAAGCTTGATATTCTAGAAGCTGAAATGAGCGTCTCCAGTGGTTTTGATTATAACCATTGCTATGTGGACCTCTAGTTTTCCAGGGCACTGCATATATGACCACGTGTGCTGTTGGCTGAATGGTGCTGATTAGCGAATGAATAAGACATAGAAAAGCCTAGAGGTCTTTCAGCCTCTAGCCACTGTCCAGGAAGGAGAAGAACATCCCCTGGGCTGGGCACATTCAGCCTTTGCATGTGTTAATATGAAATACTTTCATTGCTCCAATTTCCACTTATGTGGATTTTTCCTGGCTCCAAATCAGTGACCTAATTCTCTAATTTTCCCCCCTCTGAGAACATACTTTTTCTTAAGTTATTTTTTTCTCTGAAATCCACACCACTGCCGCCCCCCTTCCCTTCCCTTTTGATTTCTTATTCAGCCTGGAAACTCCCTCTCCAATTGTAATTAGCCTGAATACTTGAGGGAGGGAGAAGGGCTCTCTTCAGGAAATAGCCAGAATAAAGCAAGATTCCTTCTTGTAAGAGTAAGGAAGAGACACCCAGGCCCATGTAAGCTGATTAAATCTCTCTTCGATTTTTCATCTATTGTAAAGCAGAAAGCTCTGATAAGGATTTACTCTTTGTGTTATTTTATAACCTTAATTGACCCATACCACCCATTCTCAGCTTGTTAGGCCAAATATTCTCTCCAATATATGCTCTTGGATCAAATGAAGAGCAGAAATATACAATTTTTAAATGCCAGCTTAGCAGCTGTTTATATATATATATATTTTTTCTATCTCAGTCTTTTCTGGGTGTCCGTGCTAAATGAGGTTTGCCTGGAGTTGGGTGTCAAAGGTCTGTATTCCATTCTATTAAAGTCTTGAGCTCATTTTGCAGTGTGTTAGTGGCTCCATTATGTCCTTACAAATATTATTTCTATGAAATAATTTTAACGTTTCCTATGTTTTTTTACAAAGTCAATTTTTTTCAATAATAGTATCTATGACTCATGCTGTACTCCGGTCAGTCTCTTAATTTTATTATCCTAGTCTCCACAATAACCATGGAAGTAATTATGGATATCACCATTTAACATGTGAAAAATCTGATGCTTGGAGTTAAGTATAATGACTTGCCCAAGGGAGCACCATTAGCAAGTCTCAGACCTGAGACTGAAACCCAGTGCTCTTTAGCTCCAAGCCTTTATACTGACCACTATACTAAACTGCCTTTCAAAAAACATACTACCAGTTTGAAAATATTTGAAGGAGGAAAGGAAGACTGGAAGGATGAAACAAAAGAACAAGGAAAGAGAGAAATGAGAGCATTTCTTATTCATGCATAGAATGTGAACAATGGTGGGGAGAAAGGAAGGGTGGCTGTTCAGAACTGTTCAAACCTGGGGCAAGGCAGGGCAGAGAACACCCTGGTTTGCAGAGAAACCATTTAATACAGAATGCATGCTATCTTGTTACCCTGTTTTCAAGAGTGATTACAGGAAATGCCATATTTAAAAGCCAATTGTTGAATTTGATGCAAACAGTGCCTGTCTGTAATCACTAAAAATTCACTGAGTGAACATCTGATCCCCTTTATCAACTGGTGGTCATAATTTCTTTGGAGAAGATAATTGACTTGTTACTTTTAGTAGAGAAAGTATAAAATGCTAGATTCTAACAAATAAAATTTCTTAAACTTTCCCTTTCCCTTAAAAAGTATAAAAATAAGAAATATAAAGACAGAACAGAAGCTTCCTTCATTCATGTTTGTACAACCTCCTGCTGAGTGCTGACTGTCATATTGTATTCTCTATATCTTTTTGTGTATTTTTCAAATTCTAAAATGAAAATGAATATATCATTATAATTATTAGATGACAATGAAAAATCTCTGTTATTTGTATTTATCAAAATTAATCATGATAATGTGTGCTTGCCATTTGATTGCTTTTTTGCTAGGTGCGCTCTTTAAACCAGACTCCTAATTAAATGGCACATTATACTGACACCAAGAACACCAGAAAAGTGCTCTCTGACCTGGACCAGGTGATTCTTTTGTGTGTCCAAAGATAATAGTAGTTGCAACCTCTTGGCCTTATCACTGATAAAGCTCCGTGATGTTTTCAAGAGCTGAGTTTCTAGAGCCACTCCGCTTGAGAATTGTTGACTGGCTGGATAGAACATCATCTCTAGAAGCAGCATGGGTGAAATCACAGGAGACTAAGGTTACCGGTCAATGCCTCAGAAATAAGTGGGAAATGTAATTTCATTTTACCTTTGAAGTTCCTGTCAAGAAGATTGTTCACTTTTGTGACCACAGCATTGAGATATTTTCATAATTTGCCATAGCTTATGGGCTTTTCATGGTATGTTAAGTATCTGTGTTGTTTGAATAGCATTACAGCCTATTAAATTTATGACCTACAAAACAGGAAACTCACTAGAGACTAAAGAGTAACTCATAAGAGTTTTTCTATAAGGTTATTTTTCTGTAAAACCTTTGTATATGCCCTTTGTATAAAGAACAGGTATTTGGTCCTTGAGATCATTGACAAGTGGAATGTAAAGGAAAAAAATATTCAGTTGCCTCTACTTAATTTCCTTGATTGCGTATGTTTTTGGCATCTTATAGTAAATGTGTCTAAATATGTCTATGGCATTACATATTCAAGAAATTAAGAGTCTCTGCCTTAGAATTCATGACTTACTTTCCATGCCAAAGTTAGACCACACTTGTATGTCTAATACTCAGAAAGAAACCTTCTCATTGCAATAAAAATACCTTCAACCAGGAGGGCTCTAATTTTGCTTGGCTTTAGTCTTATGAAATGACTCACCCAACATTTATAAAGACTTCTTCCTATATTAAATAAATACAATATAGTCAGATCACTAATTTTCAATAACTGACTACACTAATCCTTACTCAGAGATAGAAGTATCGCAATTTTTATCTGCCAAAATGAGGCTCCCTTTTCCGCTTGGAAAAATCATTTGACTTTTGAACATGGTGTTTCAGATCTCAGTGTTAATTTTATTGAGCAGTATATCCACAAAGACACTTTAATCATCATGTAATAATTTGTGCTTCTGTGCTTTAATAGTCATAACTCTAAGGACTGAATGCTCAAATAATCATTGCAACAGAGAGAATTAATCAATCCAATGTTATTCAGATCCCAAAGTAACTCATTGTAGTAATTCTCACTTTTTTGAGTGGATCTTTAACTAAAAGATAAGGAAGTGAACATTTTTGGAGTTTTCTTACAATTATGGTGAATTAGTAACATTGGAACCTCAAAAGAAAGCAGTGATACAAATTTTGTGGACTCTTTTACCAAGTATACGCAATCTACAGAATGAGGGCAAATTTCCTATCTCCTCCAGAGCCTCACTATCATTTTTAGTAAAATTGGACTAGTTCCCCTGAGTGATCTCACTATATACTATACAGGATGATATATGTATAATTTAAAGAACTGAAAGAGGAGTAACATGATCAGGGTATAACCAAATATCCATAGTGTCACAATGCTATATAGCACATAGTACTCATTCCACCCTTTTAAACTTCTGCTTTTAAGTGTCACTTTTTGCAGTCAAAATGGCATTCATATTCATTTATATGAAATCTTTCCTTCTTAAATTACAATTTCATATTCATTTAACAAACATTTAATGAGTATGTACTATGTGCCTAGTGTTGTGTTGTAGAATGTGAAAAACAAAAATAAAATAAAAACAAGTAAAAGATGATTAACAATTTTATAAATGATTCAACATTTAAATTGCTCTTAAGATCACTATGTAAGTCAATAATTCTCATTATGAAAAATGTTATCATAGAGTATAAAGTATTTTGAGATCCCAGACCGAAGATACCATTTAGGCCCTTCGCATTCTCTGTTATATACAGTCTACACAGGCTTTTATCTTTACCCCTCCTCAAACTGTTCTTGTCAAAGTCAACAGTGGCTCCCATGCTGCTCAGTCTGGGTCATGTCTCTGTCCTTACCTTGCTCAATATGTTAGCAATACTTCCCAAAGTTGTTCATTTCCTCCTTCTTGAGACACTTTCTTCACTTAGCCCCTGAGAGGTCACTCTCACTTCACTTTCTATCTCACTAGTCACTCTTTATAAGTTTGTTGCTGTTGTTGTTAGCTCTTCATCTTCCCACTCTCAAAACATTTGAGTGCCCCAGAGCTCAGTCCCTGATCTCTTCTTTTCTCACTTCTCCCAAGTGATTCTCCAACCTCATTTCGTGTCTTTAAGTACCATCTATTTCAGGTAACTCCCAACTATTTACCTCTACCCATGACATTGCTACTGAACTCCAAAGCACTTACTTAACTACCTACTTAACATTTCCACTGAGAGGTCCAACATAACATCATTAAAAAAAAAATCTTCATTACTTCCACTCATCTGTTTCTTCTATAGTCTTCACCATCTCAATAAAGGAAAACTACATTTTCCTACTTAATCAGGTAAAAAATTTTGGCTCCTCCTTGGCTCCATACTTCCTTCACACTCTACTTTTCATCTCTGCCTTCAATATATATTCAGAATCTGACAACTCTTAGCCCCTCTGCTCTGATCACCCTGGACATCATTTGTCATGTGGATTAGTACAATAGCCTCTTATTAGGTCTCTCTGCTTTTACTCCTACCTTCCTAAAGTCTATTTCACATGGCTGCTAGGGTCATCCCAGTAACCAAGAAGGTAGATCATATCACTCTTCTTTCAATGGTTTCCAGTCTCATTAAGAATAAAAATCAAATTCTTTTACACGGCCTGAAAGGACATACAAAATTTTACCACATCTACCTCTTTGGTCTCAACTTCCATTCATTCCCTGGACTCCAACCCAACTGGCCTCCTTTCTCTTCTTCCAATATACCAAACATGTGCGCTTGCTTTTCTCTCTGCCTAGAATATTTTCCCTACCTGTCATATCCACATAGCTTGAACTCATGCTTTATGTTTATCTTTGCTCCCATATGGCCTCATCAAAGTGGCCTTTCCTAAGCACTCTAAAATAACACCTCTTTCTCTTTACTGTGCCTTTTTTCTTCCCCTCCTCCTCCTTCTCCTCTTCCTCCCCCTCCTCCTCCTCCTCCTCCTTCTTCCTCTTCTTTTTTTGAAACAGGGTCTCTTTCTATCTCCCAGGCTGGAGCGCAGTCTCGTGATCTCAGCTCACTGCAATCTCCAACTCCCAGGCTCAAGCCATCCTCCTACCTCAGCTCTTCAACTAGCTGGGACCACAGGCACACACCACCATGCCCAGCTAATTTTTCTATTAGGTTGGTGCAAAAGCAGTTGCGGTTTTTGCCACTACCTTTAATATTTTTAGTAGAGACAGAGTTTCTGCATGTTGCCCAGGTTAGTCACCAACTCCTGGGCTCAAGTGATCTACCCACTATGGCCTCCCAAAGTGCTAAGATTACAGGCATGAGCCACTATGCCCAGCCACTGTTTTTGTAAATAAAGTTTTATTGAAACATAGCCATGCTCATTTGTGCATATATTGTCTATGACTGCTTTTGTCTACAACAGCAGAGTTGAGTAGGTATGACAGAGACTACATGAGCTAGAGGCCCAAAATATTTACTATTTGGCTCTCTCTTTGCAGAAAAAAAATTGTCAGTCCTCGGGCCAGAGGGTAGAATGCATGGCAAGGATAGGGAGAAGATTAAAGGGGAGATGAGGGCAAGCTGGAAGGGATTTATGTGAGTTTAGATTTCATATGTAGGTCTAGAGAGAATGAGGCAATGGGTGCTTTTAGGCAAGGAAGTTCCTGAAAGGTACGATCTACGTCTAATATAATTTGTGCATAAAAACTGCTATGATATTTAAGCCAGTCCTTCTAGTGGCAGCTTTTGCAAGAATTCAAGCCTTAATGTCACTGCCATGTCTGGGATTAGCTCTTGAAATGGGAACCAAAAGATAGTGAAAATCCACTTACTTCCCGCCTCCCCCAAGCTAGACGTTGGTTTGGAAATGATCTATCTCCTGTGGTGAGTCTAGTGCAGATTGATCCAATAGTGTCCATTATAGCCTCTAAATATCTGGCCTGGGCTGACCTCAAGAATCCCAGAAACATGGATTGGTTCCAAGGTCACCCAGAAACTCGTTGGTCTTGCTTTAAGAAACTACAGAAATTTGAAAAAACTCTGGAATCATTTCTATATAGGATGACAAACAAAACTCAAGTGTTAGTGGTATGACATTATAGCCTCTAAATATCTGGCCCGGGCTGATCTCAAGAGTCCCAGAAACATAGATTGGTTCTAAGGTCACCCAGACACTTGTTGGTCTTGCTTTAAGAAGCTCCAGAAATTTGAAAAAACTCTGGAATCATTTCTATATAGGATGACAAACAAAACTCAAGTGTTAGCGGTGTGACAACTCATCAGATCTTTTCCGAGTTCTCTAAACCATGTGGATCAGTTTAGACTTTGCCACTGGGTGAGGTCAAAAGATTGCTGATCCATCTTGCTTTCACTGAGATTGGATTTCACAATAAAGCAGCCTTTCCCCTGGTGTCTTTGGCTCTCAGGATTTTGATTCCGTCCAGACCCTAAGTAAAGGGCAGGAGAAAATTTTGAAAGAAAAAGAAAGAGAGCGGGAACAAATGTGTTCTGAATTTCACATAACAAAGTGGAGCTCTGGGTTGTGGTTGAGCTTGGGAGCAGATGCCCTCATCCCTCTTCCCTCTGAGAATGCAGTGGGGAAATATCTGGGCTGCTCCAGTGAAGCTGTGGCATTTGGGTTTAATCTGATAGACCTGAATGTGCCTACTCTGAATCCAGACGAGGTTTTGGCCTGATGTTTTTGCCCAAACCTCAAGTGAGTATAAGCAAAGGAAGCCAAGTTCCCCACTTGTATCTACTGACTCATTCTACTAGAAGTCCGTTGCCCTTGTAACAGTTCGTGTTGTTTATTGGCTTCTGCCTTAAAAAATTTAAAATATAGTTGAACTGAAAGTTGATAGGTTATCATTTGAAGGAGGAAGTGGAAAGTTCCAAAACAGACAACAAAAGAAGCAAAACTTTGATTTTCACTGTGGCTGTTAGGACCCGCCCTTCCTCCTGAATTTTCAGCAGATGAGAGGGATTTTTTGTTTGTTTGTTCAATTTAATGCTTCAATTTTCAGGAAGGAGCCAGATGAAGCTTCTTAGGCATTATCTGCCTGGGACGTGATGAATTAATTGCAGGCCTCATTTTGTAGCAGTCGGTATCAATGGATGGGGTGCTAGTTCAGCCCTTTTGAAAGTATGTAGCAGACGGAGGTGGCTCCAATAATTACATTAAGACCGTGGATACACACTTGCCTTAGGGATTTGGAGTTGCGCTTAATCAAATCTGGATTTGACATTTCACAGCCCACATCAAGGATTTCTACAAAGGAACAGCAGAGCATTGCCAGCTCCTGCTCTTACTTAGCATCTCCTCCTGAGTAACTGAACAGTCCTTGTGCTAATCTTATTGATGCTTTGGCTGCATTTCTGCCCTGCTGCACAGCACTCAGCTTCTGTAGACCATCTTTTCTTTCATCTTTTTCTCAGTGAAAAAGTGTTTATTAAGTGTCCATCATGTGCCAGGGCCCTGGGTTAGGATCTGGGGTAGGGTAGATAGGGTGGTGAAAAAGGCTGGATTCTGAGCTCCTGCATTCGTAAAAGGTTACACCTAAGGCCAGAAGCAGTGGCTCATGCCTGTAATCCCAGCCCAGGCAGGTGGATCTCTTGAGCCAAGGAGTTCGAGACCAGCCTGGGCAACATGGCAAAACCCTATCTCTACAAAAAATACAAAAATTAGCTGGGCATGGTGATATGTACCTGTAGTCCCAGCTACTCGGGAGGCTGTGGGGAGATCACTTTAGCTGTGATTATGCCACTGCACTCCAGCCTGGGTAACAGAATGAGACCCTGTCTCAATTTTTTTGTTTGTTTGTTTGAAAAGGTTACACATAGCAGGAGTTACAGAAGGCTAACCCGTGGCTCAAAAGCAATGAACTGTTTTTCAGTTCATTACCTACCACGTGCCAGATAGAGGTAATACAAGGAAGAGTAATAGATGATGCCTGCCCTTGAGGAGTTTAAAGTTCAATGGGGTGGTTTCCAAACTTTAGTAACCCCAGAGGTCCCAGGGATGCCTATTTAAAATGAGGACAAGGAACACGGGAGGCGGAGGTTGCAGTGAGCCAAGATCGCACCATTGCACTCCAGCCTGGATGACAACAGCCAAACTCCGTCTCAAAAATAAATAAATAAATAAATAAATAAATAGTAAAAATAAAATGAGGATGAAGACTTTGCATTTTTATAGGCAGGTATTTCTGAAGTAATTGTTCTTTGGATCATATTTTGAGAAATACTGATAAAAGTATAAGTAATATAAACAAACAGTTGCTTAAATAGCCCCTGTCACAGTAAAGGCGCAAAGGTAGAAGAGCTCAGTTCTCCTTGGGAGGCCATAGAAGGCTTCCAAGATGAAGATCTAGATCAGATCTTGTAGAATGATATACAGTTTAATAGGTAGACAATACCACAGGTAAAGCAGTCAAGGGAGAGAAAGAATTCCAGGCAGAGAAGAGAGCAGGCACAAGACACCAAGGTGGAGAGAATGCACCTATTTAGGTGCCCTGTGAGTACAGAGCGGAGGTACAGGGGAGTTAGGTGATTAAATTTGCATTTTAGGTAGATCATTCAGATGGCAATGGGGTATTTGGTAGGAGACAAACAGGATAGGGGGCAGGGAAAATTTAGGAGTTTCTCGATTAGTGTTGTTAATTGTAAAAATAATAGGTTTGTTGTCAGGATAAATATGCAAAATATTCATTGGTTGTAGGGACATCTATGTATTGAGCTTCTACTGTGAGTTCAGTATTCAGCTGGGGAGAACCACATGTGAATAGATAATTAGAAAGTGATCATGACAATGATAGACATCCACACAGGGTATTTGTGTGGAAACCCAGCCCCAGGAAGAGCTGGAATCACAGAGGAGCCAGGTTGCCAGCACCTTCACTTGGGAGTTCCACCACTGGCATTTCATCGGCACTGTTTCTGCACCTGCTTCTCACCTTTCTCCTCATTCACTGGCTTCCTCTGTCTTCTGTATCTCCCTCATACTTTCTTCCAACTCAAAATTTTTACTCCCTTAGAACTTCACTTTCCCATCATTCCTCAGGGCCATGATTCTGTCTCACAGCATTCTTCTGCTTTAACTCCCACTCTATTGCCTCATCCTCTCAGTATTTACTGTTTGAAATTCCAAGAGAAAGAGTCCAATGGGCCCATCCCATCTCTTCATGCCATGCTTTCTAATAGGTCGCTGGCCAGTCTGTGGGTTGCTGTCCACGAGGAAGGTGACAATCCTCAGCATAATCATCTGTGGCTCAGTAGGACGGGTTTGTAGGGCACAGAACATGACTGCTGAGGGCTGCTCATGTTGCAAGGGACATAAAAATGTTATATCCCCTTAGGAGAATATGTACTTGTCATGCTTGGAAAAAGAGACCAGTGTGATCATCGAGGTGACACTGAGCTGTGTAGGGTTAATTTTTTTATAAGAAACATTTCAGTTTTGTGATGTGGCTGATAAGAAAGATAATGCAAATATTTCCAACTTGAATAACTAAGTGAATGAAGATGCCATTAATCAGGAAATGATACACAAGAAGAAAAGTTTGTTGTGATCGTGTGTTCAGTTGAGACGTAATGACTTTGAAGTGTCTAAAGGTTCTGCAGCTGGATGTAAAGACAACAGTGATTTTGCACAATTATCTGACCTCACATCTCTGCCCAGCTCCTCTATCACTAAAGTCTCCACAAAACCAGGTGAATTCCTTCCTGCATGCTCTGAAAAACCCTGTGTGGATATCTATCATTGTAATTATCACTTGGTAATTATTCATTCAGATGTACTTCTCCCCAACTAAATACTGAACTCACAGTAGAAGCTCAGTAAATGCTGGTCAGTTGTATCCTAGTTGTATACAGAAGCAGACCCAAAACAATGGCTCAAGTATAAGAAGTTTACTCTGGAGATAAAGATAACAGCACAGTAGGAAAGTGCGTTAGTGAGCACAGAAGGGAAGGCAGTCAGGAAAGAGTGGGCCGCTGGAGCTCATTCTTACTGGGGAACCAATATTAACACACACTCCAGAGTTATCCCATTCAGTGGATATTTACATACCAGTTCCATCACTCACTGATTGAGGGCTTCTGGGGTAGGGTGGGAGGATGCTAATTCTCAGTGCTTTCAGCCTGCTCCATGGAGCAGTCAAGCAACTTTTGGGCCAGAGAAAGGGCTCAGGCAAAGAAATGCAGGTTCTGAAAGTTAGAAGTCCCACAGGCATGCACTAAAGTGGCAACGACAAGGGGATATGGCCAGGCATCAACAGCATCTATATAAGTTGAATGAATGAATGAATGATTACCCAGCGTAGTGGAAAGCAATATACTTTGGACCTATTGTGAATCCATGAAATCCCTCTAAATTGTTCTGCCTTAGGTGCAGAGCCTGCAAGTTACTCACTCAAGTTACATGATCAGGAGAGGACAGAGGAGGACCCAATTCTCCATAAAATAGGTATTTGGATATTTATATGTATAAATTTTAAAATAGAGCTTACACTGAGATCCTGGCATCATTCTTTAAATTCATTGTCCATTTGACAGCTCTTTATTTCACCCGCAATCACTTTCTCTTTCCTGTTATAACCACCCATTTAAAAAATACATGAATGGATACATAAAGTATTGCTTTTTAAAGATCTTTCTTTGAGAATTATGGAGACCCCAAGAGATGCTATACCAAAGATCAACTTACTGCCAGTGATCAAATTTGCTCATTGATCTTTGAGGAAAACCAGCATTCTTTGTGGAAAGGAATTGGTAATCGTCTTGGAAACCTAGTCTCAGCTCTTAGAACTGAGAATTTTTTTTCCTAGTTTCTTTGTGGACTCAGTCCTTCAAGAAAGTTTGATAAACTCCCTATACTGACAAGTAGAGTCTAGGGTGGCATGAGTCTGAATCAAAAGTCAGCTTAGAATGCACATGAAGTGGGTAAAGGTCATTACTGGGGTTCAGGGTTACCAACTGAGGCTAAGCAAAGGAGAACATTCAGGTAAAAGCCAAAGAAAAGAAAAAGTTTATGGCAATTTTTCTTTTTTCTTCTTCGTCTTCTTCCTCTTCTTCTTTTTTTTTTTTTTTTTTTTTTTTTTTTGAGACGGGGTCTTGCTTTGTCACCCAGGCTGGAGTGCAGTGATGTGACAATAGCTCACTGCAGCCTCCAACTCCTGGACTCAAAAAATTCTTCTGCCTCAGCCCCGAGTAGCTGGGACTATAAGGAGCATGCCACTACACCTGGCTAATTTTATTTTTGTTTCTTTTTTAGAGAGATGGGGTCTCACTATGTTGCCCAGGCTTGTCTCAGATTCCTGGGCTTCAGCAATCCTCCAGCCTTGGCCTTCCAAAGTGGTGAGATTACAGATGTGAGCCACTGTGCCCAGCCAATGGCAATTTTTTTTTTTTTTTTGAGACGGAGTCTCGTTCTGTCGCCCAGGCGGGAGTGCTGTGGCGCGATCTCCGCTCACTGCAAGCTCCGCCTTCCGGGTTCACGCCATTCTCCTGCCTCAGCCTCCCGAGTAGCTGGGACTACAGGCGCCGGCCACCACGCCCGGCTAATTTTTTGTATTTTTAGTAGAGATGGGGTTTCACCATGTTAGCCGGGATGGTCTCGATCTCCTGACCTCGTTATCCACCCGCCTCGGCCTCCCAAAGTGCTGGGATTACAGGCGTGAGCCACCGCGCCCGGCCGGCAATTTTTAAATCCAGCTTCTGCAATCCCTAGTGTGGGCATGAGAGAACTAATTAAAGGAAAGGATGGTAATCAAACACATGTGACATACTGGGTCAAGTGTAGGAGAATATCCGGAATCCATTAAAGCTGCCCCTTCATTCTGGGGATGGCCCTGAACAAGGCCTTTTGCACATTAGTGATTCATTTGTTAGTGGACTTTGAATTTGTTTATACAATGACAGTCACTGGCTGTTTTGAAAAAATATATATCCTTTTTTTAATGGAAAAGCCTATATATGATGAATTAATGCCAAGTAATTGGTTTTGTGAGCCACAGCTGGAAAGGACTACAAAGATATATAAATGCAGGCTCTTTAAGTCTTTAGCAAGACTTCATCAATTCAGAATGATTTGGAGAAAACAATTACCAGCATAATATGTGAACATTTGGAATTGGGGAACATTATAAAGCATTCATTTTTCTTTTCAAGTGTAAGAATTCAAACTTGGTCCCTGTGAGAATTAGACCCTTCAGGGCCTGCTTAAATAAATTATTGAGAGTAACTTGTAATTGACATATCAATTTCTTCCTATGTAAACAGTCTTTCCACATTTTGTAGCATATTATTCTACCCAACTGTAATATTCTCCCAGCAAAAGTTTAAGGCATCATTCATTTCTTTGGCAAACTCATTGCCCCATGAAGTGAAAGATAAATTTAAAACTCTGCCTAACACCAACTGTTATAGATTGACAATCTGTCTTACTACCTAAAATTAAGAGGAGCATATTTCGTCAACCAAAATTCCTAAAAGACGGAGTAAGTGAGGATTTTCTGTGTTCATGATTACCTCTTTCCACAGGTCATTATCTGTGTCACCAAGACTTTAGGTCAGCTTTGAAATCAGATTTCAAAAGCCTTCAGTTCTGCAAACATCCATAAGTCATGAAAAATTCCCATTAGCCCATTGGCAGTGTTCCTTGTAAACAGCAACTTTCATTCCTTCCCACAACACAGAGCTAAGAAAACGGAGGAAGCTGCCTGCGGCAACTACATACCCTGAGTTGTCACCATATACACATGTTCCCATGAAAAACAAGCAAAAACGGGACTATCAGGAGAGGCAGACACAGAGATGTCTACTCATTCCCAGTGCTTCTTTGGCCCAGTTCTGATTTTTTTTTTTTTTTTTTTTAGGCTAGCATTGATTTTCAAGCATTGGAAGGAATTGGTGAGGGTTTTTGCTAATTAGCAGGGAGGCCAAGCACACCGCTCTTGGCTGCGCCACAAGGAGGTGGTTGCCTGTGGTTTGGGATATTCTTTTCCTCTTCACTGCAGTCTCTGGGATGGTGGGTCTTGTCTCTAAGCAGCTGGAATGAAGGCAGAACGTATATCCCATCATTTGGAAGCAGCATGCATTCAGGTTCTCCTAAATGATCTCTAATAAACATCAAGGCGGGCCCCATTCCTGTGATGTGTATCAGTTTGGGTAAATAAATGCATTTCCTTCAGGATTTCATAAATTTTGATCATAGTGCTTCCTGGGTTTGTCAAATCTAAAAGTTTTAATTATTCTTTTCTGTTCTTACAGGGCTATCTCTTCATCCACTTCATCCATTCAGTGACCCTTTCCTGTACTTTTCAGCTCTGTTCTCTTTGATGAGTTAAAATGAGAGGGCAATGGAGTATAATGGGTAACTTCAAGATCCTAGGAATATGCAAGTCCAGAGCATATTGTTTCCTCATCATTAAAATCAGAAGAATAACAACATGCTCTTTACTGGATTGTTGTAAGGATTAAATAAATTAACATGTGTAGCTATTAGAAGAGAACCTAGTCTGTACAAGCATAAGCGTGATAATCTGAACACACAAACAGAACTAGATAGCTGAGTTTTTCTCTTCTTTATACAAACGTTTTGGAAACTGTTATCTATGCATTTGATAGAAATGTGATTCTAGATTTTTCTGAATCTAGGTGCAGTTGATTCCATCTTCCAGGATGAGATATGTAGTAACCTCACTGTCTAGCCTTAAAGTGGTAGCTGCTCTAACATGTTGACTTTGCACATCATATGTAAAGAACCACACTATTAATCTTACTGAAAACCACATTCATTGTTTATTCAAGCCTGCTCTCATCCAGGCACTTCATTAGGCGGTGAAATTTCAAGAATAAACCAAAGTCTTCACCCTTTGAACCTTACAGTCCTGTTCATAGTTATGTACTATTTATTGCTGTGTAACAAATTACCCTAAAACTTAGCTACTTAAAACAACAAACATTTATCTCACACAGTTTCTGGGGGTCAAGAATCCAGGAGCAGTTTAACTAGGTAATTCTAGCTCAATGTTTCTCACAAAGTGGTACTCAAACTATTTACTGGAGCTACAGGATCAACTAGGCTGGAGAATTTTTTTCCGAGCTTCCTCACCTGATTATTGGCAAGCCTCAATTTCTTGCTGGCTGTTGGAGGCAGGTCCCTATTCCTCACCATGTGAGCATCTCCACAGGCTGTTAGAGTGACCTCAAAACATGACAGCTGGCTTCCCCCAGAGAGAGTAATCCAAGAGAGAGAACGAATGAGAAAGCACCCAAGATGGAAACTGCAGTCTTTTATAGCTCAATCTTGGAAGTAACATCCCATCATTTCTACCATATGTCATTGGTCACACAGATCCTGGTAGCATGTAGGAGGTGGACACACAAGGGTATGAATACAGCAGATAGGGACCATTAGAGACTAACTACCACACAGTGATTGAGAGTCATAGTTTTTTGTGAGTCATTGGTCAAAGGAGACAGATGGGTCAGAGATTCTGTTCCATGCTTTTTATTTGAAAACCCAGCCTCCCATCATCAAGAGGCTCCTCTAGTGCCCTTGATGCTCTCCACCTGATCCTCTGTATCTTGCCAGAAGGTCAGGAGCACGGGAAAAGCACAAGTATAGGGAAATGCACCATAGATTCAAGGGGCTAGACTTGAATGGAGATTGTAAGCATTATTTTGCCCCACATTCCATTGCCAGAAATCACCTAATTGAAAAGGAAGCTGAGCAATACGGTCTGTATGTGTCCCCAGATTAAAAAGGAATGAAATTTGGTGAATGCACAAGTCACTCTGCCACTCCCTGTAGCTGAAAAGAGGCTGTACGTTTAAGCAGTTTACATTTTTTTAAAAAAATGATTCTGTTCAGTTTTAATACAACAAAAATATGATTGCTCACCATTCTGCAACAAAGCAACTGATTGATTGCGTATTTTCACCTTTTCAATGCATTGTAAATGCAGCCCCTGTTAGAGGCCAGTAAGCAGGTGGTGGAGAGTAGTTCCTGAACCATTAAGTTTGCTGCTTTTTCAGGAATACTATTAAGATGCTGGCAGAAACAAGTCTTGCCTTGTTTCCCAAGTGCGGAAAAAAGAAAGTCTTTGTTCCCAAGCAAATGAAAATACAAATCACAAGACTAAAATTATGAATGCAAAACAATATATTAAAATGTGGCTTGTGTGTAGCATTTGCATGCATTTTAATATGCATCTGTCTTTCCCTTTGCTAAATTCAGTAGGCTCTGAAAATATTAAACAATGGAGTACAATTAATGATTAGAGGAATTGTTTTGGAATATATTTTAACCTATTTATATTCCTATTGCCAAACCTCTTGCTCTTTAAGGGCTCTGAGATGTCCAATGAGATCATTTTATTGGTCAGATCTCATATCACTGTAGCCTAAAAACAATTCACAAAAATATTTTTTATAAATTGACGTGATAACGCTCAAATGATTGTAACATGATTAAAACCATTCCCAGGATAGAAAAATCAAATCCAAATTTGGAAGCTGGAAAAGGCTTTAGAGATCCTTTGGATTGGATATTCTCATCCCTCCTACTCATTCCAAAGTCTGGCTATATTTATTTCCAAAGAACCCATAAGAAATTTAAGGCCATTTTTTTTTCCCCAAAAAACCCAATTTGCTGAGCCTTCTGCTCCAGTTATCTTTGCAGCTGAAGTTTTCAGAATTGGTTTTGCCCTTTTCTGGGTTTGTTTTCGTTGCTTTCTATTTGAGCAAACCCCCAAAAGGGAAATCACTTTTAGGGCAGTAGCAAAAATGAACCAAATTTCAACCACACTCAGAATTCTTGCTCTCTGCCCATCAAGGCTTCTGGACCAGAGGAGAATATATTTCATGAGAACACAGCTCTAAGCCATAAACTTGAAATACATCAAGCTCTTTGTTGTTAATTGGCGCTTACCTCACCTGAAGGCCTTTGCCAAGAAGAGCAGAGGGGTTTAATGGGGAAGGAAGAAAGGAAAAAGCCTGAAGTCCTGGAAAACACTCCAAGCCACATGTGATTTTAGCTGGGGGGCTCTCCACTCCCCAGTATGCTGGCGCAACAAAGTGGCCTATGTGCTCTCTCAGCCCTCGGCTGTTTGTTTGGGGGGCAATGCGCAGACTGGGGCCTGAGTGATAACTGCTTCGTGTAATTACGAAGACAGCTTGAAAACTATGCTCCTCTTTGTTTCAGCCTCCAGATGACGGCTGTCTGACTGCTGTTTGTGCCAGTTTTATTTCAAAGCGCTTTTCTTTCCATATTTCAAAGGTCAGTGTGTTTACCGTGGCCAAAAAGAGCCTGTGTGTAAGAGAAAGAAATCCATGTGGCTGAGTGGCAGGAGAACCAGAAGAGGAGTTAGGGAACTGGATTCGAATCCTAGCTCAGCTTCTAGGTAAGTTAGAGAACTAAATGAGTTGATCTCTTCTCCTTTAGCATTGAAAGGGGAGGAAGGAAGTAGTACTAGTGGCCTTATTTTAGATTAAAAAAAAAAAAAAGGCCGGGCGGTGGCTCACGCCTGTAATCCCAGCACTCTGGGAGGCCGAGGCGGGCGGATCACGAGGTCAGGAGATCGAGACCAGCCTGGCTAACACGGTGAAACCCCGTCTCTACTAAAAATACAAAAAATTATCCGGGCATGGTGGTGGGCACCTGTAGTCCCAGCTACTCTGGAGGCTGAAGCAGGACAATGGTGTGAACCCGGGAGGCGGAGCTTGCAGTGAGCCGAGATCGCCACTGCACTCCAGAGCCTGGGCAACAGAGCAAGACTCCGTCTCAAAACAAAACAAAAAAACCTAGAAGTGTGGTTCTCAAAGAAGACGTGTAGTTATTTCCAGTAAAGAAACACTATCAAACACTCAACTGAGAAAATGTCCACTTCATCTCCGTGAAATGGAAATATTTCCTCCCTCAGAGAAAGCAGGCTTGATATTTTGGCCACCCTTGGAAATCTTGAGATTGTTTTTGGTCAAGGAATTTTAGCACTGGGAACGAATAGCAAACCCCAAACCCTTTCTCAGGACTCTTAGTTGGCTTTCTGACGCCATTACTTAGAAAAACAAGGCTGGTTAGACTGAGTTACCTCCCCATATTTAAGACATTAGTGTTTTTATTATGGATATTTGAAAACAGCATCAGATTTCAATGGTGTAAGCTCCATACCTATTTCTCTTTTTTATTTTCTAAATTTTTAAAATGAAGTGGGGTCATTTGATCTCTTATCAAATCAGTTGGAGACTGGTTTTTTTCCTTTAACTTTTATTTTTTTTCTCTTGAGACGGGGTCTGACTCTGTCACCCAGGCTGGAGTGCAGTGGTGCCATCTTGGCTCACTTCTACCTCCACCTCCTGGGCTCAAGCCATCCTCCCGCCTCAGCCTCCCAACCCACCACACCCAGCTAATTCTTTTATTAATATTTTTTGTTGAGACAGGGTTTCACTATGTTGCCCAGGCTGTCTTGAACTCCTGAGCTCAAGCAATATGCTCACCATGGCCTCCCAAAGTGCTGGGATTACAGGCGTGAGCCACCGTGCCCAGCCCATACCTATTTCAGATGCTCTTCGTGATTCATTTTCTTCTAATATGTTTTTCCCATCTATCTTGCTCAATTTTTATAGAATGAGCTCCTGGGAAAAGGAGGTAAATAAGCTGTTGAAGTGGTAGAGAGCCTGCGTTCTGAAGCTACATTTGCCTAGGTTCACATGTTAATACTGCCACTTTGCTATGTGACCTCGGATAATTTGCTTAACTTTTCTGTGCCTCATAGTTTTCTTGTCTACTAATGTAAGTACTTACTTTATGGTGTTGTGAGGATTAAATGGATTAACCCACGTGAAATATGTAGAACAGTGTCTGGGACTTCATAAACATGCAAATGTTGAGCTAATTATGAAAAACACTCCTTTCCGAAATGAATTCTGCACTGGGAAAATTCTTCTCTTTTGTGCTACCGTTTCTCTTCTTGAATCGATCCACCTACATCTGCAGAAGTAAAAAAGTAAATTTGCAAATGCCAAGGGAACAGTGCCTGTGTTGTAAAAGAGAGGAGAAAGTAAAACAGAAAAAAAGAACAAAGGAAATATCTTAAATGTTATTCCCCAATTACTGTGAATTTTCAGCCTCCTGTGAAATAAAGATACTTTCTGCCTTGAGTTTGCACAAGACAAAAAGAATTCTCACTCCTTGACCAGAAAAAAAGCATGACCATCCTTGGCTGTGACTCAAGAAGAATGGAGGAAAGCACAGGAAGGGGAACTAAAGTGTATTGAAGACTTTGTCTACACCCTGGATTTGAATTCATGAGTTGAATACCATTGATTTTATAAGCAAATCAAACTTGATTTTATAATCAACGAATCAAAGAAAAAAAAGGTTCAGGGAGGTGAAGTGGCTTTTCAAGGTCGAGCCAGTCAGTGGCATGGCTGGATGTAAGCCCACTTCTACGTGATGCCAAGGCCCCTCATTTTGCCTCCTTCTTACATCCCCTTCTTAGGAGGAACCTGGCTAAGATGGAGTTCTGAGAGGCTCCCAGGAGTGTAGGCTGAACCTAGACTCAAGGTAATCCATTACTACACAGGCAGTATTATAAGCAAGATGCTCTTGTATTTTTTCTAAGTCATTTATATGCCCGTTCAAATGAGTAGACTCATAGGGGTCTTTGTTTTGAATCACGTAATTTTAGGCTTCAAGGAGAGGGGAACCTTCAGAAAAGTCATTTCCGTTCACTTCTAAAGTGAGAATAGTTAAGTTATACCCACTTTAAAGATGCCTTCTAGCTCTCACTTAAAAAATTCTATGTTATCCAAAGCAACTTATGAATAAGGTACTGCCTCAGTTTCTTATTGCTGCTATGTAAATTAGTCCAGACTTAGTGGCTTAAAACAACACAGATTTATTATGTGAAATTTATGGTTCTGGAGGTCAGAAATCCAAAATGGGTCTCACTGGACTAAAACTAACGTGTTGTCAGGGCTGCATTCTTCCTGTGGGCTTTAGGGGAGAATCTATTTTCTTGACTTTTCTAGAATCTAGAGGCTGCCTGCATTGCTGGGCTCATGGCCTCTTCCCATCTTCAAAGCCAGCAATGGCCAATCAAGGTTTTCTCACATTATACCACTCTGACATTGACTCCTCTGCCTCCCTCTTCTACATTTAAGGAACCCTTGTGATTCTACCCAGAAAATCCAGATTAATCTTATTTTAGGTCAGCTGATTATCATGCTTAATTCCATCTACAACTTCATTTCTCCTTTGGCGTGTAATATAATATATCCACAGATTCTAGATATGGACATCCTTGAGGGGCCATTACCTTGCTGACCACAGGTACCTACATGATGTTGTCAACAGGATGCATCTTTAGTATTTGAGCTCTGCCACATTCTAGTGGCCTAACGTGGACAAGTTACTTAACCTCTCTGTGCCTCAGTTTCCTCACATGCGGATAATAGCAGTATTTATGGGGTTGTTATGAAGATTAAATGAATGAATACTTTTAGGACACTGCTGGATGATTAAGTCCTAGCTCTTATTATTATTATTATCTTTGTGATTATTGTTTTGAAGATGATGTGGACAACCAGAACATAATTTATGTAATTTATGCAGCTAGTTGATACATTGATTTCAAGATAAATTGTTTTGCTATGTGCCAGAGGCAGTTGCTATCTGTGACTTCTCCTTGTCTCCTCTTTCCCTCTATTGGCCAGCAATCTGAAGGCCACTCCCTCTGATAACTTCTGCCATTGATTCAGCCACTGGGATGGCCCAGAGAGGACAACAGTCTAGAAGTGTGCAAACATGCATCAAAGATGTTATGCTAACAGAAACAACAGGAGCAATGACATAGGCATTGTCTTTTTATTCATTTGGGAGTTTCAGTCTGAAGAAATGTTGAGGTCAGTATCAGACTAACTTAATGTCAATCCTCTGGTTCAAAGCTTCAATACAGAAATGCTAACATTGTCTCCTCTCTACTACAGGCAGGGTAAGCTTTAGATCGTCACCAAAAATTGGCCGGGGTTCAAATCCAGGCTCCAGCTGTTGATAAATTTGTGTCCTGGTATAGATTAAGATGGGCAGGCCCTTAAGGATAAGAGAACACAAAATTCCCATAGAGAATTTTTTTTTTTTTTTGAGATGAAGTCTCACTCTATCTCCCAGGCTGGAGTGCAATGGCACGATCTCAGCTCGCTGCAGCCTCCGCCTCCCAGGTTCAAGCAATTCTTCTGCCTCAGCCTCCTAAGTAGCTGGGTTTACAGGTGCGTGCCACCATGCCCAGCTAATTTTTGTATTTTTAGTAGAGACGGGGGTTTCACCATATTGGCCACACTGGTCTCGAACTCCTGCCCTTAGGTGATCCACCCTCCTCAGCCTCCTAAAGTGCTGAGATTACAGGTGTGAGCCACTGCGCCTGGCCGAGAGTATTTTTATATGAAGAAGTCCTCTTCTGTCAATGTGAGGGGAGTTAACTCAGGTGGATTATGAGTCAATGCCACCTCTAGTCTTACAAACCATTATTTTCTTTAGGGCAAAGCCCATAGGGGGATACCTTTCAGGTTTGTTTGTTTGTTTGTTTGTTTAATTCAACTGATGGATTCAAAATGCTCCTTGTGAAGTTTTGGGGCTCACCTCAATTGTGACCTGGGTAAGCTGCAGGTTTGATAGACTACTAAAGTTTGGCCAAACCCTAAGTAAGCCAGAACTGAGCCCAAACTCCAAGTAAGCTGCAGGGATTCTGCTGTCCCATCTTTATCCTCCCATAGTCTGATGAAAATCTCTTTTATAGATTCAGTCTGAGTCCATTTTCCTCATCTCTAGTTGCAAAACTTCTTCATGGAGATAGAAAGAACTTGGGCACATGAATTCCATCTTGGTCATGACCTTGACACCACCCCTACTCCCTTCTTCACTGCCTTGGAGCAAACGTGGCCCATGTGGATAAGAACCTCATAAAGAAGCCCCACTTATTTTCCACATCCCTAATTATTTCGTTGACTCCAACCAGGTTTTCTAAACCTGTTTGTGTATATTTAGACATACGGTGTGAGTAATTTGTGAGCATTTATCGAGAAGTCTTATCCAAATTCCTTTTAAGAAAGATGCCAGGACCTCATTCTCAATTCTGTTACTGAAACTGTGATTTTTCCCATTTTAGAGTTGAGATGCTTAAGCTACACAGGAATACGGATTTCACTTTCAATAAAATCACCGGCTGGTAAAACCCAAATTAAAACAGAGCATTGGAAATCAAGCTGCCTTTTTCTATTAGAATTAACAAGAGCTGTTTCATTTTCTAAATCAAAAGTTTTGGACTCTGAAATCCTATTTGTAGAGAATACTAGGCGTTATTAAAAATGCAGATAGTTGTTTTGAGCTGGCATGTTTTCCTGTGGTTGCCAGGATGCTGTGAGGGCAGGTACACATAATACATTAACATTTTAATCAAAGAATAAAGAACGAGGAGAACACATGAAATGCTCCAAAGCATTTAGGAAAGATAATGCCTCATCTTGAGACTCAGCAGTGACTTCATTGTTAGAAAAAAAGCTGTTTGTATAATACACGCCTGTTCTAACTAACCTTCCCTACCTATATTTCCCTTCTGTCTGTAATTCCCCATCTTAAAATAACAATAACTAATAATAATAATGATAACAATAAAAACTTTGTTTGGCTTGGTACCCCCTTTTATTCCTCTAAAAAGAAGAGATTCTTAGCGTGGGCTCCGTACAAAACTTTATATGTGTGTTTGTAGTGGTATTTTTCTGAGAATTAGGTACATAGCTTTCATAAACATACAAATAATTTATAACCTCCAGTAGAAATTAAACAAGCCAACAAAACAAATGTGGAATATATGGTGTCCTCTTAGTTCATCTTTTTTCACTAGTGTTTTGTTTCAGCTGGGCTTTTGAACAAAGCTAATGAATAGTCAACTCAAGGGTTATATTGACCCTTGAATTGTAATGGTCAATTAAGTAATTGTAATATCATGTAATTGTACTTGTAATGGTGCTGACCATTACTTTGTAAAGTGATAGAATCATTCAGATATCCTGCTATCCAATTCAATTCAAACCCATTTTCCTCCTTAAAACCATTTGCTGTCCACCATTTCCAAGATTTCTGTCATGACTTTTCCATTCTCTTAGGCAATCTCCCTCCTTAGTTTGTTGTAGAGTCTTTCTTGACCTTTCTCTCTCCTATCTAATTAGCTGGCAATTTTCTCAGGGGAAGTCTTTTACATACAGTTTTTTCTTTTAATTACTAAAACAAAAACAAAAACTGCACTGATGGTTTTTACCACTGGATCACCATTAGGATCACATGAAGAGCTTTTTGTACTGAAGCTTAGACCCTAGACCCAGACAGTTTCATATAACTGCTCTGGGATAAAGCCTGGACATCGATGTAAAAAAAGAAAAAAATCTCCTGAGGGTGCAGCCAGTGCTGAGGGTCACTTGCCTACCCTATCTTATATGACTATGTTTTTGCTATGAAAACCTCTAGCTGGTGATCTTGTGTCCAATCTTCTTACTCTCCACTTTATTCCATATGACTTTCCCCTCCCTTAGATTAAACTCAGCCTCTTAATTTCCCCATAGCTTCCATTGGTTAAGAAACTCCATTGCCTTCCATTGTAGTGGCCTTTAAATTGTTCTGTGGGGCTTTAAAGGTTCCACAGAATCCCATTGGAACCCTTGACTGGAGGAGGATGAGGAGATAGTCCTCTCAGTCATCTCTTCCCTAGTTTTACAACTAGGGCCCTCAAAAATAAAGTGCAATGAGTTTCTTAAAGACTATAGTAAAGTTAGATTAGAACTCAAATCCCCTTACCCTTGGCCTTTTTTTCTAATTCAGAAAGCTACCTATCCCAGAGCTATACTAATTGATGAAGGTTGGTGCTAGGCCTTTGCCATTTTTTTCTATTTGCTAGCTCTATCCTGCAGTCTTGGCTTTCTTGCCTGGAACATCTTTGGCAGGTGTACCTGTGTCTTCAGGAAAATCAGATGTGACTGAAAGATTTGGCTTGTCCAATTTGTCACGACTTGTTGACAGTGGCCCTGGGAACTGTGGCACCAGTAGCACTAGGGCTTTGATGCCATGCCTGTCAACCTAATAACATTGTGTTTAAGCACAGCGCATTCCACTTTAGCCCCAAGGTCTGTCTATAACCCTATGTATTAAACAGTTAACTCTAGGACAAGCTCTATGGGTTGTCTAAATAGCAGCTTATCTGTGATTCACGGTGAATCAAATGTTCGACCTGCCCCAAAATATCATACCTACTCACCCTGCATGTTACCTATTCAGGTTTGGTAGCTTCTCATGGTAATAAGGTAATCTTTATTTTTTAAATGCACGTGTTCTATTTCAAAAGCATAACATTGTCAGTATTCATTAATACCTTAAAACAAATTTGATTGATATTTTTTCTCATCTGGTTCAGAGCAAAAGTCCTCAGGGAACAGCACCGGCGTAGGTGAAAGTTGATTGATGAGGGTAGGTGTGAAGAAGAGCACAGAAAATAATTTTGAGCTTGGGTGCAGTGTTACAGGACGAGCTTGGACACTCACAGGAGACAGCAAAATGGAAAGTGGATGCCAAAGAATATGAGCTGCCTGATTCCCAGTTTTGCCAAATTCAGCACTTTCCCCAGAGTTTTTTTGGTTAGTTCCCTTTATTTATTGATTTTGCCATTGCTTTGGCAGAAGTGCAAAAATTTGGGAAAGAATAATAGCATCACTATAACGAACATTTATTGAGCACTTACTCTGTGCTAGGTGTTGTTCAAAGCATCTGACATGTATCAACTTATTGTATTAGTCTCCTCAGCATGTAGAGATAGATTGCCATTATGATATTCATGCCACAGATCATGAAACTGTGGCCCAGATGTTTGAAGAATTTCCCTAAGATCATCCACCAAGTAAATCATGAAATCAGGATTCCAAGCAGTCTAGCTCCAAAGCCTGTACTATTTTACTTTATTTTATTTATTTTATTTTATTTTTTTTGTAGCGACGGAGTCTCATTGTATTCCCTAAGCTGGTCTTGAACTTCTGAGCCCAAAATATCCTTCTGCTTCGGCCCTTCAAAATGCTGGGATTAAAGCCTGCATTCTTCAGGCTGGGAGTGGTAGCTCATGCCTGTGATCCAAGCGCTTTGGGAGGCTAAGGCGGGTGGATCACTTAAGCTTAGAAGTTCGAGACCAGCCTGGGCAACATGGTGGAAATCCCCTCTTTACAAAAAAATACTAAAATTAGCCAGGGGTGGTGGCACACACCTGTAGTCCCATCCACTGGGGAGGCTGAGGTGGGAGGATTGCTTGAACCCGGGAGGTTGGGGTTGCAGTGAGCCATGAATGTGTGACCGCACTCAAGCCTGGGTGATAGAGTAAGGCCCTATCTCAAAAAAAGAAAAGAAAAGAAAAAGAAAAGAGGGGGAAGGAAGGAAGGAAGGAAGAAAGAAGGGAAGGAAGGAAGGAAGAAAGGAAGGACTGTATTCTTAACCTCTATTGTCTCTCAAACTTACAGCATTGATAAGTGGTAGGAAGATTCTTCAAATCCAGAGAGTCTGATTGTAGATCATCCCACTATAATGTCTCCTGAGCTGCAATGGATTTTTCAAGTATATTAGACTTTTACGTTCATGGAGACTCGAGTGGTCCAGAAAAAGTTACTTGGTTTAGGATCTTCTTGAAGTTGTAGCAGTCTGGTGTCTCAATAACAGTGCTCTATTGGTTTAATATAAAATAGCAATCTGAAGAAGGAAGTTGAGTGTAAACCTCACAAAGTGTTCAGCAAAATCCCTGCCCAGCTGTTAGTGTCCCAAACTAAAACGGAGAATTCAAACAAAATCACTTCTTGTCTCTGTAAAGGTCAGCTAAGATAAAAATGGTTTAATATTTTTCCCTTCTCTATATGACCAAAACATTGCCAGTGTCCAGGGAACATAAAAAACAAAAACAAAAACAAAAAAAACCCAGAAATCTTGGATATAGGAAATCACTACACGGTCTTTACATGTGTTTTTTTAGGCTTTCTAAAGGGCTTTTTGGATATCAAATGAATCTTCCCAGCTTCCAGGAAATAAACAGATGGCAGGTATCATATTAATTCAAAAATGTGATTAGAATTTGAAGAAAGATCTGCTCGGGTCTTCTCTTTCCCCATCTCCCCCAAAGATGGAACTAATTCTAGTAAGAGGGTCCATTTTGAAGCAGGAGAGAAAAATAAAATGCCTTTTAAGGCCAGTGTTACTGGATGAAGATCATCTTTCTTTTTCTTTTTCTTTTTTTTTTCTTTTTTTTCGAGACAGAGTCTCACTCTGTCACCCACGCCGGAGTGCAGTGGCATAATCTCGGCTCACTGCAACCTCTACCTCCCGGGTTCAAGCACTTCTGCCTCAGCCTCCCGAGTAGCTGGGATTACAGGTGCTCAGCACCATGCCTGGGTAATTTTTGTATTTTTAGGGGAGATGGGGTTTCACTGTGTTGGCCAGGCTGGTCTCAAACTCCTGATTCCCTCTGATCCTCCTGCCTTGGCCTCCCAAAGTGCTAGGATTACAGGCATGAGCCTCCAAGTCCGGCTGGAGCTCAGCTTTCTGATGACTCTCTAGGAGCTGAGAGTATGGAAAAGGAATTGCTGAAGAAAGTGGGATGGGATCAAAGGCAGGTTTACACAATGTGTAAGCTATGGGGGCAGTGGGGGGAGGGGGGGGCTCCATCTTAGAAATCCTTTCTTCTTTTCATCTAGTAATTAGCTATTCTCATACCCAAATTAAAGTATTTCTCCCTAACATTCAGTAAATAAATGTGAAACAAACAAACTCCAACAAACAAAAGGATACTGTTGGTTTGTCAGAAAAAGTTCTTTTCTGTTATTCTCCAGTTTTCAGGAGGGAAACACCTCACCCACTCTCTTAATAGATTTGACCTACCTTTGCTTGAGAACATCTTTCATTTCCATGGAAGCTTTAAAGAAACAGTAATACATCACAGCAAGGCTTCCCAACCTTTTTTGTCAAAGAGAAGCTGCTTTTCATTTTCCCTAAAGCTTTAAGGTCAAGAGATGGGGGTGGGGAGTTCCCAGTAGATTATTCCATTCCTCCTCGGGGAACTTAACAACCCCAGGCCACTGACGTGAGCACCATCAAATCAGGCTTCCAGATCTACCCACATTTACTGGTTAAGAACTCCCATACAAGAATTCTTCCTTTCAATGAGAAATGGAAAAACTCATAAAAAAAATAAGCAATTGCTTGCTGTTTCACTTTCCCAGAAGATGTTCTGAGCACCAGTTAACCTCATTTGCCATCAGAATCAGCCAAAACAGTGAAAGTGACATAGTTTAGCCTCTGAAAATTATTTCTTCATAGCTGGACACCATCCATGTATATTCCCCAAACCAAGTTTTCTGTGAATGCCCTTGTTGCTCTAGGCAGAGTTTCCAGGCTTGCCTTCCCCATTGAATGGAATGTTCAGCCAGGTTTCCACCCCTTGGAGGGCTACTTTCCTGCTAAGATAAGAATTTCTCTGGAAATAAATTACTGACTGTAGGTGCTCACAATCTCACTATCCATTTGCTCTTAAACCAACTCACAATTCTTGAGTTTTCAGAGTAAAAACTATGCTTCCCTTCTGGATTGGAGGACATGCAGTGTAGAGATGAAAAAATTATTTTATCTATCCAGGTGGCCATGCTAAGATGGCTCCCTAGGACTGCCCTAGGCAGGACCCTATAGGCAACAGAAATCAGCCCCATCGAGTTGTAGATTTAATAGTTGGAAGAAATCGCAATGGATCATTTGATCCAGTTCAGACATCTTGGGTAGAATGACTCCATTTTACTGAAGACAAAGTGGAGAGCCTGAAAGGTGAAAGGCATATCCAAGGTTATCTGGTCATCTTGTAGAGCTAGAGAAGGCAGGAGACCTAGGGCCCTTATCTACTATCTCCTACTTCAATACACTGCTTTGCAAATGCTTAAAGGACTATAGGATGCCAATACCTAATGACTTTCTCATGCCCATGAGGTGTTTGCAAGGGAGAAAGAATGGAATACTTCTTAATACAACATAGGAGGTCCTATGATATCAATTCCTTCTGAGGTCTAACTTAATCTGACCCAAACCCAGCTGGGCATGGTGGCTCACACCTGTAATCCGAGCACTTTGGGAGGCTGAGGCAGGAGGACTGATTGAGCCCAGGAGTTCGTGACCAGCCTGGGCAACATGGTAAAACCACCATCTCTAAAAAAAATAAAAAATAGATTAAAAACCTGACCCAAACTTGAGCAAAGGAATGACCTGTAACATATTCGGTATTTATGGATTGATGGACTATTTTAATTAATTAATTGATGTTTTAGAGACAGGGAATCCCTCTGTTGCCCAGGCTGAAGTACACTAGCACAATCATAGCTCACTGCACCCTCCACTCCTGAGCTCAAGTGATCCTCCCACCTCAGCCTCCGGAGTAGCTAAGACTACAGGCGTGTACCACCATGCTCAGCTAGTTTTTTAATTTTTTGTAAAGATGGGGTCTTACTATGTTGCTCAGGCTGGCCTTGAACTCCTGGGCTCAAGTGATCCTCCTGCCTTGGCATCCCAAAGTATTGGGATTACGGGTATGAGCCATGGTGCCCATGAGGATTGACTTAGATGCCTGTCTTCATAACATAGTTCCTTACCCATTTTTGTGAACTTTATTACACACATTGTCCTCTGCTGAAGTCTTCTCTTGTTTTTCTCATGTCTTGCCACCTCAACTCGGTTTTTTGATATTGTTTGGGTCTTTCCTTCATCACTGAATGATTCTTCAAATGTCAGATAGTTGGAGCTGGGATTAGGGGTGAGTGTCAATAATTTGAGCTACTTCGAGGCAGAGGCAGGAGAATCACTTAAGTCCAGGCATTTGAGACCAGCCTGAGCAACACAGAGAGACCCATCTCAAAAAACAAAACAAACAAACAAACAGAAGTCATATAGGTAACGCTATTCCTGGATCAACCAGATTCCCAGGGCTTCCTTTTTATATGTTGCTTGTAGTTAGACACCCATCAGACATTGATCGGTGGTGAAATGGTTGGTTACAATTGTTATGGTTGTGGTTTTGGTTGTTACAATTACTAGCTCCACAGCTATATATAATCTATACAAACTGCCTTTATCATAACTGTAATAAAGATAGGCAGAATTTAGGAAGAGTGAGAGGGAAAAAAAAAAGAAGCAGGTAGTAGGGGTTATTTGTGGAGTTCCTATTTAGTGCATGTCTATGCAATAACCAAGTACTATCTGGAGCTCTAAATATACAGTGGAAATACAGATTCTGCACTTGACGTATGCATTTTGAGTTACTGCAGGCAGAGATACCAAGAATGTTATGCAGTTGAATAAAAATACCCATTCCCACACAGACAAATGTGGGAAAGGGAACCATATGGAACCTGAGAGAGGATGGCCATATTTTAGAGAACTAAATGAAAGCAAGGAAAGGATAGAAATAGGATCAGGACATAGACATTTTTCTTAACCTCAGTAGCTAAAGTTTCCCCCAGTTGCTTTGTGGAATGGAGTAGAAGTCCATTTTAGATAAATATTATTATCTAACATTATACATTTATATTATTCAACATTATTGTGAGTTTGGATATAGAGTTATTTATACTGTATTTGATTATCTATTGCCATGTAACTGATTATCCCAAGATTTAGTGACTTAAAACAACAAACTATTATCTCACAGTTGAGAGTCAGAAATCCAGGAGTAACTTAGCTAGGTGGTCGTGGGTCAGGGTGTCTCATGAGGTTATAGGCAAGCTGTCAGCTGAGGATACATCATCTAATTTGGATGGGCTTGGAGGTTCTGCCTCCAGAAAGCTCACAAAGCAGTTAACTTGAGTCCTCAGTTCCTCAGTGGTGTCGTCTGAAAGTCTCAGTTCCTTGCCATGTGGGCATCTCCACAGAACTCCCTGGGTGGCCTCAAGACATGGTAGCTGGTTTCTCTCAGAGTGAGTGGTCCAAGAGAAAAGGAGCCGGGTAGATTTAACATGAAAGCTTAAGCTTCAATCTTTTTCTCTTTTTTGGAGAGGGGGTAATTTTTTATTGTGGTAAGGTAAATATATATATCATACACACATACGTATATATATGTGTATATATATATATAACTTACCATTTTAATCTGTTGTAAGTGTACAATTCAGTGGCATTAAGTACATTCACATCGTTGCGCAACTCTCAGCACTTCCTATTTCTAGACCCTTTTCATCATCTCAAATAAAATTTCTATACCCATTAAACAGCAGTAACTCTCCATGCACCAAATCCCCAGCTCCTGGTATCTTCTACTCCACTTTCTGTCTCTATGAATTTGCTTACTCCAGGTACCTTTTTCTTTTTATAAGTTGAATCATACGATACTTGTCCTTTTCTGTCTGGTTTATTTTACTTAGCATGTTTCCAAGACTCATTCTTGTTGACCAGGTATGGTGGCTCATGCCTGTAACCCTAACACTTTGGGAGGCTGAGGCGGGAGGATGACTTGAGTCCAGGAGTTCAAGAACAGCTTGAGCAACATAGTGTGACCCCAATTCTAAAAAAAAAAAAAAAAAAAATTAAAAAAATTTTTAAAAGATTCATTCCTGTTGTTGCATGCATCAGAATTTCATGCCTTTTTAAGGCTGAATAATTTTCTGTTCCATGTATATACCACATTTTATAGATGGATGGATAAATAAAATATGATATATACATGCAGTGAAATAGTATTATGTTGTTTCCATTTTTGCTGCAGTCTTTTCGAAACCTACTATGGAAGCGGCATCCCATCATTTCTATTGTAATCTATTCCCTGGAAACAAGTCACTAAGTCCAGCCCACACTTACAGGGATGGGGTAGGACAGAGGTACCAAAGAATCTGTGGGCATATCTCTAAAATGATAGCAGACACCTAAGTTAATTTTAGCATCTGCACACAATTCTTTTCAGAGTATGGGCTCAGTCATTACTAATTCTCTTGATGGATTTATAAAATCCTGAGTTTAAGAATCTTTCAGCTGGGCGTGATGGCTCATGCTTGTAATCGAGCACTTTGGGAGGCTAAGGTAGGTGGATTGCTTGAGCCCAGGAGTTCGAGACCAGCTTGGGTAACATGGTAAAACCACGTCTGTACTAAAAATTCAAAAATTAACCGGGTGTGGTGGCATGTGCCTATCGTCTCAGCTACTTGGGAGGCTGAGGTGGGAGTATGGCTTGAGCCCAGGAGGCACAGAATCATGCCACTGTATTCCTGCCTGGGCGACAGAGCCGGAGCCTATCTCAAATAAAACAAAATAAAAAGAGTCTTTCCAGGGACTAGACCTGAAGTAACCCCTACCAGAGTATAGTGCTGAAAATGGGCAAAACAGAAAAATGGCATGACTTATAAATATTGCCCTAACAAGGCTTATTTTGGTACAGCAGGCATTGTAGATACAAACCTGATTTGTACGCTGATCTTAGGCCTGGGTTTCCCAGCAGCAGGAGTGAGAATAGACCTGCCTCGTGTGTTATTCTCCTGCATGTAGTGGGTGCTATTTCAGTAGTGGTAGTGGCTGTGGCATATGTATTTAGAGCATATTCAGAGTTATTCCTGCTGGAGTCTCTCTTTATATGGAGTTGACAGAAGGCTTAGTCTGTAGTGACAAAAATAACAACAAAAAGGAATAATCCCCAAAACGATTATCCTTTTTATTAATTCCGTCACCATTCTTATTTCTTTCTTTCAAGATTAGCACCACAAAGCTAAACTCTTTTGCCTTTTTAATTTATTGCACTAGTTCAATTTTCTATTTTGTGATGAATGTAAGGGATTTGGAAGTGGTTTGTGAAGATGAAGGCAGGAAGGATGGGAAAAAAAGCAATTACCTCATACCAGTTACACCAGGAAATAGTGGAGGTGCCATTCCTCTGGCATTTCTGCCCATTTTTCTTCATTACTATAATGGCGGCTGCTCTCCTCATTACCAGCACATTTCTCTTCATTACCAGCGTGGTGATAGGGGGGATGATGAGTGCTATTTACAACCAGCATTCTGTGAAAGGTCCAGCAGATGAATAATAACTATTCACACAGATATGGGGAGGCCAAAAAAGGCAAATGGTTAAAGTGAGGCTGTTGTGTTTCAGAAAGGCAGGGAGGCGATTTCCTCTGAAGAGAGAGGGGGCTCATATTCCTCAATGAGGGGACTGCCTTACAGAGCTGGGCTGGAACAGTCCAGGTACTTGAGTGTGTTCTCATAAGAACTGGCCAGAAAACAGTGACATATTTAACCTTTAAATGTGTGTATATCCATAAATATAGACACATCTTGTTGGTTCTGTTTCTCTGGAGAATCCTAATGCAGGTAGATGGATGGATGGATGGATGGATGGATGGATGGATGGATGGATGGATATGTAGATAGATTGATAGATAGACAGATACACACACACATATGTAGATACACAGATGGATAGATGATAGTTTTTATCTATCTATATGGAGAGAGAGAGATTTATTTTAAGAATTGGCTCACATGATTGTGGAGGCTTGGCAAGTCCACAATCTGATGGGGGAGGCCAGCAGGCTGGAGACTCAGGGAAGAGTTGCAGTTGGAATCAAAAGGCTGTGTGCTGACAGAATTCCTTCTTACTTGACGGAGATGAGTCTTTGTTCTATTCAACCCTTCAACTGATTAAGTGAGGCACACCCACATTATAAAGTTTAATAAGCCGTTCTCAAACTCTACCATTATTGATTTTAATCTCATCCAAAAAGCACCTTCCTAAAAACATTCAGAATGATGTTTCATTATTCTGGGCACCATGGTACAGCCAAATTGACATGTACAATAAAAAATCACACTATTTATCTATCTGTCTATCAATCTATCATCTATCCGTAAATCTAGACTAACAAGGTATAAAGAACTTGCAAACCACACATAGAGATGCTAAATTGGGTTCTTACCTAATGACAAGTCTTCAAACTGAGCTGTTGGGATTCTTCGTGGGGTGTGGCCAGTGGCGGCTAGCCAGGAATGGAGTCTTACCTTTCATCAGTCATGCTTTCAGACACTTGAATTGAGGGCAATAATGACTCCAAGGGCAGGAGAGGATCTGTAAGTGGGTTTGGAGGAGAGGCACAGTGTAGATATGGTTGGAAAGTGAGGTGAATTATTTATTAAAGGGCACTGTTAAATTTCACTAATTGCTACTCTTGCTTTTTCTCGATAGCAATGGCTTTTACCCTTGTCCCACGGCCCCCCTGCCCAACTCAAGAAGGTGATGAAATAGGCTGCAGAAGTTCCCAGCCAGGCAAGTAGAAGCAGGTCAGCTTCCCAGAGATGGGCTCATGGGCGGGACTCTAGTTAACCCCTGCGGGCCTGGAGCATTTGGGACAGAGGCCCTGGGAAAAGATTTCCACTAGAAGGGCATTGTCATTTGCCAAACTCTGACGGTGTGTGCAGCCTGTTAAGAATGATAGAGGTGGCATTCCAGCACAGCAAGCTTTCAATATGAGACAGAGGGATGAAAGGAATACAATATGAAAGCAGCAGGTGAAAATGGATGTATCACACAGGGAAAAGATGTTAGAGGAATATTGAGGTATATTAATTCTCCCCAGGTCCCCTCAAATTCAGTAGCTTTAGTGAAAGCAAAGATAATGCTCTTGAATTAGGCCCAGGCTTCTAACAAGTGCCACAGCACCATCTGCTTTGTAGCAAAAGTCATAGGAGGTGGGAAAGACAGACCTGCATGCCATCCGATGATAATTTCTTTAATCATCTCTATTTCCTCAGGAGCTCTCACAAGCTATTGTATGTGGACAAGCTCAGGGAATTTGATGTCTCCCAAATGACGCTTCTCTAGGGTTAGGCGACTCCTAAGGGCAAGACAGCATCTGCCCAGTAGTCTTTGGGATAATCTGCACATGTTTAAGGGCTTGAAACAAGCAACAGAAGCAACTACTTTGCCCCTTGCAAATTTTTCCTAACCAGGTCAGGAGAGGCTTCTGAACTTACTATCGGCAAATTGTCGGACTCTGTCCTTGAAAAATCATTCACCATTGAGAAAGGGCATGGTCTTGTACATTCACACCTGTCTCACTGTAACTTTAATGAAGCAAGAACAAATTAAAGGTAAACATCCTGTAGGGTGTAAACCACCTATATTCCTGAGAGATAGAATGTGGGGATTTCCTTAAATAACTAGCTATAGGCTTTTGGCTTGGGTCCTTTGATTTATTTTCCTTATTGCTGGAGCAACTTGCTCTGTCTCTAAACCAATTTCCCGAATCCCTGAGCAGAGCATGTTATGGCAGTCTCTCATAACTAGACCCAACTAGTTTGAAGCCACCTGGACTTTGCCCTAACTTGGCACCAGACATCCATTTGGAAAATTTGGGCCAGCTAATCTTGCCATGCTTCTTCCTGTTGTCCCTGGGTAACCTTCCCCAGCTTCAGAATTTCAACCACCCGCTGCAGTCTGATGAACTCCAAATCTATATCTGTAGCCCCAAGCTCTCTTCTGAGCCTCAGCCTAGACTTCTCAACCTGAGTGTACAGTGGACACCTCAGACAACATGCCCCAAACTGAAGTCAACATCTTAGCCTACAACTTGCTCTTCTCTTCAATTTTCTAGCTTTGTTAGTGGTGCTACCCTCACCAGTCACTGGAACTGGTTACCTTTTACTTTTCCGTCTCCACCCACCCTCACATATATCCAATCTATCACCATGTTGTGCTGATTTTACATTCTAATTAGTTTTTCTTTAAATGTATCTCTTTCCTTTCATTTCTACCCACTGCTACTACCATAATCCAAGCTCTTAGAGTCATCCTGGTTTGCCCATAACTAGTCCTTCTGCCTTCTGCCTTAACTAGTTAAGACTGTACATGACAGCTTGAATAATCTATCTAAAATGCTGAAAGTCTTTAAAAACTCCCCATCATTTAGAGAACTAAACACTAAACTAATTATCCAGCCCCTCTTTGACTGCCGTCTCCAATGTTACCTCCCAATAACTCCCTCTTTCCCTTTATAATGCTTGTAATACTCTTTTAATTTCCCACGTGTGCTTCCAGCCCTGTGCCTCTGCAGGAGTTATTCCTTCAATCTGGAGTGCCCATCCTACCCTTCTTCACAAGCTAATTATGTCTGACTCATCTTTTAATACTCAGCTAAAGCATTATCTCTTCCAGAAAACCTCTTGTGAACTCCCAGAACAGAACAAGTACCATTCCTCTCTATTATTCTCCATAACATTATGTAGATATCTCTGTTATTATCCCCTTTGTTTATTTTTCTCACTGGATTTTAAAACATTTTTTTCATCTTTGCCCTTAAAGTGCCTAGACTAGAAACTAAAATGATGCTTGATTTTATTTTTCACTGAATTCCTATGTCTTTATATTTTTGGACCCTCATCTATGGAATATTGATTCTACCAGCAAATTTCTTTGATTCACTAAGATGCCATAATGTATCTAAACATTTTTTAAAGTATCTAACAGCTTCCAAGGGTTTTTGAATATCTTCATTTCTTTTGACAAAGTCTCACTCTTTCACCCAGGCTGCTCACTGCAACCTCCACCTCCCAGGTTCAAACAATTCTTGTGCCTCAGCCTCCCGAGTAGCTGGGATTACAGGCGAGTGCCACCACACCAAACTAATTTTTGTAATTTTAGTAGAGACGGGGCTTCACCATGTTGGCCAGGGTGGTCTTGAACTCCGGACTTCAGGTGATCCTCCCACCTCGGCCTCCCGTAGTGCTGAGATTACAGACGTAAGCCACCATGCCTGGCCGAATATCTTTATTCTTGTAGACCCACATCTTCTCTATAACCCACAATACTTACTTCTCCAAAACCACTGACCTCTTGGAAAAGTGACTTGTAGACCAGGTGTCTTCTGAGGTGCATGTTTCCAGTGACTGACATTGTGGCCTTACTTTCTTGGCTGCAGTTTTGGGGGTTCTCAGACAATCACAACAACATTAAACAAGCCAGAGCAAGCTAGCAAAATAGCATCTTAGGTTAGGTTAGAGACCTAACAGAGGCATTGCTGGAACACAAGGAAGTCTCTAGAGAATATGTAGGATTCAGGCAGAGAGTCTCTGCCACTTTGCCTAATTAGAAATAAATGCCTGGCACTTCATTATCTCAATTAAATCTTTTTGTCCACCTGCTGGATACATCACACTATTGAAGATATCATTGGGGTTAAGATATCAATCTCTGTCTGTATGTCAAGGCTGGACGTGGTGACTCACACCTGTAATCCCAATACTTTGGGAGGTCGAGGTGGGTGGATCACTTAAGTTCAGGAGTTTGAGACCAGCCCAGCCAACACGGTGAAACCCTGTCTCTTCTAAAAAAAAAAAAAAAAAAAAAAAAAATCAAAAATTAGTCAGGCATGGTGGCACATGCATGTAATCCCAGCCACTCAGAAGGCTGAGGCAGGAGAATTGCTTGAACCAGGAGGTGGAGGTTGCAGTGAGCCAAGATCATACCACTGTATTCCAGCCTGGGCAACAGACTAAGACTCTATCTGGAGAAAAAAAAAAAAAGGATATACTAGGCAAAGCAAGGAATTTTAAAGATGCAAATTTTCTTGAAAGCATGATCTAAATACACAGATTATGTTGTGTTTCTGTTGTAAAATTCTTCCTGTCTCCCCTGGTTACCTTTGGGATCAAAATCCTTATGACACAATATCCCTGAGAGTCATTACAGCATAGAAGATAAGAGGATGTGTCCTAGCACCAGACTGAGTTGAGATTCCAGCTCAGACTCAATAAATCAACTCCCCAGCTTTCAGTTTCCTCATCTGTAAAATGGAAATAATAAAATAATAGTATTTACTTCACAGGGTATTGTGAAGATGAAAGCAAAGATATGGCAAGAGCTCAGAAGAGTACCTGGCCCATAGTAAGTATTCAGTACAATTCAACTATTCAACTATTGCTGTTTGATATAAGACATGCTCCTTTCTTCATCTGCATTTGTCCATGTACTTCAGCTATATTGAACTTGAAGTTCCTCTCTACTACATCGTTCTCACATTGCTTTGCACCTGCTGCTAGGAAAGGTTTTGCTTTCTTTTGGCTAATTCCTACCACTCCCCACTCCCCTTGCCCCATCAGTCTCTGTCAAGAGACCCTCTCATGTATCCACAAAGATCTCTGTGCTTCCTGCCCCCACTATCTGTCCTGATGTTCCTGTACATGTCTGTCTCCCACACTGTACTCTAAAACCCTCAATAGGAAGGATTTTTTCCCTTAATCTCCCAATGTATACACAACTATTGGCATATAAGACATGCTCAAATATATCTACCAAATGATCTATAGACTACACACCAAACACATGTGAAAAGTGAAAATAAAAATGTATCTAATATCCAAATGGGAAAAAATTATTTCTAAATAAGTATTGTTATCTTCAGTGCTTATAGCATAAGCTTTTGAATAGCCAATGATTAATATGTGGCCTTAAGAGGATGGATTTAATTTTTTGGCAACCCTTAAAAGGAAACCAAAATTAGGTTTTTGGTAAAGATGAGCAATCAAACTTGTTAATACCACTTTAGATCAAAAATAGATACGGCTGGATAAGCAAAATTGTACATCTATAGAATGAAATACTATTCAGTGACTAAAAGAAATGAGCTCTTAAGCCACGAGAAAGCATAGAGGAAGCTTAAATGCATATTGGTAAGTGAAAAAGGCTGTTTAAAAAGGCTACATACTGTGTGATTCTAACTATATGACATTCCAGAAAAGACAAAACTGTAGAGACAATAAAAAGATCAGTGGTAGCCAGGGCTGGAATAACAAGCAGGAAAGGGATGAGTAGGTGGCAGACAGGAGATTTTTAGGGTGGTGAAACTGTCTCGTATGCGACTGTAATGTTGAATGCATGACATTCTGCATTTGTCCAAACCCATGAAACTGTACAACACAAAGAGTGAACCCAAATGTAAACTATAAACTTTAGGCCAGGCGCAGTGGCTCATGCCTGTAATCCCAATGGCTTGGGAGGCCAAGTCAGGTGGATTACTTGAGGTCAGGAGTTCAAAACCAGCCTGGCCAACATGCTGAAACCCCATCCCTACTAAAAATACAAAATTAGCCAGGCGTGGTGGTGCATTCCTGTAATCTCAGCTACTTGGGAGGCTGAGGCAGGAGAATTGCTTGAACCCAGGTGGCAGAGGTTGCAGTGAGCTGATATTGAGCCACTGCACTCCAGCCTGGGTGACAGAGTGAGACTCCATCTCAAAAGGAAAACACCACCACCAACAACAGAACTATGAACTTTAGTTAATAATAATGGATTAATATTGGTTCATCAATTGTAACAAATATACTACACCAAAGCAGGATGTTAATAATAGGGGCAACTGGGGCTGGAGAAGAAGGGCTATATGGAAACTCTTTGTACATTCTGCTCAATTTTTCTGTAAACCTAAAGCTGCTCTAAAAAATAATGTCTAGTAATTTTAAAAAATAGATACAGCTACCAACAAAGAGTCTGATGATCTCCTTGTGTGATCCTCAGGCAGTTTCCAATAGCAATTTCAAATGAAAAATTCCACAGGAGTTTTCAGCAATGACAGCATCATTAGTATAATAACAATAGTTAACATTTACTGAGCACTTACTATATCCCAGTCACTTTTCAAAATGCCTCACATGTGTTAACTAATTTAATCCTTGTGACAACTGTGTGGGTAGGGACTATTATTATTCTCATTTTGCAGGTAAGGAATCAAAGGCACAGAGAGTTTAATCACATTGCTAATGATTGCAAGGTTAAGAGGTAGCACTGACTTTAAACCCTCACTGTATAACCTGGATTCCAGATTTTTAACTGCTGTGCTATTCTGACAATTAATCCAAGTAGCATTTCAAGCAAAAGATTTTGAATGACTAATGCTAATTGGCTTATAAATTATAATGTGTTTGGCTGAAAATTACAGAATGCATAATTTCTTTTTAAACAGAGTCTTACTCTGTCACCCAGGCGGGAGTACAGTGGCATGATCTCAGCTCACTGCAGCCTCCGCCTCCCAGGCTCAAGTGATCCTCCCATCTCAGCCTCCCGAGTAGCTGGTATTACAGGTGCATGCCACCATGCTCAGCTATTTATTTTAAATTTTTTTTGTAGAGGTGAGGTCTCACTGTATTGCCCAGACTGGTCTTGAATTCCTGGGCTCAAGCAATCCTCCTGCTTCGGTCTCTCAAAGTGCAGGCATTACAGGCACGCGCCACTGTGCCTGGCCCAGAATGCATAACTTATTTTGGGCTAAAACATGCAAACCATTCATTATCTCACTTAAAAATAAGTCCAGGGCTGGTAGTTCCTTAGTTATTTCCAGTGACTTTGGGTTGGCATTGCTGAGACTTTTTGGCCTAACTCTCATGGTTGCAGGATGGCTGAGGAATCCTAAACATCACCTCTCACATGACAGTATACAAAGCATCTATCTTCTTGTTATGAAAGACAACATTTCCGAGGAGTTTAACTGTGTCACATGGCCACCTCTAAAGAAAAGTCAGGGAAGCCAGTAGCTAGCAAAAAAGACCAGCGTTTTAAACTGGCTATGTTGCCTCCTGAACAAGGTTCTGCTAACACTGAGGATGGGCAGATGGTTTTGAGGTGTGCATTGCAAGTGTCTGCCACAATGTCTTTAAAAGAAAACCAATCAGTGCTGCTTTATCTTAGTATCTTGAGTAAGAGCACAAGGATGGTTGCTTAAGATGCATCATTTCTCCACTTTTATACACCCCAACATGCCAAGGGATATGACACTTTCCTATCTGTAACAGTGGCTCCCTATGGCAGTCATTCTTGGGAATCTGTCCAAATCCCCGAGTTGAGGACTGAGAATTGAGGGAAAAATCATAATCCAGACAATGAGACAGGGTCCCACATAAAGCAGACCAATTCCTTTTTTCTTTCTTATTTGCTGTAAGACTCCCATTGAAATCTGGGATCTTTTTATGCATCAGTTTGTTTAATTATGAAATGGTGATAAATCTACGATCACAGAGATGTAGAGGGGCATACAATATATAATCAAATCATAGTATTATTTTAGAAGCAAGTATTTTAGTTTATTAGATCATCCAAACAAATAGGATATACATTTTTAAGTTTCATAAGCATAGATGTTTTTAAAAAAATCTAAAACCTGGCCGGGCACAGTGGCTTATGCCTGTAATCCCAGCACTTTGGGAGGCTGAGGTGGGTGGATCACTTGAGGTCAGGAATTTGAGACCAGCCTGGCCAACACAGTGAAACCCCATCTCTACAAAAATCATACAAAAATTAGCTGGGAGTGATGGTGTGTTTCTGTAGTCCCAGCTACTCGGGAGACTGAGGCACGAGAATCGCTTGAGCCCAGGAGGCAGAGGTTACAGTGAGCCAAGATCGCGCCACTATACTCCGGCCTAGGTGACAGAATGAGACTCTGTCTCAAAATGAATAAATAAATAAAATCTAAAAATTTAAAACTTGTCAATTCCAATCTAAGTATAAAATTCTAATGAGTTCCACATTATGCCAGAAAGCTTAAATACCTTGATTTTCTGTAGAAGAGTGATTTGAAATTTCATTTCTATGTAACCAAAACAGTGATTGAAAAGAAAATGTTAGCTCTGTCTGAGTGAATTACAAGTATATTTAAAGCCAGTTAGAATGATTTTTATTTTATGTATTTTTGCCTTAGCAGTGGTAGCCTAAGTCTACTTCTTTCCATTTGGTTGGGTGTCAACCGTCCCTACACTAAGCTCATCCCTTATGTAGGTCAGAGCCCTTTAAAAACATGTAAGGATTTATATTGAATGCTATGGGAAGATGGCTATGGTTTAAAGATAATCCTTCTATTGATCTACAATGCTGTACTATAGCTACAGCTTGCCTTAATAAGATTAAGTCCATGATTGCATTCCTTTGGAAACAGGGTATGATGGCAGATCATTTGGATCAACTCAATGGAAGTGGTAAAATAAAATCACAAACTATTAGTGCTGGGAGGAATCTTAGCAAACACCTGGTCAATATCCTCATTCAATGTAGATGTCCCCTCAATATCTTCTGTTGATCTCTTCAGGGATGAAGAACTCCCTTCTTTCAGAGGTAATTCACTCTATGTTTAGATATTAATAGTTATTAGAAAGCTCTTCCTCATCTGAAATGATTTTAATCCTGTTTTCTGAGGCTCACATGATTAGTTCTTACACCTAGCTCACCATTTTTTAAAAGTTACCTTTTCAATATAACCACCCCAATGTTTCCCAGTATTCATATAATGTGGTTTGCCTACTCCACGCTATCTTTTTTTATTTTTCATTAAAACTATTCTGATTCCTCAACATGTCCCTCTTACAGCATGCACACGGACTTACGCTAGGTAACGTTTCTTTCCATTATGTTCCTGGGGCAAGAAAGGGGGTGTTTAATTCTAGAAAATGTAACAACTAACTGTCAAAAGTTTATGAATATATAAAATTAGCTATATATTCTATATGGTAAAACATAAGAAAGTAGCTATATAAATAGTGAAACATAAGCTACTTACTTATTTGTTCTCCATCACTGTAAAAATAGAAGAATTTTCCAGGAAGAGAATAAGGGAGAAACAAAGAAGGAATTAAAAAATAACTATATACACCATACCTTAAAGGGACTTGCCACTATTTTCTCTAAGAAATCCTGCTACCTTTTAGTCATTCTATACCCATGGTCCCTAAACTGAACCCAAAGCCCAGTGTGGATTAATGAGCTGAGAATATAGTACAAATACTTGTATTAGAAACTCAATAACAGTGATTCCCAAGTGTGGTTTGTGGACCTAAACTTTTTAAAAATGGAGACTCCTGGGCCCCACTCTTAGAGATATATCTGGGATAATGCCAGAAAAAATTGTAGAGTGATGTCTATGTGCATTCATGTGTGTGGATGTGTGTGCTTCATTCTCCAAGTGATTCTGATACGTACTCAAGTGTAAGAGTTGTTGTTTTCATCTTATTATGCAGCCCAAAACTCCATTAGAATTTTGAAAACAATTAAATGTTGTCTCAAACTGGTCAATAGTTAACCAACACCTGTCTTTTTCCTGTAAATCCAGATAAACCAGGTTTCTGTCTACTCATACTAGACTTATGAGGCTTTTTTTTAGCCTAAGCTCAAAACTTTATGTTTATCCTTTTACATTTCTTCCACTAATTTGGGACATTACTTCCAGACTTCTCTTATATTATAAATCTTAAATCTTTCATATAAGACCTTAACTAAGCTGTATGTACTAATTTAATCATTAAATCCAATATCCCTGCAGAATTCTCATCTGAATTTCTGATTAAAATGATTAGAACTGAATCAAACTTAGATCCAGCTTTCTTCCACACCCCATTATCATCAATTTACCCACATAGCAGTCTATGATCTTTTAAAATAACAAATCAGTGACTACATAGGCACAGGATTAATTTAAAAAATCAGGTCACATCATGCTCCAAATTAAAATTCTCTGTTGAATGCCTTTGCATTCACTATAGCCTTCAACACTGCACTGACCTGGCCTCTTGGACTTCATCTGCCTCTTTACTGTTCTGCCAACATGTCAACCTTATATCTCCAGCCTCAGGTCTTCATATACCTGCTAGTTCCTTGGTCTAGAATGCTCTTACATCAGATCCCTTCATGGTTGCTTCTGTCTTAATAGTCAGGTCTCTGGTCAATGTCAACACCTCAGACAGGCTTCCCTTCCCACTCTAGATAATGTGCATGCTTATTTTTATTTAACATCTGTAATTATGTTTATTTGTTTAGTTGTGAAATTTCATGAGAGCAGAATATTATCTTGTTCATCACTGTATCTCCAGCACCAAGAAGAGTACTTGGATTATAAGAAGTGCTCGATAGACATTTTTGGATAAATGAAAGGATATAGAACCATTTTGCTTATGTGCAATAATTCATTAATCAGCCTCCTTTAGATATAATTATTCCATTAGCTACCAGTCCTCCCCATGGGTCTATGTTATCCACAAGTACATCATGAAAGACTTTACCAAATTTGATTATTGATGCTAACATCCATGTGTGACATAACTGTGATCATTTCCTGATATATATGTGACAGTCCAAAAAAGAAATCAGGTTAATTTGATAGAGTGCTTTTTTTTTTTTTTTTTTTTTTTGTGGCATGATCTCAGCTCACTGCAACCTCTGCCTCCAGGGTTCACGTCATTCTCCTGCCTCAGCCTCCCAAGTAGCTGGAATTATAGGCGCGCACTACCACATCTGGCTAATTTTTTTTATTTTTAGTAGAGACGGGGGGTTTCACTATATTGGCCAGACTGGTCGCAAACTCCTGACCTCGTGATCTGCCTGCCTTGGCCTCCCAAAGGATAGAATGCTTTCTTAGTGAACCCAATTTGGTTCTTTGTGATCATTTTAGAATTTTCTAACCTGGGACTTGCCATGAATTTGTATCAGTTACACTGGTTTTTAGCCTCTTGATTCCTCCTCCTTTAAACATGAGGACAACCTGTTGAAAATCCTGGTTTTTATCTATCACCAATTTCCTTCTACCCCTCTCATACTTAATGATTCCCAAAAAGTTATATGCAGGGACCTGTACTCACATTCACAGTTCTCTAGTGTGATGGAGGTGGCAAAGCATATGACTGCAGGTCAGTGTATGGGCTCAAGGACGGTGCTTCTCAAACCACAGTGTACATAAGAATCACCTGGAGATCTTATTAAAATGCAGATTCTGATTCCATAGGCTGAGATTCCACATTTCCAACATGTATCTGGGCAATAACAATGCTGCTGACTTGTAGCCATCCACTGGCTAGAAGGCTCCAGAGTCAGGCTGTCTGGGCTCAAATCCCAGCCCTGCCATGGGCAAGCTATTTAATTCCCTGGGCCTCAGTTTTTTCATCTGAAAAATGGGGATAATAGCATCTACCTTCTACGTTTTTTTCCCCTAATTGGCGTAGAGAATATGTATATTCTAGATAATGTATACATATATATGTATGGCATAGAGAATATATATAATATAATATATATATGGCACTTAAAGCCCTTGCATCTGATAGTCAATGTTTGCCATGATTATTAGTATCTTGGAATGTAATTCATCCAGACTTGAGCTCATAAAATGGTCATGTACTTTCTTATCTGCACATCTATCTCTAGCTTTCATTCCCTTTTTAAACTGACCTTCTATTTTTTATATTTTCCAATTTATTGTCTTTGATGGTAAAAAGGAAATCATAGAGGAATGAATGACTTTTCCTTGTTTTTGTCACAGATGAACCATGTGTTACTTACTCCAAGTAATCAGCTTATCTTTCCATGTTTTTCTTCTTATTTCAATATACTCTGAAATATCCTGCTTAATATTCTTGGCATTTTGGTAAGCTTCAGTTTATTCTGACACTATTCAGTGTCAGGAGTCCATTTAACAACAATAACAGAATCATTTTTGCATTAGTTATTGAGCATAGCTAAGCGATTCATTCAAATGAGGTGGTGTAGCCTAAGCGAGCAAGAGCTTCTCACACTCAGTCTTGCTTTCCAGTTGAGTAGGCCAAGATGATAACAGGTGAGCTTTCAATAACTGCTGATGTAGGACAAGTAGGACGGGTTGTGTAGTTTATTATCAGTTCTCCAGGAACTCACCACACCCTTGTTTAAAGATAATTTAGAAAATTGGAATGGTGATGAAGGGGATAATTGCTGGGGTGCAAATTACATCAATTTCTACAAACTTGTTGCCAAATTTCAGTTTATTTGGATAAAAAACAACTTGGAGTTGTAATGTTACCAACATGCCTGATAAATCACGTGCTATGTTAAGTATTATAAACATTAAAATGATAAGCCTGCACTTCTCACAAGAAGGCCATCATTAGACTAAATGATAAATTAGAAATGATCCACACCTTGGCCAGTGGCAGAACACAGGCAGAACCCAGGGCAAACCATGTTGTATGAACTTTAACTAATGACAACTTGCACTTGCATTTCATTTAAGAAATTATAGCATCTTCCCACATATTTTCTTTGTTCCTCTCGGTGAAATGTCAAATAATCCCACAGAAACACTTTTTCTCTTTTTCCCACGTTCATAGTGGTGTTCAATAGCTTGGGCTCTTACATCGAATTACCTGATTGTATTCATTGGGTCCTCCATGAAACAGATGATAAAATGGGATAAAATATACAGGGATTTTTTTTTTTTTTTTCAGAGAAAATGCCAGTGTTGGAGAAAATGGGAGAGGAAGCTGGAAAAGCCTGGGGGAGTTATCATCAGTGATACATGTCTGACCCCAGGTGAAGGAGGGAGGGAGGGAAGGTTGGGTTGAAGTGTCCTAGACTATAGTAAAGTCCAGGAGAGATTTGGCAAGGATCTTGAGGAGTTCTTAAAACAAAGTTAGCTGTCAGAGGACCCCGTATTATCAATGAACAAACTTATCATAGTATTCCCAGCAATGGGTTTCAGTGAGCAGTAGCTGGGTCCCTTAATCAATAATGCATCCTGTAGTTGGAAGTCTATGAGGCATAATTTCAAAGGTGCCCCACGGTTTCTATCCTAGCTCCGCCATTAATTGGCTGTTATTCTAGCAAGTTACTCTGCCTCTCTTTAAACCTCATCTTCTTCATTTGTAAAGTGGTAATGCTAGTAGTACCTTCTCTGTGGTGTGGTTTAAATAAGATAAAGAATGTATTGTTGTTTTTCTCTGGGGCACCTGGATCCTGACTGTACCAACTGCTTTCAACTGATTGGTCTGTGTTCAGGCTGAAGTCCTGGGCTGAAATTCATAGATGTTGTGTTCTAAAAGGAAATGCTTACTAATCTCATTCATCAGAAAGAATCTGAAATATTTTATCTTCTGACTTTTGTATATACATCTCTCCTTTTAAAAATGAAACAAATAAACTTACAAAGAACAAAGATATAATAGACTGGGAACAAAATAAACAGCCTCAGGCACATGTGGCACTATACCAGAAGATCTAACATTTGTGTCATTGGGGTGCTAGAAGAAGAGGAGAGAGAGTTTGGGGTTGCTAAAGTACCAGACATAATAGCTGAAAACTTCCAAAATTTGACAAAAGATATAACCTATAGAATCAAGAAACTGGGTTAACCCCAAATAGGATAAACCCAAAGAAATCTATATCTAAAGCACATCATAATCAAACTTCCAAATATTAAAGACTAGGAAGAAGTCTTGAAAGCAGTGACGGAGAAACAACAATTTACCTAAGGAAGAAAAACAGCTCAAATGACAGTGGAGTTCTTATCAGAAAGCATGACAGAAGGAAGTGGTACAACATTTTTCAAGTGCTGAAAGAAAAGAGCTGTCAATGCAGAATTCTGTATCTAGTGAAAATTTCTTTAGAAATGAAAGGGAAATCAAGATATTCTCAGATAAAGGAAAACTAAGAGAATTTTTTTTTTTTTTTTTACCAGCAGGCCTTCTCTAGAAGAATGGCAAAAGGAAGTTCTTTAAACAGAAAGGAAATAATAAAATATGGACCTTCGAATGTTAGGAAGAAAGAGAAAATATGAGAAATGTTTATTTATAAAATGTGTGCAATGAGCAAAAATATGGTTAAAGACAATGGATTGCTTCTTTTCTTGGGTCTTCTAAATCATGTTTGATGGCTGAAGCAAAAATTATAACAGCATCTTATGTGGTTCTAAATGTATACTGAGGAAATATTTAAAACAGTTACATTTTAAGCAGGTAATGAGGGACATACAGCTCAGAAAGGAAGAAATAACACTTCCCCTATTCCCAGATGACATGATTTCCTGTGTAGAAAATGCCATGGAATCTAAGCAAATAAACAAACAAACAAAACAATAAAAGATCCCACTAGAATCAATAAGTGAGTTTAGCAAGTTTGCAGAATACAAAAAAGCACACATGAGAAACATCAGTTGTCTTTCTATATGGTAACAGTGAACACATGAATACCAAAATTAAAAATACAATACCATTTACAATCAACCAAAAAATATGTACTTATGTATACAGGAATTATGTGTTGAAAAATACAAAATGCTGATGAAAGAAATCAAAGAAGAACTAATTAGAGAGAGACATACCATATTTATGCATTGAAATATTGACATAGTGAAGATGTCAGTTCTCTTCAAATTGATATACAGGTTTAACGCAATTCCTATCAAAATCCCAGCAAGAGTTTTGTAGATTGAGACAAGACTATTTCTAAAATTTAGATGAACAAACATAGGAATTAAAATAGCTAAACCAATTTTGAAAAAGAAGAATAAAGTGGGAGAAATCAACTCCCTCATTTTAAGACTTACTATAAAGCTACAGTAATTAAGACTGTACGGTATTGGCAAAGGGCAAACACATAGATCAATGGAACAGACCAGAGAATCAAAAAATAGACCCACAAAAATATGCCCGATTGATTTTTGACAAAGGTGAAAAAGCAATTTAGTGATGGAAAAATAGCATTTTCAACAAATGGTGCTGGAGCAATTGGGCTTTCATGAGCAGAAATATCTTGACCTAGCTCTCGCACCTTATGCAAGAATTAACTCAAAATAGGTAATGGACTTAAATGTAAAACACACAAAAAAGTCAAGTCTTAGACTTGACACCAAAAGCAAAGTCCATAATAGAAAAAAATAGGTAAATTAGATTTAACTAGACCTACTCAAAATTAAGCCTTTTTTTCTGTGAACAACTCTGCTAAGAGGATGGAAAAACTAACTACAAACTTGAAGAAAATAGTTGCAAAGCACATAGCCAACAAAAGATTAGTATGTGGAATAGATAAACAACTTTCAAAAGTTAACAGTAAAAGACAAACATCTAATTAGGAAATTGACAAAAGATATGAAGAGACACCTTACTAAGAAGATACACAGATAGAAATTAAGCACATGACAAGATCTTCAACACCATTAGCCTTTAAATGAAATCAAGACCTCAATGAGATATCACAACACACCTATCTCCTTATATGTCACATGTAAACTCTTAGTCTAATAGAGAAATAAAAGTATGGAACATTTTATAAGATATATAGCATATGATAAAAGACAAGTACATAAGCCAGCACTAAGCCTGTAGTGAGTGTGTACTATTTGCCAGATATCCTATGTGTTTTATCTCAGTTTACCCTGACAATCCCTTGAGGCAGTAATGTAGAAGATACATACTCAATATTTTCTGGTTAAATGAATAAGTAATTTCATCTCTGAATGGTTGAATGAGTGGATGGATGTTTGGAATTGGTAAAGGGTAGAACAATGTAAAACATTTTAAGACATAACACAGGCTGGGCATGGTGACTCATGCCTGTAATCCCAACACTTTAAGAGGTTGAGGCAGGTGGATTGCTTGAGCTCAGGAATTCAAGACCAGCCTGGGCAACATAGTGAAACCCTATCTTTACCAAAAAAATGCAAAAAATTAGCCAGGCATGGTGGTGTGCACCTGTAGTCCCAGCTACTTCAGTGGCTGAGATGGGAGGATCACCTGAGCCAAGGAGGTTGAGGCTGCAGTGAGACATGATCACACCACTGCACTCCAGCCTGGGCAATGAAGTAAGACCCTGAAAAAAAAAAAAAAAGACATAAGGCATTTAGACATATGAGGCTAAGGGAGCTTATTTCAAGAGATTTCTGATCATAATACCAATGCCATAATACCAACTTATAGGACCAGGGAAGAAAGATGCAGGCAAGTCAAACAAAATCAGAAAAATTAGTCACCCCTTGAAGTTGAACATTGTAAACAAGAACTCCTCAAAGTAGTACGCATCCTTGAGAATAGCACATATCTTCTTGGTATAAGTACATGATAAAGACATTTCAGTTAGAACTTTTCTGTTAACTGCTGCATGATCATTTGCAAGGCTATGCATCTTTGATTTCTCAGAAACCTGGCTAACCACCCCTAGGAAATCAGCTATTGTTTCAGGGTAGCAGGGAATCCACAATAAGCTTCCTGACAAGGAAGGCCTCTAATGGAGCTGTGCATCTACTGGCATGACCATTTGCCTGCCTTTGACCCTTGGCAGGGATTTGACCTCCAGCTTGAGGTTTCTATTTCCTAGCTTTTGACCAGGGGTAACCACACTTGACCTCTGGCCTCAGTGTGATCTCTGACTGCCAACCCCCAACTTGGCTTTGATTGTTCTGCACAATCTGTAGTCCCCCAGGGTCCAGAAAAATCTCTTCCACTAGCTCCCACCAGCTGTTACCACCTTTGTTCTCTTTCTCTCCTCTAGTCCTGGCCAACTGAAATCTACAGCCCCTAACAATGGAGGGGCCCCTCCACAGTGCCCTGTGTGCTGTCTCTGATCGATTGCTAATAATTATCATGATAAGTCCTCGTTTTTCAAAATGCTAACCATGCTATGACTTGCAATATCTCATTTAGCACTCAAGAATTCCATGAGGAGGATATTATTTATCCCTGTTTCTGAAGATCAGGACACTGAAGCTCAGCAAAATTGAAAGTAACTTGTCCAGGTTCACATTGCCAGAAAGATTTAGGACCTGTTCTTTTTACTTCAAATCCATTTCCCAAGCTTTCTATTTATTAAAGATCCTCCTTTGGATATCCAATATTGGTTTGGGTACTGAATATCCTCACTGTGAAAAACCTCTGTTTGTTTTAGTTTCAAAAGCTGTTATGTTTTTCAATATACCAGAAAATTCTTGGGCAGACTTTAAATCCTTTCAACCCTCTTATCTAATAAGAGCTGTGACAACCAGTTCTATGAAGTTTTGACCAGCTTTAGCAGGTGCAAGCTGGCATACTTCACCTCAACTTTCTGACAGTCAGCTTTGGATGTTTGTGGGAGTCCACATCACTCACACTTGCACAATCCAAAAGTACTGGGGATCTAATACCCTTGATCACTGTGGGGTGGGAGCCAGTGAATACCACTTCCCCTTATATCATCCAATGGATAGCTCCCAAACACATCTGCTAAGCCTCCTCAAAAGATCCTGCAACAAAGCTGGAAGCATTCCCCTTGAAAACTGGCACAAGACAAGGATGTCCTCTCTCACCACTCCTATTCAACGTAGCATTGGAAGTCCTGGCCAGGGCAATCAGGCAAGAGAAAGAAAGAAAGTGCATCCCAATAGAAAGAGAGGAAGTCAAACTATCCCTGTTTGTGGACCATGTGATCCTGTATCTAGAAAACCCCAGAGTCTCAGCCCAAAAGCTTCTTAAGCTGATAACAACTTCAGCAAAGTCTCAGCATACAAAATCAATGTGCAGAAATGACTAGGATTCCTATATGTCAGCAACAGTCAAACCAAGAGCGAAATCAGGAATGAACTCCCATTCAAAATTGCCACAAAAAGAATAAAATACCTATGGATACAGATAACAATGGAGGTGAAAGATCTCTACCAGGTGAACTACAAAACACTGCTCAAAGAAATCAGAGATGATGTAAACAAATGGAAAAATATTGCATGCTCATGGATCGGAAGAATCAATATTGTTAAAATGGCCATACTGCCCAATGCTATTTATAGATTCAATGCTATTCCTATTAAACTACCATTGAAATTCTTCATGGAACTAGAAAAACTATTTTTAAATTAATGTAAAACCAAAAAAGAGCCCAAATAGCCATGGCAATCCTAAGCAAAAAGAACAAACCTCGAGGCATCAGGCTACCAACTTCAAACTATACTACAGGGTACAGTAACCGAAACAGCATGGTACTGGTACAAAAACAGACATATCAACCAAAGGAACAGAATAGAGAACCCAGAAATAAGACCACACACCTACTATCTGATCTTTGACAAACCTGACAAAAACAAGCAATGGGGAATTCAATAAATGGTGCCGGGAGAACTGGCTAGCCATATGCAGAAGATTGAAACTGGACACCTTCCTTACAACAAATACAAAAATTACTCAAGATGGATTAAAGACTTAAATGTAAAACTCAAAACTATAAAAACCCTGGCAATACTACCTAGGCAATACTATTCAGGACATAGGCACAAGCAAATATCTTATGATGAAGATGCCAAAAGCAATTGCAACTAAAGCAAAAATTGACAAATGGGATCTAAGTAAACTGAAGAGCTTCTGCACAGCAAAAGAAACTATCAACAGAGTAACAGACAAACCACAGAATGGAAGAAAATTTTTTGCTAACTACGCACCTGACAAAAGTCTAATACTAGCATCTATAAGAAACTTAAACAAATTTATAAGAAAAAACCAATAACCCCATTTAAAAGTGAGCAAAGGACATGAGCTGACACTTTTCAAAAGAAGACATACATATGGCCAACAATCATATGAAAAAAAGCACAACATCACTGATTATTAGAGAAATGCAAACCAAAACCATAATAAGATAGCATTTCACAGCAGTCAGAATGGCTGTTATTAAAAAGTCAAAAAATAACAGGTGCTGGTGAGGGTGTGGAGAAAAAGGAACGCTTATACATTGTTGGTGGAGTGTGAATGAGTTCAGCCATTGTAGAAGACTGCGTGGTGATTCTCAAAGACCTAAAGACAGAAATACCATTTGATCCAGAAATCCCATTACTGGGTATGTACCCAAAGGAGTATAAACCATTCTATTATAAAGACACATGCACATGTGTGTTCACTGCAGCATTATTCATAATAGCAAAGACATGGAATCAACCTAAAGGCCCATCAATGATAGAATGGATAAAGAAAATGTGGTACATATGTACCATAGAATACTAGGCAGCCATAAAAAAGGAGTGAGATCATGTCCTTTGCAGGGACATGGATGGAGCTGGGAGGCCATTATCCTTAGAAAACTACTGCAGGAACAGAAAACCAAATACCGCATGTTCTCACTTATAAGCTGGAACTAAATGATGAGAACACATGGACACATAGTGGGGAACAACACACACTGGGGCCTGTCAGAGTGTGGGGGGCGGGAGGAGGGAGAGGATCAGGAAAAACAGCTAATGGGTACTAGGCTTAATACGTGGATGATGAAATAATCTGTACAACAAACTCCCATGACACACATTTACCTACAGTAACAAACCTGCACATGTACCCCTGAACTTAAAATAAAAGTTAAAAAAAGAAAAGATCCTGCAGCAACAGGCATCAGCTAACCACAGCAATGGACAACTGGAGAAGCCTTCCTTTCATCAGGTTTCTTCCTCCCTTCTTTCACTTAGCCCTCATTCCTGCTCCCTGGGATCACATTTCCAAAGTAATTAAACCTACACACCAGGTTGACTCAGGATTTGCTTCTGGAGAAACCTAGGCTAAGACTCTGCTGATGAGTCTCAGTAAGTCCTTTCCTTTATCTGTGAATCATAGTTTTCCATCTTACATGTCTGCATGATTATGCTCAAGCATTATTCAAGTTTATTTGGTTTCTTGGCTTCAGCAGTGGCTTATAACAAGGCAAGCAGATACCCTTATGCAATGTATTACCAGCATATTTATGTGAAACTTACTTATTTTGCATTCATAAGGGAACTTGAGTTAACTGCTAAGTAAGGTGGCTCAAGTTGGTTCAGAAGTTTCCTGATTGGCTGTTAATGGTTCTTATGTAAATGGTCAATAAAACTCCGTTTGACGATAAAAATCTATACTAAAAAATTCCCAGCTAATCTTTTCCATTCCTGGACTTCCTTCGTGCTCCCTATAAACACAATTTTCGACAAGATGTGTAATGACATGGGAATGGTTTAAGCCCTAAGCTCTATTTAGAACACACCCACAGGCCATTTTAGGCCATTTGACTGCTAGTTCTACAACTGATTGGGGTGAGGAGGAGCGTAAAAAGTGATGTACACTTTGGAAAAATTTTCTGGTGATTCAGGTACTCAATCTATTTACCCTCTGCCCACTTACACCACACATGATCTCAAACCTGTGGTATTGGGCAGTTACAGACACTAACAATACAATGGAACAGTTAAATCATTTCTATGGGGCACTGCCTTTAGAATCTCTATGGCTGAAAAGGCAAAACCAGATGTCAGTGGAGGGAGCAAACCCAGAGATCTAATGCCTTTCTTTCATTTTATATAAACTTAAGAGGCCCAGAGTTAAATTGCTTCTTATGAAATCTCCTTAGCAAGTAAATTTGTTTAGGAGCAGATAAGCTGAGAAATTCTCACATCTTCCAGAGAATCAAATATTCCAGGTGATTATGATCTGAGGATCTGGAGAAATGATGATTGTGGTTTATTCTGAATGTCAGACAATAAAAATATAGGAACACAGATCATGTGCAGGTTATATACCATGGCTGATTTTTATTTCATTTTATTTTAGTTTTTCTTTACATTGAAAGGCAGTAGGCCAGGCACAGTGGCTCACACCTGTAATCCCAGCACTTTGGGAGGCCAAGGCAGGAGGACTGCTTGAGCCCAGGAGTTTGAGACCAGCCTGGGTAGCATAGCAAGATTCTGTCCCTACTGAAATTTTTTTTTTAATTAGCCAGGCATGCTGGTGCATGCATGTAGTCCCAGCTGCTTGGGATGCCAAGATGGAAGGATAGTTTGAGGCCAGGAGGTCGACAATTCAGTGAGCTGTGATCATACCACTGCACTCCTGGGTGATAAAGTGAAGCCCTGTATTGAAAAGAAAAAAAAAGCAATCATCTAAACTGTATAAATTAAATATTACAGTCAGCACAGAGCTGCTTTATTTGACTGAACAGCAAGATTAGTCACATCAAAACTAGTTACATCTTTGAAAGACAGGATTCCATTAGCTGCTGTGTTGCCTTTTGTGACTGGTAACCTAGTATCAGCGTTCATGTGGGAGTTAAGTCAGTGAGCAGCAAGATGCAAGAAAAGACTTTCCAAATTATGAAGTTGACAAATAAATTAGAAAAAATGCAAAAATGCACACATAAACACATGCATGCATTGCACATATACATACAGGGATGGTGAGATGATTCCATTATAGCTGAATCCTTTTGTTTTTTAATCTTTACCAATATCATTTATTAAATATCTGCCTCTATGTGACTTTTCAGGAATGAACCAACTTTCTTCCTCCCATACTTTTCTCCAGTCTGTTATAGTATTTATGATATCATATTAACATTTGCTGCATATCATCTTCACAAATAAGTGAGCCTTAATGTGCATATAGCACATGGTAGGCAACAAAGGATATTTTATTGCATGAATTAGTGAATGATTAAAAATTATTTGGTTGTCAAATTATACTAGCGGTAGCAAAGCTTTCTTTTTGGTGTAAAGACACTCTTGGCTCATGCCTGGGAAAGCTGAGGTTCCATATATATCAAGAGTCTCCTTGCAGGATGCCTACTCTCACCACTTCTATTCAACATAGTACTGGAAGTTCTAGCCAGAGCAATCAGACAACAGAAAAATAAAGAGCATCCAAATTGGTAAAGAGGAAGTCAAATTGTCACTGTTTGCTAATGCTAATAATGTGATCGTATACCTAGAAAACCCTAAAGACTCCTCCAAAAAGCTCCTAGAAATGATAAATGAATTCAGCAAAATTTCAGGATACAAAATTAATGTACACAAATCAGCAGCTCTGCTATACACCAGGAGCAACCAAGCTGAGAATCAAATCAAGAACTCTACCTCTTTTACAACAGCTGAAAAAGACATAAAATACTTAGTAATATGCCTAACCAAGGAGGTGAAAGACCTCTACAAGGAAAACTACAAAACACTGCTGAAAGGGATCATAGACAACACAAACAACTGGAAACACATCCCATGCTCATGTAAGGGTAGAATCAATATTGTGAAAATAATACTACCCAAAACAATCTACAAATTCAATGCAATTCTCATCGAAACACCACCATCATTCTTCACATTCTTCATCATTTTTCACTTTTTTTTTGTTTATTTGTTTTGAGACTGAGTCTCGCTCTGTCACCCAGCCTGGAGTGCAGTGGCCGATCTTGGCTTACTACAAGCTCTGCCTCCCAGGTTCACGCCATTCTCCTGCCTCAGCCTCCCGAGTAGCTGGGACTACAGGTGCCCGCCACCATGCCTGGCTAATTTTCTGTATTTTTAGTAGAGACGGGGTTTCCCCATGTTAGCCAGGATGGTCTTGATCTCCTGACCTCGTGATCCACCTGCCTCGGCCTCCCAAAGTGCTGGGATTACAGGCGTGAGCCACCGCGCCCAGCCCATCATTTTTCACTTGAAAAAACAATCCTAAAATTCATATGGAACCAAAAAGAGCCTGCATAGCCAAAGCAAGACTAAGAAAAAAGAATGAGTCTGGAGGTATCACATTACCTTACTTCAAACTATCCTATAAGGGCATAGTTATCAAAACAGCATGGTACTGTTATAAAAATACGCACATAGACCAATGGAACAGAATAGAGAATCCAGAAATAAACCCAAATACTTACAGCCAACTGATCTTCAGCAAAGCAAACAAAAACATAAACTGGGGAAAGGACACCTTATTCAACAAATGGCTGGGATAATTGGCAAGGCACACGTAGAAGAATCAAACTGCATCTTCATCTCTCACCTTATATAAAAATCAACTCAAGATGGATCAAGGACTTAAATCTAAGACCTGAAACCATAAGTATTCCAGAAGATAACATTGGAAAGACCCTTCTAGACATTGGCTTAGGTGAAGACTTCATGGCCAAGAACCCAAAAGCAAGTGCAACAAAAACAAATAGATGGGACTTAATTAAACTAAAAAGGTTTTGCACTGCAAAACGAGCAATCAGCAAGGTAAACAGACAACCCACAGTGAGAGAAAAATCTTTGCAATCTATATATCTGACAAAGGACTGACATCCAGATTTCACAAGAAACTCAAACAAATCAGCAATAAAGTAACAAACAATCCCATTGAAAAGTGGAATAAGGACATGAATAGACAATTCGCAAAAGAAGATATGCAACTGGCCAATAAACGTATGAAAAAATGCTCAACATCACTAATGATCAGGGAAACACAAATCAAAACCACAATGCAATACTGCCTTGCTCCTGCAAGAATGACCATAATCAAAAAATCAAAAAATAATAGATGTTGGCATGGATGCAGTCAAAAAGAAACACTTTTACACTACTGGTGGAAATGTAAGCTTGTACAACCACCATGGAAAACGGTGTGGGGATTACTTGAAAAACTATAAATAGAACTACCATTTGATCCACCTATCCCACTACTGGGTATCCACCCAGAGAAAAAGAAGTAATTATACAAAAAAGATACTTCCACATGCATGTTTATAGCAGCACAATTCACAGTTGCAACAATATGGAAGCAGCCCAAATGCCCATCAGTCAATGAGTGGATAAAGAAACTGTGGCATGTGTGTGTGTGTATATATATATATATATATATATATATATATATATATATATATATATACCATAGAATACTACTCAGCTATGAAAAGGAATGAAATAATGGCCATAGGTTTTGGACTCTAAGTTGAGGTCTTATTTTACTGAAGCTCAGCTGCTTTCTTCCTTTAAGAGTATTTGTTTAGACAAATATTCCAAAGGGGGAAATAGCCAAACCAACTGGTTGGCATTGCATCAATTTAACATGAAACAACCTGTTGATGTGCAGAATTATTCACTCTTCACTTGATTATTTTGTCATCTTGTACACGCAGGCATACTCTCGTTAAAAATGAAAAATGTCTTTCATAAGACAGTTGTTCAGTTCTGCCCCTGGCATGTTCTGTTCAGTACAATAGTGTTGTTATTTTTCTTTTAAAATTTCAGGCTTCTTCCAAATGCAAAAATGACTGAAGCTCCCTTGTGTTTCTATTCTGTAATTTATTTCTTGGGTTTATTCCTCATGTTTTATTTAAAAAGTTTGTTTTTTTTTTTGCTCTTAAAATGCAATTGTGATACATGCATGAGTTTTAATATGTGGCGATCAATATTTTCCCCCTGAAAAACATACATTTAATTTTATAGAAGTAAATAGACTACTGTGATTTGCTACATAGAAATTCATATAGGCAACTTTTAAAAAACATGACTTTTCTGCAAAATACACCTGTCCAGAGAAAAGAAAAAGTGCAAAGACATAAAAATTCATCTTCTAGCACTCTGAATTCTCTGATCAGTTGTCTCTTTTCTCATAGCCGTTTTCTCCCATCACTACATTTCTGAGACTCCAATCGGGGAATTATAATTCTGGAAAGTGATGGAATGAGCTAAGCTCCACAGATGCTGAGACAGCCCGTTTACTATTATATTTCAAAGGCAACAATCCCAAACTGATGCCTGTGGAGATTCATTTTTATTTGGATAACACAGAACTTGAGATGAATGAAATGATAGCAGTACAAGTGCTATTGAGAACTACCATATAAATAAGTAGCTTACACAGCCAGACACAGGGATAAACAAAGGAACACGTCCACTGACATTCAAATCTCATTATGGTATTAATGTAATCTTCCTGGGTATGGGTGAAATAATTTATGTAAATGTGAATGGAGGAACAGAAAAACAAACCACCAAATACAAATTTTCAACAATGTGTCATCCAACAATATATGCACAACAATAAATACTAAGAATACCTGATTCTTATGGCAACTTTTCACCCGATGCCTTTATTTGAGCAACTAGACAATCTAATGACCTACTCATCTCATCAGATCATGGTGCAACTGACCTCATTCAGCACAACCAATTGTTCATAATTGGGTTTTGTGAACTGTGCTCAGTGTTAGGTGCTTTCTATTGAAAGTGTCTTCGTGATTCTTGGCAAGTCCTATCCATTTCAGCTTTTCATTTCTTCCAGTTAAGTGACCATGCTCAAGAGCTTCAGAATCTTTACAACGTGAAAGAAGATGGAGTATTGCCATTACCATGTATAAGAACAGACGCTCCACTCTGGTTGGGGATCTCTCTGCTCTAAGATGCAGGGGTTGAAATGGACTCCCTGGCTATGGATGAGTGAGTGTGCATTTAATTGACATGGGAGAGTTTGGTTATTATTTAAAGCAGCTGATCCCAAATACTGGCCCCCACACTAGTTTGGCTCTGTGATCAGATTCTCACCCATCTACCGTGAAAGAGGAGAGATAAGATTAAAACAGTGAAGTTTTAATAAATCTGAATTGTTTTATTCTAAGATTTTACTTTTTGGTGTCATTTGTGTAAAATGATGGGGTTAGTAGATGGAAATATTTTCGTTTTGAAGCCCCTAGGTGGATAAATTAAAGACTGACAACTGTATGTCAGCTCTACAAGTACTTAAACTTTGCTGGTCTATAAAATCCAAAGGACTGAGGCATGTTGGTAATATAAGTTATTCTTTGGATGAACAAACAAAAGTCTTCTAATAAAAATCCTCTAACAAGATTAGAGAACTATTAGTTGGTGCAAAAGTAATTACGATTTTTGCCATTGAAGTGATGGCAAAAACCACAAAAACTTTTGCACCAACCTAATATATTTCACGGATTAATCCCAGATTAAGTAAATATCTAATTATAAAGAGCAGAACAATAAAACTATTGGAAAAAATAAATATGAAAATATTATCACCAGGCTGGAAAAAAACTAAGCATGGCAGGGACACCAGAAGACACAATGGGAAAAAAAATTATAAAAGAATAGATTTTACTCTAAGGGTTGCAGTTTTCCGAATATTCATTACTGAAGATCCTTTAGTTTCAGCAGAAGTCTAAGTGGTCATAATATAAAAATGCTCACTAATAAATATTAAGCCCTCTACTTCTGTGATTAATACCTATTTTAACTCATTGTGTTAATGAATTAATGATGGTCTAATGTTGGAAATAGTGAATAAACAATGCAATTTAAATTTCATATAAGTTTTACTTGTGAGGTTACAATTCTCATAAATATCTCAGGATGTCACCAAGTTGATAGCAGTGATCGTGGAGAATTGTTTTTATCATTGACAAAGTCACCAACAAATGATCAGACAGTTAACAACTGCTATACGGGACCTTAGACAAAAGAATAAAGCCCTCTCATATTATTGCAAAACATGTAGCAATGATTATACTGGGAAAGCATTTATATTGTGTCAGTCTTTTTAAAGTGCTGCAATACAAATTTGATCTATATCTTATTCATTGTCAAACTAAAATAGTTGCATTTGCATGTTTTAACAATTAACTAAGTTTTAGAATTAAACTTAATATAAGACAAAATCAACTTAATTCCTTGTTTTCCATTTTATTTTACAAGGTAAAGAGTAAATGCATTGAAAAATAGATTTATTATGACATTTTGGTCCATTTTAAAAGCAGACTTACTTAAAATAGAATTCTTGTATCAGTTCTCCTTGGATAATTGAGACCACCTGTTTTTGAAAACACACACACACACACACACACACACACACACGAAGGAGAAAGACAGACTAGGAAAAAGTGCTTGTAACATCCTCTACTGATAAAGGGTTGTCATCTTCTATATAAAAATAACATATACTAATTAATATGTTAAAGATTAATATCAGGTATAAATACTAATGAATACTATAAATTCAGAGGCAATTCTCAGAAAAGGAAATATAAATGATCAATAAAGTAATGAAGAAATTACCAATTTCACTAGTTATCAGGGGAAAGTAAATTAATTCAAGTAGTAAGCTAACAGTTTCACCCATCAACCTGGCAAATATGGCCGGGCACAGTGGCTCACGCCTGTAATCCCAGCACTTTGGGAGGCCGAGGCGAGTGGATCATAAGGTCAGGAGTTCAAGACTAGCCTGGCCAAGATGGTGAAACCCCATCTCTACTAGAAATACAAAAATTAGCCGGGTGTGGTGGCAGGCACCTGTAACCCTAGCTACTCAGCCTGCTCAGCAGGCTGACGCAGGAGAATTGCTTGAACCTGAAAGGTGGAGGTTGCAGTGAGCTGAGATCACACCACTGGACTCCTGCCTGGGTGACAATGTAAGACTCCATCTCAAAAAAAAAAAAAAAAGGGAATATGTATTTACATATATTTGATTCTTAATATATAAAATATGAATATATACTAAATTTAAATATTTATAATTATAATTAAATATTTATATAGTTAATATATAAAATATAAATGTATGTTATATAGTGGCAAATAGATTTAAATATACTATATTTTAAATATATATGTTATATATTTTTAAAATATGTATTAGCCAATTTGATGGGTGGATAATTGTATATATCTCCAGTTTTGGTAGGAGAGTTAGGAAATAGATATTCTTATTGAAATGTAAATTAAATACCTTTTTGTTTCAGTAATTTGTAATCTATATTAAAATCTTAAGTAAACATACTCCTTGACCTAACTATTCCACATCTAGGAATCTATTTTGTACAATACTAGCAAGGATACAGAAAAGCATGCATACAGGATGCTCATTGTAGCATTATGTGTGGTGGCAAATAAAAGCACTTACTAGAAAATATCAATAAATTGTGGTGCATCATACAAAAGAATATCAAGCAGTCATTAAAAAAATAAAATGTAATCTGGAAACAAGTCTAACATATATTAAGTGACAAAAAGCCAAGAGTAAATGAATTTGTTCAATATCACTTCATTCTTGTAGATATATGTTTGATGCGCGGGTGCACACACACACACATTCACACACATCTATTTTGCTTTTTAAATCATGCATTATATTCATCAGTTCTTAACAGTGATGATCTTTAGGAGGTAAGGTGGTTAGAAAGAGGTGATTCTCACCTGGTTTATATATTTTTTTAATGATGGAATCATAAGTGAGCTTTTTTTGTGTTTCTTTCCCAGTATTTGAAATACAAATGAATAAATGACACCAGTAACTAAAAAAGGTCTTGGATCATTTTTGAGGTGGCAGACAATATCCAAGGTGAGCACCATGGCTGAGAATGCGCTTATAGCCACGATGCACAGAAATGCACACCTGAACACACATTCTCTCACATTCAGTTCAAGTCCCTTCACCTGAGACCCAGGGAACCACCAAGGTCTATGCATAGAATCCAAGAGATCTATCAATGTGGATGAAAAAAAAATTACATCTGCATTTTTATTAACCTCTAATTGAAATTTGTCAGTTTCTTTAACTAAGAAGAAAGGCAACAAGCCCCAGAAGTGGCAGCTGTACCTGTGACTTTGTCACCAGCAGAAATCACAGATTTATTTATATCTTATTACAATTGTTACAGACATCTCAAAATATTGTTTATGAACTGCTGTAGTCTGAAAATAACAGTGGTTTTAGGCCCTCCGCTAGAGCTTGTTCTTCAACACAGTGATAAAGAAGCTCTGAAATTTTTAAGTATTTTGATAGCTGTACCTGAGCAGTTGCCTTCTTTTGTCATCCTGTTTTTACAAAATTTTATGCATTTAAACATTATTTAGAAAAGGAATTCATAGGATTCACTAGACCACTCGGAGTGGTTATGGCACAAACATAACAAAGTTAAAAACCATTTATTGGGCTTTGGGAGAAAAACATCGGAATGCAGTAAACATGGTACTAGGTTGTAAATTAAAAGCTTGCAGCTTACTCTTTACATCCTGCCTGAAGATGGCCTTGAAGCCTTTTGAAAGCTTCTGCTCTGTAACAGGCACTTTTCCAGGAGCTGAGAACATAATGTTCAGTGAGGAAACAAGATTCCTGCTCCCATGGAGCTGAAATCTGCAGGAACAGTGGCAGGAGGGGAAACTGAAAATAAACAGGAGAGCAGATAAATAATTACAGCTAGACGTAAGTTCTCTGAAGAAAATAAAAGCTCATGGACAGGCATTTGGATTCTTTTCTAAGAGCATCAGGAAGGCATTGGATGTTTTAAGCAGGGTGGAAAATTGATTATGAGAAGAAAAATAATGGTGATTTGGAATATGGAGATGGAATAATGGAAATAGAGAAAAGTGGAAGAAATGAGTTATATTTGGTGGCTGACCAATGGTTTTCTCATTCCACTTAAGGAATAGGGGATTCATTCTAGAGATTCTAAAACCTATGTCCCCAAATCACTAATATATTCTGTAAATTTGACTACATGATAACTAAACAATTTCCATTAAAACATGAATCAAACTGGTTACTTGACATGATATAGAGATGCAATAGTATGGTTACTTAGAAGCTTAAGATGATAATTACAAGTCCTGTGGGAGATTAAAACCATATTCTGTTTGCAGACACAAAGAAAAATGAAACAAAATCAGCTTCTGTGAAAAGAATATGTTGACAGAGCATGCCATTTCAAGCCACCAGAAAAAAACAGGAATCGTATCATATTCAAAAGATTATGGAAAAATGTCTTGGGACAGAGCAGTGTTTTTCTTTCTTTTTTTCTTTTTTTGAGATAGACCCTCACTCTGTTGCCCAGGCTTGGGTGCAGTGGCGTGATGTAAGCTCACTGCAACCTCCACCTCCCAAGTTCATGCGATTCTCCTGCCTCAGCCTCCCAAGTAGCTGAGAGCACAGGCGTGTGCCACCATGCCTGGCTAATTTTTGTATTTTCAGTAGAGATGGGGTTTCGCCATTTTAGCCAGGCTGGTTTTGAACTTCTGACCTCAGGTGATCCATCTGCCTCAGCCTCCCAAAGTGCTGGGATTACAAGTGTGAGCCACTGCGCCCGGCCTGGAGCAGTGTTTTCAAGAGACGTGCAGGACCACACTTGCAAGATGGAGGCCTGCTAGTCAGTTCTCTGCAATGCCAAGGAGCTTTCATAATGAGGAGCCTCTGAGCTCAGTGACACAGAGTTCTCATCAGCAACAGCTGTGTGATTATTGCTGAAGCCTGGAAGCCTCCACAGCTTTGGCAGAAAGCCTTGTGTAAGAATATTGCTGAAAGTATCCCCAGGGATATGATATGTCACAATTATGTTGCTGCTTTTGTTGTTACTGTTGTCAGTTCTATGGCTACCATTTACTGAGCACCTACTCTGTGACCTGCAGTTTGCTAAGAACTTTATGTATAGTAAGTTATTCAATCCTCAGATAAGCTCACCAGTTAAGTGCTATTGTATGATGAGTTCAGAGAGTTTAAGCATTAAGCCCAGCACTGTCCAATAAAACTCTCTACAATGCTGGAACAGTTCTATATCTGTACTGCCCAATATGGTAACCACTTAGCCACGTAAGTTATTGAGCTCCTGACTTGTAGGAAGAGCAAATGAAGTGAATTTTTATTTACTTTTAGTTTATATAAATACAAATTTAAATAACCACATGTGGTTAGTGGCTACCATATTGGATAGCCCAAGTTCATATGGCTAGCAAAGATCAGAAGTAAGGATCCAATCCCAAAAATTATCTGGCTCCAAAATCATGCTTTAAAGATTAAAATACCAGGATGGGCATGGCGACTCACACCTTTAATCCCAGCGGTTTGACAGGCTGAGGTGGGAGGATGGTTTGAACTAAGGAGTTTGAGACCAGCCTGGACAACAAAGTGAGACTGCGCCTCTACAAAAAAACTTTAAAAAAAACAAAAAAAAGCCAGGCCTCGTGGTGCACACCTGTGTTCCCAGCTACAGTGGAGGCTGAGGCAGGAGGATCATGTGAACCTGGGAAGTCGAGGTTGCAGTGAACCATAATAGCACCACTGCACTCCAGCTTGAGTGACAGAGCAAGACTATCTCAAAAAAACAAAGCAAAAAAAAAAAACAAAACAAAAAGGTTAGTACTAGTTGTGGTGGTGCACCCTATCATGTTTGCATCATTAGAGCTTCCCAGTTACTGTGCTTACAACTCCTTTCTTGTCTGTAAGCCTAGAAGAGCATTGAATGCTCTATTTGTGTAGGCAGTGCTGCAAATTCTATTTGTGTAGGCAGTGCTGTCTACTATGGACATTTTGGTATTAGAACTCCCTGGTAATGGCCAGTGAGCTAACCAAATGTGGAGGGAAGAAGCAAAGCTAACAGAAAACTATTGGTGCTAGATATTTTTGATTTGTCCCTCCAGATTCACTCTCCATTGTTCTCTACTCTGTTCTGGGCTCAGGGAGCTGATACTCTATGGACTGCTTCCTTGCCCCCTGGCTTCTGGTTGGGTCCAGCCAGTGAAGGGTTCTAGTGGGAACTTGAAAGGTAAGAGGAAAGAGAGCTTCAGGTCTTTGTTCCCCCAGCTCTCTCCCTGAAGGGGCCATAGCTTAGCGATGACTACATAATTTTATTTGAAAACACAGCTTCCAGTGAATGACTCTCTCTGCAGCTGCAGGTCTCACTATATTCTAGGAACTGTTCCCTCTCTTTCCCCTTCAGCCAGAACCAGTAACGGCTTCCCACTTTTGCCAACCCTGGGGTGCTTTACTGACTACTGACGGTTTCCCTTAACCCTGCTTACACTTTTGTAAATGATTTTACTAAACTCTCTTCTGCCACCCTTTTTGAGTGTGCCATTTGTTCTTGCTAGGGACTCTGTTGGATACACTATTTGATGAATTTAAAGAATAAGAATTATTTGCTCATTTATGAACTAATAATAAAGAGAAATGATATGGTATTTCATAAAGTAGTTATCACATATTCTTAGCCACAAAAAAATGCAGCAAATTGCAAATTGTACACAGCAGGTCCTCATATGATATCATTTTGTTCAACATTGTTTTGTTATAATGTTGATGAGGAAAAAAAGAAAATCCTGGCTGGGCCACTGTCAATGTGGAGTTTCCCTATTCTCCCCAGGCCTGGGTGGGTTTTCTCTTGGGACTTTGGTTTCCTTCCACATCCCAAAGTTGTGTACTTTAGATTAACTGGCATGTCTAAATGACCCCAGTCTGAGTGAGTGTGAGTATGCATGTGACTGCACCCTGCAACTGAATGGCATGTTGTCCAGGGTTCGTTCCTCCCTCACACCCTGAGCCACCAGGACAGGCTCTGGCCACCCAAGACCCTGACCTGGAATCAGAGGGTTGGAAAATGGATAAATAAATGAATACAAATTATTTTATTTACTTCAATTTTTAGTATTATAAGGGTTTTGAGTGTTTATATAGAAACTTGGTGATGTTGTTGTGACCAGAAATATGCCATAGGAACTTAACTCTTATTTATATCAATTAGCCTATGGTAAACTTGATTTCATTATACATGGTTTTGCATAAAGTAGCAGTTTCCAGTAATCTATTTACAATGACATTGAGGACTCACTGTATATGAAAGTTTTGCCAAGAAACAGTGTCTGGTGGCCTGGACTCTATTGTCATATTGAAAGCGCCCGAAGAGAATATATGAGCAGTGATATTCATTGCAGCATTATTTTTTTGTATTAAAAATTGGAGCACTGCCCCATCTCCCCAATAAATAAATTAATTAATTAAAATTGGAGCAAAATCACATGTACATCAAAATAAGAATGCACTTTGGGAAGCTGAGGTGGGTGGATTGCTTGAGGCCAGAAGTTTGAGACCATCCTGGGCAACGTGGGGAAACCCCATCTTTACAAAAAATATTTTTAAAAAGTAGCTGGGCATGGTGGCATGTGCCTGTAGTCCAAGATACTCAGGAGGCTGAGGTGGGAGGATCATTTGAGCCTGGGAGGTTGAGGCTGGAGCTGCAGTGAGCTGTGATTACACCGCTGCACTCCGGCTTGGGCAACCAGAGTGAGAACATGTCTCAAAAAACTAAAATGAAATGAAATAATAAGAAGAAGAATGGCCAGTTTATAGTACTTGTTTCATAAGAAAAAAACTATGTAGCCATTAAAAGAAATAAGGGATATCTTTAAGTACCAAAATGAAAAGATATCTATGATCCACTTTTGAGTATATTTAAAAAGCTGTCAAATTGTATGTATAATAACATATTCCAATATTTCTAAAAATAAGTGTAAATTCATTTATTCAACAAATATATACTGAGTACCTGCTATGTGTCAGGCATTTTTCTGGGCTCTGGGAATTCAGCAAGAATAAAACAGTTCTAAAAAAATCCTTGTTGGCAGAGTGTGGTGGCTCACACCTGTAATCTCAGCACTTTGGGAGGTCAAGATAAGAGGACTGCTTGAGCTCAAGATTTTGAGACCAGCCTGGACAACAAAGTGAGACCTTGCCTCTGCTAAAAATAAAAAAAATAAAAAAAATAGCCAGGGTGATGGCACGTACCTGTAGTCCCGGCTACTTGGGAGGCTGAGGAGGGAGGATCACTTGAGCCCGGGAGTTTGCGCCCGCAGTGAGCTGTGATTGCTCCACTCCACTCCAGCCTGGGTAATAGAGCAAGACCTTGTCAAAAACAAAACAAACAAACAAACAAAAAACTCCTGCCTCATGGAGCTTCTAGTCCTTGGTGGGGTGGAGCGGGGGTAGGAATGTTGGACAGAGACAGGGCTACAGTGTTGGAGAAGATAGTCAGGGAAGGCCTCATTAAGAAGGTGATATTTGGCCGAGCGCAGTGGCTCATGCCTGTAATCCCAGCACTTTGGGAGGCCAGGGTGGGTGAATCACAAGGTCAGGAGATTGAGACCATCCTGAATAACATGGTGAAACTCCGTCTCTACTAAAAATACAAAAACAAAATTAGCCGGACATGGTGGCGGGCGCCTGTAGTCCCAGCTACTCGGGAGGCTAAGGCGGAGCTCGCAGTGAGCCAAGATCGTGCCAGTGCACTCCAGCCTGGGCGAAAGAGCGAGACTCCATCTCAAAAATAAAAAAACAAAAAAACAAAAAAACAAGGTGATATTTGAGGAAATTCCTAAAGGAAGTGAGGAGCAAGCCACGGACATATGTGGGAAAATAACATTCCAGGTAGAAGGAAGAGGAAGGGCAAAGGCCCTGAGGCTGAAGAGTGTGCCTGATGCATTGGAGGCACAGCCAAAGGAGAAACTGTTTTTTGTTTTTTATTTTTTAAACTTTAAAAAAAAAAATTCTGTCTGGGCGCGATGGCTCACGCCTGTAATCCCAACACCTTGGGAGGCCAAGGCAGGCAGATCACCTGAGGTCAGCAGTTTGAGGCCAGCCTGGCCAACATGGTGAAACCCAGTCCCTACTAAAAATACAAAAAATTAGCTGGGTGTGGTGGGCACTTGTAATCCCAGCTACTCGGGAGGCTGAGGCAGGAGGATCGCTTGAATCCGGGAGGTAGAGGTTGCAGTGAGCCGAGATCGCACCATTGCACTCTAGCCTGGGCTACAAGAGCGAGACTCTGGCTCAAAAAAAAAAAAAGTATTTCTAACTTTTATTTTAAGTTCAGGGGTACATGTGCAGGATGTGCAGGTTTAGGAAACTCTTAACTACTCCTGGGGATTGAGGAACATTCCTTCTTTTTTTTTTTTTTTTTTTTGAGACAGGGTCTTGCTCTGCCACCCAGGAGTACAGTGGCACCAGCCATCAGGGCTCACTGCAGCCTTGACCTCCTGGGCTCAAACGATCCTTCCACCTCAGCCTCACAAGTAGCTGGAACTACAGGAGCGCACCACCACTCCTGGCTAATTTTTTATTTTTATTTTTAGAGACAAGGTTTTGCCATGTTGCCCAGGCTGGTCTGGAACTCCTGGACTCAAGCAATTCACCTTCCTCGGCCTCCCAAAGTGCTCGGATTACAGGCCTGAGTCACCATGCCCGGCCCATTCCTTCTTTTTGAAGAGACACTCAGTTTTAATTTTATATGCTGATGTGTTATTTACATGTCAAATTAGATGTGTACACCTTTTAAAATTTTAAATCAATTTGATTTTTCAAGAAGAATTAGAAAACAAAAGACCAGATTAGTCTAGTACATGTCAAGAAATTAAACATAACACTCCAAAAGCACAAACATTTTCCTAGGAAGTGACTCAAGAAATTTTTGGTCAAAATTGCATATTGATATTGCAGGATTATTCAAGTGTTAAAACTAATGCCAGTGGCCTCAGTCCAACCTCAGTTTCATTTCAAATGCCTGCTGTCAAAATGACAACCCCACACCAATTATTTATATCACATGTTTTGCCAGACACTATAGCTTCTGACAGCAGATTTGCATTTACTTTTATTGAGTTAGGAGAATTTGTATATGAGAATATTATGAGATGTCACCATTCTGATTCATTGTCCTTAGGCAAACTATCAGCCTTAATAGAAGCGAAGCATTCCTGGAAGCAAGATGTTAGAAGAAATTGACCGGTACTATTTGTTGGCTTCTTCATGTAATTGCATATTCAACAAAAATTCTTCTGGGCTCCCAATGAGGCAGCATCTCAAAGCCTACATCAACTAACTTTGATAAGACTAAACAGATTTTCTTCTGTCTGTACTCACTCACTCTGCTCATTTTTACTAGCACAGTTAGTCTTTTCAAGAACTGTGAGAACTCTCTCCATCCCTCCTTCCTTCCCTCTCGCTTCCTCCTTTTTTCCTTTTTCTTCCCAACTCATGTCCATATTTACCTTCATTTTTTTTTCTCTGCAGGATAAAGTGTACATTTCTTTCCCCTCTACAAATTTCAGCTAATATCTCCCTCACTTTCTCTCCTTCTGTTTTCTTTTCCCCTATGTTTTCCTTTTTCTACTTTATATTAAATGTTCATATAAACAGGAAGCTGAAATTTATGGTAATAGACTTTATACTTTTTCACCTTTTTTAAAAAAATAGAAAACAGGGAAAATGGGAAAAAAACTGTAAACACACAAATTCATTAAAATATTTTTCACTTAATAAAAAGGGAGGAGCACAGTGGTTTATGCTGGTAATCCCAGCATTTTGGGAGGCTGAGGCAGGAGGATCACGTGAGCCCAGGAGTTTGAGACTAGTCTTGGCAACCTAATGAGACCCTGTCGCTATTAAAAACAATATGTTTTAAAGAAAAACAATGCCTTGAGCAGGTGGATTCCTATTACTATAATTGGGGTGAAGGTGTGCAGTGTACAAGGACTGGCTGTAGGTAAATCAAAGGAGTGTTGTTTTGGTGACCAACAGTTGCATTAATTAAAAGGGAATTTAGAAGAGGCCTAATAGGCAGGGCACGGTGGCTCACACCTGTAATCCCAGCGCTTTGGGAGGCCAAGAAGGGCGGATCACTTGAGGTCAGAAGTTCAAGACCAACCTGGCCAACATGGTGAAACCCTGTCTCTACTAAAACTACAAAAATTAGCCAGGTGTGGTGCTTGCCTGTAATTCCAGCTCCTTGGGGAGGCTGACACATGAGTACTGCTTGAACCCAGGAGGCAGAGGTTGCAGTGAGCCCAGATCACACAAGTACACTCCAGCCTGGGTGACAGAGCAAGACTCTGTTTCAAAAAAAAAAAAAAGGCCTAATGAATACTCTGGTGTCAGTCTATTAATCTCCATTCCTGTGCCCATAACAGACATTATCAACCAATCACAGCCCTCTGCCCACCTCTTCTGGTTGCAGCTCAGGATCCTTCTCAACACAACACTCCAGGGAGCCCTACCACTCCAATAAGGGTGAAACTTACCATCCTGATTTCCCATAAGGGTGAAACTTATCCTGCTTTGGAAGGGTCTCTTCTAGAGTCATCTGCCATGGGGGCTGGGTTGTATCACTTCTCCAAGACCACCAAGGTAAAGACAGGAAGTTCCTCAGAACTACAACTTAGATGAGCTGGTCATAACTTTGCCCCAAGGCACCAAAATTTAAAGGGCAGAATTTTAATAATTATTAAAATCTGTAATTTTTCTCCTGTCATCACTGCCTCTTCAGCTGAAGTGGAGATATTCCTCTGTCTCCACATAGACCCCTCAGGAGCTGATGCATGGTAAAGGAGCCAGGGACCGGAAGTGAAGAGCACATTGCTCACGGTCCAGTTTCTCTCTTCTCCTCCGTCTCCTTTCTCCCACCCCACAGCCTGCGTTGGTGCATTCTTATCAATTCGTGACGACATTTTATGTGTTTTGCCCCAGATTTCAATTATTGCTAAATGTACCTCCAGAGTTATTTGGTCTTTTTATATCAGATAGTGGAGCCAATTTCACTGCATAGTACCTCCTTGTTGATGTTAATCGGAGGAGTCCTGGAGCTAAAGCACAATTTGAAAATATGAGTCAGAAACCTTAAAAATAGCAGTCTTTTTAACCTAGGGATTCCATTTCCCTAAATTAAAGAAATAAATATTTGACCATCCACACAAAAAATGTTCTTCAGAGCCTTGTTTGTAACAGAAAATAAGAGACAACCTAAATCTCCAATAATAAGGAATTGGTTATTTAAGAACAGAAACTCCATTCATATGGAATTTCATGCAAAAATTTTAACTCCATGATTTATTCTTTAGGTTTGTAATATATTGCTAGGCTTTAAAGTAAAATTGTAAACATTATAAACTGTATCATCTATTTTAAAAAATACTATACATGAAAACCAACAATATATGTAAATAATAACAAAATATTACCAATGGTTATTTATCTCTGAAGTGGGCTTATGAATTATTTTTACTTTCTTCTTTTTGCCTGTCAGTCAGTAGGTTTCATAGTTTCCAAAATGAATGTATAAAAGGTCTAAAATTTCAAAAATACAACAAAAGCTTTGCTTGTTTCATATATAACCTCTTTTTCATTAGTGATTATATTAAGTAGGAAAGAGTATTGAGAATGCTTAAGGTGTTATAGTACACTATGAATGCATTTATTTCATTGTTTATTGAGTTTTTGTAGCAATGATTTTGGAAAGAGTAGGAACACAGGAGCTGTAACAAAAATAAGAGTTGCCCCATGGTAATAAGGGGCTGTTTGTCTAAACTCTGCTTATCCTGTGAGTGATTTGTGGGGTGGGGGACGTTTTTTGTTTATTCTTATTGCTACCAAATATTAGAATATTGCTGCTCAGTACAATGCAATACCTATGGAACAGGGGGTTGTGAGGAACAGATGGATCCTAAATGGAAAAGTGTAAGTGTTTTTTGAACAGTATGGCATCTGGAGTGTTATTAAGGCATTGTCTTATAGACCAGATTCTTCACTAGTTGGATCTTTAAACTGGTTCTTTTGCAATGATGGAGGTACAACACATGTAGTTGTAATTTAAAACTTACATCAGAGTGAGGAATAGAAAGACCACATCAGAAACACATTTCTGACCATGTGTTGTTCCTCACATCTCCTGAGCTTAAACTAGCTTGTTGTTCCATTGACTTCCTTTGCATTGCAGGGGGCTTAAAAACTTTATTTCTTCTGAGTAAAAACAGCACAGAGTCAAAAGAGTTCAGAATGAAAAGCAGAACACTAACAAATCTCAAAAGATCAGTGAGTTCAGAGTAGCGCTTCTCAACATATGCTTCCTGCAGCAGCAGTTGCATCAGCCAGGGCCACATCATGACTTCCATGGACCAGGGGCCCTTTTGCCTTCACATGTCCCCTCCTTCATTAGAAATACATAAACAAATAGAATTAATATTTTTATACTGCGTTAATATAAAGATGAATATATTCTAGGTTGGATTCCTCATATACATTCATTATTATCATATTCATTATTTTATTCTGATTTGAAGAGAGATTAAAATCAAACTATTTTCATGGTTCACTAAAAGTAAATTGGACTTTTAGTGTCCAACTTTTAGGTGCTGTGTTACTGTGCCTAGTGGATAAGTTTGCCCTAGCACCATCTGGGAACTTATTGAAAATGCAAATTCTTGAGTACTACCCAAGACTTAATGATCCAGAAACTCAGCAACGTGCATCTGACAAGCCCTTCAGGTGATCCCAAGGCACACTCAAGTTTGAGAACAACTAGTTTAGACAATTCAAAGCTAGACAGATAGAGCCTCTCTGCAGAAGCTGAAAATTCTCCTCATCAACTATGAATTTACTGATAGAATAGGCAAACAGCCTTCACGGTCATGGGTTTGTTTTTAGAGGTTCGATTGGGTAATCATCCTTTTGACTATTTTTTAAACTTGGCTTTCTCACATAGAAGATGTTTAAAGCCCTGAAAAGCAATGTCACACCATGGGCTCCACCACTCAGACTTTAAATAATTTTATACTAGTAAATTTTAATCTTTGGAGAGAAAAAGTCATATACATTCTTTTTATAGTCTACATAAATCTATGCAACACGATGTGTACATTTCAAAAAAAAAATCAGTGCACTATGCAAAATTGCACAATAAAAACCACAGGCCTTATGGGGTTAGGGCGTACCATTGTCACTGACACATAAAAAAAGATAGAAACCAATTTAAAAAAGCAGTAACACAGTTTTTTCCATCTTAAATGGTTAAAAAATGCACAAATACTATAATAAATATGTGATTTTACTTTGAAAGGGACCTGAAATTTGCTTGTGGAAGAAAGCATCTGAAGGATTATAGCTTTTACTTGTTATGAAATTGTAAAGGGTTATCTAAAACTTAACAGACAGTTGTCACAATGGGTGTGGACAAATGTGGCTCAGGATATGCATGGTGAAATAACGTAGCTGGTAGATGTCTGAAGTGTGGGCCTTTTGTGTAGCCCTGTGCAGCTTCGTTCATCTGGGTGCAGTTTTCTGCACATACCTAGTGTTTCTCTTGTGTGAAATTGTGCATACGCAAATGCAAAATTTGCATTGTGTTCAAATTGTTCCCTAATAGGACAAATGCATATTCTCAAACAAGCATTATAGCAGAACTGACTTTGTGTATGTATGTTATAATTCAATGTGTAAACTCCATATGTAAGCACTATTTCTACATCTGTATTCTGATCTTTGTACATTCTATGGGTTCAATGTCATTGTTTTATATACATCATTAAGTATGCATGGATGAGTAAGAGATTGTGTGTGTGTTTACGCTAATGTAAGATAAATTCTAAAAGAAACTAATAGTTGATTACTCAAGTGTGATCCTAGGAAATTATTTTGCATGTCAATACAAAATATTTCAATTGTGAATTTGATCAATAGTTACATTTATTAATTCCAAGGAGTGAGTGGCAATAAGATTAGCTTTAAAAAAAGAAAAAAAAAACTTCTACACTGGAAAAAATTAAGGATAAAATTACATTTTTTATTAATGATTTAAAATTGAGACACATGCTTTGTTGGTACCCAAAAGTAAATGCTTCAGGTTCTCTTATTGTGACACTGATTATGGCAGTTTTAATCTTTTCCCCAAGAATTGTTTTAAGAAATCAAATGCAGACAGTTCTTGTTTCTCATGGTTCTAAAATGCACAAATTTCAGTTACCATGGTTGAGTTAAGTAACACCAGTTCCAACAACATGGTTCAAGTTTAGCTACCATGGTATATTAGCTGTGAGTAATTGCATGAAGCCTAAACTTCATGGCTAGCTCTTCAGTCCACAAATCACTGAGTAACAGATGTGTATCATGATCAGCAACTAATCACGTCACATCTCTCAACATTTGTCAGTGAATGGTCACTGAGCATCTGTTACTCGGTTCACACATAGACAGCAAAGCATGCAGTTGTATTGCCTCCTTGTCTCCCAGGGATAAACCTTTGTGACATTTTACAAAAATGAATAATTGAGAGAGGGAATTGGCCAAAAAAAGTGAAAGTGCAGCAAAGAAGCAAAAATGATAACACTGAAAGTGAATTTTGACTTTCATGTAAATGGAGTTATAGAAGAAATAGCTGATTGTTGGAAGGGTGACAATGTTGCCTTTGGAAAGGCTCAATCTGTGGACAGAGGAACTTAACTAAAGGGAACTTATCGGCATAAATGAGGAAATAGTTGTGATGAAATGGATGAAAATGTCCCAGAGGAAGACACCAGCAAAAATCTTGCCATTAAAGGATTTCTCACAGATATTTCATGACATTGGCAGTGTAAAGGATAAAATGTTAGAAGCTAATCCAAAACTTAGAAAAGTGCTTGACGATTAGTTGAGACATAGAAATTCTGGTGTCTTCCTCTGGGACATTTTCATCCATTTCATCACAACTATTTCCTCATTTATGCCGATAAGTTCCCTTTAGTTAAGTTCCTCTGTCCACAGATTGAGCCTTTCCAAAGGCAACATTGTCACCCTTCCAACAATCAGCTATTTCTTCTATAACTCCATTTACATGAAAGTCAAAATTCACTTTCAGTGTTATCATTTTTGCTTCTTTGCTGCACTTTCACTTTTTTTGGCCAATTCCCTCTCTCAATTATTCATTTTTGTAAAATGTCACAAAGGTTTATCCCTGGGAGACAAGGAGGCAATACAACTGCATGCTTTGCTGTCTATGTGTGAACCGAGTAACAGATGCTCAGTGACCATTCACTGACAAATGTTGAGAGATGTGACGTGATTAGTTGCTGATCATGATACACATCTGTTACTCAGTGATTTGTGGACTGAAGAGCTAGCCATGAAGTTTAGGCTTCATGCAACACAGTAAGATTCTGCCTTTATAAAAATAAAAAAATTATCTGGGCACAGTGGCATGTGCCTCTGGTCCTACCTACTCAGGAGGTTGAGGTGGGAGGATTGCTTGAGCTCAAGAAGTCGAGGCTCCAGTGAGTGATGACTGCACCATGTACTTCAGCCTGGGCAACAATGCAATTTTATCCTATCTGTTGTTGGAGGTCTTGGAGCCAAGCGAGTCAATGTTAACTGAATCTTCAGTTTAAAATATTTAATTCAATTATGGCGGGGCGCAATGGCTCACACCTATAATCCCAGCACTTTGGGAGGCTGAGGTGGGCAGATAACTTGAGGCCAGGAATTCTAGACAAGCCTGGCCAACATGGCGAAATCCCATCTCTAGCAATATGAAAAACATTTGAAAAACAAAAATATTTAGTTCAACTGAGTATTTTGGTAACATATTGTATGACTTGCAGGTAGCTCTTACCACCTCTGAAGAATAATGTCCAATGTAAATAATATAGACATTTTTAACATCTCCTTAGCAATTGCATACCAGATCGTAATTACAAAAGGGGAACAAGAGTTATGCCAAACTAATAGCTCTGGAATAATAATCTTTTATGGATGTTTTGAAAATCACCACTAAATCTACCTTGGGCTGAGCTCCTTTCAAGAAAAGCACTACTGACTGGGCGTGGTGGGTGACTCACGCCTGTAATCCCAGCACTTTGGGAGTCCGAGGAAGGTGGATCACGACGTCAGGAGATCGAGACCATCCTGGCTAACATGGTGAAACCCCGTCTCTACAAAAAATACAATTAGCTGGGCGTGGTGGTGGGCGCCTGTAGTCCCAGTTACTCAGAAGGCTGAGGCAGGAGAATGGCATGAACCCGGGAGGCGGAGCTTGCAGTGAGCCGAGGTCGCGCCAATGCACTCCAGCCTGGGCGACACAGCGAGCCTCCGTCTCAAAAAAAACAAAAAACAAAAAACAAAACAAAACAAAAAACACTACCAAGTGATCCTTTAGGCATTACCTTTGTAACAATTAGGTCCTCTGCATATATACATATATATATGTAGGTATATATAGAGAGAGAGAGTTTAGAAATCTAGTTCTTTTTTATCAAATGACCAAGCTCATCTTCTTAAATCAGCTGGTGGAAGTAGGATTCTCAAATAACGTTTTTAATCAGATTTATACACAACTGCCATCCACTGTATTTCACATTTAGGGCTTGGTGCTGGCTTTTATGTGGAAGTCAAGTTCAGTTGAAAAATAATAAACCTTTGGAGTATAAGCTCCATTCCTCCCACCAAATGATTACTGTTAGTATGTGATTCCGCACATTTTACTGCATTAAGATAGTGAGAATTTCCCTTTTTTAATGTTTTTTACTGCAAGCAGATGTCTGTGTTCTCTACAACTGTGCCTACATTTATACAACAAATAAATAACTGGAGAAAAGTAAAAGATTTAATTAATAAATCAGTTGTTTACCCTGTACAAAGCTATCAGTTTGATTTTTCCCCTTTAACAAATTGACAGTAAATTTTACTGAAATGATTGAATTACCATGTGTTTTGATATTATAGAGACATGCCTTCAGCCAACATTAGACCAAACGTTATAAGAAACCTAAAACTCAGGCAAATTTTTAAAAGATTTCTAAACTACTAGATTTTTGTAGTATAAATGATTGATTGAAATTTGTTGGAATTCCAGAAAAACGAAAGCCCTCTCAATGAAAGCAATACATATTTATAAGATAATTGGCAATTCTGCAATATGTTTGCTTTAGCAGAGGCAATTAAATACAAAATAACAAAAATAGGGAATTATATACAAGTGTGTGGAAAGAATAGGCTGAGGAAAAAATAGAAGTGGAGCATATTAAATTACAGTGCCATTTGCTTATGCTTGTGTAATGTCTTCAGAGATGATTAACATAGAATTTTCAGAGTATTCCATGTGTGGAATGCATTTGAGCATTACTCTTATATTTTCCATATTCAGAAATCTAACTCTGATTTTGAAGAACCAGAGGGAAATTATGACTATAGCTATGTAAAGCAGCATACTTAGGCGGAGTCCTCTCAGGGAACATTAGATGCTAATGCCTATAATCAGCTCGCCTTTGCTGTGTGGGGCCATTTTTATACCAATGGGAATGTTTAGTGGCAAATTGTAATTTGAACATTACAGTTGAGCAAGCCAAGTGGCTGCTGCCTCTCAGATGCCAGATGCAGAACATTATTTCACTAGGTATGGAAAGAGGATGACATTCTCTGAAGCATCTACAAATGTCCCAAATACTGTGCCATGCACATTCTATTATTTTGTTTAAGATCTTCACAGCAACCTTATGCAATGTGTCTACTGTATTCATTTTACAGATGAAGAAACTAAAACTCAAAGGCATCATATGATGAATAAATCTCCCAAACAGAATGTTGAGTGAAAAATGTGACAGAGGATATTAACAATATAATACAATTCATGTACTTTTTGCAAAACATGCCAAATGGTGGTACATACTACCTAGGCAAAAATACATATGTAGTAAATGTTTAAGGATATGGGCAGAAGTGACAAATGTCAAATTCAGGATGGTTCTTTTCTGATGAAGGTAAATGAGGTCAAACCAAAATATACATATGGGCTTCTGCTCTATTTGTGTGTTTTATTTTTAGGCTAGGAATTGAATATATGAGTAATCATTACATCATTCTCTATATCACCTATATCATTTCTGTGTGGCTGAAATATTTTATAAGAGCTTAAAAATTTAAAATAGGTTGGACAACTTGCTGGAAGTCACACAGCCATTAAAGAGGACACAGGGCTGGCTTTGACCCCAAGCCTGCTAACACTGGAGGCCACACACTCTCTGCTCCTTACACCTTGCACCAGATGAACTTTGCTGAAGCCTTCTTGTGTTAATGGTTTATCTAGGAATGAAGGGGATAGGCCAGGCGTGGTGGCTCACACCTGTAATCCCAGCACTTTGGGAGGCCAAGGCAGGAGGATTGCTTGAGCCCAGGAGGTCAAGACCAGCTTGGGCAATACAGCAAGACCTCATATCTCTAAATAAAATAAATAAATAGAAATAGAGGGGTTGATGGGTTATCCCTCTATGACTGTGCACCGTTGAATGTTGGTGATGGGAAGAAGACCCAAGAAGAACCAAATGGGTATGTGTTTTATGGTGAAGAAACTCATGCTACTTAGCAAAATGGTAATGCAAGCTCACCAAAGTCCCTTTCCTCCTAAATACCATGGACTCTTCTGCTGCTACAGCTGTAGCTACTACTAAATTCCAAGCTTCCCCAAACATTGGAATGAGACAGTACTTAAAAACTAGCTAGTTTATTAGCCACTTTAGTATAATAATGAAGCTAAGCAAATAGTCTTTAAAATTTGATTGCATTCATCGTTCTTTTTAGGAACAATATTTAGAAATAAGTGGATACTGGCTGCAAAATTAATTTGTGATACACTCTTGAAGTACTGCTATTAAAGCTCCTAAAATTGACTTTACAGAATGTTCCTCTTTTCCTCATTCCTTTCCCAAGCACTTACATAGTTCACAGAGAACTATGATTGGAACTGAGCCTGTGAAACATACATTTTTACGTATTTTACTTTGCACTATGGATTTATTATCTCTGACTCAATTGATCAGTGTATTCCTAGCACCTAGCTTAGATCCTCACATGTGGCAGATAGTCAATAAATATTTGTTGATTGAGTGAGTAAATGTGTGAATAAATATGAGAAATATTACCTGCTGTTTGCAATTTTTTTTTTTATTTTGTAAAGAAGGCAGAGTGTATAATAGCAGAGTGTGGTGATTTAAGAGTCTTAGCAAGAAGTCAGTGTTTGGAAACAACGCCAGGGGAGTTAGGCCACCTCTCTGGAATCCTTGATCCATTACTTAAGGCATTTTGTTTATTTATTTATTTGTTTGTCTGTTTGTTTGAGACAGAGTTTCACTATTGTTGCCCAGGCTGGAGTGCAACGGCGCAATCTTGGCTCACCGCAACCTCTGCCTCCCGGGTTCAAGCGATTCTCCTGCCTCAGCCTCCCAAGTAGCTGGGATTACAGGCATGTGCCACCACACCTGGCTAATTTTCTATTTTTAGTAGAGATGGGGTTTCTCCATGTTGGTCAGGCTGGTCTTGAACTCCCAACCTCAGGTGATCCACCTGCCTCGGCCTCCCAAAGTGCTGGGATTACAGGCATGAGTCACCGCACCTGGCCTACTTAAGGCATTTTAGGCAAACTACTTAACATTTCTGAGTCAGTTTTAGCTTCAGAAAAGTGAGGATAATAATAAAGCCTCTTGTTTAAAGTTGCCGTGAGGACTAAATGAGATAATACCTCTGTATTAGGTGTTCTTACTTTGCTATACAGAAATGCCTGAGACTGGGTGATTTATAAGAAAAGAAGTTCAATTGGCTCATGGTTCTGCAGGCTGTACAGGAAGCATAGCTGCACCTGCTTCTGAGGAGGCCTCAGGCAGTTTTTACTCATGGTGGAAGGCGAAACAGGAGCAGACACTCCATGAAGAAAGCAGGATCAAGAGAGAGAGGGGAGGCGCCACACATTCTAAAATGATCAGATCTGGTGAGAGCTCACTCACTATCACAGGGACAACACCAGGGAGATGGTGCTAAACCATTCATAAGAAATCCACCCCCATGATCCTATCACCTCCCACCAGACCCCACCTCCAACACTGGGAATTACATTTCAACATGAGATTTGAGCAGGACATCCAAACCGCTCTAAACCTCTAAAGAGCTGAGCAAATTTCTAGGCACATAATAAGTGCTCAATACATTTTAGCTATTCTTTAGATCATTTTGGGTTCTAGCTATATAACCTTTGTTTTTATGCGAGAGGGAGACAGTGTTTACATCTCATTGCTCTCTGAGTAGGTTCATTAACAACAGCAAAAACAACGACAATAAAACACTTTATGGAGCTACCAATCGTTTTTTTCCTTATCAAAAAATTTATTTCCTAGTAGCAAAGTCACTGTTCACTTACTATTGCAGAAGAAAAATGACTTTAATCTCAAAGGCAACATTAAAAATAGGAAAAAAGAAAACGAATCAATAAAGGCAAAGGTCATAGAAACAGATGATTTGAACAGAAAGCTATGTTACTGAGCATTGGGGTTACATACACAGGCTGAAAAAATATGCAGCTAAGCAGGACATCTGGAAGAGAAATTACATGATTTGCATTTTGATATTTAACAATTTTGCATGTCAAACTTTTAAAAGAAGCTGTGTAACTGAAAAGGCTTGAAATAAAGAATTATGTCCAGTGATTTCATCTTCCAGCAATGTGTTTTCTTTCCACAGGAGCCAGATTACATACTCACATGCAAACATACACACACACACACACACACACACACACACACACATGCTCCACCATACCCTGAATCAGTTATAGTCTCCACTATGGAGAATGTGGAGATTGCTTCAAGAAAAAATATCTAGGTGATAAGGCTTATGAGCGTTGGAGTGAGCATGTTATTCCTTATTACTCCTGTTAATCACCAGATATGGCTAGTATCAATCATCATAAAACATTTGTTTTATTCATTTTCAGGATTTTTTAAATAATTATTTTATATAGGAAGAAGTTACCAAAATTTATCACTTAGGGCAACAGCTTTGAAAGAGTTTTTATCACTATATCCAATAAAGAATGCATTTCATTGCAATCCAGATGTTCTATTTTATTTCTTTTCTTATTTTTATTTTTTTTTTAGATACAGGGTCTTGCTATGTTGCCCAGGCTAGACTCCGTGGCTATTCACAAGCACCATCATAGATCATTGCAGCCTCGAACTTCTAGACTCAAGCAATCCTCCCCACTCAGCCTCCCAAGTACCTGAGACTACAGGCACACACCACTGCACCCAGCTCCTATTTCTTTTTTTTATTTTTTAATGTTGGTTGTGATCTACTAAATTTATTTTCACAGTCCACTAATGGGTCATGACCCACTGTTTGGAAAACACTGTCTTAGTGTGTTTTGTTTAAACTTTCCCACTGAAGTATCCTGAGCAGCAGGGGAGTGGGAAACTGTGAGATGGGGGCAGGTTTGAGAGAGGGACTCAGAAGGCCAGCTTCAAGTGAAAAATTTATTTGAAGTTTCTTTATTTCACCATTAAAATGTACTCGTCTTTATCCTTAGACAGCAAACAGGACCATTAGTTTTCTTTAAAAGGTTTTAAATCTCCCATTTCAATAAGAAGATGCTCTAGGGACACATGCTGTGTTATTGTGGGGCTACCTCTCCTGCTGCCTGCTACCTGGTGCTGCAGAGGGTATGCATGCAGCAATCTGCAAAGCAGGCCATCTTGGATGATAAATTGACCTCTAGATAGTATGGGAGCTTACTGTGGTCTCATGGCTGCCTGACAATTATTCAGCACAGGTCCTGTGGACGATCTCACCAGGATGAGACATTACTCTTTCGTCAACATGGCATGTCTGATTATGAGCCCTGTGCCTTTTTCTAGCATTTCTGGATCTGATGGCTGGAAAGGTGAGTTTCTAACTTGATGACTCAGACCCTCATTAACCCGAACCACACATGCAGGGCCTCCAGGCAGCCCGCTATCACAGAAAGTGCACAGATAGTGCTAACGAGGTCACCCTGCAATGGACTGCAAAGAGTTGGTAATCATGAGCCAGATGATGAATGTGGAGCCATGGAATCCATCATTTTGAAGGGAGAACACGTTAATTCTTCTCTTTCCATGCAATTGGCTTGACAACAGCTTGACATCATCCTTCCCCTGAGTCACTGAGACAGAGCATGCCAGAATAAAAATAGAGAAAAGGAGTAAATAAACAAAGGGAGGGAGAGCCTTTTACATTTTTAAGCACTTCCTTTTCCTACTTGGTATCAAAGCATACCAGTGGCTGGATTGGGATCCAAAGATGAGATTAAATGTTGCTACTGTGTTCTCTCAAAAAGAAAGTCTCAGAAAATTCAAACTTTTCCTTTGCAAAATGACATCAAGAAATGTGGGATTAGGTATATGCATTAAAAACAACAGGCAATTAGGAGATATACCTAATGTAAATGATGAGTTAATGGGTGCAGCACACCAACATGGCACATGTATACATATGTAACAAACCTGCACGTTGTGCACATGTACCCTAGAACTTAAAGTATAATTAAAAATATATATATAGAGATATATAAACAGGCAAACAAAATAAACAAAAAACCCCAATACAAACCCAAGAAAGAAGTCTTTGATAAAACTATAACTATAGATAGTTACGTAAAAGAGCTTAGGCAAAGAGCTTTGTTTTATAAACTCAGTGGAAGATTGTTGCAATAAAACCACTAAATGTTAATATAAACTTTGTCTCTCTCTCTCTCTTTTTCAGCTACTATGCTACCTATTGTCTCCATCCATAAACCAGACCCTGTAACTAAGGTAGATTTAATCAGAACGCCTTATGGTAGTGGAAAAAAAAAAAGGATCCTACAATTTGAAAAGCTGAGCCTCTGCTTTATTTTTCTTTTGACACAGGGTCTCGCCCTGTCACACAGGCGGGAGTACAGTGGCACAACCATGGCTCCTTACAGTCTCAACCCCCTGGGTTCAAATGATCCTCCCACCTCGGCCTCTCGAGTAGCTAGGATCATAGGTTTGTGCCACTGTGCCCAACTAATTTTTTATTTTTATTATTTGTAGAGATAGGGTCTTGTTTTGTTGCCGAGGCTGATCTCAAACTTCTGGGCTCAAGCAATCCTCCTGCCTTGGCCTCCCAAAGTGCTGGGATTACAGACATGAGCCACTGTGCCTGACTGAGCCTCTTCTTTTTCAAGGTACAAGTAGTTTCCTTTATTTTGAGATGAAAATAATATAGTACATGTGTGGAAATCTGGACTTTGGAAAGTTGAACACTGTGTTTCCCTGGCTGAAAATATAGTAATAAATGTCAAGTCAAAGAAATTGTTTCAGGCAGAAACAGCCACTATAATAATATTTAATTATCTTCAGGAAAAAAAGAAATACTTAGTTTGGCTGCAGAATTTAAACATAAAGCTATAAAATTTGGGACATGAATCTCATTGCCTTCTGGGACATTTATGACTGTCAGACATACTTAAATCATGGATTCAAAATGTATAATCAAAATATTTCACCTGACAGTTGTTTCTTAAAAATATATATACGTCAAATAAAAAGGTCAAATCAGATAGCAAAACTATCTTGTTAAAAAGCTAAAAATATTGTTGGATGATATAAGCATGCTATTGGATGACATGAAATATAGTGAGATGATATGAAAATACTGAAGCTTATAAAATGCAGGTTGGGGTTTTTTTTAGGCATCATGACTACAGGTATGGTGAAGAAAATGTTATTTTTGCTTTTTTATCCCAACTCATTTCTATGTAGGATCTCCCATCTGGCTGGAAAGCCTGTCAGCCATTACCAGCCACCTACTGAGGATTTAGTATCTAGAACGTAACTAAGTAACTGAAGTCTGTACAGATTACTGGTGTATGCAGTAAAGACTGATTTATAGCAAATTATCAGGGATATTAGCATATCCTAGAAATCATCGTGACAACATTTTAAAACATATGTCGTTTTTAACTTTTATATAACATATTCTCATATATTCATTAATTTTATCCCTACAACAATGATGTGAAACAAGAAATATCACTTCCTCTGTTTTGTTTGTTTTGTTTTGTTTTGTTTTGTTTGAGACAGGGTCTTGCTCTGTTGTCCAGGCTGGAGTGCAATGGTGTGATCTTGGCTCACTGCAACCTCCGCCTCCCAGGCTAAAGTGATCCTCCCACTTCAGCCCCCCAAGTAGCTGGTACTACAGGCATATGCCACCATGCCCAGCTAATTTTTTTGTTGTTGTTGTATTTTTGTCAAGATGGGTTTTCACCATGTTGGCCAGGCTGGTCTCAAACTCCTGGACTCAAGCAATCTGCCCGCCTCAGCCTCCCAAAGTGCTGGGATTACAGACATGAGCCACCCTGCCTGTTCTGTTTTCCATATTTTCAATAAAGGAATTGAGGGACAGAGCTGTGCTGTACCCCAGGCTAGTGGATGTCCCCTTTTACAAATTCTCATAGCACATGAATCTTTCCTTTATCACTTACCAGAATAATTAATTAATAATAATTAATATCTCTACTGTGAATTTCCTGAGATCAGGGACCTGTTCCTTTGTTTATCACTAAATTTCGAGCACTTAGTCCAAAGCCTGGCACAGAAGGGGTGCCCAAAAAAGATTTGACAATTGAATGAACGTGCAGGTCACATTTTCTCAAGTCTCACAAGAAATAACAAGCAGATTTGTGCATGAGTATAATTTGAATCTAAATCTAAATTCTTTGCTAACCAGCCTCCAGAAAACTTCTCATTCAACCTTGGGCAGCATCTCTAGAAGAGGGGTGCACATTGTATGTTGCCCACAAATGTTTCACCATCTGTCGTGTTGGATTTGAATATGTATTTGCACTTCCATTCTGTTTAATCCCTTGTTCAAGGAGACCTACCCATGGCATACTCTGGCCTTCTAATTGGTCCTTGGGAATTCTTTCTTTCTTACCTTGTCCCTGTAGGGTAACCTTGCTCTATTGTCAGGAAACTCCATTATGGAGGCATTGTGGGAAATATAAAAGTAAAATGCACTGTTGCTGTTTACCGCAGTTGTCTTGGCCGTTTTTATTCTCTTCAAGCTCTGATTTCATAATTCCACGTCTTGGCACATAACTACATCTCTTAGTGTGCTGTATGATATATGATTATTTCTGTGTAATTTTCTACAAAGACATTTTAGCTATTTCAAAATAGAAAAACTTACTTCTTGCTTGCCCATAGAACCACTCCTTGAAATGATTTTCCAATGTTTCTAACTATGGATTTTTCTGATAAAAAGCTGGTGATAGGAAACAGTTAATGGTTACAGTTAAATCTATGAAAACTTAGCATGCAGGTGAAAGATGAAACGGCAAGCTGTCTTTTGGCATTATTCGTGGGGCTCCTTGGCTAGGATTTAGAATAAGAATGGACTTTTTTATTAGAGGAAATCTCATTTATTTTCTTTCTTTAACAATGGAAATAGTGGTTCCCTTTAGCTAGATAAATAACTTTAGAGAAAAATGAGAAAGGAGTTCTCAAAGTTTATAGTTTAATATCATCTGATGGCATGTAAGTGTCATCATTGAAGACAGGATTTAATGTTGAACCATGTATTAATCCACGTTCTGAGGCTGTTATATGATTTTGATGTTCTATAAAACTAAAATTATAATTGCTGATAGCCTGAGACACTGTCTTCATTGAGTTACTAGCAATAAGGTATAGTTTGGCAAAAAGTTCTTCATGCATGTTTTATTCTTTTATTTCAACTTTTCTCATAAAATAATTTACCCAATTCTCTTTTCTTATGTCTAATGAAATCTGTATTTTTAGTTAATACATACCAAAAACCTGGCTGCGGGCAGTGGCTCATGCCTGTAATCCCAATACTTTGGGAGGCCGAGGTGGCTGATCGCTTGAGCCCAGGAGTTTGGGACCAATCTGGACAACATGGCAAGACTTCCTTTCTACAAAAAATAAAAAAATAAAGAAGTGTGTGATATTTTAGGTCCTGAGTAGATGAGTCTGATTTATGGCATTCCCCAGGCTGTCAGGACTGAAATGAAAGGTGATCTTTAGCACTGAAAATGCTGAAAATTATGTCAAGCCTAGACTTAGCATCTGGCATAACTGGTCTCTCTCAACTCAACAATCCCTGTTGATACTGCTCCTAGGGCTATTAAAATCAAAGATCATGGCACTGACTCCATTAAAATCCTTTATTAGGATCAGCAGCGTAGAGCACATACCCATCAGAATGCTACTCACCACCCTTCCTAAGAACATGCTGACCTCTCTTTACCTTCCCAGTTTCCTTTTCTACCACCCCTCACTTTGAATACAATGTCCCAGCCCAAACAAACAATTTTGATTCCCTGAGCACACGGTCCTTTGGTTTCCACGTCTTCTCATGATGGTCCTGGACCATCCCTCCCACTGATGATACACCTATCATCACCTACCTCCTTCTGATCTGTATTCAACTATTCTCCCATTAAATAACAGCCTCTGCCTTCTCTCTCAACAATCCTTTCTTGATTCCTCAATTCTTGAGTAGATCACGTTCTTCCCTTTCCTCTCTACTTAGTACTACCTACCCTAATGATTTATTTTTAACTTTCTGTAAAGATAGGGTTCCAAAGTGCTGGGACCATTTATCCCACCTGCTAATGCTTTACAGCTTCATACATATCTCTATTACAGCTTTTTTTTTTTTTTTTTTTTTTTTTTTTTTGACGGAGTCTTGCTCTGTCACCCAGACTGGAGTGCAGTGGCACAATCTCAGCTCACTGCAAGCTCTGCCTCCCGGGTTCATGCCATCCTCCTGCCTCAGCCTCCCGAGTAGCTGGGACTACAGGCGCCCGCCACCACGCCCGGCTAATTTTTTGTATTTTTAGTAGAGACGGGGTTTCACCATGTTAGCCAGGATGGTCTCGATCTCCTGACGTCGTGATCCACCCGTCTCGGCCTCCCAAAGTGCTGGGATTACAGGCGTGCGCCACCGCGCCCGGCTATTACAGCATTTTTTGCACTCTGCTTTAATTATTAATTTGTCCTGCTCCCCAACTTGTCTCTTATAAATGTGAGTAAAAGGCTGTGCTTATTCATCCTTTGTCTCCCCAGTGAAAGACTACTCAGCACTGAGTAGTCACTCAAAAACTATTTCGTGAATTAGTCTATATTTTTACCATCAAGGCCAAAATACAAAAAGCATTTTTACAAAACTGGAGCTGGGACAACCTGACCTATAAAACAGCATAGGAGCCAGCACCAGTAATCTCAACACTTTGGGAGGCTGAGGTGGCAGGATCATTTGAGACCAGGAGTTTGAGACCAGCCTGAGCAGCATAGCAAGACCCCTGTCTCAATTAATAATAAGTAAAGACTTAGCCAGGCATGGTGGTGCATGCCCCAACTCTTTAAAAAGAGAGAGAGAGAGACAGAAAGAGAGAGAGAGAAAGGGTAACATTTGAATAAAAACTCAGTGGTGGGGCCAGGCACAGTGGCTCACATATGTAATCCCAATACTTTGAGATACTGAGGTGGGCAGATCGTTTGAACCCAGGAGTTCAAGGCCAGCGTGGGCAACACGGTGAAACCCTGTCTCTACAGAAAAATACAAAAAAATTAGCTGGGTGTGGTGGTACATGCCTGTGGTCACAGCTACTGGGAAGGCTAAGGTGGGCATATCTATCACTTGAGCCCAGGAGGTTGAGGCTGCAGTGAGCCAAGATGACCCCACTGCACTCTATCCTGGAGGACCAAGTGAGACCCTGTCAAAATAAATAAATAAATAAATAAATAATAAAAACCCTCACAGGTGGAATGGGTCATCCATTCACCATACATAGAGAGTGAATTGGACAAAGAAAAAGAAAGAGAAACTTTTTGCTTTTCTATAGCTGTGATCAGATTTCGTATCTCCATCATGAACCCTAACTCCAGTGAGAGATGAGGTGACAGATTTTAAATTTACCAAATAATGGTGTCTCAATGTTTCCATTTGAATAATCTCTTTTGAATGACTCACAATATTTCAGATAATTGCTCAGCTTTCTAGGTTTTGCTTTCCTTCTCCTTGCTCATCCTCAAGATGCCATCTTTGTATGAGAGAGTGACAGCTCACAATTTGGTAGTAACTTTGTGAGGGACCTCTGATCTGCAGACTATCAGAAGGTCTTCACTGGTTTCTGCCATGAAGTTGCTCATCTGTTCTTATTTCTAGATTATAATCACCTGAGATATGGCTGGTTTTTTCTGGCCTGTAACTTACCAGAACTTGTATTCAAATATTGGACTTGCAACATCAAGAAGCAAACTCGCTGCATTGTACAGCTTCATTGTTCCAACCTCAGGACTTAGCTAATCTACCATGCTCTCAGCACTTCCTATATTGCTTCGTCAGGTCACATGGGAATATGTAAAGTCTGTGAACAACTACTTAAGCCACCAGGAAGGAGAAAAACTTTTTCAAGCTTATGTATTGAGTTGCCTCCCTTTATCAATATAGCACTATTGTTCTATACCATACTGGACACAGGCAGTCCCATGCCACAAGCTGGGCTCTATCTAAAAACCTGCAACCTCCCTGTGTTAGTCTGCTGGAGCTGCTATAACAGAAAACCATAGACTTGGTAGCTTATAAGCAACAAAAATTTATTTCTCCCAGCTCTGGAGACTGGCAAGTCCAAGGTCAAGATACCCACAGATTAGGTATCTGGTGAGGGTCTATTTCCTGGTACATAGATGGTACCTTCTCCACTCTGTTCTCACTTGGTGAGAGGGACAAGGTAGCTCTCTTGGGACTCTTTCCCAAGGGCATTAATCCAATTATGAAGGCTCTGCTCTCATGACCTAATTACTTTCCAAAGGCCCTGCCTCCAAGTACCATTACAATGGGGACTAGGTTTCAACATATTAATTTGTTGGGAGGAAGCGCTAACATCCAGTCTATAGCACTCTCTTGGGTTGGCCTGGGAAAATAGTCCACCAATACAGCTGCCTTAAGAAAGAACTTACACATCAAAATGAATTTATCATGTTCTCCCCTAGTCAAAATTTTAGCCTAAGAGGAAGAAATTGATGCCAGAATGTAGATTTAGATAGAGAATCCTTTACTGTCTCTCTATTTTCATTTTCTTTCTTTTTTTTTTTTTTTGGTTTTGTTTTGTTTTTGAGACAGGAACTTGCTCTGTTGCCCAGGCTGGAGTGCAGTGGTGCAATCTCAGCTCACTGCAGCCTTTACCTCCTGGGCTTAAGCAATCCTCCCACCTCAGCCTCCCAAGTAGCTGGGTCCACAAGCGCGTACCACTTTGCCTGGCTAATTTTTGTATTTTTTGTAGAGATGGGGTTTCGCCATGTTGCCCAGGCTGGTCTTGAACTCCTGAGCTCAAGCAGTCCACCCACCTCAGCCTCCCAAAGTGCTGGGACTGCAGGCATGAGCCATCGTGCCTGAACAATTTTCATTTTTCTTTTATATGTTACTAGCTTTGGAAGAGCAGGCTTTCCCCTTATTCAAATCTCTGGGATGGACTTTCTCTAAGGCATGATGTTCTTTTTCCTAAGGGCACTAAACCTCACAGCTCAGTCTAAATGGTAAGAGTCATCCTCACTATGCTCTAGAAGAAACTCCACGATCTGGGAGTCTAGGCCTGCTTTTTAATATTAAGGGTCACTAAGAGAGTTTAGAAGTAAGTTCGTTGCTCATTGCAAAGTCCTGCTTTCAAAACTTCTGTCTTGCTGAGGAATCTAAAATACCCTACTCTAAATCTTAGAGACAATATTTATTCCAACTTCCTCTTAGTATTCCTGCTGAAATGGTTCTAATCTTCCCCAGAGCAAAAGGATGCCCATTTCAGAATAAGAAGGAAGGTTTCATGTTACATAATGCAAATGAAAAATGCACTTCAATTCTGCTTTTCCTAAAATAAAATCATCTTTATAGCATTTTACTCCCCTTCTCCTAAAATAAAATCATTTTTATAGCATTTTACTCTCCTTCTTCTCCCTTTTTTCCTCTGTCCACCCCTTCTCTTCTTTAAATTAACTAAGTCAGAGAGTACCATCTAAATTTTGAAGTTTTTAATTTCCTACATGTATTTAATATATTTGGGTACATTTGCTCTTCTAATACATTCTGGGAAAGGACAGTATGCTGGAGTGGCTAAGAACTCAAGTCCCTATCGAAATATTAAAGACATTCTTCACAGAAAGTAAAAAAAGAATCCTAAAATTTATAGTGAACTACAAGAGATTTCAAATAGCCAAAGAAATCCTGAGCAAAAAGAACAAAGCTGGAGGCATTACGCTACCAGACTTAAAAATACACTACAAAGCTATAGTAGCCAAAACAAGGTGGTACTGGGGCATAAAAACAGACACATAGACACATGGAACAGAATAGGGGGCCCAGAAATTAATCCACTTATTTACAGCCAACTGATTTCTGACAAAGATGCCAAAAACACTCATTGGGGAAATAACTGTCTCATCTCTTGAATAAATGATACTGAGAAAACTGGATATCCATATGCAGAAGAATGAAACTAGACCCCCACTTCTCATGCTGTGCAAAAATCAACTCAAAATGGATCACAGACATAAACATAAGACCTAAAACAATAAAAGCTACTAGAAAAAAATATATAGGGGAAATCCTCAGGACGTTGGTCTGCAAAAACAATTTATGAACATGTCAGAAGCACAGCCAAGAAAAACAAAAAATAAATAAATGGGATGACATAGAACTAAAAAGCTTCTGCAAAGCAAAAGAAACAGTCCAGAGTGGAGACAACCTAGAGAATGGGAGAAAATATTTGCAAAGTACTCATTCAACAGGGGCCTTATATCTAGAATATACAAGAAACTCAAATATCTCAACAGCGAAAGCAAAAAAAAAAAAAAAAAGAAAAAGAAAAAAAAAAAAGAAAATCCCGTTAAAAAACAGGCAAATGATCTGAGCAAACATTTCTCAAAAGAAAACATACAAGCTGGGTGTAGTGGCTCACACCTGTAATCCCATCACTTTGGGAGGCTGAGGTGGGTGGATCACAAGGTCAGGAGTTCAAGACCAGCTTGATCGACATGGTGAAACCCTGTTTCTACTAAAAATATAACAATTAGCCAATGGTGCACACCTGTAATCCCAGCTACTCAGGAGGCTTAGGCAGGAGACTCACTTGAACCTGGGAGGTGGAGGTTGCGGTGAGCCGAGATCACGCCATTGCACTACAGCCTGGGCAACAGAGTAAAACTCCGTCAAAAAAAAAAAAGAAAAGAAAAGAAAAAGAAAAAAGGCAAAAAAAAAGACATACAAATAGCCAACAAATATATATTTTAAAACTCACCATCACTAATCACCAAAACAAATGCAAATCAAAACCACAATGAGGTATCATCTCACCCCAGTTAGGTTGGTTATTAATCAAATAGACAAAAAACAAGCCAAAAAAACCCCAAAACCAAAACCAACAACTAAAAAAAAATCAAGTGCCAGTGAGGATGTGCCGAAAGAGAACTACTCTTCTACGCTCTTTTTGGGAATATAAACTAGTATACCCACTATGGAAAAGAAGTATGAAGATTCCTCAAAAAAACTACAAATAGAACTAACTATATGATCCAGCAATCCCAGTACTGAGCATTTATGTAAAGGAAAGGAAATCAGTATATTGAAGAAACATCTGCACCCCTATGTTTATTGTAGCACTCTTCATAATAACCAAGACATGGAATCAACCTACATATCCTACAACAGATGAATGGATAAAGAAAACATGGTATGCATACACAATGGAATACTAATCAGCCATAAAAAAGAATGGACTCCTTTCGTGGTAACACGAATGGACCTGGGGGACATTATGTGAAGTAAACAGAAAGTTAATCACCACATGTGCTTGCTCATATGTGGAAGCTAAAACAAGTTGATTTCATAGAAGTAAAAAGTAGAAGAGGCTGAGGAGGGTAGGGGGAAGGGACAGATAGGGAGAGATTTGTTAAAGGATACAAAATTACAGCTAGATAGGAAGAATAAGTTATAGTGTTCTATAGCACTGTAGGATGACTACAGTTAACAGTAATATACAGTTTCAAATAGCTAGGAGGATACTGAATCTTCCTAACATGGTAAGTGATAAAATATTTGAAAGGATGGATATGCTAATTACTCTGATCGCTATACATTACATGTACTATATCACTATGTACTCATAAACATGTACAATTACTATGTGTCAATTTTAAACATTAAAAAAATTTGGAAAATAAATAAAATGTTGCCAGCCATGGTGACTCACACCTGTAATCCAAGCATTTTGGGAGGCCAAGGTGGGAGGATGGCTTGAGCCCAAGAGTTTGAGACCACACAGGGCAACAAAGCAAGACCTAGTCTCTAAAAAAAAAAAAAAATTAAAAATTAGCCAGGCATAGTGGTGTGTTCCTGTAGTCCAAACTACTTGGGAGGCTGAGGCAGGAAGATTGCTTGAACCAGGAGTCGAGGCTGCAGTGAGCCACGATGATGCTACTGCACACTAGCCTGGGTGACAGTGAGACCCTGTCTCAACAAAACAAAACAAAACAAAACAAAACAATTCCTGTCCTAAAACTTACTCCCTTGAGCAAATCATTTTGCCAGGACTCTATTTCCTCAGCTTAAAAATTAAGGTAATAATATTTATATAAAATTATGAAGATAACATAACACCAGGCATCTTAATAGTAGCATATCCAAAATTATACTATGTGTTTTCTGCTTGTGGAACTATTCCTCCTCCAATCTTTCCAGCACAATAAATGGCAGCTCCTTCCTCCAAATGTGCAAGGCGAAAGCGTTCAGATCATCTGGTGCTCTTCTCTTACCTTCTCATCATATCCATATTCTCAGGAACTCCTGTTTCTCTGATAATTGTATGTAGAATCTGACCACTTCTCTTCATCCTCACCTCTATCACTTTCATCCAAGAAAATATTATCCATCTCTCCTTAATTAAGGCAACAGTAGATGCTTTATCAGAATATCTAAGTTGTTTAACGCCAAAGAAGCTTGCTGCTATCATCCAAGCAGTGATTCAGGGATCCAGTCTCCTACATCCTCATGGTTGTGCATCTTCAATGTTAGCATCTAAAGCTGCAGAAAGAAAAGAGCAGAGCACGGTGGGTTGCACATCAGAAGTTTTGTGGACCAGGCCTAGAAGTGGCATACATTACTTCTACTTGTATAATATCAGCCAGTGCTCAGTCAGATAGTCATATCTGACTATAAAGACATCTGAGAAATAATCCAGCTGTGTCTAGGAGAAAGAGAAAATGGGTTTGATAAACAACCAGCCAATCTCTGTCACTCTCAACCTAGACATAAGTTACAAGCATTTCTAACTGGTTTTCTTGCTTTCACCTGTGGGCTCCTACAGTTCAACCTATCAACGTGATGAAACTTAAAACTTAATTCAGATTATGTTCCTCCTTTGCTCAAAGCATGCCAGTAGCTTTCCATCTCCCTTGTTTATTCCAAAGTTCTGATGATGATCTTGAAGCTTTATATGATCTACCTCCCACTCACTTCCTTGGTTTGTTTCCTAGCATTTTCCCCCTTGCTCACTCCACTGCAGTCACACTGATTGCCACACTGTCCCTCAAAACTGCTGATCACATTCTGCCATACAGCTTTTGCATTTACTCTTCCTTTTGCCTGAAACATTCTGTCCCCTAGATAGTCTCAGAGCTCACTCTTTTACCTCCTTCAGGTCTACGTTCAAACTCCAGCTTATTAAAGTCTTCCTTGAATAGCCTATATAAAATGGTACCCTCAATCACCTGTCTCTCCATTCTTTTTATTATTACGCTTAATGTATGTATTTGTTTCTTTGTTTAGTGTCTCTCTTCCAAGATTAGAATGCCTTCTCTCATGGCAGAAAAAATACTGTGGCCGGGTGCAGTGGCTCACGCCTGTAATCCCAGCACTTTAGGAAGCTGAGGTGGGTAGATCACCTGAGGTCAGGAGTTGGAGACCAGCCTGGTCAACATGGTAAAACCCAGTCCCTACTAAAAGATATAAAAATTAGCTGAGAGTGGTGGCAGGTGCCTGTAATCCCAGCTACTTGGGAGGCTAAGGCACGAGAATCACTGGAACCCAGAGGCGGAGGTTGCAGTGAGCTGAGACCGTGCCACTGCACTCCAGCCTGAGCAACAAGAGTGAGACACCATCTGAGAATAAAAAATAAAAAATAAATTAAGAAAAGAATAAAAAATGTTTTATCCTCAGCTGTGTGGGACTAAAAACAGTGCAAGAAGTAGGAGCTCAATAATTATTTTTAGTGACAGGCTTTCACTCTGTTACCCATGTTGAATGCAGTGATGTGATCATAGCTCATTGTAACATGAAACCCCTAGGCCCAAGTGATCATCCCACCTCAGCCTCCCAAGTAGCTAGGACTACAAGCACATGCCACCACACCCAGCTAATTTAATTTTTTTGTTGTTGTTGTAGTGATGAGGATCTTGCTATTTCACCCAGGCTGGTCTTGAACTTCTGGCCTCAAGTGATCCTCCCGCCTCAGCCTCCCAAAGTGCTGGGATACAGGCGTGAGCCATTGTGCCTGGCCAATGAATTTTTTTTTTTTTAATGAATAAAAAAAATGAATGAATCGTTTGGCACATAGCCTGGCAAAAAGTAATCAATAAATGGCATCATTGCTATGATACCGAGCTTTTCTCTTAGATTAGAAAGAATGTTGATTTTTTTTTCTATTTTATTCATATTTGGGTTTTCATGATTCTTCCCAAAAATGATGCACAAATACAAATGTCTTTGTTTTGTGTTGCTATAAAAGAATACCTGACGCAGGGAAATTTATAAGTAAAAGAGGTTTATTGGCTTATGGTCCTGCAGACCATACAAGAAGCATGGTGCCAACATCTGCATCTGGTAAAGACCTCAGGCTGCTTCCACTCATGGTGGGAAGTGAAGGGGAGCTGGTGTGTGCAGAGATCATATGGTAAGAATGGAAGTAAGGGGGAGCAGGGGAAGGTCCCAGGCTCTTTTGAGACATCTGGCTCTCTTGAAAACTGATCGAGTGAGAACTCACTCATTCCTGAAGGGAGAGCATTAATCTGTTTGTGGGGCACCCACCTGCATAACCAAAACACCTTACATTAGGCCCCACCTCCAACATTGGTGATCAAATTTCAACATGAGGTTTAGAGAGGACAAATATCAAAACCATAGCACAAGACTAGTTTCTTCTTCATGTTCTTATCATGCTTGACATAACTCTCTCCATTCGTTCAGCTTTTCATGGTTACAACTCTGCTTCTATATATTAATATGCCCTAACTATAGAATGAGGTGAGAAAATGGGCACAAACAGGCAACGAAGGAAGAGAGTATCTTAAAATTCAACATGCTGCTAAGAAGTGAAAAAAATAAAAAAGTTGAACAACTACATTTTGTGCCAAAAAGGAATAATAAAATATAAAAATCAACCAAATGCAACTATTTCGGCTTAAGTGAATTTCAATCAAAATAGTTTGTATGTATAGTCAGGGCTTCAATTTCTTAAACTAAAGAAATGTCAGTATGTAGGACTAGATATAAAATAAGCCAAATATTGGACCAGATGCAGTGGCTCACGCCTGTACTCCCAGCACTTTGGGAGGCCGAGGCAAGCAGATCACTTGGGTTCAGGAGTTCCAGATCAGCCTGGGCAACATGGCAAGACCCTGTCTCTACCAAAAAAGAAAGAAAATTAGATAAATATGACTCTTCTTTTTCCTTTACCTTACATAGAAAAAAAACTAAAAGCATTTGCAAAATATCTTAGACTCTCATCAAGCTAGATATTTCTTGCTTATATTGAGGAAAAAATCACACTCTGAGAATAGTGTTAATCAAGGGTCATAGGTAGCGCTAGACTAGAAATTTTGAACTGTAAAAAAGATATTAAAATGTGACTTTTAATTAGATCAGAAATGAACTCTAATACTCTTCACGTCTTCAGAAATGACACCTTTTATTCCTCCAGTAATTGAGGTGTCAAAGGGCAATTTGAGGCTACTCGAAAAGATTCAGAGTCTGGTTTTGTTAACTACTAAGCTAATTACTGGTACAAAATGAAAATTACTAGACACCACTGAATTCTTGACAGGTCAAAAAAATATTCTTAAGAAATCCTGGGGTTTAAACTGGTGATATTCAGGCTTTCAATATTTATTTTGTAGCTTTATTTTTTTTATTTCTTTGAGGCAGGATCTTGCTTTGTCACCTAGGCTGGAGTACAGTGATACAATCATAGCTCACTGCACCCTGCACCCATGAACTCCTGGGCTCAAGTGATCCCCCTGCCTCAGCCTTCTGAGTAGCTGGGACTATAGGTGCACACCACTACGGAGAGCTCATTTTTGTATTTTTTGCAGAGATAGAGTCTTGCTATGTTGCTCAGGCTCATTTATAGCTTTCTTTCTTCAGAAATAAAATTCACTCAAATTAGTAAGGGTTTGTTGCTGTTGTATATGTGTGTGTAGGCACATGGGGGAGTAAGTAGGCAGTTGAGAAATCTTTTGCAAAGTCGTCTGTTATATTAGTGACTATATATTGTGAGGCGGGATATGAATCACACTGGTTTTCAAAAAACTTTGAACTTACTATTTCTAGGGCACAGTACTTTCAAAGGAAAGAGCCACATGTTCAGAAACCATAATAACCTTCTCAGAGCACCTGTGCACCAGATATCAGTTGCTCCATCAACTATCCTCTGACAATAGCAGTAAAAACCATTTACCCACACTCAGTGGTCTATTCTAGTTTCTACCATCTAAATGATGGTCGGACTCCATCCGAAATATGAGTTTAGGCCATAGCCAGGTTGACTTGCAGAACACTGTTTTAAAATGGGATCAAGGGAGGGCAATAACAGATCTGCAAAGGAGAGAAAACCTAATCATTCAAAAGCAGTTCTGAGCATGAAGTAAGTAATATGTCCACTCAGAGGTATTGTTAATTTAGGATCAAAGTCTAAAACTGGAGTCCTGCGGACAAGCTGGAGAACAAATTTAGGCATAGGGCTGGTTGAGTGGAGCACCTGGAGCCAGAGAAATGCAGAGCAGCAAGGCCCAGCAGCCCTTCCTGAGGATGATACAGATAGTGAAGAGAGGGTGGAAGGAAGGAAGCAGAATGGGATGGGGGCGTGAACATGAAGTGAACAAGAGAAGTTGCTAAACATTTCCCTCAATACTTGGCCCTGTGGATCACTTGCATCTGAATCCTCTGGGAAGCATGTTTCTGGCCGGGTGCAGTGGCTCACACCTGTAATCCCAGCACTTTGGGAGGCCAAGGTGGGTGGATCACTTGAGGCCAGGAGTTCAAGACTAGCCTGGCTAACATGGCAAAATCCCATCTCTACAAAAAGTACAAAAATTAGCCAGGCATGGTGGCTCCTACCTGTAGACCCAGCTACTCAGGAGGCTGAGGTGGGAGGATCGCTTGAGCCCAGGAGGCAGAGGTTGCAGTGAGCCAAGATCACTTCACTGCACTTGAGCCTGGGTGACACAGTGAGACCCTGTCTCAAAAAAACAAAACAAAAAAAAAACTTCTGGAAAACATGTTTCAAAAACAGATTCTCAGGCCCCACCCCAGACCTCCTGAATTGAATCTTCACAAGTGAAGCCTAGGAATGCAGACTTTAAAAAAAAATGCATTCTAGGCAGCTTTTATTGCATTTTGTATTATTTACTTATTTATTGAGACAGTGTCTTGCTGTCACCCATGCCCATGCCATAGTGAGTGGTGCGATCATGGCCCACTGCACCCTTAAACTCCCAGGCACAAGCGATCCCCCAACCTCAGCCTCTCGAGTAGCTGGGACTACAGGTGCACACAACGACACCCAGTTAATTTTTTATATTTTGTAGAGACAGAATCTTGTTGCCCAGGCTGACCTCGAACTCCTGGGCTCAAGTAATCCTCCCACCTCAACCTCCCAAAGTGCTGAGATTATGGGCATAAACCACTGCACCCGGCTGGGATATAAACTTTATACACGGTCCCCAAGTATCTGAAGCACACTTATATTTGTGTGCTAAGCTCCTTACTGGTATTGTTTTGCTTAATCCTTCAACAGCTCTATAAAGCATGTGCTATTCTTATCCTCTCCCCACAGACAGGAAACTGTGATTCAGAGAAGCTGACTGACAAGGCACAAAGACAAATGTGGCAAAGTCCAAACGCAAACTTAACACATTCTGATTGCAGATTTCTGTGATAGTAATCACTCTAGACCAGAGGTCTTCAGACTTTTTCTACAAAAGGGTCAGTTAATAAACATTTAAGATGTGTGGACTAAATAGCCTTTGTTGCAACTACTCAACTTTGCCACAGAGAACATGTAAACAAACGGACACGACTAGGTGTTCCAATAAAACTTTACAAAAATGGGCAGCAGGTCTGAAGATGCCTGCTGTTGACTAAGCATTGCTTTTCTTTTCTTTTCTTTTTTTTTTTTTTTTTTTTTTTTGAGACGGAGTCTTGCTCTGTCGCCCAGGCTGGAGTGCAGTGGCACGGTCTCGGCTCACTGCAAGCTCCGCCTCCCGGGTTCACCCCATTCTCCTGTCTCAGCCTTCCGAGTAGCTGGGACTACAGGCGCCCGCCACCACGCCCGGCTATTTTTTTGTATTTTTAGTAGAGACGGGGTTTCGCCATGTTAGCCAGGATGGTCTCCATCTCCTGACCTCGTGATCTGCCTGCCTCTGTCTCCCAGAGTGCTAGGATTACAGGCGTGAGCCACCACGCCCCGCCTAAGCATTGCTTTTCAAAGTGTCATGCTCAGAACAGTAGGATCCTAGGAACTTGTTAGAAATGCAGACTCTTACTCATTCCAGACTTGCTGAATCAGAATCTGCATTTAACAAGGTCTCAATGTAATTTTTATGCACATTAAAGTACGCGACTTCTACTCCAGGGCATTTACAAAGGACTTCCCTGAAAGCTGCATTTAATGCCTTTGCTGTCCCTCCTTTTAGGTGCATGAACTCATCTTCTGATAGTAACTGTGTTGATTGCCTTCCACAAAAGTTAAAAAGTAAATAAAGCTGGGTGTGGTGGCTCATGCCTATAAAAATCCCAGCATTTTGGGAGTGCTTGATCTCAGGGTTGAAGACCTGCCTGGAAAACATGGCAAAACCCCATCTCTACAAAAAATACAGAAATTAGCCAGGTGTGGTGGAGGGTGCCTGTAGTTGCAGCTACTCTGGAGGCTGAGGCAGGAGGATTGCTTGAGCCTGGAGGTTGAGGCTACAGTGAGCCATGATTGTGCCACTGCATTCTAGCCTGGGTGAAAAAGTGGGACAATGTCTCAAAATAAATAAATAAACAAACAAACAAATAAATATAAAAATAACTTATTAAATTGATAGTGCTTATTATACATGCTATCTTAAAAACAAAGATATAACATCACAATTTATATTTACCTTCTAAAAAGTACTGAGGTAAGTAGATAAAAAGTGCTTTATGAGTTGTTTCCCTTTTCTATACAAATCTCAAGGCCTTATACCGGAGGCATTGAATCAGAATCTCTGGAGATGAGACCTGGAAGCTGCATTTTAACAAGTTTCTCAGGTGATTCACATTTAGATAATCAATAGGTGCCCACTCTTCAGATCTGGGGATTACTGCATGAAGAACATACAGACATGAATTTTGGAGAGAGGGGTTTAGTCCTCCACTAATTAGATGACCTTGAATAAGTTAATTGACCTCTTTGGACATCACTTTCTTCATTCAAATGGTGGTTCCAAACTTTAGTGTCCATTAGGATCATCTTGACCAATGCAAACATTCAGAGAATCCACCACTGTATAATACCATGAACAAAGGGTTGAGTAAGTAAATGAGGGAGAAAGGACAGCTCTTCCTGACAGCACAGTGTCAACTACTATATAGAGAAGCGGCCACAAAGTTAGAAATCATCAATGGATGCTAAAACTAGTGGTAAAATTTTAATGAGGAACAGGATATTTACATAGTTTCAAAGTATCTCCTTGCAAATTAATTATTGATTACAAAGTAAAATATAGTAACTCTTCAGTAGATAAACCTGGCAGACAGCACTGTAACTGACCAAAGCTAATATCACCAACATAAGGACAAAGTGACATCATATGCCTCTTGAGGTGATGCAACAAGAACACAATGCCACTTAGTGACATTCCTGCCAAAATGCATAACCTATACTAAATATGAGGAGACATCAGACAAACCCCAGCTGAAGGGAACCCTAAAAAGTAATTGGCACACAATCTTCAAGAATTTCAAGGTCAAGAAACAAAGAAAAGTTAGTGTTGGGATTACAGGCATGAGTCACCGTGCCTGGGCCAGTTTTTAAAGCAAAGTAAGAATCAATGCCACATCAAATGTACACATTAAATGTATACGTTATATTCATTTCAAATTTCAGAAAGATTAAAATGTGAAAAATATGACTTTTAAGCTTACAGAAATAACAGTGTAAGCTTTTGGGGGACTATAAGACTTTACAAGTGTGAAATAATTAGGTAATTATTCTGCTTCATGACACTTCTATTAATTTCAATGGGTTATTTATTAAATTATGTCATAATGACTCCCCTAAGTGATAGTCAATTCTATAAGATCAGTCTCAGTATTTAGTTTGCATTTGTATTAGCTGTGAACAGTGCATTAGCGAGATTGTATATTACAATAGTCATATGTCTAAAGCAGAGTTTCTCAACCACCAGTGACATCATGAATCAGATAATCCTTTGTTGTGAGGGACTGTCCTGTGGCATTGTAAGATGCTGAGCAGTAGCCCTACCTTGGTCCCCTACATGTCATTACCACCATCCACCCAAATAGTGACAATCAAAAATGTTTCCAAGCTGGATAAACTCTAGAAGGCAAAATCACTTCTGCATGAGAATCAAATGTACATTGAATAGTGGCCCTTTAAAAGATGCTTCCACCAGGAACTGACCTGTAAATGTGAACTTATCTGGAAAAGGGGTCTTTGCAGATATAGTTAAGGATTTCCAGGTGAGACGATCCTGGATTTAGGGTCCAGCCTAAATCCAGTGACTGATGTCCTTATAAGAGAAAGACAGAGAAGATGTGAGAGATACAGAGAGGCAGGGAAAAGGGCAATGTCAGACAATGAGAGAAATTGGTGTTATACTGCCCCAAGTCAAGGAAAGCCTCCAGCCACCAGAAGCAAGAGGTGGCAAGGAAGGATTCTTTCCTGAAGGCTTTGGAGACAATGTGACTCTCCCAAAGCCTTGATTTTCAACTTCTGGCTTCTGGACTTTTAAGAGAACAAATTTATGATTTTAAGTCAGCAAGTTTGCCGTAATTTGCCATGGTAGCCCTAAGAAACTAATCACCATTGTTCTGATATTCCATATTATTTAATTAGAGATTATATAAACAGTTTGGGCTAGCAGAAAAGGGTATTCATGGAAAGCATATTGGGGTATTAGAAATAATCAAATAAGGGCCGACCGGTCAAACTTTGTGAAGGTTAGGGATTCATTTAAGCTCTCAAAAAACATTGGAAGGCAGGCTCAGTGGCTCACACCTGTAGTTTCAGCACTTTGAGAGACCGCGGTGGGAGGATTGCTTGAGTGCAAGAACTTGAGACCAGCCTGGGCAAGATGGCTAAACCCTATCTCTACAATTTTTTTTTTTTTTAAATTAGCCAGGCATGGTGGTGCGTGCTACTCAGGAGGCTGAGGTGAGAGGATTGCTTGAGCCCAGGATGTCGAGGCTACTGTGAACCATGATCACACCACTGCACTCTAGCCTGGGTGACAGAGCAAGAATCTGTATCAAAAAAAAAAAAAAAAAAAAAAAAAAAAAATGGAAATAGGTACTTATACATTGTCTGCTTGCTTTTTCTCTCTCCATCTATTAGTTTTCTCCCTTCTTGCTATATAATGGCATGCTTTACTTGGTGAGGACTAAGGCCACCTTTGTTCTTCAAGGCCTACATCTGGAGGATCTCACTGGCAATGATAGTCTTACTTCTCTGCCCTCATTCTGGCTTTAGAATTCTGGAAACAGAAAATATTGACCCAGTCTTGGTCAAATGCTCCCCCTTAGAACAATCAACTCTGGCAGGCGCATGGCATGGTCATATAAAAACTTTGTATTCCCTGATATAACAATATGATTAGGATTAGAAAGCCAATAGTTTCCAGGAGAAAGAAAGAAAAAAATTCTAGACATTCATTGCACCCACGAATATCTACTATGGTACATGAATCAACATTGTTAGCTTAAAAGTATATTGTCCTATCAATACATTATTTCAAAAGCATCATGCAAAACAATAGGTAATATTTTCTCCCACTATGAACTTAATCACTTGACTAGAGTTTAGATAGGCACATTGGTAGCAAAAAGAATTACTGGAAAACATAAGTAGGGCTACTCAATGACTTTTAGTATTGTAGGAGCCCAGTAAATAAAATAATAATTGAGTCATCAACAAAATCCTAAATGTGGAGTTCTCACAGCAGAATCATTTAAGGGTAAAAGCCCCAGCTTTGAGACTCAAATAAAGCTTATAATGAATCATTCAGACATCCTCAGAGAGAACGATTTTCAACTTGATTAAAATAATCAAGTATATTGTCATCCTCTTTTGAATGAAAGACATAAAGAGGCAGGGTGAAAGTTTAAATTCTCCTCTATTTATTCCCTCTTTTTTATTAATCCATTCTATCTAGCCCTTAAAGACCCTGAATTTCATGTCTCATCAGTTTTAGTACATCGGGCCCTTTCCCAGCCTGTGCTGACAATGCAGGTCTTTTGTCTCTGTGCCCTATTGGATTACAGAGATTAGTGGATACATTTCTTAGGATCAGCCCATCTAGGGATTTAAAATGCACCATCTTAAAATGGAAGTGATGGCCTCAAATCAGGGAATTCAGCGCCTCGTTTGGAGAATAAAAAGGACGCTACAATTGGTAATGTCTTATTATTACTTTCTGCCACAGGATTTTTTTTCTTGTGGTAGGCTGCGACTGAAGAATATTTTTCTCAAATCACAGAAGTCAACAGATACTCCAAGATTAAGGGGAAAAAAGTAATATTTTTAAAATATGTTTTTGGCTGGGCATGATGGCTTTTGCCTGTAATCTCAACACTTTGAGAGGCGGAGGCAGGAGAATTGCTTGAGCCCAGGAGGTTGAGGTCAGCCTGGGCAACATAGGGAGACCCCCCATCTCTATAAAATATTTTTCAAAAATTTAGCTGGGTGTGGTGGCACATGCCTATGGTCCTAACTACTTGGGAGGCTAAGGCGAGAGGATTGCTTCAGCCCAGGAGGTCGAGGCTGCAGTGAGCCATGACTGGGCCACTGCACTTCAGAGTGGGCAACAGAGTGAGATCCTGTCTCAAAAAATATTTTTTTTAACTAAAAGAATAAAAATATGTTCTTAAGGTGTTTTATATGGTTGACTCCTGTGTTGTATAAAGAGCCCTTTGCTCAATATTCAGTTACTACAATGATGAATTGAAAGACATAGATTACTCCTGAGTTGGAGAGTGGTGGATGCTGTGATGCACAGGTCAGATACCCACTTCAGAACCCTTCATTCTGCCAACTGCTGGGCGTGCTAACTGCTGACTGTGGAGGGTCCTCTCTCTAGAATTTGCCGTTGGATGAAAACAGACTTGACCCAGGTTATTCCCCTTCCTGGGAATTACCTGCATTCCATGATCCACCCTGGATGCAGGGAAAACTCTGAAGGGTCATCTCAATTCCAGAGCTCCTTGTGTGTGGGATGGATGGGCTGAGGCCCCGGTTGCACCCGCCTCCCAGGTCAACTTCTCCCTCTGCCCCATTCTGTTGCTGGCTCTCTGGCTAGCCTACAGGTGCTGCTCCCAAGAGCACTCCTCAGTCAACCACTGTGTGCACATCTCTGCCTCTAAATGCCTGAGGCCTCCAACCTAAGACAGAGAGTCACATTGAGAATCCTGGACCCAGAGCAGTAGAATCTGTAACAACTGAGAAAATTCTTCTGGCAAGAACGTGTGCTCATAATGAGTTCTCACTACACCTGGAGCTGACCCCTAGCAATCATGAATGAATACTTGAACTCCTCTGCCATCTCTGGTTCTCTAAAAGGAAAATAAAACAAGAGAGAAAAGGGATAGAAGGAGGAAAGGAGGGAAGAGAGAGAGGAGCAAAGAAGAAAAACTGAGCCAAATAAATTCTGACTCTGCTTTGTAGCTTTACACTTATTTATTTATTAGAGACACAGTCTCACTCTGTTGCCTAGGCTAGAATGCAGTGGTGCGATCATAGCTCACTGCAGTCTCGAGCTCCTGGGCTCAAGCAGTCTTCCCACCTCAGCCCTCCAAAGTGGTGAGATAACAGGCATGAGCCACCATATCTAGTCCTTTTTTTTTTTTAATTTTAGACAGGGTCTCGCTCTATTACCCAGGCTGCAGTACAGTGGCGCCATTATAGCTCACTGCAGCCTTCAACTCCCGGGCTCAAGCAATCTTCCCACCTCAGCCTCCTCAGTAGCTAGGACCACAGGAATGTCTCACCATGCCTGGCTAATCTAAATAATTTTTTTTTAGAGACAGGGTCTCATGATGTTGCCTAGACTGGTCTCGAACTCCTTAGCTCAAGCGATCCTCCTGTCTTGACCTCCCAAAGTGCTGGGATTACAGGTATGAGGCACTGCACCCAGCTGTGACATTTTATACTTTTGAGAGTCCTTTTCAAGTCATTGCAATAGGAAGTTTTAGAGTAGAGTTACTGTTCATTATTATGCTTGTTATTTTACACGCCCTCTTTCTAAACCTAAGAACAATACTGCAGGGAAGATAATAATATCAGAGAAGCTAAGTGATTTACTCAAGTGTACAGAGCTAGTAAATGACAAAACAGGAATTTAAAACAACTGTCAGTGATAAACCCTGTTGTCTTTTCACTAAGCCAAGGTGTTGCCCTCTCTTCACAGCAAGGAACACAGATCCACACCAGGAGCAAAGTTTTGACTTTCTTCTGAACGATACCTGCTGTATCACTTGGGACTCTTTTCCCAGTAAGTTACAGAGACCTAATTCAAACTAGTTTAAGCAAAGACGATGATTTATTATTAATGAGAACACTGAGATGTTTCAGGGAAATCAAGAAGGGAATATGACTTGATCCCAGAAAAAAGAAATTGCAACCACACACAACAAAATTGTCAGGATTAACCTTTTCTGTCACTACAGACCAGCTTTTGCCACATGTGGAAAACATTACAGCCAACATCTTGGAATTTTACAGCTCTGAATAGTAAGAATGTCCTCTTTTCTTTGTCCCAAGGAAAAAAAGTCCTACTTCATTAGCTAACCTTGAAATAATCACCCCAAATTAAGATCTGAGTTACAACGTAACATGTTTGTCTCTGTTATACCTTGTGGATGGAGGTGACAAAGAGAGACAGAAGGTTCTGGAAAAGGACGCATGAGGGAGGGAGACTAATGAACTTCACCATATAGATTCATCATATGTATTCATAACTTATCAGCTTCATAAATGTGGACATTGTGCAGCTTTCTGATTTTCTTTAGATATCTGTCAAACATATCACCCTACAACATAGTAATTCAGTAAAAGATGGCAGGCAGGGTTTAGTTGGAAAGAAGTTCTAAATGTATACCCTTGTCATTACAAGATTTCTTCTTTGTAAGGTCCAAAGAGAAAGGGATTAAAAAACAGAGAGCAGGAAGGAAAGTCTGGTCAATTTTGGAAGCTAAAACTTTCCTCACCAAAGCAGGAAATTAATTTCTTCCTGATCATGATGTCTGAAGGAGATTAAATAGAAAGAGTAGGTGATGAAAAAGCTTAAGATACATTTTTTGATGGCGTTGTGTGTGAAATCCTAAGAGAAACTAAGCAGAGAGTTTATGTTTCCCATCGAAGTGAGTTAATAATCAGATATATATTTTACTAACATATGCTTCAAAACATTTCTCCTCCAGACAAGTCAAAGAAGGGCTGCCAGGGGGTGCCAGGGATTCCCCCAAGGCTCTGCCTGTAGACCTAGCTTCAGACCCACCTTCAAGGTACACAAAAAGACAAAAGGGTTTTTCATTCTTCCCTCCCCAGAAGGATTGGAGGTTGAAAATGACTGTTTGTTCCCTCTGTAACATATATATCTGATAATATGCATGGGCATGCAGAATTGACTGCTTGCATTATGTATGAATCAGACCATCCATTAGCAACAGCTGGATGGATTTTTCCCTCCAGATGCCCAGTGGCAGGATGGCTCCCTCCCCTCCCCAATACAAGCCTGTACCACACATACCCCACACAGAGGCACTGGGGACAATTGCCCCAGAACCTAAGGACCACGATAGCCAGTGCAATGTGTTTTTGTTTGAATTGCTTTTCTTTTCTTCGAGTCAGTTTTTCTTCCATCTTTCGCAGCTGCCAATTTAGTACTGAAACAAAGAATCTGGCCACGCAAGCACCCTTCTAATCACCTCAATTCATTCTCACAACCAAAGGCTTCTAGAAGCACTATTTTCTCAAACTGTTGGTTGGATCATCTCCCCAGAGAAATGTTTGCCCCTTGCAGGGGGTGTTTTGAGCCAAGAGAAACAAGGATAAAGGCCCTATTGGGCGGTTTACTTGTTACTGTTCCTTTGTTTCCCATTCCATTATCACCAAGTTCTTGATCTCTTTTACTGAAAACAAGACATTATTAAGAGAGACAGAGAGAGTTATAATCATGATATCACTTATTCAGACCTAAAGTTAAAGCACAGTCTAAATGGCATTGTTTTTTAGGATGAAAGCTGCAAAACCTAGATAGACAATTATGTGGCCATTTGCAAAAATATTTTAAGAAAACATTTTGGGATTAGAGAATCTGAGTAATTGCCTGAATTTTGCAATTCCCTCTGGATGTTTGCCATCCTTTGAAGTATCTTCTATGACAAAAAAGAAACATTATATGTTAGAAAATGTTATGGTTAGTGATGTAATTTTGTTTCACTCTATTTAACATAGGGCAGTGTGTTTGCAGGCCCGTAATCAACCAAATCTATGGGCTGAAAATATCCTGCCAAAATGGAGCCCTGGCTACCTTCATCCCACAAGAAAGCCTCGTAGAATATGTTCCTCTCGAAAATATTTCCCAAAGGAGAAGCCTATATACAATGGCCTCCTGAAGATTCAGGGGAAAACATAATAATCTTTGATGAACTTGGCTGCCTAGTAAGGAAAGTTAGATGAAGAGTCTAATGGCTGTTTTCTTGCTGCAATGTCCTCTATAGCAGAGGTCAATCATCCACTTTCTCCATCAGAACAGCTAGAAAGAATAAGGACATACAGGCAATCTCCTTCTATATCTCACCAAATTTCTGAGGTCAAAGCATTTATGCAGTGAGGTCTTTTAGTACCATTAACCGTGAAAATATCCAATATCGAAATAATTCTGAATCTCAAAACCAATTTGAGTTTTAATCTGAGTATTCAGGGTATTCACCCTTGATATTGATGCATCCAATCATCAGTCCACCTTAAATTGGTCAAATTGATGAGGTCAGTGACATTAAATAAAGGATTGCAATATATTGTCACTATGGTTTGTATGACTATTTTTTGCTTTTCTCATTATTTCCTCAGGACAGAACATTGAGAGGATGGATTGGGATGTATTGGAAAGTTTGGAGGCTTCTGGCTGTTATTATTCACTGCCTTCCTCCATTTCAACATTAGTATGGGGATGGTTGAGAAGTGAAAATGCTGGGGAATTAAATGGGGAAAGAGGAGTATTACTATCAGGTGGAGCGTGAAATAGCTGCTCATCAACATGGGTTGAGCTAGATTATCCTTGGAGTTAAAAAGTCTTGAATTTTACTGTCTAGCTCTACTAACTCCTAACAGTTTTCTCTCTGAGCCTCATTTCTAAAATGGAGCTAATAATATCTTCCTTTTGAGTATTAAATATGATGTTGGATGGGCTGGAGGGGTTCCTCACACAGTGGTTGTTCCATAGTCAGTGCCCAGTAAATCTAAGTTACTTTCTGTAATTGTTCTGTTCTCTGCTAAGACTGCCCTGAACCACACCCTACTTGTCTAGAAGCTTACACCTGCTTCTTGGGTCTTTCACCATGTTTTTGTGCTTCTAGCTCCTGAAAAATGGTGCTACTAAATGGATTGATGCCACAGAACCATATTGAGATTTTAAGGATAAACCTGGAAGACACTGTTGATTGCCCCAGTAGCCATATCCCACTTCTTCCTTGCTGGTACATTTCCAATTTTGTCCAGGTATCAGATAACGATGTGTTCAAGAAAGATTAGACCACTGTCCATAGAGTTCCAGAAGGTTGGCTGAACTGAACCATGATTAATCCATCCCCCTTTGCTAGTGAGTGGTTAAAGGATGGGCATCAGTTCTGGCCAAAGAGATGCAATAAGAATTTGAGAAGCATTATCTAGGGAAGATGTTTCTTCCCAAATGAAAAGAGAGAGAGAGAGATGAGGAGCTACCACTCCTTCACCATTCACCCGCTCCCTCCACCTGCTCCCATTGGCTGCTCTGTCTGTAGACATTGCTATATGAGGAATTCATGTCTGGATCTGGGCAATACAATATAGTGCCACCCACTGTGAGGGCCATTGCCCACAGAAAAAACAAAGAAGCAGACGCAAAAACCTTGATATGAATGAGCTATTAAATTAAGCAACCCTGCAAGCACCAAACTCAAGACTGCTTATTATGTGAAACGATAGATCTCCTTTAATTAGGTTTTCTATATCTTGAAGCTGGGAGCATTCTAACTGACCATATCCCATATCCTATAATGTTTACTAATCACAAGACCTCCCTAGACTTCAGTATTGTAGCATTCCAGTCTACATCTAACCTAGCTGTCTAGATAGATTGATTGATCTATAGATAGATAGATAGATGATAGATAGATAGATAGATAGATAGATAGATAGATAGATAGATAGATAAATAGATAGAGATATCTATAGTTTCTATAACAAGATGAATGCGAGACTGTCTTTTGCAGCCTTACAAACTTGAATCATGCAGCCACTCAAACGATTTCTGATTAGGCTTATGATTGGCTTCCTTTCGTTTTTCAAAACATTTGATACACCCCTTTAAACACTCATTTTGTTTTAAAGAATATGTAGTAAATTTTTTAAAAATTCTATTTTCAGAAAGTCTTCAGTAGTTTGATATATTTGGCCAGTTACATAGGTGGAACACCAAGACTAAAGGAAACTTTTTTTTTTTTTTTTGAGACAGGGTCTCATGCTATCACCCAGGCTAGAGTGAGTGGCTCTCCTGGGCTTCAAAGATCCTCCCACCTCAGCCTCCTGAGTAGCCAGGACTGCAGGTGCACACCACCAATGTAGGTGCCCACCACACCCAGCTAATTTTTTAAAAATTTTATGTAGAGATGGGGTCTTGCTTTGTTGACTAGTCTGGTCTGAAACTGTTGGCCTCAAGCAGTCCTTCCACCTTGGCCTCCCAAAGTTCTGGGATTACAGGCATGAGCCACCATGCCCGACCTCACTAAAGGAAACTTTAAGCTTGACAAAATATGTAGCATAAAGCAGTAAACCTTATCTCCAGTGTAAGAAGTTAGAGGAGAGAATTACTTAAAATGTTAGCATCCACAACTTAATGAATACTCTTGGGTTTATATAAATGTGGATATCATAATACCTGTGATGAATTAAACATGGTAGCAAATTCTTTACCAGCAACTTATTTTGATCAATAGACTATAATGGAAGTAATACTGTATAATTCTGATGACTGGGCCTTAAGAGATCTGTAGCTCACACTTGGAAACCCAGCTTTAATACTGTAAGAAGCTCAAATCACATGAGGACCAGGTAGAGGATAATTTACATGCTCCTACAGACAGTCTTAGGCATCCTCCCAATCAACAGCTAGTACCAACTACAAGACCTGAGAATAAGCCATCTTGGATAATGCAGTCCAGCCAAGCCTCTAGATGACTGCAGCCCTAGCTGACCATCCATGAAGCAGAATAACCACTGAGCTGAGACCAGTCACTGCACAGAATGTGAGATATAATAGATGGTAGCATAGCTGTTGGGTTAAGCTGCTAAGTTTTGGACTGCTTTTCTTACACAGTAACAGATTACTAGAACAGTATCCAAACATACAGAATAAGTTACCCAATGATGTGTTGGTCAACTGATCCTTGGGAGGGAGGTGAGGAAGGGCAACAAACCCTCTCTGCAGTTATTTGACAATGACCATGGTATAAATACCACCCTCTCACCACAGCCAATTTCAGGCTATCAACATGATGTCAACCATCTCACATAATTCCTAAAAATTTATCAGCTGTCACAAGCCAGTGCAAACCAGCAAGAGCCAGATCTAACACACCAATGTTATCCCCCCACCAAAAACCTACTTTACTATATGTAGATATCCTAGACCTTTTCTGTTGTATAATTCAAAGAATAATAATGTATCTTACTTACATAGTGCTTTTGCTTTATAATTCACATTTTCCATATTCATCTATTTTAATTTTTACGAGAACCAAGAGCAATAATTATTACATTGCCATATTAGAAATAAAGATGCTAAAACTGGGTAATTGGCCAACTTGAGCCCCAATCTTTTCTCTCCAGCATCAACGTTCCTTGGTACTGCACACATTTTAAATTCTGGATTTCATCATTTCTACAGGCCATTATAACCTCTTTCCTTCCACATTTTCTAATGTTGAGTTCATAATGCCTTTGAATACAAAAGGATCAAAGGCTACAATTGATTGTATATATTTGTTTATTTTTATTTTTAGTATTATTATTATCATTACTTTAGCTAGTCAAGCATGGTTGTGATGTGCAGGGAGAAAGAGTGCTAAATAAGCTTAACAATGCCCACAACCCTTGGACCAACTACTGTATAAACATAAATACATAAATAGATATTTATATAAATATAAATAAATAGATATTTATATAAATATAAATACATAGATATTTATATAAAGATGAATACATAGATATTTATATAAAGATGAATACATAGATATTTATATAAAGATAAATACATAGATATTTATATAAAGATAAATATATAGATATTATATAAAGATAGATACATAAATACATATTATATAAAGATAAATACATAAATAGATATTTATACAAATTATTTATATAAATATAAATACATAAATGGATATTTATATAAATATAAATATGTAAATATAAATACACATAAATATATATTTATATAAATATAAATACACATAAATATATATTTATATTTACACATAAATATATATTTATATAAATATAAATACACATAAATATATATTTATATTTACACATAAATATATATTTATATAAATATAAATACACATAAATATATATTTATATTTACACATAAATATATATTTATATAAATATAAATACACATAAATATATATTTATATTTACACATAAATATATATTTATATAAATATAAATACACATAAATATATATTTATATAAATATAAATTTATATAAATATATATACACATAAATATATATTTATATAAATATAAATACACATAGACATTTATATAAATATAAATACACATAAATAGACATTTATATAAATATAAATACATAGATATATAAATGTAAATATTTATGTATATACATAAATATATTTATTTATTTTTTTTTGACACAGGGTCTCAGTTTATCACCCAGGCTGGAGTGCAGTGGCATGATTGTGGCTCACTAAAGCCTCGATTGTCCAGGTTCAAGCAATCCTCCCGCCTCATCCTGACAAGTAGCTGGGACTACAGGTGCACTGTCCCCACGCCCAGCTAATTTTTGTATTTTTTTGTAGAGACGGGGTTTTGCCATGTTGCCTGATCCATCAAACTCCTGATCCGAGTTGATCTGTTCACCTCGGCCTCCCAAAGTGCTAGGATTACGGGCATGAGCCACCTCGCCTGGCCCATTGTATATATTTAAATAAAGGTCGTCCTGAGTAACCATCCAACAAACCGTTAAATTCATTCGCTAGTCTACCTGGGGCCTGCTTCTTACCCATTCTCGAGCTCAAAACAAATTGTATTCTTTTTTTTTCCCAATCAGCCTTTGTGTCATCCAGACAAATTGTACTCTGAGTCCATGCTTTGAAGAAATCTAGTAACACAGAGAGTTGTCTGTGGGAGGTCTGTTCCTTGTTGTTTCCAAATAATTATTAAGCAGACATATGGTGAATTGAATTTATACCAACATTTCTGAGCCTATTCAATTTTTTAAGTGTACTAAAGGAAGGATAACATCAACTTGTAAGTATTTTTAAAACTTTTCCATATTAGGTTTTAATTATCTTAATTTTCATCATATGTATTAAGACTTGGGTTAAAAAAAAAAAAAGAAAAAAAGATGGATTTTTGCAAAAAAAGCCAAATCAAATATTCCAGGCTTAGGGTTTGGGGTTATATGGTTGTTTTTAAATGAAATGTTTCCAATGGTAATATATCATCTAAAAATTACAATTTTAGTATTTGCTTTTTCAACATTTGCAAATCACAAACATGACTTATGGAAAACAATTTACTTCAGTGGCTGGGTTCTCCAGATGCCTGTAATTTGATTATAAATTTAGAAACAGATTTTGTGTGGTGGAGAGTATGTGCTGAGAAAGGAGAGTTAGTAGGGAAGGGGGCAGAAACTATAGTATTCCTAAGTAACTAAGTAACAAAGGGTAACATTGCCTATTTACATTTACTTCAGCATTTGAAAGCCTATATATTAATGGCCAGTTTTTTCACCATCTTGGTAACATTAGTCTCAGTAAATGCTATTCCCTATGCACCTCAGACAGAAAGATCAAATTACACTGACAAACTTATGAGGTTAAGAGATTTTAGTAATCCCCCCGCCAACACACACACGCAGACCTCTCTCTCTCTTCCTCTCTGTCTCTTAAACACTATAAATTGCTCTTAAGGAAAGTTACAATGTGATGAAACTAGATTACTCTTCAATAATAAATTATTATTCACACCTTTTGAAGACATAATATTCTAGTATACACAATAGCAAAATCTTCTCCTTTGTGGTTTTTGTTTGTTTGTTTTGAGACAGTCTGGCTCTGTTACCCAGGCTGGATTGCAGTGGCCCGATCTCAATCTCGGCCTCCCGGGTCCAAGTGATCCTCCTGCCTCAGCCTCTGGAGTAAATGGGATCACAGGTGCTGGCCGTCACACCAGGCTAACTTTTGTATTTTTAGTAGAGACAGGGTTTCACCATGTTGGCCAGGCTGATCTCGAACTCCTGACCTCAAGCCATCCACCCCTTTGGCCTCTGAAAGTGAGCCACTGTGCCCGGCCAGGATGGGGTTTCTTAAAAAGCTGTAGATTCTAGCCTTTAGGACTTGAAAAAAAAACAAAACAAAACAAAACAAAACAAAACAAAAAAAAAAAAACAGACTTGAGGGTAGTAAGTTGATGCCATTAAGAAAACTCAATAAAATTCTTATTTTCCTATTATATTGTAGCATCTGCTGCTTGGGGAGAAATACAGAGGTGAAAGTTTCTTTCCTACACATAAGAACTGTTCTGAGATCTCTAGGAAAACTGTTTCTGCAGCAAAGAGGAAGAGTAATGCTACTGGTCAAGAAGAGATCGTGTTCTGTGTAACCAGACGTACTGACTCTTGCTGCTTAACCTTTAAGTAGAAAGTTGACACTTGGTTCTCTGACACAAGGTCTGATCTAACAAAGCAAAATAATCTTCTCAAATAGGGTCAGAATGGCTAGAAAATCTCAGCCATTTACCATTGAGTTGATTTTCAGAGCCAGAGGGGCTCCTTACTTTATACCCATATATTCCCCTCTCCTTTCCCATCATTTTTGAAAGTAGAAAAATAACTTAGAGAATCTCTGAAATTTCTCCAAATTGTGAACATTATTCTGATTTGGTTTTCTAATTTGTAGGACACAATATAATAAATTATAAATGCATATCTTTTGAAATATAATATCAACTGAACAAGAATTAACTGTTTTTAATTATAATTTCAAATGCATCCTTTTTCTGAGGAATCAGATTTTAGAAAACAAAATAAGTTAATGGCAGACAGCAACAAAAACCCAGCATTCCTTCAGGATCCCAGTTTCCGTAAACTCTTCTTGGTAAAAGAATTAAACACACATTCACATCACTAAAGGTGAAGGTGACTTATCAGTATAAATCCCTGCTAAGGGCATTTCTTTAAGAGTGAGAGGATTTTCTTTTCAAATTCCAGCCTCATATACCTTGGAGCTGATGAAATCTGCACATCCCTGGGATTTGCAGGAGGTTACAGAACAAGATTATGCACCCTGTTGATTTATTTACTGCAAGGACAACCAGGTTGCAGCCTGACACCAGAAATGTGTAGAAAGAGTCTAACCATGGAACACTGAAGGCTATTATTTAAACTGAGCATCCTTGTGTGCATGGAAAATGAAGCCAATTTCATTTTCTTTTTTCACTGTTGCTGGTTTAATGTATTTAGTCTGAGAGGGTGAGAACTGGTACCTGACTTGATTCTTTACTAATACAAAATCAGGGAAGAGAAGAAATGATGTCCAGTGATAGGAATTACACGTAGTTAACTGATTTGTAAAGAATTAGGAGTAAAAGCTCTCAGGTTGTGTAACAATGGAAGGTTGAGATTTTCTCCTCTTCTTAAGATTAAAGTGGAAATGTCACTTAACATTGAATGGCTTTAAAAATAATATCACACTGAATTTTTCAAGGGGCTTGCCAGACTTTTTTTTTTTCTCCCAATTCCTAGATAATTATGCTGGGGACAGTGTGGATAGAGCAGTGTGCAAAACAGATACTGCCCTCATGGAGTTCATAACCTTGTAAAGAAAAGAGGCATTAAAAGAAGTGGAAGGGGAGAGATAATAAGAGTTGTTAGCTATAATAAAACTAGTAGGACAAAGTGCTCCGAAAGAGCACTATTGGACCCACATTTATGTGTTTGTCTACTTTTTCTATCAGAATGTGAGATTCTTGACCAAAGCAATGTGTTATTTAATTAATTAATTTATTTATTTATTTTAGGGCCAGGCACAGTGGCTTATGCCTGTAATCCCAGCACTTTGGGAGGCCAAGGAGAGCAGATTGTTTGAGCCTAGCAGTTTGAGACCAGCCTGGGCAACATAGAGAAACCGCCTCTCTACAAAACACACAAAAATTAGCTGGGTGTCGTGGCACGGGCCTGTTGTCCAGCTACTTGGGAAGCTAAGGTGGGAGGATCACCTGAGCCTGAGAGGTTGAGGCTGCAGTGATCTGAGATCGTGCCACTGCATTCCAGCCTGAGCAACAGAGTGAAACCCTGTCTCAAAAAAAAAAAAAAAAAAAAATTAAGAAAATTTTAACTTGTATTTTTAATCATTCTATTCCAAGCACCTTGCACAGTGAATGGCACATGGTAGTTTTTCTCTGACACCAGAATTCTTCCACCATACCATACTGCTCCAAGGGGAGGAAAAAAGATAATGTGAAAGAATCGAAAGAACAGAATGAAACTGACTGTATGTACTTGTTTGCCTGTCAATAAAGGGGGAAGAAACAAGGAGGAAATGTCAGAGTTGTGCATGAATGAAAATGTATCCAATTTACTCTCAAATGAAACTGTTATGGGATAAAAGCCAAAAACTTTTCTTAGGGTTTTGCAATCTCCAGCAACTTATATTTAACCAGACGATATTCTTTTTAAGGAACTCTTTCAAACTTTTGAAAAGGAAGATTTGCCTTTTAATGGGAAATCTTCTCGTCATGGAGATAAACTACCACTTTACAAAGTTGGTTATTTATTTATTTATCTATCTATTTTGAGGAGGAGTTTTGTTCTTGTTGCCCAGGCTGGAGTGCAATGGCGCAATCTTGGCTCACTGAAACCTCTGCCTCCTAGGTTCAAGCGATTCTCCTCCCTCAGCCTCCCAAGTAGGTGAGATAACAGACATGCGCCACCACGCCCGGCTAATTTTTTGTATTTAGTAGAGACGGGGTTTCACTGTGTTGGCCAGGCTAGTCTTGAACTCCTGACCTCAGGTGATCCACCCACCTCAGCCTCCCCCAAAGTGCTGGGATTACAGGCATGAGCAACCACGCCCAGCCGGTTATTTATTCTTGATTTTACCAGACTTTTTTTCCAAATTGCTATATTTATAGCATATAAAAAGGAAAGACTATAACTTATTTGAAAACAGACTGGAAGCATCCATAGGCTGTCTCAGTCACTTTCAGCTGCCATAACAAAGTAGCACAGACTGGGTGGCTTAAACAACAGAAATTTATTTCTCACAGTTCTGGATGCTGGGAAGTCCAAGGTCAAGGTGCTGGTAGAGACTGTGTCTGGTGAGAGCTCTCTTTCTGGCTTTCAGACAGCTGCCATCTAGCTATGTCCTCAGCATGATGGAGAGCTCTCTCCTCTTTCTCTCCCTTTCTCTTCCTCTTCTTAGAAAACCACTAATCTCATCCTGAAGGTTTATGATCATGACTTAATTTAACCCTAATTACCACACAAAGGTCTTATCTCCAAATATCATCACATTGGGGGTTAAAGCTTTAACATATACATACATATACACACACACAAACACACGCATATATTTAATATATATTTATATATGTATTATACATTATTATATATTTAATATATATATTATATAGTGTATATATATATACATTTTTTTTTAGACAGGGTCTTGCTGTGTTGCCCAGGCTGGAGTGCAGTGGCTCAACCATGGTTCACTGCAGACTCAACTCCTAGGCCTAAGTGTTCCTGCCACCTAAGCCTCCTGAGTAGGTGGGACTAAAGGTGCATGCCAATATGCCCAGCTAATTTTATTTTTATTTTTATTTTTAGTAGAGAGGAGATATATGTTGCCCAGGCAGATCTCAAACTCCTGGGCTCAAGCAATCCTCCCACCTTGGCCTCCCAAGATGCTGGCATTACAGGCGCGAACTACCATGCCCAAACAACATATGAGTTTTGAGGAGGCATAAACAGTCAGTAACAGGAGGTATAACTAAAAGATATAAAACTGATTCTGTGAACCACACATGCACACATAAAATACTTTAAGCCACATTTTGAACCTTTGAGAAGAGGACCATGGGTGAGATTATCGCCAATTTTGAGGCACTGAATCTGAATAATACCAATTAGAGAAACAAAGTATATATATACACATATACACAAAGTACACATATACACATATACACAAAGTACACATATAAGCCATATAAGCAGGGGTAGTTTCTGTATTTGGCATTATTGGTAAAGAAATCAATGATATTAAGATGCAAAAAAGACACTGGGAGGGTTAAACACCGATATAATTGGTCCTGAAGAGCCTTGTGAATTTAATTTGAGCATCTTGATGCCATAAGAACTGAGACGTCCTTGTTTTAAAAGGGTAAAATATTTATAAAATTATTTCATTTTAAACTTAAAACTATTCTGTTAAGCATGGCTTCAGATTTATTACCAAAATGACAGAAAATGAACGCATTTTTATTTTTGCTATGTTCTACCCAAATCAGCAAAAACAAAACAAAGATGCATTGTAATGTTGTTATATTGTGTTCCTTGCAGAAGAAGGATTGATGACCAACATAATCATCAGATAGTAAAACATGTGATGTAACCAAGAAGTGTTAGAGTTCTATTATCACAAAAAGGGGGACAAATCTGCCAAGTAGTTGAACACTACGGATGTTTACCAAAATCACAGTAAAATAAAATTGAATCACTGATAAATACAAAAAGCGAAAGTAATATATTAAAGGTGGTAGTGGTTTGGGAGGTGAAGGGGAAGAGAGAGAGGATGCAATAGAAACTTGGATTGAGAAGAACCAGAACCGGAGTGACTAAGTATAAAACTTTGCTCTGAGCACCCTAGAAGCCAAGGCAAGGAGGGACATTCAATGGATCATATAACTCTCTAGATCTAACAAAAGAAAGCTCCCGGTTTTGGTGGATGATATAGATACTTTCCTGACTCTGAACTCGGAGAATAATTTGTCGTTGAGAATTTAAAGGAGAGACACTGAACAACATAATGAGGTCCTGTGTTTTCAAAAAGCAAGTTTTCAAATGGATGTGTTTCACATTTTGCCTGATGAAAGCCAGGGACATAGCATTACACTCTTGCTCTGTAAAGTTAATTATTCAAAAGGCCAGAGTGACATAGTCCAAAGAAGTAACCTAAGGACAGTCTCAAAGGTGGAAAACCTGTGATGAACTACTGGCCATGCCACTTATTAGTGGAGCCACTTTAGCCACGTCCCCTTTCATTCTCTGAGCTTATGTTTTTTTAATTTTAAAGAAGGAGGGATAATATCTCCGTTTTCTAATTGTATGTGAGAATTGAATTAAATAACCTGTGAAAGTACCTTTAACTCTTTAGATATAAACATATGTATAGTATTTGCATAAGGAAAATGATACTCTAGAATCTTCTAGACAAAATCAGATCAAATTACATATATTTTATAATTAATTACATAAAGTGTTCAACTGATGAGTCATTCAATAGTGAAAGACTATGCTAAATTTTCATTGCAGCTCTAAATGAAAGGCTTTTTATTTCCCCTGTTTATTATTTTGCTTTTTAAATTTCTTGTGTTTCAAATAAATAAGGTGTCATCAACAAAAGAAATAGGTTTTTGTTTGGTTGGTTGTTTTTAGAGATGGGGTCTTGCTATGTTGCCCAGGGTGGCCTTGAACTCCTGGCCTCAATCAATCCTCCCACCTCAGCCTCCTGAGTAGCAGGTATTACAGGCATGAGCCACTGTGCCCAGCAAGAAATAGTTTTTTATTTGCTAAGGATTTTAAGGCAGTGTTTATAACACTGGAAAACCCCGTAGACATTATTATTACCAATGTGATCATTAATACTATCATCATTACTTCTCCCAACAGCTACAATTTATTGAGCGTTTACTATTGGCCATACATGAAATTAAATGCTTCTGTGTACATTAAAAATGCAACCCCTGGACTAGGAATGAGGACAAGGGCAGTTTTTATAACACCCCTCATGAGCAGTAAATTATCAGACTAGCCACTTATCTCTGACCCTAAGTTCCTCAGGTGTAGAATAGTATTATTACACATCTTAAAGGATTCCTTCTAGACTTCAAGATTCTATTAACTGCTTTGTCAGAGTCCACTTAATGGTGAAAAGGTTGCTTCTCATGTTTGTGATATATTATAGGCACTTTCACCATAGTTAGGAATTGATGATTTTCTTATGTTGTTCTCTTTGGTGGCTTAGTAAAAGCAGCACCATATTTTTTCTCCTATGAACCTGGTGGCATATTCTTTCATAAGCGAGAACATGTCATCTACAACTTGTGGAATTCTGTGGAATGTATTTCTCTAAAGAGAATATTAAGGCCCCAATAATTTTGTGTTACTGCCTAAAATTAGTGGGTGTTCATTGTGTTTCTAAGGGATATTCCATTGCTTAGTCAAGTTCCCCAGCAGTTCAGCAACTTTCATTAGTTAAGATCATAGTTAATATACCAAAATAGAATCTAACAGGGGTTTTCAGCTTTGGCCACACATGGCAGTCATTGGGAAGCTTCAAAAAATATCAGTGCATGAATCCTACCATTAGAGATTCAGATTTGATTGGTCCAGGGAGAAGCCTGGACACTGGGATTTTGTTTTTCTAACACTTTCCCAGGTGATCCTAATGTGAGGTCAAGATTGAGATTTACTGGCCCATCTGCCATTGTCAGTGAGGCAGAACATCGCATATTTGAAGATGAAAAGTGCCAATCAGAACCAGTTGGTGGATACACTACTGAAAAAACCAGCGTTAGAGGCCAGTAGGGTCCCAACCAACACCTAAAAGGCTGGTGAAACTGGCAGTATAGAAAATTGTAAGAAGGTTGTAAGAAGGCTTTTTTCAGTGTCTCTGTGTTATTTTGGGGCTTATCAACTGAGAAAAAGTAGAAATGAAAGGTATATCATCTTAATGAAAAAAGCCATTTGTGAGTCTTCTTTCTTTATCTATTTGTTCTGCTTTATAACGGTCAAAATCCAGAAGAGGCGCCTGCGAAAAGTGATATATATTCACCATATTCTCCTGCCCCTCACCCTCCTTTTGGGAGGCACCAAACTTCCCTTTCCGATTCGGAGGTCTTTTGGACATAGTTTATACTGTCATTGTATCTTTCAGGCTCTATTTAAATTGATAGAACCAAGAGACACAAGAAATCTTTACCAAAATGAGAAACCAACTTGAGGTAATCTTTTGGGAATTTCTTTGCTTTCTTATATAGCATCCAACACATGGCTCTGTTCTGGTATGTTTAGGAAATCGTGCCCATCCTGTCTCTTTGTTTGCTTTTTAAACCCGCTTTTTTGATTTCTTGCAAATTTTTCTGTCCAAAGCTAAATTGATTCTGCACAGCAAAGATAAACTCCAATCCAGAAACTGAAGAGAAACTGTTTATGTGGTTGAGGTGCATATTTATAGGATTCCTGATTCAGTGGTGAGACCTGGAGGAGCTGCACCGCAGCTGCTGGTCTATACAATGGCCCTTTTTCAGTTCTATGAAATGAGAGGTTTTCATCTCCTCCAGGAAGATTTTCAGGTCTGGTCCACAGATGGCTGACATTTGGGCCTTTTCTTAGATCTTCTTGTGACTTCTTAAATAAAATTTTGAGGTTAAATGTATAAATAATATGGAAGGAACTAAACGCTTGAGGTTAATGTTTGCAGGAAAAACCAGGGAGGGGACTTTTGCTAAAGGTGTTTTTTGAAATGCTGCTCAACTTCCTACTTGACACAGTAACCCAAGATAAGGGGTTTTCACCATTTTTTTTTCAATTTTTATAATTACCACAAAAACGTACCTTGTAATCTGAAGCAGAGAAACATTCAAATTTATCATAGTGTTATCCTATTTTTTTTGCTTACTTTTTCCACTGTATAAGATGATGAGAGAAAACTAAGATGTTTAGAAAATGAAAAGCATGGAAAAATAAATGACCTCCATGAAAGTATTTAGGGTTTTAAAAGAAGAAGGAGGAGGAGGATGAGGAGGAGGAGGAGGAGGAAGAAGGGGAGGAGAGGAAGAAATGCCACAACCACCATGTATTTTCACTATCTACTTGAAAATTTCAGCAATTTTCATCTTCATAGGATTTATTTTCCTAGTAGTAAGAATTCCTAGTATTTTGTTTTCTCATATCTCAGCCTTTATCACTATTAAATACTCTGTTAGTTGTGTTTGTGTATGTGTGACAAAGGAACTTAGAAATGTAGTAATATATTTTCTCATAATACAATTGCCTCTTGATTCTAAATTTGGATTTAATTAAACTATTCGATATATGTAAGAAGTTTTGATTGTAAATAATAGAAAAGAATTTTGGAGAATTTAGGCAAGCATTCAGATGTACTGCAGGGATATTTGGGCTATTTTACAGTGCCTAAGGACTGAAATATGTCAGTGTGTTAGGTTGCTTTTAAAACAGCTCTCAAAGATTTCTGCCTCCTGATACCCACACCTTGTGTCATTTCCTTCCCATGAGTAGAGGCTGGATGTAGTGGCTTCTAACAAGAAGAGAGCAGCAAAAGTCATAAGATTCTCCTCCAAGATTAGACCATGACTTCCTTCTTGGTGGCTTTTTCTCTTTTCACTCTGACAAAGGCAGATGCCATGCTGTGAGCTGAGAAGCTTATGTGACAAGAAACTGAGTGCAGCCTCTGGCCAACAGGTGGTGAGAAACTGAGGCTATTAGTGTAACAGTCTGCAGGAAACTGAATCCTACTGCAGCCATATGAGTGAACTTGGGAAAGGATCCTTCCCCATTTGAAATTTCAGATGAAACCACAACCTCAGTCAGGACTTTGACTGCAAACTCGTGGAAGACTCTGACACAGGGGATCCAACTACTCCCTGTCTAGATTCTCAGCCCACAGAAATTGTGGGATAATACATGCTGTTGTGTTAAGCCACTTAGTTTTGAGGTAATTTGGTATACAACAGCACATAAGTGATATAGTTAGCAAAAGTGTATGAGCCCTGAGGGTTGGCAGAGTGGAGGGAGGGGTGTAAAATGCTTTTACTGCTCCTTAATTTCCTTTCTCTCTGGGTGTCTGTCTCATTCATCTCTCTCATTACCAAGCCACTCTGCCTGATCCTCAGCATCCAAGTACACCAATAGCTGCCGCATTCACCTGCCTTTAGTTTCTGTCATTTGGAGGAAAATTAATGTCTTTTTAGGCACCTTTCCAAAACTATAATGGCAGGCATTGGATTGACTGATCTTGTGTCAGAGGCTGACCTCTAAACGAATCTGTATCCAGGTGGGAAACATGCAAGGGAGAGATTGTGAATGACTCTTCTTGGATCAAGTGCACTAACAGCAATTTCTGTGGTGATTATGGAAACTAAAAAATGTAGTTAGATTTGCAATTCATTTCACTATTTTTCTTACTTTGGCTTATCATTTATATAGCATGAATTACTAACGTGGTGAAACTAATATATACCATCACTCTAAAAAGTAAATAAAGAAAAATTTAAGGTCTGTAAAAAAAAACTTTTCACCTAGAAAGTGCATCATATGGGACTTGAGATTGGTACAAAGTACAGTCCAAGATGTAGAAAGTAAAAGCTTGACATTCTTGATTATTCAGGAAGGATATTATTTGACATTTGAGGCCAACTGAAGCTTCTTATGTCCGTCATATCACAAGTTCTTTGGGTCTCCACTTTCTGCCTATTGTCCAGCATATGTGGAAATATACAATTCTGGAAAAGGGGGATAAAACAACAAAAACAGAATCAATTGTTGTACCAGGGTGCTGAACATTTATCAAACTACAACTGTATAATTGTGACAAATAAGAAGGTCCCTTCAGAACTGCCTAAACGCAGAATACTGACTGTGATCAAACAATGTAGAAAAAACAGAGTGGATTTGCTGCTGGAATCCCAAACAGAACACATCGTAGAAACCTATATAATATTTTGGCTGCTAGACTTGCTTCATATATCCAAAGCATTTTGTAAAGATTAACTCTGAAATCAGGAAAAATAAGCATACTTTATTGCTGTTTTGATGTGATAAGAGTACTGGTAAGAGAGTTAAAGAAAGCATTCTATTGGAAATGGCCGAGATAATAGAATCACAATTACAGGATGCTAAAGGGCAGTTAGTGGGTGTGTGGAGTGCCTGTGAAATCAGAGGCAGGGATGGAGGGGCTGGTGAAGACACAGTGTCCACATACAGCATAGGACCTGGGCTTTAGAATCATTCTCCTTGGGTTCAAATTCTTCCTCTGCCAAGTACCAGAGACTTTGGGCATATCATTTACACTCTGTGCCTCAGTTCTTTCATTTTTAAAATAGAGAAATATTGAAAAGTACCCAGCTGTATAGTTTTGCTGTCAGGATGAGCTAAGATAATTTATATAAACAGCCTGGCATGGTGCCTAACACATGGTAATCACTCAAATGTTAGTCTTATTGTTACACACTTTTTGACACCAGTTATTTAAACTCTTTCAACCCCTATGTGCTCATTTGTCAAATGGGGAAATAATTTTAGCAATTAAAATTGTGACATATGTAAAGTTATGACATATGTAAATTATGTAAATTACATATGTAAAATATGTAAATTACATAAGTAAATTATGACATATGTAAAGTTATGTGTATGTCCTCGGATATCACGTTATACACTTACTCAGTCTAAATACAGGCATACCTTGTTTTATGGTGCTTTGCTTTGTTGCACTTTGCAGTTGGTACATTTTTTACAAATTGAAGGTTTGTGGCAACCCTGTGTCTAGCAAGTCTACTGGTGTTATTGTTTTCAAAAGCACATGCTCACTTCGTGTCTCATGTTCAGTTTTGGTGATTCGCTCAATAATTCAAACTTGCAGATATTTCAAACAGGAAATACGTTTACAGCATTGTTTACTAAATATTTTAAGCCCACCATTGAGACCTACTGCTCAGGAAAAAAATAAATAAATAAAAGATTCCTTTCAAAATATTACTGCTCTTTGACAATGCACTTGGTCACCCAGGAGCTCTGAGGGAGTTGTACAAGGAGATTAATGTCTTCATGGCTGCTAATACAGCATTCATTCTGTAGCCCATGGATCAAAGAGTAACTTTGACTTTCAAATCTTCTTACTTAAGAAATATATTTCATGAAGCTACAGCTTCAATAGATAGTGATTCATCTGATGAATCTGGGCAAAGTTGAACACCTTCTGGAAAAGATTCACCATTCTAGATGCCATTAAAAACGCTTATGAGTCATTGGAGGAGGTCAAAATATCAACATTAGCAGGAGTTTGGAAGAAGCTGATTCTTCTTCCTTATAGATGACTTTGAGGGATTCAAGACTTTGGTGGAGGAAGGAACGGCAGATGTGATAGAAATAGCTCGACCTAGAATTAGAAATGGCATCTGACGATGTGACTGAATTACTACAATATTGGGACAAAACTTGAATAGATGGGGAGTTGCTTCCCATGGTTAAGCAAAGAAAGTGGTTTCATGAGATGGAATCTACTTCTGGGAAGATCGCTCTGAACGTTGTTAAAATAATAAAGGATTTAGAATATGACAAACTTAGTTGATAAAGCAGTGACGGAGTTTGAGAAGATCGACTCCAATTTTGAAAGAAGTTCTGTGGGTGAAATGTTATCAAACAGATCACATGCCACAGATAAATCTTTCATGCAAGGAAGAGTCCATTGACGTGGCAAACTTTATTATTGTTTCATCTTAAGGGATTGCTACAGTCACCTAGCCTTCAGCAACCACCACCCTGATCAGTCAGCAGCCAACAACATCAAGGCAAGGCCCTCTACCGGCAAACAGATTACAACTCACTGAAAGCTCAGATGATCATTAGCATTTTTTTTAGCAAGAAATATTTTTAGGTCGGGCGCAGTGGCTCATGCTTGTAATCCCAGCACTTTGGGAGGCTGAGGCGGGTGGATCACCTGAGGTCAGGAGTTCGAGACCAGCCTGGCCAACATAGTGAAACCTGTCTCTACTAAAAATACAAATATTAGCCGGTCATGGTGGCATGCACCTGTAATTCCACTTGCATGGGAAACTGAGGCAGGAGAATCGCTTGAACCCGGGAGGCGGAGGTTGCCGTGAGCCGAGATCGTGCCACTGCACTCTAGCCTGGGTGACAGAGAGATACTCTGTCTCAAAAATAAAAAAAAATTTAATTAAAGTTTGTCCACTGAGTTTTTTAGACATGATATTACTGCAGCTTAACAGACATAGCAGTTTAAACATAACTTTTACATGTATTGGGAAACCAAAAATTTTATGAGTTTCTTTTTTATTATTGTGGTATTATCTTTACTATGGGATCTGTAACCAAACCCGCACTATCTCTGAGGTGTATCTATATATTTTTTCTTAGTTCTCTGGGAATGAGAAGAGAAAATAAGTTTGCAGCCCTTTTGCAATCATCTAGGATCACAGTTGCAGTCCAAACGATGGTGTGTTAGTTTTCTAGGACTGCCATAACAAATGATCACAAATTAGATGACTTAAAACAACATAAATTTATTCACATAGTTTTGGAGACTAGAAGTCTAAAGTCACGGTGTCAGCAGGGCCATGTTCCCTCTGCAAACTCTAGAAGAGAATCCTTCCTTGATTATTCTAGTTTCTGGTGGTTCCTGTGTATCTTGCTTTATGGCAGCATAATTCCAATCTCCATTTTCATCTTCATATGGTCATCTTCTCTATGGATATCTGTCTCCAATCTCCCTCTCTCTTTTTTTTTTCTCTCTCTCTCTCTTTTTTTTTCCAAGAGTCTCACTCTTACTCAGGCTGCCGTGCAGTGGTACAATCATGGCTCGCTGCTGCCTTGAACTCCTTGACTCAAGCAATTCTTCCACCTTAGCCTCTCCAGTAGCTGGAACTACAGGCATGCACCACCACACTCAGCTATCTTTTTATTTTTTATTTTTTGTAGAGATGGGGTCTCACTATGTTGCCCAGGCTGGTCTTGAATTCATGGGCTCAAGCAATCCTCCCACTTCAGCCTCCCAAAGTGCAGGGATTACAAGCATAAGCCACTGTGCCTGGCCTCTCCTTTTACTTATAAAGATACTAGTCGTCATATTTAAGGTAGACTCCAAATCTAGGATTATTTCATCTTGAAATACATAACTCATATCTGTAAAGATCCTGTTTTCAAATAGTGCCACATTCCAAGATTCTGAGCAGATAAAAATGTTGAGGGGACACTAGTCAATCCACTACAGTAGTGGTTTTCCAAATGTCTTGGAGGGACAAAGAGAAAACTTCCTCTGCTTCTGAAGTTTTGCTGCAAAGCCACTGACAAAAGGCAGATTAATAAGAGAACAGGCGTACAAATTTATTAACGTGCACAAGGGCAGAGGGGGCTATCACAGAGTAATTACCCAAATACCCAGTGTGGTACAAAAGCTTATGTACCCTTTTTCATAGGGGAAGGAGGAGACGAGGAATGCAGATTCTTTTGAAGGGCAGTAAATCATTGGGGAGAATGAATGGGTCAGGGAGGTGGAAGGCAGACATTATGGGAAGGGGAGAAGTGGAACTGTGTCGCACGTTGCTTTATGCAGATGAAGTCCCCCAAGTGATCTCTTGGAGCTGCCCTCAGAAGAACAGATGAAAAGTCTGTCTGGGGCTGGGTGCAGTGGCTCATGCCTGTAACCTCAGCACTTTGGGAGGTTGAGATGGGAGGACGGCTTGAGCCCAGGAGGTTGAGGCTGCAGTGATGCAGTGGCCCAGATTTCACCATTGCACGCCAGCCCGGATGACAGAGAGAGACCCTTTCTCAAAAAAAATAAATAAATAAAAAGTTTTTCTGGGCATGGTGACCCCAGTCTCTGCTTTTCTCTGGTGGTTGATCATTTCTGGTTCTTTGATGATATTTCTAAAAAGGGAGTCTTAAGACAATTGCATTTCTCTTGGAAAAAAGTTTTCCTGATCAGATAAGAAAAATTGAAAGAGAAACTCACCCTGTTCTTGGAGAGGCAGGGACAGGACAAGGTGTTAGAAGGGTTTTGATTCTTAGGCAGCTTCTAAAGCTTCTCAGCATGCCAAAGTGCTAGTCTTCAGGATTTTGCTTTCTGAACCCCAACAATATGGAACTCCTTCTCGCCATTTACTTTATTTTTACTTTAACCCATGCACTCGACCTACATTTAGGGAGTATCTATTGTGTGTCCCATACAGAGCCAGGTCATGGGGGCACAAAGAAGATTACTTTATTAAAGAGTTTGCAATATTTTTAGAAAGGTGCATATTAAATGGATCCTCTGGAGCTATAGTAACAAAGAGGGGGGAAAAAGTGCATTATCTTGGGTGATGAGGGAGCACTTTCTTTCCTTCTTTTTATTGAGATAGGATCTTGCACTGTTGCCTGGGCTGGAGTACAGTGGCAGCATCTGGGCTCACTGCAACCTCTTCCTCCAGGGCTCAATTGATCCTCCCACCTCAGCCTCCTGAGTAGCTGGGACTACAGGCACGCATCACCATGTCCTGCTAATTTTTGTATTTTGTGTAGAAACATGATTTTGTCATGTTGTCCAGGCTGGTCTCAAACTCCTGAGCTCAAGGGATCCACCAGCCTCAGCCTCTCAAAGTGTTGGGATTACAGGTGTGAGCCACCATGCCCTGCATAGGGAGAACTTGCTGAAGCAGATAAAACTTATAGTTCTCACAAGTTCTTTACGCATCTATTCAAAGGTACAGGAGCAAAATGAAAGTATAAGGGAGAAAGAAGGACACAGACTTGGTTGGACAGGCCATTCTCACCCTCTAGATTAAACAGAAGATGGTCTCTTGAGTGCCCAACGCCTTGCTTCAAATAGAGTTGCATCCAGCATTTCAGACACATGGATATCAATGCATAACAGATTAAAATCCTGCACTGTAGCATTGCATTAAAAAAAGAACATTTGAGTCTTCTGCTTATGAAAAAATGCATATATTTTAAAAGAGGAGACTGTATTGCAAAATGTATATACATTTATGATTACCAATTCACTGGAACAAAAGGTCACTGATCTCTAAGTTATTTGCTTAATTGATCACAGGTTGCCATGACACATGGCAATATATAGGCTCTCTTTAAGGCTTCTTTTTAAAAGAAATATTTTATTAAATCTAATTTCATCAGTGTAATAATTTCTAAAACTCCCCTGCAGCTAAGTGGTAACTGAAACCTAGATGTTAACTTATCATTGCACCTCGTTTTGTGAGAATAACTTTGGAGGTGCAAGAACACTTATTTTCAGCTCTTGGAATGTGTGAAATGGGTGATCTCTAGACTTTGTGAAGTTCACCTCCACCTCCCCTCCCATCACACCTAGATTCTTGGTGAGTGTAGGTGTTATGTTTTCTGTGATAGAGGTTTTGTCCTCAGACAGAAAAGCACATGAGCAAAGTATGTCACAAGGATTCTATTATATTTCTACAACAAATACTGTTGGTATGTTCTAAAGCTGCTTCACCCCAGAGCCAGGCTCTGAAGCTGTATTGAGGATGTCTTTGTTTTCAGAAGGCCTTGGTATTTACTAAGGAGCAATTATTAATCTGACATAGGTAAACAGAGGGGTCTTGACCATGAGTGAAAGTGTAAAGTAGGTAAATTTTTCATTATCTTCTTATTTCCCTTTGCTATATAAAATGAGTCTGAATAAGCAAAGAGAACAGAAAGATTTTCAATGTACTTCAAAAAGTTTATTTATTTAAAATTTAATGTTTTATTCCTTTAAGAATTAGGAAATGGTAAGGAACCAATAGGATTGTCATGAAAAAAATATGCTACCATGACATCTTATTGCTTAGAAAAAGAAGCAAGTTTTTTCCAACTATTTCTTTTTCTATTTTAAAACAGAGATAGGATCTGGGTGCAGTGGCTCACACCTGTAATCCCAACATTTTGGGAGGCCAAGGTGGGCAGACCAGCCTGGCCGACATGGTGAAACCCCATTTCTACTAAAAACACAAAACTTGGCCATGTGTGGTGGTGGGGCACCTGTATTCTTAGCTACTCGGGAGGCTGAGACAGGAGAATAGCTTGAAACCAGGAGGTAGAGGTTGCAGTGAGCTGAGATAGCGCCCCTGCACTCCAGCCTGGGTGACAGAGTGAGACCCCATCTCGAAGAAAAAAAAAATAGAGATAGGGTCTTACTATGTTGCCCAGGCTGGTCTTGAACTCTTGGCCTCAAACAATCCTCATGACTTGGCTTCCCAACAAATACTATATTAGCATTATAGGTGTGCCCACTGTGCTGGGCCTCCAACTGTTTCTTCAAAGTCATTTTACCTGTCCAACTTTCAGACAAGGCCATCTTTAAAATTCTTTAAAATATGTAGCTTCTCAGGGTTCAAAGTAAAATAAAAGTGAAAAAAGTACAAAAAATTAAAAGTTTAAAAATACAATAGAAGATATGTACCCTACTTCCCAAAGTACGTATACATGCAAATGGATTTGTATATGTACAAATGAATTCACATTTCCCTTCCTCAGCCTCCCTTCCCTCAAGAGCCAAATCTATTCCTCCATTCTCTTTATTCCTTTTGTTTGTTTGTTTGTGAGGACAAGGTCTCTCTCTGTTACCCAGGTTGGGGTGCACTGACGTGATCATAGATCACTGCAGCCTCAAACTCCTGGGCTCAGGGATCTTCCTGCCTCAGCCTCCTGAGTAGCTAGAACTACAGGCACCTCTCACCACACCTAATGAAGCGACGTCATAGTCTGGGCGTAGGTACCCGCGGTTTGCCAAGAAGATTAAGGACATGGACACACGTGGGTGGGTTAAGGAGCGGAAAGTTTAATAGGCAGAAGAAAGGAGAGAGGAGAGAGAAAAGTAGCGTTGTGGTTCTCCCTCTCTCCCTCTCTCTCTCGACAGAGGGGCATCCGAAAGGGAAAAGCTGGCCTATGGCAGACCACAGCACATTTTATAGGCAGGCTTGAGGAGGCAGTATCGGATTTACGTAGGGCCCATGGATTGGTTTGACCAGGGGTGTCCCTTACATAGCGCAGGGAAGGCTGGTCGCCCCACCCTAATCTTATTATGTAAATGGGCTTTCCGCTTAGCCAGCACCATCTCATCTGCTCCTTACTGCACATGTGGCTAGCAAAGAGAAGGAAAGATGGAGCCGCCATGTTGATCATGCGTAGTCCCAGGTAGCCTTTTCCTGTTGTCACAACTGCCAGGGCATTCACCTGTGCAATCAGCTTACTTGTCTATGTCTGCAGCTCGATTTTACAGGCTGCTTTGTTAGAAAAGAAATGATCTGGGGGCTGCTTTTCTTTAAAAGGAAAACCTTATCAGGGACTCCCGTACTCTCACTATCTGCCAAAATGATTTCTTCTTAACTCCTGTATCACTGGCTAATTTTTTTTTCTTTTTTTTTCTGTAGAGACAGAGTCTGACTATTTTGCCCAGGTTAATCTCAAACTCCTGGCCTCAAATAATCCTCCTGCCTTACAAAGTGCTGGGATTAGGAGCGTCAGCCACCACACCTGGACCCTCATACTCTCTTTAGACTCAGACTCACCGTCTCTTGGGTTGGAATGAGATGGGGGCTGGGGTGGCAGTTGTTCTTGTCCCCTTTGTGTCAGGCTGGCTTCTGAATGTCTTGCTTCAACGCTGTCACTCTCTACAGACAGACGCACTGATCCTTCTCATTTTAGGGGTTTGTCTGTCAATCACTATGGAGGAAACAATAGCAGAGGGAGTCCACAAATAACAATAGGGCAGTTACAAAGCTTAATTCTTAAAAGGTCCTCACTCCCTTGCTGAGAGGGTTATAGAAAAAAGTCCTTGGAAGGCTGCTGCCTGACTTTTTTCTTTCAAGGTGGATCTCTTCTGATTAGCTTGTTGGTTGAATTGAGCTCAGTGTTTTGAAAATTATCCTGGGGACAGATTCATCCAAGTAGGTAATTTGCGTCTGTGAACTCCTGTGGACTGGGTAGTCACAATTTAATGACTCTGGTTTCACTCAAACTTGGATATTTTCTCACTTTGATGGCTACACAAATATCCCTGATTTTTTCTTAAGAAATAGGCAAGTGTCATGATTTTCTTACAAAATAAAGCCAATAATTGTTAAGAACCTTGTAAACGCACTGGAAAGGGGGTTATGTTTAAGGAAAGAATTGCTTCGTTCAAAAACACTTATTGCTTATCTACCTAAAGTGAAAACCTGCAGATTGGAAAAGCAAAAAGAATTAGCGAAAAGGTTGAGCACAGTGACTAATGCCTATAATTCCAGCACTTTGGGAGGCCAGCGCAGTAGGATTGCTTGAGCCCAAGAGTTCGAGACTAGCCTGGGCAACATAATGAGCCCCTATCTCTACCAAAAAAAGCAAGAAATTAGCCAGGTGGGGTGGTGCACACCTGTAGTCCCAGCTACTCGGGAGACTGAAGTGGGAGAATCACTTGAGCCTGGGAGGTCGAGGCTGCAGTGAGCTGTGATCTTGCCACTGCACTCTGCCTGGGTGACAGAGCTAGACCCTGTCTCGAAACGAAAGAGAGAAAGGGAGAAAGGGAGAGAGAAAAGAAAGAGAAAGAGAAAGAAAGAAAGAAGGAAAGAAAGAAAGGAAGAATAAAAGCTGCCCAAGTTGGCATAGGTGGTATGAGCCTGTAGTCCCTGCTACTCTGGAGGCTGAGGAGGGAGGACCACTTGAGTCCAGAAGTTTGAGTCCAGCTTGGGCAACATAGCAAAACCTCCATCTCTAAAAATAAATAAATAAACATAAAATGAAAATTTTAGAAAAATTGCCATTTAGAAGCATACAACCAAGGTTTTCACTGTTGTTTTTTTAGCTTTACCATCTCAGAAGGTTGGTTCTTCTCTCAACCAATTTTATTGTTTTGCAGTCTAAGAATTTCTTTAGATATATGGGATCATTTTGAGTTCCAAAACAAGCTGCTCACTGCTCTAAGTCTTATACCTTTTTTTCATCACTGTTTATAGTCTGTTTTCCCCAACAAGTCCCCCACCTAGCGGTGCCAGGTTTGGCAATAAAAACCACAGGGAACACAGGTAAATTTGAATTCCAGATAGGCAGTGAATAATTTTTTCATATAGGTATGTCCCAAATGTTGCTTAAAACACACTTAAAAATTATAATTGTTTGTATACTAAAAAAAGTGTTGTTTGTTTGAGATTCTAATTTAACTGAGCATCCTGTATTTTATCTGGCAAACCCTACTCTCATCCTAATTCATCTTCATAAGATATGTTAGCCTTTAAATTTAGTGGTGTCCACAAATTTAAAGAGCATCTTCTTTATTCTATAATCCTAGTCAAGAGGGGAAATGCTAAATCCTCCATAGAAACCACTCCCTGCCTGGCGGCATTTATTTATCCCCCCTCTGACATTGAACCTTTTAGCTGAATAGGACATGTCAGCCATTGCTACCTCCATGTAATACTTGTCACATCTGAAGGATGTTTGTTTTTTCCCCTTTCTCACTGATTTGAATTTTGGATTTTGTCTTTCAGTAAAACAAATGCTACAGGTCTAGTTCATCACCTATTCTGAATCTAGGTCTGCCTTGTATTTCAGTGAAGAAATTAAATGAGGATAATGTGGGTAATTATCAGGCGCAGACTCTTCAGGTTCTATGGCAATAATGCATGAAAGACTGGTGTACAAATCATTAAAACCCTAAGTTTCAACCTTCTCCAGTAGAAAGCAAAGAAGAAAACCAAAGGAGGAATGGTTGATTTGTATGTCATTTCTGTTGTTTCACCTGCTTAAAATCTGATAAGATTTAGAATGTGTAAAGTGAAGCCTGGAAAATGGATTCCGGATTCACCCGTCTCTGGCTGAAGCGAGCTCTTATGAGCTCAACTGATACCATAGTTCTCATGGGGAGAGAGGTGAATACCAAAAGTGTAATTGCTTTAATGAAATGCTCTTATAAATATACTATCATGCCAACTGATATCATTTTTATCCTAAATGCTATTGTAATTAAAATGTTGTCACTAATATCCGAAATCAGCAATTTCTAAAGTAGTTTAATATTGCAACTGCTTTAAAATGTGCTTGTAGACTAGCAAAATGTCAGAGCCTACTTTCAAAGGCTTTCTTCTGGGACACCGTTTATTCTTGCTTATAACTTTAGTAGTATTATTACCTCTCACTGTTGCAACCTGGTTTTCTATAGGATTCTTTTTTTTCTTTCCTTTTTTTTTTCTTTGTAGAGATGGGGTCTCACTATGTTGCCCAGGCTGGTCTGGAATTCCTCAGCTAAAGTAATAGATATCGCACATTCTATAAAACCCACCCCTGGTGTCCATAAAGAAATCAGTTATGGACTGGAATGGGAATGTGTAGGGAAATGAGCTATAAACCAGACGAACATTCCCCAAGAGCAGAATCTATTTTTTTTAAATAAAGATGAGAGTCTTACTATGTTGCCTAAGCTGCTGTTAAACTCCTAGCCTCAAGCAATCCTCCTGCCTTGGCCTTCCAAAGTGTTGGGATTACAGGTGTGAGCCACTATGCCCAGCCAAAAACAGAATCTAAAATAGGAGCATTGTTTGTACCACGCATACGACACTTTTTAAGGAAACACACTCCAACTCTACAGTTTTGAAATTTGCGGCTGGGCGTGGTGGCTCACACCTGTAATCCCAGCACTTTGGGAGGCTGAGGCAGGTGGATCACCTGAGGTCGGGAGTTCAAGACCAGCCTGGCCAGCATGGTAAAACCCTGTCTCTACTACAAATACAAAAATTAGCCAGGCGTGTTGTCAGGTGCCTGTAATCCTAGCTACTAGGGAAGCTGAGAAAGGAGAATCACTTCAGCCAGGGAGGCAGAGGTTGCAGTGAGCCGAGATGGTGCCATTGGCACGCCAGCCTGGGCAACAGAGTGAGACTGCGTCTCACATTAAAAAAAAAAAAAAGAAAGAAAGAAATTTGCATGTGACTTCTTTGAGGTCAGCAGAGTGCAGAGAACTTGCAAACAGCTGAGAGCCTAAAAGCCCATAGACACATCAGGGCACGTAAGCCTCCGGGGTAGTCCAGTGGAGAATTTACAAGTCTTTGGTTAAGAAACGTCCCTGCCCTCAACGTCACATCTGCTACTCAGAACAAGTTATTATCTTCAGTTATTTCTGACTTAGGACTGTCTGTGGGTGGATCTGTCCTGTTTTTATTATGTCTGCTGGTTCTGATGATCTCATTACTTTGTTAATTAAATTTTTAGCTTATTTTAATCTCCCTTTAATAATTCACTTTTAGCAGCGGGGAAGAGGAAGCAGCACCTCAGAGAATAGTGTCCATCCCAGAGGTAGCTCTGCAGGCTTCCTTCCTGTGCTTCAAATTGTATCTTCTTGCCAGGCCTGGTAGACAGCTTTAAAGACACAGGTTAAAAATAATCATCCAGAGAATTTAGGAAGACCACAGGCTAAATTAGTCTTCTGAGGAAAAATGTAAATAGCCCTAAAGCCTCCCAAAATTGCCAGAAAAGAGAACCCCAGAGGCTGCTCATAAGGTATCAAAGGCCAGGACCAGCAATTGCTATTACCCTTGCTATACTCTTTCTGTTCCCCCGTCCCTCATCAATGGATTTCATTTGGGAATTACCTCTTCATATTCACTGCCTGTTTCTCTGCTTGGGTGTACATGGATGTGAATGCATGTCGTATGTTTAAAATTGGTTTTTCTTTGTTGTTTATCATTTTGGCGTATAACACTAGCTCCCGATTTGATCTCTTCAGGTAGAGGACAGACTCTGAAAAGAGTCTTCTAAAATATGATAATCTGGCCAGGTGGGGTGGCTCACGCCTGTAATCTCAACACTTTGGGAGACCACGGTGGGCAGATTGCTTGAGCACAGGAGTTCTAGACTAGCCTATGCAACACAGTGAAACCCTGTCTCTATCAAAAAAACAAAACGAAAACAAAAATTAGCCAGTCGTGGTGGCATGCACCTATAGTCCAAGCTTCTTGGGGGGCTGAGGCAGGAGAATCGCTTGAGCCTGGGAGGTCGAGGCTGCTGTGAGCCAATATTGAGATCACGCTACTCCAGCCTGGGTGACAGAGTGAGACCCTGTCTCAAAGAAGAAAAAAAGATGTGATTATATACTTGTAAGCTGTTCTGTGGACACTGACTCTTAGCTGAATGAGAAATTCAAAAGATGCCAGCTCTTCTGTCTAATTAAAGATATTAACTATTTTAAACTACTAAAAATATATTTTCCTAGTTTGTCATTCATGTTTTCCTTGTTATTCTGATTTTTTAGTGTTCAGAAGTTTACAAATTTAATGAAGTCAAATCCGTGCTCCTTATTAATAATGTGTATTTCCACATCAGTTTCTTGTACTTCCTGCTTTAAAAACAATTCTGTGTAAATATAAATTTAAAAGTAAGCAACTAAATATAAAAACAGTTTAAAATAACTATAATAGCGCAAACTTACACAGTGTTTCATGGTGTTTAGCAGTATGATAATGGAGTAGCAGAGTCAGGAGCATGCCTGTCTGATCTCTACCATATGCCAGCTATGCAGACCTCATGCTCTGTAAAACGCTCTACTGACATTCCCTGTCCTCTTCCCTTTCCTTTCCTGAAAAGTCAGTCCTAAAAATTAAGTAGAACTAAGCATGGTAGGCATGAGCTTCAGGGGAAGGCTGCGGGTGACGGGGGAGTTGGAGTGCTCCAGAGGGTATGTCAGAGCCCAAGTGGAAGGAGAAGGACATGTGTCTGCCTTCACTTAATATTTGTAATTGTTAACTCAAGGTCCTTACATCTGGAATATTCTTATCAATATGTTAATTATTTAATAAGAATCCTTAATTATTTAGGATTGTATTGGTTACAAGGGATAATAAATAAAACACTACCTTAAGAAAAAGTATAAAAGGAACTTATTGGCAGATTATTGGGGTCTCATAGAATCTAAGGGGAAGGTGAATAACCAAGTCACAAGAAGGGCCAGCCTACAGGACAGGATAATGCTCTGGAACAACTCGAGCCAGGAGCTTAAATATCCCCAAGGTGTTCTCTATACCTTTTATCTCCTTTTCTCTTTGTTCTCTCTCTCTCTGTGTATTCTTTACATAGTAGGAAAAAATGGCTGCCAACGGTATCAAGATTTTACTTGCAGAGCATACAACTACAGGACAGAGATCATCTTAATCTCCAGTGTTTCCAGATCTAAAACCCCCAGTGAATAAATTCACTGGCTATGCTTAGGTACCCATCATGACTACTCCTGTAGCCATGGATGGAAGTGGGAGGAAAGAAAATGAGAGAGTATTTCAGAGATTTCCAAGAAGGGAGGTACTATGTGGATAAGTCATAACTACCTATTACTTAGGCCTTAGGCCTTCTCTGTTTATCTCCATCTCTGAGATGGGTAATTTGGGGATAAAGGTGATCACTCCTGCTTTAAACTTATTCTGACTTGGCTGGTCTGAGTGCATGGTGTCTACAACTAATTGATCAAAACTAGTTACAGATTTCTTTGTTCCTCCTCCACTTCCACTGCTTCACTTGGCTAGCCTAAAATACAAACAAACAAACAAACAAAATAAAACCCTTATTCTGACTTAACACTACTCTGCAATGACTGTACACTCAGCTTGGATGATGAGCTCAGAAAGATGACATTTACAAGACAGAGTTTCTCAGTTTGTATGTTGTCTTCTGTGTTCCATGCAGTCTGTAACTATTTACTTCATCTAGAAAAGGCCCACCCATAATCTGAGCAACAGGAAACAGGATTTTGATTTGGTTTTTTATTTGCTAAGGAATGCTATAAAACAATGAAAAGCTTAGCAGTCAATTGCTACAAGGTTTTACTTGCTTCAAAACCTTACTTTTTAACACTATTTTCAAGCAACATAGAAATTTACTAATAAGTACTTTTATAAAGAATATTTGAGGGGAAAAAAAACCAAGATGACTACAAGAGGCCCTAAGACTAGCAATTATGGTCAATAATTCATGTTTGGGGGCCCCTTACTAATGGTATAGAGGCATAAATTCCTCTTGATCTAATTTTCCCTTCAAATCACTGTTCTTTGCAGTAAAAAAAATTACACTGAGGTTTACCAATAAATTGTCATAGAGTATGTTCATACTTTAATATGTGCCCTTTAATATCTCTCTGTTCTCACTAGGGTTTTTCTTTTTATTACAGTATTTTAGAAATCATATTCATATCTCTGCAACTTGCTTTTTTAACTTAAATGTATCATATTTATTCTTCTAAGACTTGGTCAATGTACACAGATATAATAATTTTTATTAGCTATATGAAATTACTATAGTATGAATGATTCATCATTCACAAAATCATTCTCTTATTGATAGACATTCGGTTATTTCCAGTTTGGGGCCATTATTTTTAAATGCTGCAATAAACATATACCCTTAACACATGTGTATGGGAACGTATGTGTTTCTCTATATGTTTTTATATATTGAGTTTTTCTATAAAAACTGACTTTTTCTATAAAATTTATATTAAAGAAATTATCAAAAGTGGGATGTCAAAGCATAGCATATTTTTGATTGATAAATTCTACCAAATACTTTCCAAGAAGATTATAGCTAATTATTATTTCATAAACAAAGTATGATGTTTCCATTTCCCTATAACTATATTAGCACCAGACATTAATCTTTTACTATCCATCAATCTGATAATAACTGGCATATTGTATTGTTTTGCATTTTCCTGACTACTACTAAGATTGCATGTTTACTATATTTATTGTCCACTTTTTTCTCTAATAAATTGCCTATTCTTATATTTTGCCTATTTTTCTTTTGTTTAATTATCATTTTCAATTTGTAGTTCTTTATGTGAAGATATTATTATACCTTAATTTTTATTTACTATATATTTAATATTACTATTAATTCCTTGTTTCTCACATGTGTCACCAATGTTCCTTTTTCTGCCTAGCCTAGCTCTTTTTTTTTTTTTTTTTTTACAGTCCAGAGGTCTTGGATTTTTTTTTTTAAACACCTACTATGCCATGAATTCATAAGGAAGAGGGTCTAGCAGCTCAGGCTTTTTCCCATTGGTTCTCACAAAGTCTGCTTTTCTGGGTGGAGGAGGCTGGCGCTTCAGTTGAACCCAGGTACCATTCTCTTTGGCTTCTTTCTTTTTCTGATCATTTTCCTTCAAGCATTAGGAAACAATCTCAGCTCTTAGAATGCTAAATGTGCTCAATACCCACATTAATTCTCTTGGCAGGAATCTTGCCCTTAAGTTGTTTGTTTACAACAATGCCAGCAGCATGCTGGGGAACAAGGTAGACTCTTTCAGCTTTCCCATGGTAACACTTGTGGGGCATTCCTTTTTGAACAGTACCCACTCCTTTGATGTCTATGATATCACCTTTCTTACAGATTTGCATGTACATGGCCAAAGGAACAACTTCATGTTTTCTAAAAGGCCTAAAAATCACATATGGGGTGCCTCTCATCTTTCCCGTTGTGTTCATCATTTTGGCAAATTACCGGATGATGGTGGTTCCTGCCCTAGCATTTCTATCTTGTTTTTTTAATGATGCTTTTTATCATACACAAACGTCTAGTTTTGCTTTGTTTTTCACAGATGTTTTAATCTTTTCCTTTATGAATTCTTGTCTTCCTGAATTACTTAGAAAGTTTTTCCACCCATCCTCACTGCTATAGACTGAATGTTTGTATTCCCCACCAAATTCAAATTCACATCTTGAAACTCTAATCCCCAATGTGTTGCTATTTTTAGGTGGGGCCTTTGGGAGGTGATTAAGTCATGAGAGTGAAGACTTCATGAATAGAATTAATGCCCTTGTAAAAGAGATCCCAGAGAGCTTCCTTGCCCCTTCCATTATGTGAGGCTATAGCAAGAAGATGGCCCTCTGTGAATCAGAAATCAGGCTTTCACAGACACCAGATCTTCTGGTGCTTTGATCTTGGACTTCCCAGTCTCCAGAACTGTGAGAAATAAGTGTTTGTTGTTTATGGGTTACCCAGTTTATGGTATCTGTTACAGCATCACAAACAGACCAAGAAAGTCACACTTGTAAATCTACACATTTCCTGATTTTTCTTTTATTGGTTTTTATTCTAGTAATGTAATTCAAATAGAATTTGTTTTATATACAATGTAGCAATCTAACTTTCTTTCATCTAGAAAGCCAGTACCCAGGATTATAAAAAGTAAATAACTACCTCTCTAAACATACCCCTCAGAGGAGTACCCCCTTGATGTGTTGCCTTAAACTTTTTTCTATGCATATATAATCCTTTGATACTTGTGTGTGTGTTTGTATATATATACACATACACAGATAAATACTATATGTACAGCATGATCTATATTTATTTATTTTTCTCCAATTTGTTTTCTTTAAAGACCTTAAAATGCTGGAAAGAACTCCAAATCAGATGTTATACTCTACCTCATTCTTTTAAAAGGCGTAATAACATCCTATCTTAAAATTTGACAAACTTCATTCATTAAGGCATAACCAATTTACTACTCGCAGCTGAAGAAATCCCCAAGGTAAAATCTTCTCTGCCCCAGCTCTCCAAATCTTGTTCTGAATAGTGGTCCCACATCTCTGAGGAGTTCTTTACTCAGGTCCCCTGGGACAGAGTCACAGTATCAGCCTTTATCTTTAAAAAGGGCAACCTTCTAAGTGCCACCTTCAATCAATCAGCTCCCAAGTCTCTCAACATTCTGAACTAGCTTTCTTTTCTATGTGTTGAAAGTCTGGCTTCTCCATTTAATATTCTGCCTGTAAAAGAAGGAACATTTGGAACAGCACTATTCTACTACTGACCTTTTTGGTACTTTTAAATCTATAGGGGATGGGAAATGCAGCTAAAAATAACCCAAGACTCCTTCTGCAATATTTATGGATCTCTCATCAATCTTTGATTCCATAGACAGGTACCACTTAGCCAGGCCATATGATTTTGATATTGATTCAAGATTCTTAATCTTCCATCAGAGCTTTTACTGCCACAGAATTTCTGAGTTCATTCATTCCTCAAATATGTATTGATGCCACTATTTACCAAGTACTATATTAAGTGCTGTGAATGTACTGGTGAACAAAATAGTCACAGTGCTGGGTAGTTATGTACTTCTTTGAGCAAATTATAATCTTAAATGTGATTGAAATCATTCTTTGTCTTTAATTCTCCTTTGAAGCATTTACACTAACATGATGCAGATTTTAGTGTTTCTTATGCTTTTCTGCCATAAAAAACAACAAGTTCAATGCTGTTCCTTATCTAAAAGAGAAGATTTTTATGCTGTAGGCATCATCATGACACTTTTTAAACAATTTTTGTCTAAATAGCTTAGCATCTTTTTAGCAAAACCAATATTGTTTCTATGGGTTAAAAGTCATTTGGTATTCAAGAAATATTTATTGAGTCCCTATTGCATGTTAGATACTGTTCTAGGATCCAGGCCTAGGGGCTGTGTGTGTGTGTGTGTGTGTGTGTGTGTGTCATAGAGCTTTTTAGCAGTGTGAAGAGTATAAACTTTTTCTCTGAACAATATTTTTATGTTGTACTAATTAAAATACATTGGATTGCAACGGAAATTGATTGACCTATACCTTGATGAATAACGTTAATTTCTTAAAGCCCTGCTTTTAAGTGACCTCTTTAAACAAAACAAAACAAACTTCATTCATTTTAATGAGAAAGTTTTTATGTAGTACATCTTAACCTAAGACATCCAAACAATTTTCAAAAATTATATACATATTTAGTATGTCTCCATACACATATGTATATAATAAAAGCACATCTGTGTAAGTAATAATAAAGAATTTGAAAGTAATCAAGCATAGTAATCCAATGAATAATTTTTGTACTCAGCAAAGGAGAAAGAGATGACTTGATAGTGGGTGATGGATGTGCAGGGAAGAAGTGAGAGAATCTCGATTTGGAAATCTCCTTCTTTTTGCACTATTTTTCTTATGTATTTTTTAATCTTTTGAAGAATCTTATTATTACTGAGGTCAGTTTTGCTTAAAATAAGCTTTAAACATCATTTTTCAGGCACAAAAATGCAAAGCACAAACAATGTACATACACCGCATGGAAATAGTACATGCACACACAGACCAAAGGGTTATAAGAGATGACGATGCTATATCTTCATTTCTTGCTTGGTGTTCACAAGCAAAACAAACATGTTTGGGATTATCCAAATAGCGGATTCCATTTAATTTTTTTTCCTGTGATATTTTGACTAGAAACTCTGTTGAGTGAATTGGTGAGTGTGTTCATGCCTGGAATCATAATGTTGAGACAATTTCTCTTAGTATGTATATTTAATGTGTTTGGGTAAAAAAATCTTTACGCTGGGAATAAAAAGGAGTTTTACCAATAGTGATATGACTTTTCAAGAGCTGTATTGCTGAAAGGTCATTAATTAAACATTCATCTTGTGAGGTACACCTCATTAACATCTTATTCTATTCACAAAACTTGGGTATCCTTGCATCCAGCTGGGGTAAAAACAAAACAAAACAAAAAAAGCAAAAAGAGAAACTAACAACAACAACAACAACAGAAAAAAAACATTGAACAAAACAGACACAAATCCATGTGTCTTATAAGCTCTAAGGAGCTTATACACTTCAGAATCTACATGGATGATAATTCTGTTCACGGGGTCAATTTGTTCAGCTCACAAAAGGTGCATTTTGTACTTAATTAATGTTGGCAATCCCATCACAATGCAGTACTGCTCAAAACTAAAGCCCTAAGGGAGTAAAGTTATCCTGTTAAAAGTGTTTTTGCTTAGATGGTTTCTCTGGCCTCCAAAATCTTCTATCATGATCATCCGTTTTTTTGCCCCCCCCTTTTAAATCCCCATACCTAGAGGACAATAGTGATCATCTCTCTGATGCTTGTTGATCTAGATGAGGGATAGACAAAGTATTGCCCAAGAACTAAATCTGCTTTCTTCTGTTTTTGTAAATAAACCTTTATTGGAACACAGCCAAATTTGTATTGTCTATAGCTGCTTCCACACTATAATAGCAGAGTTGTTGATACCACAGAAATACAAATGCAAATGCACAGAACTAGGATGACCACTTTCACCATTCTTATTAAATATAGTACTGGAAGTCCTTATCAGAGTAATCAGGCAAGAGAAAAATACAAAAGGCATCCATATTGGAAAAGAAGAAGTCAAATTACCCCTGTTTGCTGAAGATATGATCTTTTATCTAGAAAATCCTAAAGACCTCACCAAAAAACTATTAGATTTGATAAATGAATTGAGTAAAGTTTCAGGATACAAAATTAACCTACAGAAATCAGTAGTGTTTCTGTACACCAATAACGATCTAGCCAAGGACCAAATCAAGAAGGCAATCCTATTTACAATAGCTACAAAAATAAAAAACAAATAAAACACCTAGGAATATATTTAACTAAAGAGGTGAAAAACTCTATAAAAGGAACTATAAAACACTGATAAAAGAAATCATAGATGACACAAACAAATGGAAAAACATCCCACACTCATGGATTGGAACAATCAACATTGTTATAGTGACCATACTGCCCAAGGCAATCTACAGATTCAATTCAATCCCCATCAAATTACCAACATTGTTTTTCAGAGAATTAGAAAAAAAAACTTCTAAAATTCATATGGAACCAAAAAAGAGCCTGAATAGCCAAAGCAGTCCTAAGAAAAAAGAATGAAGCTGGAGGCATCACATTACCTGACTTTAAATTATACCAAAGGACTATATAGTAACTAAAACAGCATGGTATTTGTATAAAAATAGACACATAGATCAATGGAACAGAATAGAGAACCCAGAAATAACGCCACATACCTACAAACAACTGATTTTCAACGAAGTCAGCAACAATATACACCAGAGAAAGGACCCCCATAGTGCTGAGAAAATTGGATAGCCATATTCAGAATGAAACTAGATTCATACCTCTCACTAAATACAAAAATTAACTTAAGATGGACTAAAGACATAAACATAATACCTGAAACTATAAAAATCCTAGAAGAAAATATAGGAAAAACTCTTTTGGACATTAGCCTAGGCAAAGAATTTATGACCAACTCCTTGAAAGCAAATACAACAAACAAAAATAGACAAATGGGATTCAATTAAACTAAAAAGCTTAAAAGAAATAATCAACAGAGTAAAGAGACAATCTTTGGAATGGGAAAAATTATTTGCAAACTACGGATCTGACAAAAAGCTAATATCCAGAATCTACAAGGTATTCAAACAGCTCAACAAGGAAAAACCAAATAATTCCATTAAAAACTCGGCAAAGGTTGGGTGCAGTGGCGCATGCCTGTAGTCACAGCACTTTGGGAAGCCTAGGTGGGAGGATCCCTTGAGCCCAGGAGTTTGAGACCAGCCTGGGCAACATAGGAAGACCCCATCTCTACAAAATAAAAATACAAAGAATTAGCCAGGTGTGGTGGCGTGCACCTGTAGTCCCAGCTACTTGAGAGGCTGAGGAAGGAGGATCACTTGAGCCTAGGAGGTTGAGGCTGCAGTGAGCCGAGATCTTGCCACTGCACTGGGTGACAAAGCAAGACCCGTCTCAAAAAAAATGAAAAAAAAATAGTGCCAGGCACAGTAGCTCACGCCTGTAATCCCAGCATTTTGGGAGGCTGAGGCAAGTGGATCATCTTAGGTCAGGAGTTCAAGACCAGCCTGGCCAGCATGGCAAAATCCCATCTCTACTAAAAATACAAAAATTAGCCAGGCATGGTGGTGGGCACTTGTAGTCCCAGCTATTCAGGAGGCTGAGAGGCAGGAGAATTGCTTGAACCTGGGAGGCGGAGGTTGCAGTGAGCTGAGATTGCGCCACTGCATTCCAGCCTGGGCGACAGAGCGAGACTCCATCTCAAAAAAACAAAAGTGGGCAAAAGAAAAAGACATGAGCAGGGAACATCAGGATAAATAGCTAATGCATGCTGGGCTTAACACCTAGGTGATAGGATGATCTGTGCAGGAAACCACCATAGCACACGTTTACCTATGTAACAAACCTGCATATCCTGCACATGTATCCTGGAACTTAAAATAAAATAAAATAAAAATAAAAAGACATGAACAGACAGTTTGCAAAAGAAGACAAACAAGTGGCCAACAAACATATTTAAAAAAAGCTCAATATCACTAATCAGAGAAATGCAAATTAAAACCTCAATGAGGTATCATCTTTCACCAGTCAGAATGGCTATTATTGAAAAGTCAAAAAACAACAGATGTTGGCAAGGACATGGCGGAAAGGGAATGCTTATACACTGTTAGTGGGAATGTAAATTTGTGTAACCTTTATGGAAAACAGCATGGAGATTTCTCAAATAACTAAAAGTAAAACATTTGGTTTGGTAATCCTACTGCTAAATATGCAGCCAAAAGGAAAGAAAGTATTACATCAAAAAGATACCTTCACTCATATGTTTATTGTAGCACTATTCACAACAGCAAAGATATGGAATCAACCTACATGTCCATCAGTGAACGAATAAAGAAAATGTGGCATATATACAATATGGAATATGACTCACCCATAAAAAGAATGAAATCATGTCTTTTGCAGCAATGTGGGTGAAATTGGAGGTCATTATCCTCAGTGAAATTGCTCAGAAATAGGAAGTTAAATACCACATGTTCTCATTTATCAGTAGGAGCTGAACAATGGGTACACATGGACATAGAGAGTGGAATAATAGACATTGGAGACTCCAAAAGGTAGGAAGGCTGAAAAATTACCTATTGGGTACAATGTTCACTACTCAGGTGATGGGCACACTAGAAGCCTAGACTTCACCATTATGCAATATCTATATGTAAGAAATCTGTATTTGTACCCTCTAGATATATAAACATTGACAAAATTTAAATGTAAAAAAATTTTCAGAATTGAATAGTTGTGACAAAGCTCCTCTGGTCCACAAAGTCAAAAAGTATGTACTGCCTGGCCCTTTATAGAACAAGTTTTGACCATTACTGATCTAGATTTCTGGGGCTTCAAGTACAGTGTTATTGAATATTTGAGCAGATCTAAAGGGATGCAGCCTTGCATTCTTAAGGGATCCAGTCTTACTTATAGATCTTCTCATATCTCTCCTGAAAAGCAAATAAGGGACAGATCTTCACCTTCAAATTTTCATAACATTAGAATGCTTTGTCCCCATTGCCCCTGGTGCTTAATGAGTGTTTTTGTTTGTTTGTTTGTTTTTGAGACAGAGTCTTGCACTGTCACCCAGGATGGAGGGCAGTGGCACAATCTCGGCTCACTGCAACCTCTGCCTCCCGGGTTGAAGCGATTCTCCTGCCTCAGCCTCCTGAGTAGCTGGGATTACAGGCATGCACTAATTTTTTGTTTTTACTAGAGACAGGGTTTCACCATGTTGGCCAGGCTGGTCTTAAACTCCTGACCTCAAGTGATCAGTCTGCCTCAGCCTCCCAAAGTGCTGGGATTACAGGCATGAGCCACCACGCCCTGCCGAGTGAGTGTAACTTTTAACAGGCAAATTTGATCATGTCATTCCTTGGTTTAGAACTCTTGGATAACTTCTTCCTCATTCTTTAGATATGATGAATATCTTAAATACAATCACAAGGTGCCTCAGATTCTGATCTCACATAGTTTTCCAGCCTTATCTTTGGTGTCTCTCGTTTTATTCTCTTCACTAAGAGATCAAAAACTTCTGCTCTGAACATACCTCTGTCCCCTTTGAACACTTGTTTTCTTAGTCTCAACAGCAGCTCTTATTCTGCCACCCTCCATCCAGGTTAATTCCAACTCATCCTTCAGTAAAAATCACTGTTTTAGGAAAGACTTCTGTGAGGTCCCTCTGCCCTGTCCCTATCTAGGTTACACTTTCATAGCTGCTCTATTTTTCTCCCATAGCAGTTTTCAGAATAGCAAATATGTACTTGTTTATGCTATTTGCTTAGTTTTGTCTTTCTACTAGATTCCATAAAGTGTAGGACAGATTTTTTCTGTAAGCGGATGTAGCTCCAGTGCTTAGCCAGTACCTGATACATAGCAGACAGTCAAATTCATGGAATGTATTTATTAACAACTAGAACACTTACACATCAGACATTTTGCAGTAAACTTGTACTCAGTAGTTATTGGGAGAGTCAAATTAAGAGTGAGTGACCTGGGCCGGCACGGTGGCTCACGCCTGTAATCCCAGCACTTTGGGAGGCCGAGGCAGGTAGATCACCTATGGTCAGGAGTTTGAGACCAGCCTGACCAACATAGTGAAACCCTGTCTCTACTAAAAATACAAAAATTAGCCGGGCATGGTAGTGTGCGCCTGTACTCCCAGCTACTTGGGAGGCTGAGAGAGGAGAATTGAACCTGGGAGGCAGAGGTTGCAGTGAGCCGAGATTGCACCACTGCACTCCAGCCTGGGTGACAGAGCGAGACTCCATCTCAAAAACAACAACAACAACAAAAAAAAAAAAAACTGAGCAACCTGAAGCATGAATGTCTTACAAAATTATGTGAAGTTGTTCCTTCTATCAAGATCTAATTATGAAGTGATCCACTAACTCGAGTGTAATGCTAATATGTGTTTTTCTTTTGATAGTTTCTTTTTTCTTTTTTTTTTTTTTAAGAGAAGGCCATATGCTTTATTGCATTTCTTTTTTCTTAATTGATATCAGGAAGCTCAAAAATAAATTTATTGTTTATTTATAGCAATGCTCTCCAAACCCACATTTCTTGTAAAATTTCTTCCTATCTTATTTACACAGCTTATTAGCCTTTTTGTTTATTTTTAAATCTGTAAAGTATTTGCTTCATAGCCTGGGTAACATGGTGAAACCCCATTTCTATTAAAAATACAAAAATTAGCTGGGCATGATGGCATATGCCTGTAGTCCCAGCTACTTGAGGGGGCTGAGGTAGGAGGATCAAAAAAGTATTTGCTTCATATTTAGTCACCTCAAGTTTTTTGTTTTTGTTTTTGTTTTTGTTTTTAGAGATAAGATCTCACTATGTTGTCCAGGCTGGTCTCAAATTCCTGGGCTCAAGCAATCCTCCTGCCTCAGCCTCCCAAAGTGCTGGGATTACAGGGGTGAGCCACTGCACCCGGCCACATAAGCCACATAATTGTATCTTGATTCTGTTTAAGACTCATTCTTCTCATCAGATTAAGTCCAGAAAAGCATATAAATAGCACTTCTTTGGCCATATCTGAACAATTGGTAAGGATGGAAGCTACAGCTGGTCTCAGAGGTTCTAAGGGTCCTGATTGAAATTCTATGACTGTCTTGCTCATGGGGGAGAGGAAAGGGTTAGGTGTGATGTCCTAGAAGTTAATGGTTTTTTTTAAGTTAGCAAAATAAACTGAAGCCAGTTATCCACTGCTTATGAAATGTAAATAGCATATTAATATACTATGGCTGCAACTTGACAACACTATTTTCTGTGCCAGACCTGCAAGGCGCAGCCTTATGTGTGTGCATCCAGTTTGAGGCTAGGACCTCCTAGGCCACTTCTTGCTTCTCTGGTAGGCTGGTTTTCAAGTTACTTCTCCTGCCTCCTTAAGTACATCAGGCTGGGGAGAGGAGGTGAACTAAGAGTTCATCAGTTTAGGAGGAGGGGGAATTTAATCATAAGTTTGCCTTTTCTTCAGATGATTAAACAATGAGTGTTTATGAAATCAAGAAAAATGTTTTTCCCCCAGAGTTTTCTTTTCAAAGATTTCTCTGTGCACTCTGGCTAATTTAAAAAGAGCCCCATAGGGTGCTTATTTTTGCACACATATATTGCCAGAGTAGTTCCTGTTTTGGTTTAAATGTGTTCCTTCTTTTTAGTCAGATGAAAGAGAACTTTCTTTAAAAAGAACTTGTCTGCTGATCGTGTTTGTTAGAATTAGCCTAAATAAAGCTTCCGTTAAGAGCTTAACTGTTTAGTTAAATCCTCTTGGCTAAATTATCTGGCGAATATTTGTCCTTGGACGATGTAACCACAGTCCGCTCATTACTCTCTTTCCAACCTGAAATGTGTGTCTCTCCCTCTCCTGAGGATACTAGGAAGTGAGTGTCTTGAGGAAGAAACTTTCCCTCTCATTCAGTTAACTTATTCCTTGTGCAGTTGGATGTTGGGGTGTGGGTGTTTGAAATATGCTAGGCACCACAAGTGAGCACGATTAATTCTGCATCAGGTAAGGGGCTAGGAGGGGACTGCCTAGGTTAAGCCATAAAGAAATGACATCTTGAAGGCATTAGATAAGAGAGAAGAATGTTTGAAAGGGAAAGGCCATGGAAAGAAGTGGAAATACTCTTCAAAAGTCTGTCGAGGTCAGCCTGCCATGCAACTATAAAATTAAGCTTTCCTGATAGATAATTTTTCTCAGGAGAAAATTCTAGGAAGATACAACTGCAAAATAGATAAGTAAATAAATAGTGAATTATTGATACATGATAAACATGGATGAATCTCAAAAACATTGTGCTAAGCAAAATAGGTCAGACACAAGAGACCACTTATTATATGACTTTATTTATATGAAATTACCAGAAAAAGCAAATCTATAGAGACAGAAAATAGACTAGCAGTTTCCTGGGGGCGAGGTGGGTGTGGAGGTGGGCGGCGGTGGGGGCAGGGGGCAAGGTGAAATTGTATCAGAGGTTATGAAAATGTTCTGAAACTGATTATAGTAATGGTGCATAACTCAGTAAATTAAAAATCCTTGAATTGCACACTTGAAATGGGAGGATTTTATAATATGTAAAATATATCTCAATAAAGCTCCTTAAAAAAAGGCAAGAACATCATCTGTTCAAAGGGACTAAGGATAGAACTTTTTGAGTATAAAGATAGAAGTTCTCTTAACTATTACAATCTCCCATCATCTAAATAGTGTACAGACAGCTTTGTTTCTACAAGGGAGAAAACCAAGAAAAGAACCATTCCTTGAGTACTCTAATGGTTTATCTTTTACTACTGTTTCATTTTTTAAATCTACTTGTGAAATAAGCAGTAGGGTCAGACATTAAAAACAAACGACAACAAAAAAACACATGGCAACCATTCTTTGAGTTTGATGATCAGCATTACAGTTAAAATTCAAATTGGCTTTCAGAAGATAATATTTTCTACATTTTGCTTGATGAAAGGTTTAAATAAAAACCATGCAAATATGGAATGTTTTTAACGCATGCTTTAATGCTAATAAAAGGATGCTTTGCTTTCATATTTTAGGGCCAAAGGGAAAACTTTCACTTTGCCCTCTGAAGGTTCACTGAAAATTTGGCAACAGGTAGAACAGGAGACTAGGTATGCAAACTTATTAATATGCATGGGGAGGAAATCACAGAGTAATTGCCCTAATACCCAGTGTGGTACTGTTTCAGAAAAAATTCTGAAACCATGTTTTTTCTCTGCTCTTAAGCCAACACAATAACAATCAACACAGAAGACTTCTGTGACCCCAAAATATGTGGGAATTTCTCTCCACCACCAACCAACCAATCACTTCTGCAGTGAACACAAAAGGGTGTCCTCCAATTCAATTCCAGTACTATCTACCTGGAGATCATGTCAGATCCCACATGTTGAGGGCTCAGACCCCAAAACTGCCCACCACCCCAAACACCAGTAGCAAGCTCAGGCCTCTGGAACTTCTTTTTCTTTCTTCCTTTTTTTTTTTTCTCTTCATTATCTATGCATCAAGAAGCAGGCCTCTGGAACTTCTTTTTCTTTCTTCCTTTTTTTTTTTCTCTTCATTATCTATTCATCAAGAAGCAGGCCTCTGGAACTTCTGGTCTACTGGCTTCAAGTTGGGATTCCGAAGACCTCCTCTCTAGGCGGGTGAGGTATACCCGCATGGAATTTCCATTTCCTCGTTGGGCCCACCACCCTCCAGGAAACTCCGTATGTTCAGCTATCTGGAAGCTCTTTGAACCCTGTCCTTTTGGGTTTCTATGGCGGCCTCATTACATAAGCATGATTGATTAACCCATTGGCCACTGGTGAGCAAGTGGACCTTCAGCCCCTTTCCTCTTGGTGGAAGTTGGAAGGTAGGGCTGAAAGTCCCAACCCTCTAATCATGCTTTTGGCTTTCAGGTGACCAGTCTTACTCTGAAGCTATCAGTCTACTTTAGCATACAAAAAGAAAGAACTTTGGAGATTCCAAGGATTTTAGGGGTTGTATGCCAGGAAGCAGGAGGGAAACCACATGTATATTTCAGAATATCACAGATTCAGACACTTATATACCCTTTTTCAAGGGGAGATGGGGAATGTATATAATTGTTGTGATAGGTATTAAGTCATTAGGGAGAATGGATAGATTAGGGAGGCTGAAGGCAGACATTATGGGAAGGTGAGGAGTGGAGCTGGGCAAGAACAACCATTGTCATATTTCACAGATAGAGTCCCCCAGGTAATTTCTTGGAGCTGCACTCAGAAGAATAGATGAAAAATCTGTCTTAGCATAGTAACTCCAGTCTCTGCTCTTCTCTGGTGGTTGCTCTTTCCTGGTTATTTGACCAGATTTCTTGGAAGGGAGTATTAAGACAACTGCACTTAAGCTCTCTTAGTCAGATAAGGACATTCCAGAGTCTCTCTTGGTGCTTTGGGAAAGAGGATATGAGAGGCAGGGAGAAAGGAGAAAGGTCACAGAGAGACCGTGGTTCTGAGGCTAATTTTTCAGGACTTTCAATTTCCAAAGCAGTCAGTATGGCAAAGTGTCATATTTTGGGGAATTGTTTTCTTCGACCCAACAACATTCAACCACATCAGATTGTGAATACAGCTCTCCCTGGGTATCCTCAGAGAATTGGGTCCCTGACCTCCAAGGATACCAAAATTCAAAGATGCCCCAGTCCTTAATATAAAATGGCATAGTATGTGCATACAACCTATGCACATCCTCTTGTATACAGTCATGCATTGCTTAAAGTTCTAAGAAATGCGTCAGTAGGCGATTTCATCATGTGCAGACATCATAGAGTGTGTTTACACAAAGTTAGATGGTAGAGTCTGCTACACACCTAAGGCATATGGTATATGGCCTATTGCTCCTAGGCTACAAACCTATGCATCATGTTAAGGTACTGAATATTGCAGACAATTGTAACACAATGGTATTTGTGTATCTAAACATAATGATATTTATAAGACGAACTGTAAAATTACGGTATTATAATTTTAGGGGAAGAATCTTCTTACAAGTGGCCTCTAATTAACTGAAATGTCATTATGCAGCTCATGACTGTAATTTAAATCATCTCTAGATTGCTTACAATACTTAATAAAATGTAAATGCTATGTAAAGAGTTTTTATACTGTATTTTAAAATTTTGTATTATTTTTATTGTTGTATTATTTTTTTTTGTTTTGTTTTTTCAGAATATTTTCCTTTTCTTTTCTTTGTTTTTGAGACAGGGTCTCCCTCTGTTGCCCAGGCTAGAGTGCAGTGGCGTGATCTTTGTTCACTGTAACCTTTGCTTCCCAGTCTCAAGCCATCCTCCTACCTCAGCCTCCCAAGTATCTGAAACTACCATGCCTAATGTTTGTATTTTTTGTAGAGATGGGGTATCGCCATGTTGCCCAGGGTGGTCTTGAACTCCTGAGCTCAAGTGATCCTCCCACCTCAGCCTCCCAAAGTGCGGGAATTACAGCTGTGAGCCACTGTGCCAGAGATTTTTCCAAATATTTTCAATCTATGGTTGGTTGAATTCATGAGTGCAGAACTTGAGGATTCAGAAGGCCCACTATATTATCTAGCTGAAGACTGCTTCTGCTTCACTTAGGGAAAATAAGTATTTATTAAGTAAATGGATGAGAGAACACAAAATAGTGGGGAGGCTATCACTTTATCCTCATCCTCATCCTCATCAGAAAATACATGTAATTTGGCCGGTGCGGTGGCTCATGCCTGTAATCCCAGCACTTTGGGAGGCTGAGGCAGGTGGATCACTTGAGGTCAGGAGTTAGAGACCAGCCTGGCCAACAGGGTGAAACTCCATCTCTACTAAGAATACAAAAATTAGCCGGACATGGTAGCTCACGCCTGTAGTCCCAGCTACTCAGGAGGCTGAGGCACGAGAATCACTTGAAATTGGGAGGTGGAGGTTGCAGTGAGCTGAGATCATGCCACTGCACTCCAGCGTGGGCAACAGGGTAAGACTTGGTCTCAAAAGAAAAATACATGCTCTTTGATATGCCAGTCATAACTATTTTTTTTCTTTAGAAAACTTTTCTTCCATGGCTAGAACATAGTCTTTTCAGGAATTTAAGTGTCTAACTTGCTATGCCCCATTAAGTGAATATATCCTAAATTGTATTTACTAGTAGGATTTCAATCCTTGAATTCCCGCTGATGTATATTCAGATGCATGAGAGTCCACATCTTTTCCACAATCATGTTGGATATCTATATGTAGGCCTTCTATATTTATATTTATTTGTTTTGTTATACAGTACTTCTGCAACATGAATGTTCTTTTTTTTTAGTTGACTACCTAGTTTAAAGAGAATGTTGTGACTTCATCTTTTTTTGTTTGTTTGTTTGAGACGGAGTCTCGCTCTGTGGCCTAGGGTGGAGTGCAGTGGCTGCATCTCAGCTCACCGCAAGCTCCACCTCCTGGGTTCACACCATTCTCCTGCCTCAGCCTCCTGAGTAGCTGGGATTACAGGTGCCCGCCACCACACCCGGCTAATTTTTTGTATTTTTAGTAGAGACAGGAGTCTCGCTCCTCTGTCTCTGTCTCTGTCACCATGAGACAGGGACACCATGAGACACCATGGTGACAGAGTCTCTGTCTCTGTCACCATGTTAGCCAGGATGGTCTCGATCTCCTGAGCTCGAGATCTGCCCTCCTTGGCCTCACAAAGTGTTGCGATTACAGGCCTGAGCCACCGCGCCCGGCTGTGACTTCATCTTAATGCACCTAAATTCTAATCTACTTTGAGATTTTAAATTTGAGTTTCCATAAAGACAAACAAACAAACAAAAAAAGCAAAAAAACAAGTTGCTGTTTTGTTTTCTTCTTCTTTTTTTTTTTTTTTAAGAGACAGGGTCCTGCTTTGTTGCCCAGGCTGGAGTGCAGTGGCACCATCATAGTTTACTGTAGCCTCAAATTCCTGGACTCAAGCAATCCTACTGCCTCAGCCTCCCATGTGGCCCATGTAGCTAGGACTTACAGGCACGCACCACCAACCCCAGGTAAATTTTTTATTTTTTGTAGACAGGGGGTTCTCAATATGTTGCCCAGGGCGGTCTTGAATTCTTGGCCTCAAGCTATCCTCCTGCTTTGGCCTCTCAAAGTGCTGGAATGACAGGTGTGAGCCTCCATGCCCAGCCCTGCTGTTTTTCTTTGAAAGTAAAAGAAAAAGTAAAAATAAAGTATACAAAAAGTAAAAATAGGCCAGGCGCAGTGGCTCACGCCTGTAATCCCAGCACTTTGGGAGGCCGAGGCAGGCAGATCACGAGGTCAGGAGATCGAGACCATCCTGGCTAACATGGTGAAACCCCGTCTCTACTAAAAATACAAAAATTAGCCGGGCGTGGTGGCGGGCGCCTGTAGTCCCAGCTACTCAGGAGGCTGAGGCAGGAGAATGGCGTGAACCCGGGAGGCGGAGCTTGCAGTTAGCTGAGATTGCACCACTGCACTCCAGCCTGGGCAACAGAGCAAGACTCCGTCTCAAAAAAAAAAAAAAAGTAAAAATAAAGTATAGAATATGCCAACATTTGATTATATGGGTATCCTACCAAGCTTCCTGAGTATTATCCTCTCTCGAGAGCAAAATGTGAACACCATTACTGGACAAGAGTAGCTGTGGCTTGCTTATTGTCTCAGAAACTGGGAAGAATGGAGTTTACCCAGACTATAGAACCTAAAGGAAGCAAATAACTCACTGAAAACTTAGTTCATTTTAAAGGCAGCTTTTACCTATTCAATTGATGTGCTTTTTCTTTTAAGGAAAAAGATTTCTATTGGATATGGTATATACCTGAAAAAAAGTGAGGTTTTTTTTTTTGTTTTTTGTTTTTTTTGAGATGGAGTCTTGCTCTGTCGCCCAGGCTGGAGTGCAGTGGCACAATCTTGGCTTACTGCAAGCTCCGCCTCCTGGGTTCACACCATTCTCCTGCCTCAGCCTCCCAAGTAGCTGAGATTACAGGTGCCTGCCACCACACCCAGCTAATTTTTTATTTGTATTTTTAGTAGAGACGGGTTTCACAGTGTTAGCCAGGATGGTCTCGATCTCCTGACCTCGTGATCTGCCCGCCTCAGCCTCCCACAGTGCTGGGATTACAGGCGTGAGCCACCGTGCCTGGCCAGGTTATTTTTATTGATACCTAATAGATGTACATATTTTCAGGGTACATGTGATATTGTGACACATTCATATAATAGGTAATAATCAAACTGGGGTAATTGGGGCATCCATCACATTACACAGTTATCTTTTCTTTATACTGAGAACATTCAAATTATTCTCTAATAGCTATTTTGAAATATAAAATAGATTACTATTTAATATAGTCACTGTATTGATTTATCAAATGCTAGATAGTAAATCTTCTATTTAATTGTATTTTGTACCCATTAGTGAATCTCTTTTCATCCCTTCTCCTACCTAGCCTTCTCCGCATCTAGTAGCCATCTAGCCATCAATCTACTCTCCATCCCCATGAGATCCACTTTTTAAGCTCCCAATATGAGTGAGAACACGCAATATTTGTCTTTCTGTGCTTGGCTTATTTTTCTTCAATTGTTCTAAAATTATTTTGTTTTTCCAGCACAGGAAAAAGGAGGCTTATTTTATTTAACATAATGACCTCCAGTTCCATTCAAGTTGCTGCAAATGACAGGATTTCATGCTTTTATTAATGGCTGAATATTTCATTGTGTATATATTCCACATTTTCTTTATCCATTCATCCACTGATGGGCATTTAGGTTGATTCCATATATTGGCTATTGTGAATAGTACTGCAATAAGCATGGAAGTGCAGGTATCTCTTCAGTGTTGTTTTTAATTACAGAATTTTGCCATTACTTTTTCACAGCAATGGTTCTCCAACATTAGTACCTAGACAGTACCCTATCCCCAGAGTTTTTAATTCACAGGTTTAGAATGAAGGCAAAATTTTGCATTCCTATCAAGTTCCCAGGAAGACTCTGATGCTGCTGGTTTGGGGAACACATTGGGAGAACCAGTGAGAAGTCCCAATCCCTTGCTTCATTAGTTTAAGGGAAAGGGGAGGCTGAACGTAGTGGCTCACGCCTGTAATCCTAGCACTTTGGGAGGCTGAGGAGGGAGGATCGCTTGAGCCCACGAGTTCAAGACCAGCCTGGGCAACATAGGGAAACCCTGTCTCTACAAAAACCAAAAAAATTAGCTGGGCATGGTAGCGCGCACCTGTAGTCCCAGCTACTCAGGAGGCTGAGATGGGCAAGGCTGCGGGGTAGGGGTGGGGGGAGTGGCCGTGCATAACTTGAGCCCGAGAGGTAGAGGCTGCTGTGAGCTGTGATCCTGCCATTGCACTCCAGCCTAGGTGACAGAGTGAGAGACCCTGTTTCAAAAACTAAATGAATACAAGGAAGGGGAGGTCCATGTACCCCACTTCCCCCTTCAGAAAGTTATAAATACTATACTCCAGGATCATAATTTGTAAGAACTTTGTACGATTTTTCAAAGTTTCCAATGTTCCAGAGTTAATTCTTATTAACTCTTTCCCCACTCTACTGTTTTTTGTTTGTTTGTTTGTTTTGTTTTATTTGAGAGGGAGTCTCGCTCTGTCGCCCAGGCTGGAGTGCAGTGACGCGATCTCGGCTCACTGCAAGCTCCACCTCCCGGGTTCACGCCACTCTCCTGCCTCAGCCTCCCCAGTAGCTGGGACTACAGGCGCCCGCCACCACGCCCGGCTAATTTTTTTATATTTTTAGTAGAGACGGGGTTTCACTGTGTTAGCCAGAATGGTCTCAATCTCCTGACCTCGTGATCTGCCCGCCTCGGCCTCCCAAAGTGCTGGGATTACATGCGTGAGCCACCGCGCCCGGCTGTCTACTGTTAAACCTTAAAATTGAAGAGGTCTTTGGCAGCTGGGGGGTGCAGATAAACACTCAGTAACCCTGACCACCACGTGGTTGCCTCCGGTGACAATATAGACGGTGAGAGCTTTAAAAAGAGATAGGCCAGGAGGTTCTGGCACCAGGAAGGAGAAGGTTTGGGGAGGAGCCCAGCTTTGAGAAATGGCCCTGCAGCTATGCAGTAGAAAGTTGAGTGAGAATTCCCGGAGGCCACTGATCAGATTCAACAGTGACCTGGACACAAAACCATCCCTCCTTGCTGCCCTCCCACCTCCCCCACCGAACCCTCCAGGGCCCGCCTCAGTTGCTGGGCAAGAGAGATTGTGGAACTGACCAGGCCCCTGGTTCCTTTTGTCAATTTAGGCCAAAGGGGAAATGAAAAGTTTAAATGGTCTTAAATAGAAAGCACTTTTGCTACTTTCTCTTATCTGTACCTAGGGATAATTTTCATTCCAGTTAAATTATTTGGCAGATTAACATTTTAATATGTTCCTTGTTTCATTTTCCAGTGGGCCTTTTAATAAATGTAGCTGTATCTTACAGATTATGTCAGCTATGAGATGTCCCCTCAGCTGCCTTGAGTTTTGATTTTTTTTTTCCTACTACTATCTCTACTCATCTCCAGATGGTCTTCTAACTTTATCAGGTTTTATTTCTCAAGGTCCTTTTTAGGAAAGGTAATATCAGGAGCTCCCTTGAAAACCCTACCAGGTATTTAGAGCTCAAATTTTGTAGTCCATGACTTGAGAGTTCAAATCTGGCTGTAAAACCTTGGGTAAATTACTTATTTTCTTTAAGACTGTATTCTTATATGTTAAATGCTGTCAACTATACTCACTCGATTGGGTTTCTTAGAGAATTAAATGGGAAAGCATGGCTGGGTGCGGTGGCTCATGCCTGCAATTCCAGCACTTTGGGAGGCTGAGGTGAGTGAATCGCTTGAGCCCAGGAGTTCAAAACCAGCCTGGGCAACATGGTGAAACCCCGTCTCTACCAAAAAATTCAAAAATTAGCCAGGCGTGGTGGAACGTGCCTGAAGTCCCAGCTATTCAGGAAGCTGAGTGGAAAGATAAGCTTGAGCCCAGGAGGCGGAGGTTGCAGTGAGCTGTGATCGCACCGCCACACTCCAGCCTGGGCAACAGAGTGAGTCTCAAAAAAAAAAATAAATAAATAAATAAATAAAAAGAGAGAGATAGAAAGCATGTAAAACACTTAGCACTGATGCATTGTTAATGATAAAATGATAATAACCTGCATTATTACTTTTGTTGTTAAGCGATGCTTCACTCCTTTTTCCTCCCACTCTCCAAACAATCTGAATAGCTTCCACCAGAAGAAACTGAGTTTTGTCTAAAATCATTATGTGTCACCCTCTGACTGAAAGTTCTTTTGTGTTTTGTGAATCGCAGTAGATCTAAACCCAGTGCAAATGTCTTAGCTTGTGTCCTTGGATTCTTATTCAAGCAGAGCAAGTCAGGGTGCTAGCAGGGAGGCAACTAAAAGTGGTCTTCTCCTTTCTGCGGGTAACAAAAAAATAGATAAATAAGAGGCATAGGTATCTAGTTGAAGACATAAGCCCACAAGAAAAGCTAACTTATTTAAAGATAAATCTGATCATATAATCTGTCTGCTAAAAACACTCTCAAGAGTACTCTCAAGTACCCTATGCCTGCCTCCATCTACCAGTTTTTTCAACAATACTTATCCTCCTTGGTTTATGCCTTTGAGATACTCCAAGATCAAGCCCGTTCCTTTCCTCCAAGGAGAACTAATCTTGGGTCACTTTCATTGGCTTAGCTGAGATCATTCACTTTTGGGGTTTTCTTATTTTCCCTCTGCCCCGCAACACACAAATAAATAAGTGCCCTGTCTCTATTTGCCATTAACACTCTCTCAAGAACTCTCACTTGACTCTGTACTTATTGGTTAAGTTGTGAGTTTTCTAGACACCTAGCACTCTATCTGGAAGTAGGTGCGTAATAAGCACAACTTTAGTGACTGCAGCTAGCTGACTAGCAACAGGCAGGTTGCCTCTGGCTCAGTCTGGAAGGCCCTGGCCCTAATGTGCCTTCAGGGAAAGGGCGGGTCCAACTGGGGAAACAATATCTAATATTTGTGCTTTTATTTGTCAACTTATTTTAAAACCCAGGTTCATTTTTTGAATTTGTTTTGACAGCATTCCTAAGATTTTTAATACTTTGATTAGAAATGTTCTAAGTTTTAGAAATTAATTAGACAGGCCAGGCGTGGTGGCCCACGCCTGTAATCCCTAAACTTTGAGAGGCCGAGGCGGGTGGATCACCTGAGATCAGGAGTTTGAGACCAGCCTGGCCAACATGGTGAAACCCCATCTCTACTAAAAATACAAAATTTAGCCAGGCGTGGTGGTGCATGCCTGTAATCCCAGCTACTCGGGAGGCTGAGGCAGGAGAATCACTTAAACCTGGGAGTCGGTGGCTGCAGTGAGCCAAGATCGCGCCACTGCACTCCAGCCTGGGTGACTGAGCGAGACTCTATCTCAAAAAAAAAAAAAAAAAATTTCATAAATTACTATCAAATTGCATGATAATAATAAAGTACTTGGGAGAGCCTTGGTAAACTTAGCACAACAACACAGAAAGCACCTTTGTAATTCAAAAGCTGTCCAGAAATACCTGCTTGTTTCCCAGATGGGAAGGGCCTGACTAAACTTCCAGAAAATGTGACTAAACATATATATGTCAGGAATTGAAAACTATTAGCAATGAACATTATGTACCATCTAAGGCTTACGTTTAAGACTAATGTTTATTTCCAGTTTTTTTCTGAGTACTCTGTAGATTCCCAAGTTAAAAATTACTGTAGTTTCTCAAATCAGTTTGTCTCCTAATGGGATGATTTAAGGTGGGAAACACACATATATAATTTGAAAAACTCAGTGCGGGAAGTAACTCTCCCTGAGTCTATGGGTTAAACTTTCTGTTAACCCTGTTCAACTGGTTTTATAAGGCTTTCAGAAGGGGTCCTGCTGCTGCTAGTGCAGGCAGTTAAAAATAGTATGGAGAACAAGGGCTTGGGGGAAGTCTGAGTCCAATCCTAGCATTTTGTTGATTTAATATTTCTGTTTTTTAGATGAGACAATTTAAGCACATGACCGAGAGGCCAAGTTGGAGACCAGGTTTAGAAGAGAAAAACTTTCACTTGACTCCTAATTTGTACTCAGTGACACATTAACGACAATGTAAGTGAAAGCAGGGAACTAAGGGTGGGTCAGGTTAGGTGGGAGACCAGGAGTTGTTATTCTAGTGTTATGGTAATTTCATGAATTTACTTTTGCTTCTCGATCTTCTTTTTGAGTAGTAAAAGAGGTTTCATGCCTCCAGTGAAATTACTATTTTTAAGCAGAGTTCTATCTGAAAAGTTCTATAAGAAAAAAAAAAACCACTCTTTAATTTTTTCACATGTAACTACTTAGTTATGTGTACTAATGAAAAAATAATCTAGAAGTTATTTTTTCAAATCGAGTTTTACATATTTTTTAAACAATAAAACGTTTTCTCCTGTTTTATAATGTCATTATTTTTGCTTCATTTCTATATCCTTTAGCTCAGTATTAAAAAGAAAAAAAAAACACTCAAAGTGGTGTGTTTTGCAATATTGATGATCAACTAAGGTCGGGATATTTATTTCCATCTGGTAGAGTTCAACTTCTGCCTCCTGTTTGCTTTCTCCATCTGCCTGCCTCCCTTCATCTTTCTTTTTTTCTTTTCCCCCTTCTCCTTAATGGAGTTGGGGTTAACCCTGTCTTAGGCCTAATCGTTTTAGCAGGCTCCCGCCTTCCTGTTACACTGGTTTTTAAGGTTGTTTTTTTTTTTTTTTGGTAGGGTTTCAAATAAACTTGAATGTCTACACTTAATACTTTCACAAGCTTCAAATTCTTTTTATTTTATTTTTATAAAGAGCAGGACTCAGGCTAGGACGGCATTTGGACTAGGTAAAAAAGAAAATCTTCAGTTTTGTGCACACAAGTTTTAAAATACATTGTACAGATTTTTTTTTTTTGGATACACACCACTCTTTACAGGATCCGCGTTATATCTGCTTTCAGTAACTGGCTCTCCTGTCCGCATCCAGTAAGGTTTCCACTCTTCTCTCCGTTGACTGCTGAAGTTACTGAAACAGCAACCACAAATGGCCTTACTAACCTACTTATTTTGCAATTAAACTTTTAAAAGATATCCCCCTACTCCTCCCCTAGGGTGGAACAGAAATGGCTCCGCGGCGTTGGCAGCTCGTCTGCGAGGGGACCCTGGCTCCCCGAGGCTGCAGTCCTTTTTCTTGGACAGAACGCCCCGCAGGACCGTTCCCTCCACTTTCCCCCGCACTAAGGCAGCGCACCGCCAGCACACACAGCGCTGGCGCCCGCATCGCGCCGCACCACACGCGTCTCCGGCTTGAGGAGCCAGTCACCGAGACCCGGAGCGGGAACGAGATGTAAACACGGAGTGGGGACATGCAGCCCGATCTGAGAAGGCGGCGTGAAGAGTAGACACAGCCTGCGCCAGGCGGTTCTTATTTACCCAGCACTTACACTCCAGGGCAAGCGGGCCCAGGCAGCGCACTCTTGGAGAAGGATGCACTGGCGCAGAGCCTGGACCTGCTGAAGCGGGAAGGAGGAGCTAGGGCTGGGGGCGGAGCTTTCACACGCGCACCCTCTGTTCCCTCCCTCCCTCCCTCGACACAAGCAACTGGGTCTCCAGCCGCCACTCCGGGTTTATTTGTTTACAAGCGGATTACGTCAGCTCCTCCCTCTCTTCCCTATCTCTGGACCCGCCTCCTGAACTCTTTTCCCGCCCCTTTCGGCTCCGAACCGGCTTGCGTCACAATGGTGCGATATTCGGATTGGCTGGAGTCGGCCATCACGCTCCAGCTACGCCACTTCCTTTTCGTGGCACTATAAAGGGTGCTGCACGGCGCTTGCATCTCTTCGCCTCTCGGAGCTGGAAATGCAGCTATTGAGATCTTCGAATGCTGCGGAGCTGGAGGCGGAGGCAGCTGGGGAGGTCCGAGCGATGTGACCAGGCCGCCATCGCTCGTCTCTTCCTCTCTCCTGCCGCCTCCTGTCTCGAAAATAACTTTTTTAGTCTAAAGAAAGAAAGACAAAAGTAGTCGTCCGCCCCTCACGCCCTCTCTTCCTCTCAGCCTTCCGCCCGGTGAGGAAGCCCGGGGTGGCTGCTCCGCCGTCGGGGCCGCGCCGCCGAGCCCCAGCCGCCCCGGGCCGCCCCCGCACGCCGCCCCCATGCATCCCTTCTACACCCGGGCCGCCACCATGATAGGCGAGATCGCCGCCGCCGTGTCCTTCATCTCCAAGTTTCTCCGCACCAAGGGGCTCACGAGCGAGCGACAGCTGCAGACCTTCAGCCAGAGCCTGCAGGAGCTGCTGGCAGGTGAGCAGGGCGAGGGCGTCGGAGGGACGCGGGCCCCACATCCCTGGGTCAGAGTCCGGCCGTCGGGGCTGCGGGAACCTCGGCAGCGCCCCGGGGCCGGTCGCGCTTGGGCCCCGCCGCGGGACCGGTGTGGTTGCGCTGGGTGGCCGCTAACAGCGGTTCCCCGCGAGGCTTTAGGGGCTGGACGGAGGGCGCCCCCTTCCCCCCAGCTGGCAAAACGGAGAGGAGAAGACAACACGCACAACAAAGAAACTTAAGCCCACCGAGGCGGGAGCTGCGGTCCGAGGACCGTCGGCGGATTTGGGGACAAAGGAGCCGTGGGGCTGGGGTGGGTTCGACGTCCCCTTTCCTCAGCCCCCTCCAACCGTTGCGTGGTCGGCGGCCCAGCCCCGGGGTGGGAAGCTGCGCCGCTGCCCCGGAGCCAGCTCAGAACGGACGTGCCGTCTCCCCGCGCCTCCTGCCCCTGCCCATTAATCATCGGATTTGTCACCGGCACAATTAACAGCCCTGCCCAGAGCGTGGTTTAGGGTTGCTTGTTTTTCTTCCCTTCGGGGTTAACAGTCCGGTGGCGCTTCTCATCTCCAAAGCCATCAACTCCATTGTGTGCATCTGGGGTGGGGTGGAGAAAGTAAACAGTTTCTCGCCTGGCCATAGGTGCCAGTGGCTTCCCGACTGGCCGAGGCTGCGCGCCTGATTCCTGTTTTGGCGGCTCAACCGGTTGGTTCCTGGAGATTGTTTTGTCCGGTACTACTGTGTTATTTCTAAAACCCTGCCCGCTTTTTCCATCCCCGCACATGCACAACAACGGATGCAATCCTGGACATTTTAAAAAGTTGATAGTTTTCATTTTCGCTCCTCAAAGGAGCCTGGGGTAGGAGGAATCCGCAGTGGGAGCTAACGATCCTAAGCGTTGTTTCTCTGTTCTTCTTTTCTTCTATAGAACATTATAAACATCACTGGTTCCCAGAAAAGCCATGCAAGGGATCGGGTTACCGTTGTATTCGCATCAACCATAAAATGGATCCTCTGATTGGACAGGCAGCACAGCGGATTGGACTGAGCAGTCAGGAGCTGTTCAGGCTTCTCCCAAGTGAACTCACACTCTGGGTTGACCCCTATGAAGTGTCCTACAGAATTGGAGAGGATGGCTCCATCTGTGTGCTGTATGAAGCCTCACCAGCAGGAGGTAGCACTCAAAACAGCACCAACGTGCAAATGGTAGACAGCCGAATCAGCTGTAAGGAGGAACTTCTCTTGGGCAGAACGAGCCCTTCCAAAAACTACAATATGATGACTGTATCAGGTTAAGATATAGTCTGTGGATGGATCATCTGATGATGATGGATAAATTTGATTTTTGCTTTGGGTGGGCTCCTCTTGGGGATGGATTATGGAATTTAAACCATGTCACAGCTGTGAAGATCTGGCACAAGATAGAATGGTAAAAAAAAAAAAAATTTTAAGTGACAGTGCCATAGTTTGGACAGTACCTTTCAATGATTAATTTTAATAGCCTGTGAGTCCAAGTAAATGATCACTTTATTTGCTAGGGAGGGAAGTCCTAGGGTGGTTTCAGTTTCTCCCAGACATACCTAAATTTTTACATCAATCCTTTTAAAGAAAATCTGTATTTCAAAGAATCTTTCTCTGCAGTAAATCTCGCAGGGGAATTTGCACTATTACACTTGAAAGTTGTTATTGTTAACCTTTTCGGCAGCTTTTAATAGGAAAGTTAAACGTTTTAAACATGGTAGTACTGGAAATTTTACAAGACTTTTACCTAGCACTTAAATATGTATAAATGTACATAAAGACAAACTAGTAAGCATGACCTGGGGAAATGGTCAGACCTTGTATTGTGTTTTTGGCCTTGAAAGTAGCAAGTGACCAGAATCTGCCATGGCAACAGGCTTTAAAAAAGACCCTTAAAAAGACACTGTCTCAACTGTGGTGTTAGCACCAGCCAGCTCTCTGTACATTTGCTAGCTTGTAGTTTTCTAAGACTGAGTAAACTTCTTATTTTTAGAAAGTGGAGGTCTGGTTTGTAACTTTCCTTGTACTTAATTGGGTAAAAGTCTTTTCCACAAACCACCATCTATTTTGTGAACTTTGTTAGTCATCTTTTATTTGGTAAATTATGAACTGGTGTAAATTTGTACAGTTCATGTATATTGATTGTGGCAAAGTTGTACAGATTTCTATATTTTGGATGAGAAATTTTTCTTCTCTCTATAATAAATCGTTTCTTATCTTGGCATTTTAATCAATCTCTTGTCATGATTATAGAGGTTTAGCTAAAAGTATTTTTTCTTAGAAGACAGGTTCTATAAACTGAATCTCTGTTGCACACTGGTCATGCTGGAAAAACATTTGATGAGGAATGAAGATGCTCTGTATATACATGTTTAGGTTTTACAGGAAACACAGGAGTAGCATGTTTTAAAAATTTCTAAAGTCAAAACATGGACACATTCACAGGCTAATGATCTCATGAAATAAGGATAAGAGACCACGGTAGCATCTACCAAAAATGTGATACTCAAAGGATTACATTTCATTGCTTCCCTGTTGAAGTGAAGATATAAATGTTCCATTCTGACCCACCTTTGAAAAACAATTACTTTGCCCCATGGATTCTTTGTTCAATTAGAAATTTCCCCGGGGCAGGTGACCCATAGTCTTAAAGAACAGGCTAAACACCACAGAGAGATTGGTTGCTTTTTGCTTTTCATCACCTGCAAGATGTACATAAAAATCACATAAGCTGGAATTCAACAAAAGGTATGTTTATGAACTTTTATTCTCAAAAGTTGAAATGCTGACTTTCTCGATTCCTCATTTTCAGACTTTTATTTCAGATAAATACTAAAAACCTAAGTGAACCTTGATAATGCTGTAGTGTAGATTACTTCACTACCCCATATAATAGAAGGACTTGCTGTTTAGTTGTAGAGGATAACAGCGTTTTTCAGTGGAAATTGAAAGTGGAAAAATTGAATTTTGCTCTACACAGTTAACATATAGTGGCCTTTTTTTGGTATATATGTAAACATGTTGACACTGGAAATACGCAGTCTGAAATAAAATTAGTAATTACTTGAAATTAGTAATCTCAAATAACTTTTAAGAAGTTATTTCTACACCCAGGAATAAATTATTCTGATTTTGTAGACAACACAGGAATAGGCCACTGAATATGCAGGTATTTAGAGTACAAATGTCTGTGGATATTATTGGCACACCATTCTCGAGAGTTAGAATTCGTAGACCCGCAACACATGGACTACCCTTGCCAATTGTTATGGTTTTATTTTTAAACCTATTCTGTGAAAAAGCTCCTCGGTATTTCAAACTTGAATTACAATAAAAACACCAGGTAGGGTTGTTTTTAAATGGGTCTCACCCCAGTGCTGACTACTGTTGTTTACCAACTACATTTCATCTGGTAACTCCATTGAAACTAAGTACCTCAACCATTTTTTTTTTTTATCATAAAGCCTTTTTTCAAATGGAAAGTTGTTTTTGAAGATCTTGACATCAGACTTTTTCAATCTTTGAAAATGATGGAAACAGTTAATAAAAATGTTTATTTTAGAATTCAGGTGATGTCTGGCTTGTGAGGAGCTGTTTATAAGTTTGTCTTTGAAAAAGGCTTGCACACATCACTCTGAGACCAGCTGTTTCCTGTGACTTTAACCTTACCTTCCCCAGACAATTGAGCTGAACCTGTATCTGCGGTACAGTAGCTGTTTGTGATGTATTTCTTGTTCACTGTTTCTGGGGAATGTTTTGAAATATTTTATTATAAATCCTTTTAAGATAGGATGACTACTTTCAAAATTATTGTTGCCTTTGGCACCAGGAATTCATAGTTGTGATTGGCAGTAAGTTTGAGGAGTGTTACTTTCTAAGTTTTAACAGGTAGTTTTGAAATTATTTCCTTTTTTCCAAATTTAAGTAGTGCCTCCCTCTGTAATGTTGAAACAAGGCTTCAAGTGGATTGTATAGCAAGAGTTACCCTGGTTCATGCAGGATAATGCGGCTGTTATCTTTGTCATCTGGAATGGGAATCTCATGTCTTTATCCTTATGTGCAATATTTCTATAATAATAGACTGGAAAGGCCACCAGAAAGTGGCTTTCAGGTACATTGCACAAATAGTTTCCTTAAGTCATTATAACTCACACATTGCAAGTAATTAATTTTGTTTTGTATAGGTGTTGCAGTTTATGAAATTGGCCTTCAAGTTAAAAGGAAGGAAGCCGTATTCCCGATGGCTAGTGTTTAATGACTACAGGTTTCCAGGCTCCCTTTAATCTTGGGAGCAAATAAATCTACTATTGGACTTCTCCCTGCGTGACTTTTAACATTTCTGATACTCTCTCTTCTTCCTCTTTACAGAAGAGAGGTATGATAACTGAAGTTGTACTTTGCATATTGAAGTTTAAAGATACTTCCTCTCCCCTTTTCACCCCTATTTCAAATGATGTGATAAAATCCTCTTGATAGGCTATATGGAGAACATTTGTCAATAGTTTTATCTATGCATGGAAGTCTTCAAAAAGTATATCTTGGATTGTCTAAAACTGAATAGATTTCTTATTTATCTGAAGGTATACAGACTGCCAACATTTTAGACTTATCTCTCAGTCTCTGCCACTGAACTTTTATATATGGCTGCTATCAAAATATAACCGGTTTATTTTCATATTTGGAACTAATATAACAGTATCACAAAATCTTTTACAGTAAGATAGTTTGTAATACCAGCCGACCCAGCTGCTTAACTGAGTCCTTAAATCATTTAATATATGGGACTGTAAATAGAGAAATCTGTACATTATGAGATCTGATTTCTGGTTATGCCTATAGATCTTTATTTTCTTTATCCCTATAGATCATTTTCTTCTGATGTTAAGTGTTATATTTTTGAAATGCTCCTAAACAAGTAAGCCTTAGATTGTATTAATCCTGAGGATTGATACCATTTCCTCAACACTTTGTGGAGTATGATTGACACCAGTTTTTTTTTGACTGCAGGTTTAACTTGGCTTATCACTTTTCGTATTGCTCAGTATGTCCAAGATAGGAATAAAAAAATGTAGTTCAACTTCTGACTGTTATTTATGAGCCTTTTCATGGTATTTATCATTTTAGTATTGAAGATGCAGTGTTCTTTTGGGAATTACGTATGCTTAGAAGAGAGTACTGATGCTCAAAGGTGAAATGATTTGAATCTAGAGTTGGATAAAAAGGGAAAGGATGGGGAAAATGAAAACTGGGAAGCTAAACTGAGAAGGAATTGCAAGGTTTGGTGATAAAAATTCATTTGCTATGGTCATAGTTGTGTATCGAGAGGTTTGCACAGCACAGTCTCTTGGCAGAGTTTAGGAATCTCTACTCTGGGGATTCTGCAGTTCATGAATCGTCAGGGAGACTCTGCATTCAATTTGTTTCTGTGAACATGCAGGTGAAAGTGGTAGTACAGGTGGAACTTCATGGGAACTGGTTTTGGGGGAGGTGTGGATGGAAAGCACAAATGTCTCAGTATTTTCTAAAGGGAGACTATTTTTAAAGGTGTCTTGTTACAAACCACTTGATTATAGCCTCTTTTCTTGTACCTTTAAGTTGTGAAGGCCATTTGTGACTCATTCCTGGTGGTAGAAAAATGACCAAGTGTAGGCCAGACATATAACATCACATTAGTACCATTATAGTTAACTGGATCCCTGTATTTGGAGAATATTACATCAAACACTATGTATAATTTCAAATTGTAGCATTAATAGGAGATACTTCACCCGTGAGTACATTTACTTTTAGTGATTCTCTAGATGGTCATCTCCAAAGTTATTTTGTCATTCTTTTAGAATATTTTTGTATGTATTTTCATGTGTGCATGCAAAAGCATGTGGCACATTTTCTAAACAAATATACATATATTTGACATACACTAAAAATTTTGTTGATAGGATGCATGATCAGAAACATTTAGAGACTATTTCTTTAGGTTTTCACTAAAGTAGATGAATATTTGCTCTCCCCAAAATAACTCATAATTATGTTCTTTAAGTGGTAAGTCTTAAAATGACAAGTTAGTGTAGCAATACAAAGAGGATTGCCTTGTATAAGTTTAACTTATTTGCATAAGTCTTTATAATAATAAAACTAAGTCATCCTTTACAGCCAACAGATATCCAAATTGTGTTACACCAATTTGAAATCTATGTTCCCATATATTCAACTATGTGTTGCTGTGTGTTGAAATTCACATTTTTGTTTCTCAGAAGTTTTTTTTTAAATCTTAGGGTCTTTGTAACATTGATATGCATGGTTGTAAGAGAACTGAATTATCGAAGTTGTAGATGGGTGATTTAATTATTTTAGTAGTTATGGCTTAGCAAGAAAGGCCCTGTATCTTTTCCCTCTTGTTCTGAGCCATCCCTAAATTTTTGAAGGAAAAGATGACTAACAAATTGGACTTTATTTGAGAAGATTCCATAAATGACCATAAGCCATAAAATGATTAGACTTGACAATTGCTTTATGAGCAGATTTGAGTACACTTTCTAGTAGTTGTCTTGATTTATGGCAGTTTTGTCCCAAGTCAGTAGACTAAATGGAGTTGTATTTCCCACAAATTGTACTTGTGAGTCTTCAAGTTATCAATATATATTCTAATTTGACCTTCCAACAACTGGATGAGGTTGGCAAGTGGGTCAGTATTTTTTATCTTCATTTTATGGATAGAAAACTGAGGCTTAGAGAGCTTAAGTAATTTACCCTAAAGCCAGACAGCTCGTAAACAGCTAATTCACAATTTGAATTCAGGCTTTTCTGATCACAGAATCCAAACTCTTAACTATTGTTACATTGTGATGCATGATTTATCTACCTTCTTTTACACTGTTGGAACATGTATTTTAACTTCTCATTGTGAGTTGGCCATCTTTGGTTATTTTCAGCCTTGAAACTCTTTCACTATGTTCCGGAGGCATATAGCAGTCTACAATTAGGCTCCTTTCTTTGAGAGGCAGTTGGAATTTAGCATAAAGAATACTAGTCTGGGACTCAGACCAATAAGTTGAAATCTTGACTTGTACCAACTTGTGACTTTGGACCAGTTGCTTAGCCTCTCTGAGCCCATCATTCCTTGTGTAATAATGGAGACAAGTCATTTGTTGTCAAGGTAAACATGAAATCATATAGCTAGTGAATGTTTGGATTCTTGGAATTTGAATACTCTATCATGGAGGCCAACAAAATATAGCTGATTGTTTTCTTGTGTGTGTGTGTGTGTGTGTGTGTTTTAACAATTTGATCATAGTATGATTGTTAGGAGTTTCTTGAAAGATTGCTTTAGCCTATAGCTGCAAGAAATGTACTTGCGTTTTTGAAATACAATAATATAGGAAGGAAAATGAACTGCTTTTCCATTGTGAAGGATGGAAATAGACAACACAGGCCTTGCATCTTATTTTATAGAGCTTTCCTGAGCTGTGTGCCTAACATTGTGGTTTTCAGAGCTATTTTCTCAGTAAAAAAAGAGTCCTTCAGATCCTTTGTCTATATTGAAGACACCTTAAGTTGAGAGATGGAGTAATGCAACCGAACATATATAGCAATGTAGCCCTGTACAAAGCATGTTTGCTTCCATTATGTTTTTTAATCCTCACAACAACCCTTTGCTATATGAAGTTGACTTTTCCCAGGGTTTTTAGTCCTTCAAACCATTGGTATTTGGCCATGCTTTTGCAAGAGATTTTCAAACAGTGATTTTTAAACAGAACTCAGTGGTTCTCAATCTTCTTAATCTAGAGTGGTGTGAGTATTTCCTTTACTGCAAAGAAAAGCAGCCTTTTTATAAATTGTCAGTTTGAATTTGAGTTTCTTCCTGTGATGTAACCTGATGCAATGTTTGCCTGAATCACTAATAATGTAACTGATTTCCCCTAGCCAGTCATAAATGAGTCAGTGATCACGGATTCTTTTAGTTTATACTCAAGTTGCTTTTTCTGTGTGCAGATATCCTCATTGAATAGCTTGCTGTTGGGCTTGTATAGCATTATGGTTTACATCAGGGAAGTAGATAGCCAGCAGAGCTTTGTGCTAATTTATTTTGCAATCCTATAGGAAACAAAGGACCCATTCTTTGTTGAACCTGAAGAGACTTCTAGGGAAAATCAGCCTCTGACCCTTTCAGAAGTCTTGCATCTTAAAGCTCGTGTGTGGTTCAGGCCATGCTTGAACCTATGTGTGTAGCCTTATAAGTCAGTCAGTGTGCCCCTATAATGTTTAAGATTGTGATGTAAGAATAAGAGTTTGGAACCCATTAAAACAAGGGTTAGGTGGCCAGTGTTGTCAGGAATATTTCTCTCTCTCAAGCCGGTAGTCATTGTTACAATTAAGGATGGAGCTCTTAGGTAATATCACTAGATACAAGCTCTTTTTCCCTCTCAGATTCTTGCACTTTTTTCCACTACCCTTTAAGTCTTTCAGTTATTTTTTAACTTTCTTAAGATATTTTCTGGTCATTAATATACAAGTGGTGTTTTGTCTTGTGTCTATCACCTATATCTCTTACATTCATTTATTAAACACATACTTGTTGAGTCCCTCCATGTGCCAAGTACTGTGATAAGCACTAGGGTTGCAAAAATAGTCACTGTGCTTGCCCTCAATGAGCTTGGAACCTAGTGGCAGAGAGAGGGTTATCCAACAAATGTTGGGCTGGATCTGAGACATGCTGAGGAAAAGGGAAGTGGTGAAGTGGTGTCCTGAGAGCTCTAATAGAGAGATAGGACTGCCATAGAAAGGTTTCCCAGAGGAAGGGACACTTGAGCTGAGATCTGAGGAATGAGTAGGGGTTTAAGTGGAGAAGGCAGGCGAGAGAGAGAGAGGAATATGCACAAAACCTGGCTCAAGAGTAATGGTGAACAGGAGGGGTTGGACAAAGACCAGTGAAACTGGAATGGAGAGAAATTAATGGGAGTGAGGCCAAATCGTGGGGCTTTACAGGTAGCGTGTCCATTTGATTGATAACCATTTGAGTGACCATTTTGGTTGATAAAATTTGAGAATTTTATCAACCAAACCGTGATTCTTGAGAGTAAAAGAGGGTGCTGTTAATTATTAAACACAGACTATAAGCATCAGCCAGGACATATGGTCACCTCGCTTTTATAGGCCTTGTTAACAGTATTATCTCTTTTTAAAGCGTTGGCAACCAGCAGTGTGTTTACTTCCTAATGAAGGTGTCAGGGAGTTGGTCCAAAAAGGACCCAAATGGAACTCAAAGGCTGGGTTTTTCCAAACGGCTAGATTGATTTTTTTTTTCCCGATACAGATATTAGTGACCCTTTAACGTTTTAAAAGTTTGGCATAAAAAGATGGATTTTATTGTGAGCTACTAGATTAGAGTCACTTTCATGGTGTATGAAACAGCACAATTCAAACAGATCTTGAATATTTTCTATATCTTTAAAATATAGCACTTGTCATTTTTGCAAAGGAGTTTTATTTAAATAGGATTTCTTTTCTTTTCTTTTCTTTTTTTTTTTTGAGACGGAGTCTCACTCTGTTGCCCAGGCTGGAGTGCCCAGACTGGAGTGCAGCGGCACGATCCCGTCTCACTGCAACTTCCACCTCCCGAGTTCAAGTGATTCTCCTGCCTCAATGTCCCAAGTAGCTGGGATTACAGACACACGCCACCATACCCAGTTAGTTTTTGTATTTTTAGTAGAGACGGGTTTCACCATGTTGGTCAGGCTGGTCTCGAACTCCTGACCTCAAGTGATCCACCTGCCTCTCAGCCTCCCAAAGTGCTGGGATTACAAGTGTGAGCCACTGCGCCCAGCCTAAATAGGATTTAAAAAATAGTTTCATTTTAGGTTTACATTTTGAGTATACGTACCTCCTGGACAATAACTTTCAAAGTATGGGCCACTTAAATTATTTTCTTTAAGTTGATGTAAAAATCTGTATAATCAAATGCAAAGAGTTCAGGGAATTTTGCACACCCATATAATCTACACCCTGATCAAGAGCTAGAACATTTTTGCCACCGCAGAAAATTCCGTTTTGGGACGCTTAATGTTTGATTCAGAAATATGGCTGTGGAGCCAGGCCTCAAATTAGAAATAAGTTGTTTTCCCTCTCCTTTTATAACTTTTATTTTTGCTTCCTAAACATGCGGCAGTGGTTACTTTAAACATGAAGCAAATTGTCTCCAGAAGAAACCGTTGCCTTTCGACTAGTTATGATTTAGGGGTTGGTAATATAGTACATCCCTGCCCAATTTGCTATGGGTTTTTCATCCTTAAAGTAAAATCTGAGTCATATCCCCATCACTGACTCATAAGCTTACTAAGGATTGCCTGTTTATTATTAGGCCTAAGCGTTAGAATCTTGATCAATCAAAAAAGATTGTGATAATGTCACATTTACATAATACCTTTCTCTCCTCCCCTATTTTTCATTTTAGCCTGTTTATGTCACTCTATAGTGAGTTATGAAAATAAGAAGAGGGGACAAGTGTCAAGCCAGTGTTATATAGCTGAGTCCTAGCCTTGAGTACTTCTTTTCCTCTCAAAATTCTCAACATCAGTTGCCAGAGAGCATTTAGAATATTGACCTAAGTTACAGTGCAATTCGTTGTGAAATTGATTCAATTTAAGGGTTATGTGTCACTGTCTTGAAAGATTCTTGAATCAGAGACAAAGTCTTGTCCTAAAAACACTGTTCTTAATGAGTTTGGGATCTACTGAGGGATAGTGATTGAAAAGGGAGCTTACTCCTTTTTCCCCCTGTAGTTTTCAGGTTCTCGTTTGGAACCTGATCTGGGACCAGATCTTGAATTAACTGTTTTTTTTTTTCCTGAGAGGGTCAATGTGGTCTGCTTAACAAAACCTCTGCTGTCAAAGCACTGGTGGGCTGTGGTGGTGGTTTTTAGGCATTTCTTTCTCAGCACAGCAATACATAATATTTCAGTACCAGTTGGGCTTTTTGCTTTTTTTTTCCCCTCTACACTCCATTTTAGAAAGAATGGCAAATCAGTGAAGATATAACGTGGGTTAAAGCCAGATTTGGTCAGTGGAAAGACTTGTTAATAACCCATTTTCAATTGGAGAAGCTCCTGCCTACTCTGATTACACATTCATTTCACTAGTAGGTTTGTTCCTCATTTTAAAAAGGAATCCCATCACTCATTAAGCACAGGACAAGTCAATGTGACATTTAACTCTGTGCATATTGAGGACAATTTTTCCTTCATTCGTGCCTCTTCCTGGCAAGCCATCCCAGTGCCACTAGGCAGCTTTCAACCCCCTGTTCTGCTGCTCTGCTTCTGTAAAATTCTGTCCTGATGCCTCAGGCACTTCCTGCAGCCTTCCTGAGTGTCAGGACTGTGCTAAGTACCTTTGTGCATCCCCTCACTGACTCCTCATCACAAGCCTGTAAATGTAGACATTTGTTGTTATAGTCATCTGTCATTTGAGAATATTATGATACAGAGATGTTATATCACTTGCCCAAGGTCACACAGCTATGGGCTGATTTGGAGCTAGCATCCAGATTTGTGTAAGATCAAGCACTAGCTTCTAACCAATACATATCACCTCCCCAAGCATTGGTTTCTTTTCTGATCCTGTTGCATTGTAATTGTTTGCATTCATGTCTGATTTTCCCATTAGACAGGAAGATATGAAAGTCAGGGACAACTCTTAGACCAGAGCTTTAGAAGATGCCAAAATTAGATTAACAGATTGTTCATTTATAAATATTTATTTGGCACCTACTATGCACCCAGTATTGTTCTGGGCACTTGGAGATATAGCAGTGAACCAAACAAAAATCCCTGCCCTCAGAGAGGTAAATAAGCAAAGAATATGTATGCTGTGTTAGATGGTGACAGGTGCTGACGATCAGAGCTGCTGTGTTAGTTCTGTGAGTGTTACTTCCTGGAGTTGTGCAAAATTGTGCATGATCTTGTCTGAAAAAGGAGAGAGGGAGGGAGGGAATTGCTGGAGTGGAACTATTTTAAGTAAAATAGTCAGGGAAGGCCTCAACTGATAAGGTGACATTTAAGCAGAAACTTGGAGACCAGAGAAACAGCTCAGGAGATATCTGGGGAAAGAACATTCCATTCAAACAGTTGAGTGAATTCCAAAATCCTTTGAGACTTATCTCTCCCCAAATATATAATTATAATTTGGCATTCTTGGGTACTCTATTATAATGTCAACCAACCTGATTTTTGGCAGTTATTTTCCTGACCACTTTTTATTTGTTTTCTGGTTATTGCATGCCATAGGAGTCACCACAACTTTGATTTCTGGAAAATTCAGCAGAGTTTCCGCCCTGTCCCCACACACCTTCTTCTCCCTTTTAGAGATAATTGCAAATCATAATAAACAGGCTTATAAGAAGACCTGAACTTCAAAATATAAGTCTGATTTTTTAAAAAAACTGTATATCAATAAATATAGAATAAGAATTGATGTTCAGTATAATGAACAGGTTCAGCAAGGCACTCAATGTTTTGGCAGGACATATGGCTAGGCAAGCTAACAGACAAGTGTTGAAAACAAAAAGTTTTCTTGTTGATATATAAATACCTGGGAAATTCAGTTATCTCAAACACCTATTCCTTACCAAATCTGAGATTACAGTACAAAGACTTGTTATCATTTAGAGCCCCTGGTCTTTTGTATATATGACTGAAGAGAAAAGCAAGGGTACATTAACTTTATCATTCAGTCACTTAAACAGCATGGAACACTTAACTTTTTTTAAGGTGCTGGCAAGTATCTGGCCTATTCCTGCATTACAGAAAGTCCCTGGTGTTAAGACATAAAAATGAATATTTCTCTGGTTTCACTTTCCTTATCAAAGATGGATGAAAAGGTACTTTCTCAAATACATTTCACCATGAATTCTACCCCACCCATGCTCCCCAGCCTGAGAAGTAAGAATGTCGCCTTCCATTTTGAAATTTGCTGTAGCTATCTAGTCTAAGTTGTCTTCCTTTTGCTGCATAAAAATTGAATACTTTTGGCATGTTAATGTTGGGTCCATATCACTATCAGATATGATTCTCTCCCACTCTTGAGAGTCTTAGCAAAGCTAAAAAGGAGGCAGAAATCTCTGGGTTTAAGAAAGAATCCCTGTCAAAGCTCCCAATTAAAAATAACCAGATAATTCTGGCCACTTGATTAAAAATGGTGGGATAAGCTTGTGGGGGAAAGAGGAATGGAATGAATGAGAAAAAAAAAGTAAGGAACTATGCTTTGAAAAGCAATAGTGATATTATGTGAGGTTTCATGCAGATCTAGAAATTTTATCCAAAGCAAACATTTACCACAGGTGCCATGACACCTTTTTTTTCTTTTTAAGTCATATAAATAGATTCTTCAACTGCCAAACTTGTTCTTGTAAATGCTAAACTGTCTTGTCTAATTATCTCAAAATTATCTTCAGCACCAATATATCTATTTTTCTAGTGATAACAGACCCACAACCAAAAATTCCCTAATGTTAAATTTGGGAACACAAGTAAAATAACCATGTTAATTTGAAACTGGGTACCATGGATACGGATAGTGATTATAGCCTTGTGAATCTGCTAATAATTTGTTGTAATAATCTATGGCATCTCTCCCAGAAGATCTCTCAGATTCATCAATGCAGATCAAAGTTTGTCCTTTATCAAAATGCTGGCTATGATTCTTTGGCTCTGAAAGGTATTTTTGCCCTTCTCTTTTCATGAGAAAAGTCCTACCTTCATTTCTTAATGAGTATCCCTTTGTTTTTATTCTTCCCACCTACTCACACTGAACTTGTCAACTTAGATAGGAAAATACTCTGCCGTGTAGAATGAAATTAAAACATCCAAATGTGTAGTTGGACAAAGTTATTTTTAACCTTAGTCATTTAGTGTAACACTTTATGTTAGGCAATCAAGTTACGATAAAGGTAATTGAAATGAGGTTGCTTAGTAGCCTATTTCATAGCTCAAGGTTTTTAGGGTATTGTTGAGTAAAAATATATTTCAATACCTTGAGTACAGATCTCTGGTCTAATATAGTTTGTTTTTTCAGTGGGAACTTTCACTAGAAATTTATTTCAAGGGAACAAAATAGAGTCTTGTGTGTATGTGTGTGGGTGTGTTACATATGTGCTTGCTGCGAGAGTAGGACGGGCAGAGTTAGCACTGGAAGGAAGAAAGTAAAATTCAAGAAATGGTGCAAAAGGAAGATTTCTGCATACATTTGTGAGTCATATGTATATGCCTTTGCCCTTCTTAAATTAGTGTAGAGAAAGTAATGTGCCGAATAGTTTTTTTTTCATGTCGTTGGTTGTTTTTTTTTTTTTCAGTTTTTAAATTTTTTCTTCTTGCAAGACTCACAGTGCAAGGTTGGCTGTTTATTTTATTTTACTTGAGATGGAGTCTCACTTTGTCGCCCAGGCTCGAGTGCAGTAATGCAATCACAGCTCACTGCAGTCTCGACCTCCCTAGGCTCAGGTGATCCTCCCACCTCAGTTTTTGTATTTTTAGTACAGACAGGGTTTTGCCATGTTGCCCAGACTGGTCTCAAACTCATGGGCTCAAGCAATCTGCCTGCCTCAGCCTCCCAAAGTGCTAGGATTGCAGGCGTGAGCCACTACACCTGGCCTAGGTTAGTTTTTTAAAAGATATGGTTTATTTTGATGTCTGGCCACTGATTTTTATAAAGTTACAAAGAGAAAAAAAATACTTCTTTTACTACCATCTATCAGTGCACCAGAAAAGAATGCCCTTGTGTTCATGACATGCAAAGCCTTTTTTTATTTTTAATTTAAACTAAAGCACCTACAAAATTTATGAACCAAGAGGGTAGAGTTTTCATAAGCTTCTCAAATCACCAACATTTAGGGAGTGCCTACTGTGTGCAGGGGCTCTCACTGGCATTGAGTGCTCTCTTCATGTTGGGAACATGAAATATACAAGGGAGGCAGATTGACAAGGCCTCAGCTGTGCATTGGTGGTAAAGTGCCGCATGCCACATCATTTAAAAAGGATGAAGTATTATAGCAAGTTGAGACTCAGGTTACAGAAAGAAGGGGTGATGTTAAAATCCCACCTTTGACCTTAGACCTAGATCAAATACCCATCTGTTAATGTAATACTGTAGAGCACTCATGATCAGACAAGCTGCCCCGATTTGAAGGCCGGAAGATACAGAATCTACTGTGCCCTTGCAGGTCTCTGATTTATGTGGGGTTGATATTTTGGGGTGTTAGTTTGACCACCAGGTTCAAGTTTAACCATTAGGATTTCAAATGAAAAACACAAACGATGAGTCTCAGCCTTTTTCTTGATTTGATAGGCATTGTACAAACAGTCACAAACCACATAGTCCCATGGACATTTCAGGGTTACATGTAATTCCAGGTATACTCATTGCGGCTACTCATTTTCTTCCCTGGGGAAAGCACATTAGAATATGGGAGGGTAAAGGTAAGAGTGCTGAGAGCTCTATACGTATGCATGCAAAAGGTTACCTCCATTTCAACCAGGGTCACCCTGTACCTCCAGAGATGCATTGATCAACCCCCATTTTTCTGGCCTGATAAAGTCCAATGTCTTTCTCAAGTTTTTGCACCTTCCCAGGTGGCACATCCTCTCTTCTGACCTCTGGCCTTGGACCCAATCCAGCAGCTGCTGGATTAGGTCAGTTTGGTGACCATTTTATCAGCCTCCTTGGACTGTCCTTTTTGCCTACTATGTAGATGTGAAGCTTCGTCTCATCTTTCTACTGCAAACATTCACTTAAAGAAGCCATCTCTGGGGAAGGTGTGAGATGACAACAGAGACTTACACTGAAACAACATCGATGTCTTGAATTGTTAGGATTTTTTTTTTTGAGACAGGGTCTCACTCTATCGCCAGGCTGGAGTGCAGTGGCGCGATCTCAGCTCACTGCAACTTCCAACTCCTGGGTTCAAGCAATTCTTCTGCTTCAGCCTCCCGAGTGACTGGGACTACAGGCGTGTGCCACCACACCCAGCTAATTTTTTGTATTTTTAGTAGAGACGGGGTTTCACCGTGTTAGCCAGGATGGTCTTCATCTTCTGACCTTGTGATCCACCTACCTCTGCCTCCCAAAGTGCTAAGATTACAGGTGCGAGCCACCACGCCCAGCCAAATTGTTAGGATTTTTTAATGCTTTGGTGATTTGTGGATCCAGGCTCAGGTCCTTTGTTCCTTACCCTCCCAACTTCCCCTCTCCTTTTTATCCCATCGCCCCTTCCTTCTCCCTTCCCCCTCCCTCCATGCAGTCTTCTCTCTCCTCCCCTCCTTTCCCTTCCCTTCTCTTTGTGTCTCAGTAGACCAAAGCGGATGTTGCCTCTCTCTGCTATTAGGGAAGGAAAAACAGTGTTTTTTCTTTCTTTCTGCAGTCCTTTTTTTGTGGGTAAGGTTGCAGAGAAAGATAAAATAATGAAGAACAGAGAAGACAGATGAAGTCTTCAGGATAGGCAGAAAGACTAGGGAAAAGAACCCTGCATTTGCTTAGACACCGAGAGAGAGAGCCAGAGGGCCAGGAGATCTAGGCACAGGTTCTGGAATCAAACATTTCCTGGTTGGATCCCAGTTCAAACACTGGCAGTAGTGCCAAGAGGCAAAGCACTTCATCCATTTTGACTCCCAGTTCCTTTGCCTTTAAAATGGAGTCATAATATATTCATTCTTCAACTCCAGATTTCAAACTCTGAAAAGAGATTTTAAAAAATCTAGGGTTGCAAAAACATTTTTGGCAGTAAAACTTGAGGTCCCCCAATGTGACCCTATTTAATGTGGTCTTCAACCTACTTTAATGTCTATCCACACATTTTACTGCAGGAAGATTAATGCATTTGAATTCCAGCTCCCATGGGAGATGATTTATGCTATAGGAACATGCTCCATATTGTCTTTCTAAAATCCAAAAAATGCTCAATTCCAGAAATACAACTGGCCCTAAGGGCTTTGGATAAGGATATCCACCTCAGAGGGTATTTGGAATCCTGAATGGGGTAATAGATGTAGGACGAGGCCCTTAGTAAGTGTTGGCTGCTGTGACCATCATGGTACTGTGGTCTTGAACACGTGCAAGTATGTCCGTCTCCAGGAGTAGCCGTGAAACTTTGTGATAGTTGTAGGATGCACACAATACCCTGTCAGTTACACATAGGCTTCTTTTATATCTGTGGTTTATATCTGTCTTGAGTATTGAAGTTGGTTCTGATTTTCTTTTTAGATGTCTCCTCATTGCCCTCTTAACTCCACTTTTTTATTTTTATTTTTTTTTGAGACAGGATCTTGCTCAATAGCCCAACCTGGAGGGCAGTGACATAATCTCAGCTCACTGCAACTTCCGCCTCCTGGATTCCAGCAATTCTCTTGCCTCAGCCTCCCAAGTAGCTGGGATTACAGGCGTGCACCGCCACCCCTGGCTAATTTTTGTATTTTTAGTAGAGATGGGTTTTCGCCATGTTGGCCAGGCTGGTCTCAAACTCCTCGCCTCAAGTGGTCCACCCGCCTTGGCCTCTCAAAGTGCTGGGATTACAGGTGTGAGCCACCATGTCTGGCCTTAAATCCACTTTGTTAACTAAGGAAAAATAGTATTATTTTCCTCACTATTCCAACTAAGGAAAGGAAAAATAGTATTATTTTCCTCACTATTCCTCTGCTCCTCTCCTTCCATCCTCCCTCCTCTTCTCCCCAGCGCTCTCTGTACCGTGTGTGTGTGTGTGTGTGTGTGTGTGTGTGTGTGTGTGTGTGTCTCAAAAGCCCTTTCCAAGCCGGGCGTGGTGGCTCACGCCTGTAATCCCAGCACTTTGGGAGGCCGAGGCGGGCGGATCACGAGGTCAGGAGATCGAGACCCTCCTAACATGGTGAAACCCCATCTCTACTAAAAATACAAAAAAAAAAAAAAATTAGTTGGGTGCTGTGGCAGATGTCTGTAGTCCCAGCTACTCGGGAGGCTGAGGCAGGAGAATGGTGTGAACCCGGGAGATGGAGTTTGCAGTGAGCTGAGATCGCACCATTGCACTCCAGCCTGGGTGACAGAGCGAGACCCCCTCTCCAAAAAAAAAAAAAAAAAAAGCCCTTTTCCTCTGATCTCAGGGAACTAGAGAGCTGGTTACTTTGGAGGCTGCAGGGCTTTTCTCTGAGAGTAGTGATTACTAGTTAAAAGATGCTAAATGTGAAACAGTTATTTCTTAGGGGCCAGGTGCTAAGAACTTCTCAACAGGGACAACTTAGTGAGGGAAATGGAAAATGAATACACACGATATAAAACTTTGGCTATAAATACAAGATGATTTGGGGGGTGGGAGCGAATGGCATTTTGTTTGGTGTTTTCTCCATTGTAAGTCCTGTTGCCTGAGGTAAGGTAAAATTCTTTTTCCTAACATAAATTTAGGAAGTTGAGTATGAAGAAGAATAAATGGGTCTAGGCTGGAAGAACTTGATTGATTGAAATAAAAAAATTAAAGGCTTTTTGTCCCACAGTGATAATCAAAACATCCTTCTATTATTTAAAAAACAAATCTTGATGTCTAGTATAAAAAAAAAAAAAGAACAAACTGGCTGCAAGTTGTGAATTCATTTTGCCTGTCTGTGCCAGTTTTCCAAACTGGCAGAAGGGAGACTTTATTTCTGAGTATGTACTCCATTAAATATTTCAAGTTGTTAGAAGTATTCTTGGTTTTTGTTGTGTTTTATTTTGATGTTAAGATGGGTTCTCAGACCCTAGCCTAAGATCTGGATTTCTGTGTTGTCTTCATGACAAAAAAAAAAAAACAAAAAAAAACCAAAGACAACAAATGGAATAAACCATTGTAAGTAAAAAGGAGATGTAAACAGAGCACTGAGAACCTTACTTTTTTTTTTTTTTTGAGACAGAGTCTCGCTCTGTCGCCCAGGCTGGAGTGCAGTGGGGCAATCTTGGCTCACTGCAAGCTCTGCCTCCCGGGTTCATGCCATTCTCCTGCCTCAGCCTCCCGAGTAGCTGAGACTACAGGTGCCCACCACCACGCCTAGCTAATTTTTTTGTATTTTTAGTAGAGACGGGGTTTCACTGTGTTAGCCAGGATGGTCTCGATCCCCTGACCTTGTGATCCGCCCGCCTCAGTCTCCCAAAGTGCTGGGATTACAGGCATGACGCACCGCACCCGGCCGAGAACCTTACTTTTAATACAATTTTATGTTTACTTTGTCTACTCAGCCACTAGTCGGTTCTTGCTGACGTTATTTCAAAGGCTGAAGAAATAAATTTGTCTTGCCCACAATTACTATGATTCTTTGTTTTTGTTTTTTTAATAGAATCCACACTTTCCTCTTTATTTGTAATGGGTTTCTTGGTTCTACATGACACACAGCACCCCTTCCCAATCATGTTGCCTCAAGAAAGAAATAGAGAATATGTAGAAAATTAAAGCACTTACATTTGGAGTTGAAAGAAAAGAAGGCAATTGCAAAAGATCTCTCCTTATTCTGTAATGGAAGAGTGCAAATAAGCACATTTTTCCTGTCCTTCTCTAAGATGCTCCTGGCCCACACAATGCGCTTGAGAATAAATCAGTAATTCTCTATCATCAGCACTGCATTTACTCAGTCTCTAGGTATGGCACCTCAACAATGAGCAAAGTCTGAGCTTCCTCTCAAACAAAATTGAATTTAATACGTTTTTGTCTCTAAGATTCCTTTCTGAATTTTGAATTTCTTCTTTTTTTCAATCTGGTTGTTTTAATTTTGATTTTAGTTTGAAGGTAAATGTGGCTCCTGTGTCTTCTCTCTTATACCCAAAACATGTACATGGTAACTTTCTGAAGAACATGGGAAAAAATGGCTCCTTGTTGAGGGATGTGTTCAATAGAAAAAGAAGCCTGGACATGGAAAGATTCTATAAATGAAAGGATCTGGAGGATCTCTTTAAAGGAGCCTGTGAGGTTTTTAAACTTTATTTTAAGCTATTGTGAGCCTATGTTAGCCAGTCCAGGAACATTCATTGTAACTAAACCTCTTTTCCTTTTTTTTTTAAATTTGTTTTAATTCCCTTTTTATTTCTTCCTTCTTTTTCTTTTGGAGATGGAGTCTCACTCTGTCTCCCAGGCTGGAGTGCGGTGGCACGATTTTCACTCACTGCAATCTCTGCCTCCCAGGCTCAAGCATTCCTCCAGCCTCAGCCTCTTGAATAGCTGGGACTACAGGTGTCACCACCATGCCCCAGCTAATTTTATGTATTTTTGGTAGAGACAGTTGCCCAGGCTGTCCTTGAACTCCTGAACTCAAGCAATCCTCCTGCCATGGCTTCCCAAATTGCTGAGATTATAGGTGTGAACCACCACGCCTGACCCCTTTCCTTTCTTTTTAAATAGGCAATCAATATCTGATTTTATGAATGTCTGCCATTGTGCATGATTCAGCTAAGTAAGCCCTAATGAGAATTCAAAGGTTATGACGACTTAGTCATAGGAGTCTATAATCTAATGCAGAAAAGAGATTTACAAAGCATAACAAGGCAGTGTTTTATGTTATGATATAGGTACGGTGAAATGAGTTTAGGGAAGGAAGCCGGGGAAGGCTTCGTAGTAAAAGTGGCATTTAGTAGAACTCATGACGAGCTGAGGGATGCCAATAGTGAAAAGGCAATGATGTCAAGACTGTAAAGCTAAGGCTGTTTAGTGAATAGAGTATTCCAGTTTACCTAGAGTACAAGTTATGTGTGTAAGTAAGGCCTTGTCCTAAAAAAAAAAAAAAAAAATCAGTCTAGTGAGGAAAAAATGTAAATAAACAAATGAATGAGTACATTTTGCATTCTGAGTTATGCAGAAAGTGCTTTGCAACATAGAGGAAAAAGCCCTAACTGTTGTGGTGGTTGAGAGTTGATTGGAAAGCCTCATGGCAGGCTGAGTCTTGATAGAGCAGTACTTTGCCCAGTGGAAATAAGAAGAAAGCATATAGAAGTTCTCCTTATCCTTTGGACTTGCAATACACACAAAACTTTCTGGGGCTTTCTAAGGAAATTTTATTTCAAGATTCTGCTAGGCAATAACTCTCCTTCCTTAAATTGAAGGGTAAGGACTCTAAGTTCTGCTTTTTCTTTTCTCACTGAATTTGCTTAGGTTTTTTTTTCGTTTTTGTTTGTTTTTTTTTTTTTCACCTTTCTCACTGGTATTGATCACTTTCTCTTCCTTAGTAAAGCTCCATTTGCTTCTCTCCTAACCTGGACATTATAGGAAGCACTGATGCTGTATTAAAATTTAGAGAAAGCTCCCAGTCTGTCTTTCCCAACATCCCTTCAGTTTCAATAAGCAAAAAAAAAAAAAAAAATAGTTGTTATACAAGCATGGCAGCTGCCCTGCTGCTTTCTGTATGGTAGAGCAATATGTCCTCATGTTTGCATCAGGAAATGATGTTTCAAGTTGAGGTTCTGAAGTTTGATTGCTCAATTCTGTCACTTGCTAAATGTTTAATCTCAGGTTACCCAATCTCCCTGTGCCTCAATTTCTTCCTCTATAAAATGAAAATACAGTCATGTGCTGCATAATGATGTTTTGGCCAACAATGAACTGTGTATACAACGGTTGTCCAAGAAGATTATAATACTGTATTTTACTATACCTTTTCTATATTTCTATATGTTCAGATGCACATGCTTACCATTGTGTGACAATCGCCTACAGTATTCAATACAGTAAGCTGCTGTACAGGTGTGTAGTCTTGCAACACTAGGCTATACCATGTAGCCTAGGTGTGTAGTGTAGTAGGCTATACCATCTAGGTTTGTGTAAGCACACTCTATGATGTTCACATAACAAGAAATCTCCTACTGATAAATTTCTCAGAATGTATTCCTGTCATTAAGTGATGCATGACTGTAATGTACCTTACAGGACCATTGTGAGAATTAAATGAGATAATCCACAGAGAGCACTTAGTGCTGTGGCTGGGATGTAGTCAACATTTTAATAAATATTAGCTATTAATTATTTTTAATTTTTTGCCCAGGCTATTCAGCCCTTTCATCCTTTGGATGCTGCATGAAGATAACCTATAGTAGTTAATTTTGTCAACCTGAACTGGGCCATGGGATGCCCAGATATTTAGTTAAACATTATTTCTGGGTGTGTCTGTGAGGCTGTTTCTGCAAGAGATTAACATTTGAATTGGTGGACTGAGTAAAGCAGATGGCCCTCCTCAGTGTGGGGAGACCTCACGTTGTTCTTCCGGCCCTCATCCAATCTGTTGAGGCCTGAATAGAACAAAAAGGCAGAGGAAAGTTGAATTCTAGATCTGCCTGACTGAGCTGGGACCCATCTTCTCCTGTCCTTGGTGCTCCTGTTTCTCATGCTTTTACACTCGGACTGGAATCTACACCATTGCCTCTCCACCTTTCAGGCCTTCAAACTGTACCCCCAGCTTTTCTGGGTCTCTAGCTTGTGGACTGGATCATGGGACTTCTCTCAGCCTCCATCATTAGGTGATCTAATTCTTTATAACAATTCTCTTTATACATATATGGGCTGGGTGCAGTGGCTCACACACTTTGGGAGGCCAAGGCAGGAGAGGCCAGAAGTTTGCAACCAGCCTGGGCAACATAGTGAAATATAATCCCCACTCTACTAAAAAAAACGAACAAACAAACAAAAACAACAACAACAACAACAAAAAATCTCTCTCTCTGTCTCTATATATAGTGAGAGAGATTGTGTGTACATTATATCTATATGTAATCTCTCTCTCTCTCTCTCTCTCTCTCTCTCTCTCTCTCTATATATATATATATATATATATATATATATTCTATTGGTTCTGTTTTTCTGGAGAGCCCTGACTAATGTGTGGTTTGCAGCCAGTAGCATTGGCATAATCTGGGAGCTTATTAGGAATGCATACTCTCAGGCCCTGCCCCTGTAATTTAAACAAGATCTCTAAATGAATCATATACATATTAGAACACACAATTCCCCTACTGTCTATGAAAATTCCATGTTTATAGTGATGCTTCATCAACTAGGGAACAGCCACAGTCTCATACTACATATTAAGAGGAACATCTGTCAGTTAAACAATGATCATTTCAGCAAAGACAGAGAGTTCACATAGATCTAGCCTCGTTTCAAATGATGAAGTTACTAGGAAATAAATTATAGTATTTTAAGGCCTATTCAAGAACTCTCAGAGACATTAGACTGGAGGGCCATATCTTTACTCTGAGTACACTTGCATACCCAAAAGTAAGGGAGGTGCAGGGGAAGAGAGACCTAATCAGGCACATTTTTATTTGCCTTGCTCTCAAAAAGAGAGCAGCCTACAAGGAAACTGGGTTGGGAGAGGGGTAGGGCTAGGAGTACCTAGGAGTCAAATATCTCCTGAGAAAAGCTGACCAAACAGAGATAAGTAAGAACTCTAATAACTACTAACAAAAGGTCTTTGAGCCAAGAGCCCTCACACTGCCCTGGCTTTCTATAGAGTTAACTTGTCACCTTGAGGAGGAGAAAGACTACAATTTCCTCATGGAATTGGCAGGAGTGAGAATCCATAAATTAATTGGGAAAGTGCCTGTAGGTAACATAACCATACCTGAACTTTAGCTACTCACCACCTATCTCTACCTTCTCTTCTGTCCTTAGTTACCCGAATTACTGAAAAAAATATTGCAACCACTAAGTGTCCAGCTTTCCAGCGTAAGTTGTAAGGAACAGTAATTTAAGGGGATCAGGTAAACATTGAACAGATATGATGGTAATCCACCAATGCTGTTGGGCAAATATCAGCACCAGATGAAACTGTGTCTAATAAAAGATGAATAAGAAGTAGGAAAAATGGGACTTCCCTGAAATTCATAAAGAAAAATATAATGAAAAAAATGATGTGTAAAAGAAAGACAAATAATACATATTCAGAAGAGAATTACTTAAGGAAATAAAAATAATAGACTAAATTTCCTTTGTCCTCTCAAAGGAATTAAAGCCATGGTGAATGGAAAGGAGAGCTGGCATGCTTAAGAAATGGAAGGGGAAAATATAAACAGTTTTGAACTGCTTTAGAAGGACCAGAATCAACACTGAAAACAAATCAGAGGTAAAGAGGGTAGGCATGAGAAGAAACCACAGAGAAGGCAGTGGAAAAATACAAGGCAATGGAAGAAATTAACTAGGAACTCAGATGTGGAGAGACAAGTTGGGAATGATTTGTGTACTGGGAGATGAAAAACTAAAATGAGCTGGAGCTAAATAATGCATCAATATTTTATAAATATACTGTTATCCAAAACAAAACAAAACAAATAGCAGAAGAAGGAATGCAAGTTTTTATCCTTTATGTAAAGTTTGAAAACATTTAAACATTTATATGTGTATAACATGAGACTATAAAGCAATGGTTGAGAATAATAAACTCCAAATTCAGGAAAGTGGCTATTTCAGGAGGTTGGAGAATGGAATCTAAAATGTGTACACAGTGAACTTCAACTTCATTGGTTATGTTTTATTATTTTAAGGTAAGGTAGTGGGAACATGGATGTTCATGGTATTATTATTTATGTCTCTTTGTTTTGTGCTGGTGAGGATGTGGGAGAGCAGGATTTCTCATACTTTGCAAATGACATTGTGAGCTCTACTAAATTATTCCTGGGGCTTAGTGGGCATTTTCAAAATTTATATTCAGGACTTCCTTTATTCAGAAAAATTTTCTTCTATTATATCTTAAATTTTTATATTATAACATATTTAATTTTTATGACAATGTTTAACAAAAAGCTTTTGAAATTCTAATTGTAGTTGTATTAACTTATGTTATTACTTGGTAGGATTAACATTTTAATAATACCAAGTCATTTCATTTAGGAAAACTGTATAGGTTTACATTCATTCATATCTTAATTACATAAAACATATTTTTTGTAGGTTTTTCTTGTTAAATATATTCTAGATACTTTTTACAGTATATCCCTATCGTAAATAAGATAATTGCATATGTCTTTTTCTAAATCTATAATATTAATATAAAGAAAGTGATTAGTTTGTCTATATTTTTCTCACATATCGATACTTTGCCAGGTTTTCCTATTAGTCTTAATAGTTTTGTAGTTGCATCTCCTGGGTTTTCTAAGCACACAGTCTAAAACCTACAAATAAACATAATTTATCTTTTTATGTAAAAATGTTTATTTAGTTTTCTTACCGTATTGCATTATTCATATCCTCCAAAATAATTTTGAAAAAAAAATTGTGGTAAGAAGAATTTGTGATTTGATTCTGATTTTAGTGGCATTGGCTTTAAAATTTTACCATTTATAACATGTTTGTTGCTGTTTTTATTAAAAGTTACTTAATATATGAGGAGACTTCAAAGTGTTTTTGAAAAATGGAGTTAAAAGATAAAAGTAAAAAAAACATAGACTTTACTTCTTAACATAAGCTCCATCAAACTCAAGACAATTTTGTAAATGATGAGTCCACTCATAGAGAACTGAGGGTCCTGGGAATTTAATCATGTGAATGAAGTCTTTTTTTACGTTGTTAACTGAAGATAAATGGGTGCCCTTTACAGATTTTTCAAGATTAGGAAGCAAAATGAAGTCAAACGAATGGAGCCAAATCAGGACTGTAAGGTGGATGCCTAATGATTTCTCATTGAAACTCACAAAATTGCCCATGTTTGATGACACAAACAAGCAGGAACTCTGTCATGGTGGAGAGGAACTCTCTGGTGAAGATTTCCTGGATGTTTTTCTGCTAAAGCTCTGGCTAACTTTCTCAAAACACTCTCAAAATAAGCAGATATTGTTGTTCTTTGGCCTTCCAGAAAATGAAGCAAAATGACTTGAGCATCCAAAAAAATTGTTGCCATGACCTTTGCTTTTGACTGTTCCACATTGACTTTCACTGGACCACTTCCACTTCCTGGTAGCCATTACTTTGATTGTGCTTTGTCTTCAGGATCATACTGGTAGAGCAATGTTTTCTCTCCTGTTACAATTCTTTGAAGAAATTCTTTAAAATCTTTATCCCACGTGTTCAAAATTTCCATTGAAAACTCTGCTTTTGTCTGTAGCTGATCTGGGTGCAAAGGTTTTGGCACCCATGGAATGGAAAGTTGCTCAACTTCAAGTTTTCAGTCAAAATTTTGTAAGCTGAACCAACTGAGATGTCAATAGTGTAGGGTATTTTTTCTGCTGTTAATCGTTAGTTCTCTTCAATTAGGGCATGAACAAGATGAATTTTGTCTGGCAAATTGATGTGGATAGTCTGCTGCTGTGGGTTTCATTGTCAACATTGTCTCATCTCCTTTTTTTTTTAGAGACAGAGTTTCACAGTATTGCCCAGGTTGCACTTGAACTTCTGGGTCAACCCATCCTCCCACCTCAGCCTCTTTAGTAGGTGGGACTACAGGCACACACCATCATGCTTGGCCTCATGCCTTCTTAAAATGAATTATCCATCTGTAAACTGCTGATTTCTTTGGGGCATTGTTTCCATAAGCTTTTTGTAAAGCATCAGTGATTTCACCACTCTTCTACCCAAGCTTCACCATAAATTTGATGTTTGTTCTTACTTCAATTTTAGCAGAATTCATGTTACTCTTATAGGGGCTTTTTTCAAACTGATGTTGTCCTTACATCTTAGAACAAGTTAGTACAAGTTTATTTTGGTGCAACAAAATTTTGAAATTCATGCATGGGTTTTTTTCATAATCTGCATTTTCCGTGAACTTTTTGGAGACCCCTAGTATTTAGATTTCTTTAAAAAAGTGTCAGAATAAAACCAGAAATAAGATTATTTAGATAAATGATGTGATAATATTTTTTATTTTATTCCGAGTGTTTATTTGGAATTTTTGGTGACATATTTACTTAAAATATATCTATATTCTGGCATCGAAAGATATATTTTTAAAAAATTTACTATAATAATTATAGTTTTCTGAAACATTTCTACTTGACCATGTTATGTTACTCTTTTCATGCCTGTATGTATTCAATATGTTGATATTTTATTTAGAACATTAGCACTTATATTTGTAAGTAAATTATTTTTCTTTTTTGTGTTTTTTAAAATTAGTAAGTTTGGATATTCTTGTGTTAACTTACTAGATCATCTTAATAGTTTTTAATCACCTTTGGGAATCCAGTGTATTTTGAATAAAATGGATAAAATAGGAATTACAAATATTTTCTTAATATTCAAATTTAATTGGTGCTGGAGTTCAGAAAGAAAAAGTTCAGATAGGTAGCACAATACAGTATCTGGTCATATTTGATTTTTTGAGGTTTGGGTGGTGAGTAGCAAGAGTTCAGAAACCAAAGGATCCGTTAAAATTTTCAGAATATATTCAGCTCTTAAGTTGTATGGTGAGAGCTGAGATAGAGGGAAATACTCCCTGAACTTTTATTTGCTATTTTGAAGGTTAAATTGAATTCTGCAATGAAACTTTCTGGGTCTAGATCCTTTCTTGGTCTATGGCTTTCATGATGCTCCAACTTCTTCTTTGGTTTCTTCATGTTTTCTTTGTATTCTAAGGTCAACTTTGATTATTAATACTTTCTAAAAAATAATCCAATTCCTTTAGACTTACAAATGTATTGATATTAATTTGCACTTAATTTTCCTCAGAAATTATTTTATAATTATTTTAATATATTCTGTATCTGTAGTTATATTTCTTTTTCCAATTTCAACGTTGTAATTATTTTTTCTTTCTCTCCATCTCTATTTTTTCATATTCTAAAAATCAATATGTCTAGAGTTTTATTTCATTGTTTTTAGTTCAGGGATCTAAGCTTTACTTATTTAACATTGCTATTATTTTTGTTTGCTGCTTCATTAATTTCAGCCTTTATTAATTTTCTTCTAATAACTTAACTTTTTTCAGTTATTATGGTTATTTTTAAGTATCCTAAGTTATATACTTCATAAATTAAACATTTTTAATAACATTTAAATCTATCTTTTTTCTTATACAACTTAAAAATTCTATTTTATTAGTCTTTATATGAAGATTTTCTAGATAATTTGTAATCTCAGTTTTGATTTTATCTTAAGATAAACTAGGTTTTTAGAAGACTAGTTCTCAATATTCAAGTATTTAACTTTTTTGGTCATTTTCTTACCTCGTTTTACTAGATAAAGGCTAATTAATATCTCTACTTTTAAAAATTTATTAAGGTGGGCATAAAACAAAAATTTATTAATTCAATACAAGTTGTTGAGGGCCTACAATGTTCAAAGCACTGTTCTCAGTGCAGAGGATACAGAAGTAAACAAAACAGGCAACTAAGTTTGCCTTATTCTTTTATGGAGCTTACATTTTCATGGAAGTGTATAGACAATAAACAAACAAAAATTAATCTTCATTTCTTTATAGTAATGCAATAAATAAAAAAATAAATCTTCGAAAATGGAATGTTGTCTGGTGACAAATACTATGGAGAAAAATTAAGCAGGCAGGAAGATGGGAGTGTTGTAATACTGTAGGGGGAGAGGTGATTAGTTGTAATTTTAAATGAGATCGTCAGGGAAGGTCTTACGGACATTTGGGTAAAGACCTAAAGGAAGTAAGAAAATGAGTTGTGAAGGTGTCTAGAGAAAGGGAATTGCAGGCAGATGGAACAGCAAGTGAGAATACTGAGAGGTAGAATAGAAAATACTGATAGGTGATTTCAAATTTAGGTTGGGTCAGAGAAGCTCTGTCTGAGAAATTGACTTTTTAGTTAAGATTGAGGAACTAGCACTTCAAGCAGCAGGAATAGCAAATTTTCATCAATCATACTAAAGGACAGACTGACGTACATTCCTTTTGTCTCTGTAGAAACTTATATAACAAAATGGTTGTTAAACAGACAATCAAAGATGTAGTCAAAAAATGCACTAAATAAGGTATGTTAGGCACTGAATTAATGCCTAACAGCAATGCTTCTTTTGATTTTGTGATGTTTGTGATTTTGCCAACTTTTTAAAATTTATAATTTTTGAGATGTCTTTTGTCATTCTAAATAAATACTCATTACACATTTTTCAGCCTAGTTTTAAAAACATAGTTTTATATGTTCCTTAAGATGTGCTTTCCACTCTCAAACTATGAAAATTTTAGGTCACAGGGATCTTGGATATATCCCTGAACAAAGTATATGCTGCAAGTCAAGTGGGGAAAGGGTTTCCAAGAGGAGGGATGATCAATGAATGTATTAAGTGATGCTAATAGGTCAAGTAGGGTAAGGCTGGAGAAGTGCTCAGGTGTAGCAACATACGGTCGTTAGTGATAGAGACAAGAGCAGTTTCTGCCAATGATGGCAGAAGAAGCCTGCTTGGAGTTAGTTCATGTGAGAATGAAAGAATTTGGGGTAGGGAGTGTGGACAATTCTGCTCTAAAGAGATAAAAAGAAATAGATGGTAGCTGAAAATGAGATGGAGTTAGGAGAGTTTTTCATTTTTTTAATGATAGGAGAAACATCATGTTCATATGAGAAAGAGGCAGTGGGTGGAAATTTGATGAGGAAAAGTAGAATTTTTTCCCTTTTTCTTTACATTGTATTACTTATGTTCTCTATATCCTTATTTATTTTTATCTATTTGACTTACTAAATTGTGATATAAAATTCCCAGGCTGGGTGCAATGACTCACACTTATAATCCTAGCACTTTGGGAGGCCAAGAGGAGAGGACTGCTTGAGCTCAGGAGTTTAAGACCAGCTTGGGCAACATAGTGAGACCCCGTCTCCATAAAAGGAATTAAGTTTTAATAAAACAATAATTAAGACAAATTAAAAAACTTAAATTCTGATATAAAATTCCCCATCATGACTGTGATTTTTTTAAAGGTTATACGTGTCTTTGTTACAGTTTTGTTTCATGTATTTTACTGCTGTAGATTTTGGTCTACAAGAATTCATGAATTATATTTTTAGATTTCATAATATGCCTCTTTTTCCTGCTTAATGATATTGATCTTGAATTCTTATCTGATTTTGATTTTGACATTTCTGCTTTCTGTTTGCATATATTTACGTGGTGTAATTTTCCATGTGCCTTTATTTTAAAACTTCCTTTGTCATTTGGTTTTAGGCATGTTTCTTGAATATAGTAATAAGCTGGTGTATCCATTAGGATAATTTGGGTTGCAAATAATGCACAAGGGTTTAAAAAATGAAGTGAGATATGTTTGCTTTTATAAAGTTCTAGGACAGATCTAGTCCAGGCATGGTTTGTGTGTTGTGACTTGATTTCTCTCTATTATTTCAGCTTTCATTTCCTGGTGTGTTGTGCAGCTTCTCTCGTGGCAGCAAAATGGCCACAGAGGTTTGATTCCAGGCCTTTCATGTGTTTACACCTTACAGTCCAGCAGAAGAAAGAGCTCCTCTTCTGAAAACCTTGAAAGCTCTTGAATCTTATGTCTAATCCCCCAACAAATCACTATGATGGCATGCCATACCACACTGAGTCTGGGTCTGTGCTACTTATCCTTGAACCAATCACTTTGGTGAGGGGATCGGTATTATGATAAATGGTTAGTTTATGTAAATTAAGGCTGAAGCCTAAAATTGAAGCTTGAGATTCATTCCCACTCAAGTTAATGTGCTATTATTCGAAGGAACAGAGTAAGTACTATAAATATTGGAAAGAAGTTAGCACATTTCTCACTGCTGGAAAACCATACAATTCCATATCTTCAAAAGCCAAATGGATCAACTCATAAAGTATATCAGAAATAATCAGAAATAAGTAAGATTATTTTTACAAGATTAATAATGGAAAAAATTCAATCATTTTTATATAAAAATAACCAATTAGAAAATATAATTAAAGGAACTATTTCATTTATTAGATATAAAATATACTGAAATAAATTTATTAAGAAACATGCACTATTTATATGAAAATACATGCAGTTTCACTGAGAGATCTAAGATGTTTCTAGCTAAAAGAGCTCAACATTATAAAGATATGTGTTCTCCTTAAATTTGTTTCTAAAATTATTGCAATCCTAATCAAAATCACAATGATTTTCTTTTTTGGGGAGGTAGATCTGGCTGGGGGAGGTAGATCTGGCTGTCAAGACAAAGGTTTTAAAGTCTATATGATAAAACTAATTATGCTAGGCTAGCCCCGAAAAACCAAACAGACAAGCCCAGGCATCATGGGCCTGTGTGAAAGAAAGAAGCTTTTGCTGACTGTATATATAAAACATAATATAATATAAAGCTATAGTAATTAAAAACAATGGAATACTGGTACAAAAATAAATAAATAGAACAGAACAGGAAATTCAGAAAAAAACCAAAGTAATATAAAAGTGGCTTAGCATATTAATGGAACTGGTTCTATGGTATTTATTTTAGACTTCAATAAGCCATGTGTCTAAAACAAATGAGTGTAATAATCTCTAAGGTAACAATAAAATGAAATAAAATAATGTATAGCTACCAAGTTAATAGAAGGTAAAAAATGGAATCATAAAAAAAGAAAGAAAAAATAATATAGACAGATAGTATAGATAAAAAGCAAATAGCAAAGTCATAGACCTAAGTGCATTAATAATAATTATATTAAAGTAAATGGGCTAAATCCTTAATGCAACTAAAAGACCAATACTGTCAGACTAGATTAAAATAAAAACAAACAAGAACTAACTGTATGTTGTTTATAAGAAAAATACCTAACATATACTGAAGAGGTTGAATATAAAAAGATGGAAAATTCTATCATGCAAAAACTAACCAAAAGAAAGCTGTGATGGCTGTATTATTAAAAGTAAGTTTATGAAAAGTGGAGAGGAAATAGTTAGTGGGAGGAGGAGAAGAGGGAGAGCAGGAAAACAGTATAAGTAATGCTTATGAGGTAGCCTGGCTCTCTATTGAGGAGGGGGGGGCAGAATAGAGGGTAAGTGGGCCAGTGAGTGTGTAGCCCGTGTGCTAGAAACTAGTGGGAGATGACATAGAATTGGAAAGATGGATCCAGATTAGGGAAAGCCTACAAATTCTGGATTTGGTCATGAATTTAATAAATGAGAATCTGGTGTATCTATCTTTAGTAGTAGTGAAAAATCAGAATTTAAAACTTGTTATTGTCAACACTATTAACAGCCTTTAGATGATTAGAAAAACTCTATTCCTTTATCTACTGTTAAAGTCTTCAATAAAACATCATATTTTCCTTGACCAGCCACATATAGTGTAGTGGTTGTTAATTGGGGATTTGCCTGGGTTCAAATTTTATCCTCTCATTGTGCATCCAGTTCTTCCTGGCTATATTCCATGGGCAGAAACTCTTAACCTCTATGTGTCTTTGTTTCTTTATCCATAAAATGGGAATAATAGAAGAACATAACTAATAGAGTTGTTGTGAGGATTAAACAAGTTAATGGCCGGGCCCGGTGGCTCACGCCTGTAATCCCAGCACTTTGGGAGGCCAAGGCTGGTGGACCACCTGAGATCAGGAGTTCGAGACCAGCCTGACCAATATGGAGAAACCCCGTCTCTACTAAAAATACAAAATTAGCCAGGCATAGTGGCACATGCCTGTAATCCCAGCTACTCTGGAGGCTGAGGCATGAGAATCGCTTGAACCTGGGAGGCAGAGGTTGTGGTGAGCCAAGATCATGCCATTGCACTCCAGCCTGGGCAACAAGAGCGAAACTCCATTTCAAAAAAAAAAAAAAAAGCAAAAACAAAAACAAAAAAATCAAGTTGATGTTCATGAAATATGAGAAAGTGGCTGGCTCAATGAATGGTTATTTTTATTATTATTATGACTATTACAAGTGATACTGTTTTGTTATTTATGTTAAATGCTGATTCAGTAAGCCTAAGGTCACCAAATGAACAATATAAAACAGTCTTTTTTTTTTTTCTTGCTGTGTTCTCAACTCTTGATTATGAACCAGGAGCTTAGTAATTTGTCATGGGTCTGGTCTTTCCTGCTTGAAATATATTTGCTAAAATCTGGCAAACAATAAAGGCCTCTTTAAGGCACTATAGTTGGCACTGGGAATATTCTTCAGGAAGACATAGGTTGTACACTCGAAGGAGCTCACAAACCTATGAATAAAGGATTCCCATGCAGTGGGATAGAACAAAATGGAGGAAGGACATATCTCAGCACATAGCATGAAGAATGAACTTTGAAAGCAGAGAAGAGGGAGAAGGATATTTTCTGGCTAAGAAGGCTTTACAATGGATAGGAGAGGAGCTGAACCTTAGAAGGAGAAGCAAGAGAGGATATTGTCGAGCTAAAGAACACCACGAGTGCAGAGGTAGAATGATGTGAAAGTACAGGCATGCTTGGGGACTGACAAATTGTCCATTGTGTCCAGTTCATCAGATGTACAAAATAGGAAGCAGCATTTAGGAAGGCTGGGGAAGTAGACCAGAATTAAGTTGTGACTATTTTTCTGGGGAATTTAGAATCATTCAGAATAATTTTAACGGCCAATCTTTTTTTTTTCTTTTCTTTTTTTTTTTTTTTTTGAGACAGGGCCTCACTCTGTCACCCAGGCTACAGTGCAGTGGCATGTTCATGGCTCACTGCAGCCTCTACTTCCTAGGTTCAAGCCATCCTCCCACCTCAGCCTCTTCAGTAGCTGGGACTACAGGCATGCACCACCACTCCTAACTAACGGCAAATCTATTATAGTAAACCTTCAAATAAAGTTATACTTAAGGTATGATTGTACTTTTTAGTTTGTGGAAGAAATTCAGTATGAATGTTCCCACACTAGTGAAATAAGTATTGATAGTAATTTAGGGTTTAGAAATAGAATCCTTCATTTTTAAATTAAGTATGTTATGATCAACTAAATATGAACTTGGACTTGCTGAACTATTTTCAGTATATGGTTAGCAAGCTATGACAATAATAACAGTGATAAAAATAATTAGCATGAGTAATAATAGTAATACCATCTAACACTTATTGACAGCTTTTTATGTGCCAGGAACTATTGTAGAATCTTTTAGTTTCACTTGTATATTTAGTCCTCACAATACCTCTGTGAGGCAGATGTTATTATTATGTATATCAGAAAACATTTTATAAACCAGTAAAAACAATATACCAATAATAATGGCAGAGTATTTTATGTTCTTTGTATGTACAATGGGACTCAACTGCTTATTTTTCTTTTATGCCTCTCTTTTCTCTAGTTTTACACTGTAGTCTAGAGAGACAGACAAAGATGAAAGAAATACACACACACGCACACAGAGAGAGAGAGAGAGAAATAGGGAAGATCTATAGGAAATTATTATGCCTAACTGATTGTAGTTTGAGTTTTGTTTTCCTTTTAAAAACTAATTTAGAGAGAAAAGAAGACAAATTCTATCATATAAGAATATTACTCTATCTCGTTGATTTTACTTAGTTTGAAACTGATAGGTGCTGAATTAAAAATTCTGGAAGATGTACTGAATTTCAAGCAGTCCGGGCATTTGTCTCCTGTATCTATCAAGTCAGACTCAAAGTAAGCACCATAGTATTTGTTGATCATTTCTCTCCCACTTACCACATTTGCCTCAAGCCAGTTACTAACTCCAGGTAGTCACTAACTTTCCCTTGGGAACACTTAACCTGGTTGTGAGTAAAAAAAGAATGAACATTTGAGATGTTGAAACAACTATCGGGAAGATGTCAATGAACAGCTCAAGACTGGAATTAATTCCACAGAGAAATGATGACTGAATAGTCAATTTAGAAAGTAAAAACTTGGACTTAAATTCCAAAATGAAAAAAAAAAAAAAAAACCTTGCAGAAGACAGGTGTTTGCTTAAAGTTCTTTCTAATCCCTAGCAACTGTGAGTCTAAGATTTTCACAAAATGAGAGGAAAGGAATTATGTGTAATTTTCTCATCTAAACTAGTCTCCTTTTGCCCACTCCTTTCCAAATTTCAGCTAAAATAGTTAGCATGTCAGCAAAATCCTGCAGTGAACATCTCTTCTGAACAATGAGAATGGGGAAACCACAGAGCCCCACTTTAAAATTACGCACCAACAAATCCAGAGTAATCAGAGGAAGCACTCAACAGATTAAATTAGACCTAATGTGGAATTTAAAACATGCCACAAGTAATTGATTTTTTTCTAGGATAATTTGAGGGCAAAGGCTTATTTGACTTAACACAATAGTGGGTCATTATTTTAACATTAATGTAAAGCAGGAAGAGTGAAGACCTTTACTACCCCCTTTATTTTAGTACCTTTCACTCTCTGTTGTAATTCTTAGTTTAAATGCCTGCCTCCACTCTTAGATTTTGAGTTCCATGAGAACAGGAATCTCTTCTTATTTACACTTGTAAAATTTATAAATGTTTGCCACAGTGTCTGGTCCATGGTAGGCAGTTACCTAATGCTTAGTGAGTGAATGCATGCCATAACAAGAGTAATATACATTAGTAGTTAAAAGGCCTGGGCTGAGTGCAGTGGCTTATGCCTGTAATCTCAGCAATTTGGGAGGCTGAGGTGGGCCGATCACTTGAGCTCAGGAGTTTGAGATCAGCCTGGGCAACATGGCGAAACCCTGTCTCTACAAACAGTACAAAAATTAGCCAGGCACGGTGGCATGCACCTGTGGTCCCACCTACTTGGGGGATGGAGGTGGGAGAATCATTTCAGCCTGGGAGGCGGAGGCTGTGGTGAACCTAGATCATGCCACTGCACTACAGCCTGGGTGACAGAGTGAGACCCTGTCTCAATAACTAACTAACTAACTAAATAAATAAATAAATAAGTCAGTCAGTCCTGGATTTGAATTCATGCTCTTTCATTAATTAAGTTACTTTGAGCAGTTGATTTAATGTTTCTTCTCAATTTAATGCTTCTTAATCTGCCGTTGAAATTTTCTTCCAGCAAATGTTTATTTCTATAGCAAGATTCACAGCATTTTGTAAAATGTGAAGCATTAAGCATGTTTTAAATGAATAATTCAAGTTTTAATATCTGATTGCCACATGTCGGAAAGCTGGCTATCATATACTCTTTTTTTCTCACACTGCCAAAAATTTCAGTTACACTCCATTCTGGCTTATTTTGTCTCTTTTTCACTGATTCTTAGGGAGGGAAAGGAGTGAAGAAAACAGTCATTGTATTGAGGATACTTAAGGTTGGAGAACTTTCTTCTTAATACTGGCTGCTAGGGGCTTTATTTCTTTGAATTCAATTTCCATGCCAACCTAAAATAGCAACTTAGTACATTTTCTTACACATGTTATAATTCTACTACAATTTATGACAGTGAAGAGAAAAACAGTGGAAGAAGAGAGATTCAGTTGGATTTTCTGGGAAAATTTCAGACCACAGGTTGGTTATTGGGTGACAGCTACTTATTTTTAAAACCATCTAGATTGTTATAACTGTGTGTAGATGACAATTGCCCTAGAAATGTTGTATGCTTTTGAAAAGCTTACATAATTGCTCATATGGCAATTGCAAAATCATCCCTTGACGCGAATTTACACCAGAGAAGAAAGTGTCTTACTTAAAATTTCAGTCTTTCCCTCCTGCAGAGAGGAGGCGGCCTGGTAGTGGAGAAGGGAGGGCTAGTAAGGAAGATAGGAAGAGGGGAGGAGTTTGTGCAATGAGCAGAAAAAAGTCACTGAAGAGTTTATAAACAGTCTCTGTACTGAGGAGATGACATTTGAAACTGTGGGAAAAAAAACCATAAACCCAATCATTTGTCCTGCTTTTATGGGGGAGATGATTATCCATTTGGCTTTTGTCCTTTTATGTTTTAAAGATTGTCAAAATAAAAACAACGTATTCATAGCATTTTATTTCCTAATTTGTCAGTTGAAAACTACCCAAAAAAACACTACAGAAGAGTTTATTCAGAATCTCTATTACCTGTCATTTCAGAATTTTTTTCTCCTTAATTTTAAAAGAGCAGTGAAGGTTTCAGTGAGAAATTTTCCACCAGAAACCAGTTTAGAAGTCTGTTATTTGGAGGATGCTTGGTGGTCTGTAATCTAAAATCTGAGACGATAAAGGATTTTTCAAAATAATCGAAAGCAGGGGATATGTAGGAGAAGATAATGATGTTACGTTATAAGAGACTTCTAGTTAGTAGATTTCAAAGCCAGCTACTTAATGTTTCCCCAAAAAGTCTGCAAAGATTAAGCCTTTAAGTCCCTTTCTCTTCCCGTGTGTGTGTATGTGTGTGCATGTGCGTGTGCTTGTGGATGCACATGCTAAACAATTAAACAAACAAAAAGACAAAACATCCTTTTTCCCAGGTCTCCTAGATATTTTTTCCCCAGGCAATTCCATGTGCAACCTTTGCTTTTGCCGGTTCAGGGCAGCTTGGCCCGGGTAAGACAATAGACATACAAGATAATAACAGGGCAGTTGCTCTGTGGCATTGTCCTTTATCAGGATTAACTGTTACACCAATAAGCAAAACAGTGTGGTGGGGTTTTTCCATCACTGGCCTTTGCTGTTCCTGGGTGCCAGATGGCATTATATCCATGAAAAAAAAAAAAGCTGCAAGTTATAATGTTGACCAGGCACTGTTACTTCCACTTGATCACACTGTTTGGGGCTCTCTTTGATGTACAAAACACTCCTAAGTTAATGAAATGCGTTGCAGCTGGCTAATGGCTGGGAAAGTGCAAACCCTGCATTGAACCCTTCCCATCAGACTATTCAATGGCTAGGTAATGTCAGGCCCGAGCTGGAGAAGGGGCAAACAGGCTCGTTGCCAGGCAGGCCCGGGACTCCTGGGCAAACGGCTGTGGAGGGGCTGGTATTTTTCTCCTTTCAATAGAAGTGGTCTGTGCCTGCAGCAAATGAGAAATAAATCCATCAAGGCCAAGCTCAGGCTTATTTTGCTGGCTGCTAGAATTTGCATAAGAGCCTTGTATATACAGGTAAACAAAGACTTCCTGGAATTACTAATGTGGAGGTGATCTGAGAACTGGGAACAAAGTAGGGCCTCATCTTATGCAAAAAAAAAAAAAAGTCTGAATTAAATTTGACTTTGCTGCTGCTGATCATTTCACTGGCCTGATTCACTGGGAAAGTAGAGCATGCATAATTGGATAGGGAGGCGTTTTCTCACCCCTCTCTCCCTTGCTGCTACGGGCCAACTCCATGGAGAGACACCTTGGGTGTGGACTCCTTTGGGGAGTCGTCCTGTCTTCTGTACCTCTCTCCCCCCACAACTCCACTATAATCCCAGCTGAATTGCTGGCACTAAAAGTGTGTTCACCATCTAGACCCCTCCTCCCCCACATTTTACCAGAAATATTCCGTGTTTAAAATGCTTCCCTGTTCTCAGTTTGCCCTTATCTATGTTAGAATATAAACTTGGGTCAGGATCTCTGCTTTTAGACAAGAGGTCAGCAAACTACAGGCCAGCCTGTGAACTAAATCCAGCTTGCCACCTGTTTTGTTTTGTTTTTTTCCTTCTTCTTATTTTATTTTATGTTTGAGCTAGAGTCTCCCTTTGTCACCCAGGTTGGAGTGCAGTGGTGCAAACATGGCTCGCTGCAGCCTCGACTTCCCAGGCTCAAGCAGTCCTCCTGCTTCAGCCTTCCGAGTAGCTAGGACTACAGGTCTGGGCCACCACACTCAGCTAATACATTTGATGTTCTGTAGAGACAGGGTCTCACTTTGTTGCCCAGGCTGGCCTCGAGAACTCCTGGACTCAAGCGATCCTTCCGCCTTGGTCTTCCAAAATGCTGGGATTCCAGGCATGAGCCACTGCGCCCAGCTGCCACCGTTTTTGTACAGCCAAAAGTTAAGGAGAGTTTTAATATTTTTAAATGACAGAAAAAAAATCAAAAGACTATTTTGTGGCATATGGTAATTCTGTGAAATGCAAAGGTCAGTGTCCAGGGGTGAAGCATTATTGGAACCCCAAGTCATTTGTGCATTCTCTACGACCACTTTTGTGCAACAGCTGTGGAGATGAGGAGTTGCTTCACAGCCCGAAGAGTAAATATTCGCTGGCCCTTTGCAGAAAAAGTTCCATCCCTGCTTTGAGCTTTTTGCCTGGCTTAAACCATCCTTTTTGACCATTTCTGAAGTCTGAGGATAAGTTGAGATGGGTGAGAAACTGTCCATAATCCCAAGGTTTCCATCACCTTTGTCTGAAAAACGTTGTCAGTGCTACCATTTCCTCTACACTTTCCCCTCTTTTTAGTTTAAAATGGAACGAATTTTTGAAGTTCTTTCTAAAGCTTCCTTTCTGTACTTGGCCTCTCCACAGTCAAATCCTATGCAGACCTTCAAACAAATACTTCAGGTTTAAAATGTTCCAGGGATGTCTGTGCACCCTGAGTGCAAATTTGAGGGGAAAGGAGGGGATCTGATAAAACTTCTTATTAAGATATTTTCACATTCCAGACTCCCTCTGCCAATCCACAGTGTTGGGTTGGCAGCCCAAGGTTGCAAGCTTGTCTGAGCCAACGGAAATGAATCTGTCCATCCCCAAGCAGGTGCCCGGTTTTCTGCCCTTAGCTCTCTGCCTTTGTTAATTTCAACAGCATATTTCTCAAAAGAAGTTGCTGACCACTTTTTTACTTCCTCTTCATCCTATTTATCAGAGGTTACTGGGAGTGTGGTCGTATGACTTTCTACTGACTCCACTGTATCTTACGGTGCTGGGACCTTCTTTTTGAACTCCAGCTTTTGCAAGATTGTTGGCCACAGCTATTCTGCATCTATTAAGTATGGAATCTTTCTTCGTCAAAAGTTAACAGCAGTGGCTCTGTGTAGTGGATTGTGGGTGACTGTTTTTCTCTTCGTACTTTTCTATGTCTTCTAAGGGAAACATGTATTTCTTTTATATCAAAGAGAAGAAAGTTTAAAAAAAGGTTCTAAAAGTACTGGTGTAGCAGTAATCTCTACTTACTAATCAGTGTCTACATTGCTTCTTTCCTTTGCTTACTGAAGAGTGCCCAGACATGTGCAGATAGTATTTCAATCAATGAAACCAGATAGATCAATTCTGTCTAATAAGACCCTATTAAAAAACATTAGGTGTATGTGAGAAAGTATCTAAGAGTGTTTTGTATTTGCATTAAAAGAAACCTGGACTTCTGGTTTGTGGTCCAGCATGTAAGGACAAGTAAAAAGCTGAACAATGGCTGGGCGCAGTGGCTCACACCTATAATCCCAGCACTTTGGGAGGCCAAGGCGGGTGGATCATTTGAGGTCAGGAGTTCAAAACCAGCCAAGCCAACATGGTGAAATCCCATCTTTACAAAAAATACAAAAAATTAGCTGTGTGTAGTGGTGTATACCTGTAATCCCAGCTACTTGAGAGGCTGAGGCAGGAGAATTGCTTGAATCTAGGAGGTGGAGTTTGCAGTGAGCCGAGATCATGCCACCGCACTACAGCTTGGGTGACAGAGCGAGACTCTGTCTCAGTAAAAAAGAAAACAAACAAAAAAGCTGAACAAACAAACAAAAAACCAACAAAACAAAAAACCCAAAAAGCTGGAATGGTACTTATTGAATTGTCAATAGTAGTTATCTCGAAGTAGATTCTAGGGTCATGAGTACTTTTACTTTATGCTAAATTTGTTGGTTTATTTTGAATTTTAATTGTGATTATGTGTTACATTTGTAATGATAAAAATATTTGAAAGTAATTTAAGAATCCCAATCTCACATATATTTCCAAAGATCTTTGAATATCCAGTGGTCCCACCTACATCTGTTATTAATTAACCCCTTACTTCCACCCTCTCTTACAGCAAGAAACCCTGACGCTTAGCCCTAATATTCCCCACCATGGAAAATTTGGAAAATGTTAGTATGAGAGCTGATCTGGGTTGGGTAAAGCTGTTAAACTTTCTTTATGGCTTTTGCTTTTTGGGTTATGCATAGAAAGGCTTTTTCTACTCCAAGGTTATTTTGAAAAAAATCTGCTTTTATTTTGTCTCGAATATTTTGTTATTTAGGATTATTGTACTGTACAATTTCTAATCCACCTGGAATTTATTTGTGTATAAACTGTAAGGTAATAATCAGATACAGGATTTTTGACCTTACTATTCTGTAATCAACACAAATTAAAGTTGACATTTACAAGTGCACATGGTAAAAATAAATTATTAATTAGTTACATCCAGAATAAAATATTTTTGACAAATTTTTATCTGTAATATTTGACTTCATAGAAACAATGGTAGTAGAAGAAAACTCCCTTTATGGCTTTGGCTTTGGGTTATGGATAGAAAGGTTTTTTTCTACTCTAAGATTATAAAAATAAAAAAAATCTACTTTTTTTTTTTGGCGGGGGGGGGATGGAGTCTTGCTCTGTTGCCCAGGCTGGAGTGCAGTGGCATGATCTCGGCTCACTGCAAGCTCCATGTCCTGGGTTCACGCCATTCTCCCATCTCAGCCTCCCAAGTAGCTGGGACTACAGGCGCCCGCCACCATGCCCGGCTAATTTTTTGTATGTTTTAGTAGAGATGGGGTTTCACCGTGTTAGCCAGGATGGTCTCAATCTCCTGACCTCGTGATCTGCCCTCCTTGGCCTCCCAAAGTGCTGGGATTACAGGTGTGAGCCACCGTACCCAGCCTCTATTTTTTTCTAATACTAGTTTTTCCCTAAGAGCAGCAAAAGTTTTAACTGAAAGATTTGTTCAAAAAAATACAATTTGCTGCAAGCCATTAGAAGATTTAAATGAAAATAAATTTTGGTCTTAATGAAAATAATTTTAATAAGATAAAAATAGAAATGGGGAAAAAGAAAAACAAACAAAAATTAGAAATGGTGATAATTAGAAATGTTTTAATTATGCTATATGGCAAATTGATTAAGAAAAAATAAAATTGATTTAATCCCCAAAAAAATTCTCATGGAAAATTCATCAGTGTTGGTAAATTATTATTTTAAAAAATTGTATTAATAAAACTAGAGCAAAAAAGTCTTGGGGCCAAATCAGTGCAGTCAAGATGTTCCTTTTCTGTGGAGAATATATTTTATTTTTCTAAATAAGTTGCTCGTTATTCTGATACCAGTTATGTAGGCTTCAACCAATTCTTTCTTAATTGGATTGAAATGAAACTTTTTCATTTACTGAATTCCCATACTGGGGTCTATGTCTGTACTCTTCATTTCTGTGATCTGCTTGCCTAATGTGCACTGTTTTCAATTATTATAGATTTACAGTAGTGTTGAGACTGGGCACAGTGGCTCACGCCTGTAATACCAGCACTTTGGGAGGCTGAGGTGGGCAGATCACTTGAGGTCAGGAGTTCGAGACCAACTTGGCCAGCATGGAGAAATCCTGTCTCCACTAAAAATGCGAAAATCAGCCAGGTGTGGTGGCGGGCACCTGCAATCTCAGCTACTCAGGAGTCTGAGGCAGGAGAATCACTTGAACCCGGGAGGTGGAGGTTGCAGTGAGCTGAGATCATGCCACTGCTCTCCAGCCTGGGCAACAGAACAAGACGCCGTCTCAAAAAAATAAATAAATAAAATAAAAAATAAAAAAATACATGAAGTAGTGTTGATAACTAGTTGACTAAGCTCCCTCTTCCCCCAGTTTGAACTGAATTATTTGTCAACATTTTGTTGGCTGTTCATTCACATTTACTCTGCCATGAAACTTTAGCAACAGTTAGTTAAATAAACCAGATTTTTAATAAACCATTGGCAAGCTGCACAAATCAGGCATTTTAGTTTTAATCTCCTATCATTAAAATTTTAACCTCTAGCCTTGATTTTATATGCAGATACAGATATACAGATGTTTGTGTATTCCCCTTGTTTGATGTTTAGCTTTTAAATTAATCAAAATTATTTAATTTATTTTTGCTTTCAGATCCTGTTTTTATTTTGAGGCTTTATAATCTTTTGTTATTCATTCCTTCTGAAGATAATTTTAGGTAGTATATTATATTTTGTTCATTATCTGTTCATTTTCAAAAATGATTAGGCCGGAAAGCCCTTGCACTTCTGCTGCTCCATATGATATAATTTTGGCATCTCTGTGGAAGTAAAAATGGCAAAGAAGGTTTATTTATATTTCTGAAATTCATTACATACTCTGAGTGTTGATGAAGGGCCAAGATGTCTAAGTGGCCTTGCTAGTGGCATTTCGGTATGTCCTCTTTCTCTTTTCTAGAGAATAGGAATCTATTATTTATCCTGTCCTTTGCTGTGTCCTCTAAATTCCTGGATGAAATTCACAAGGAGCTTGTAGAGTCTACTTCGCTGTTTGATGAGAGTTGGTGATTTGAATTTGCATTCTAATGTGTCTCCTAAGGAGAGAGACTTAACCTTCACAAAGTTGTATTTTGTGAATTTGATATGAGATAATGACCAATTCTTTGAACTGATATCTTGCTTATATATCACTTGTTTATGGCTTATTTTTGGATTAACGACATAACCGTTGGTTCCGTATGGGTTTTGTTTTTTTAAACTACCTTTTATATACAAGAAATACCCCATGAAGGCAGAAATTTGGTCTAATTTCTAATTCTGTCTTCAGTGTATAAAATAATGCCTGGCTCAACACAGTGACATGTGCCTGTAGTCCTAGCTATCCAGGAGGCTGAGATGGGAGAATCTCTTGAACCTAGGAGTTTGAGGCTGCAGTGAGCTATGATCGCATCATTGCATTCCAGCCTGGACAGACAGAGTGAGACCCCATTTCTATAAACATAAGTAAAGTTAAGCTAAAAAATGCCTGGCACATAGTAAAATTAAGCTAAAAAATGCCTGGCACATAGTAGCCACCCAGTAAATATTGTCGATTGACTGACCTGCATATCTATGTTTCCAAACGCAACTTTTGAAGGATGGTAACTAATCAGAATTAGCTATTTGGCTGCCCCAGATGCCATTAACAGCATATCTGAAACAGATCTCACACAAAGCCTCTGACTCCTCTTTTTCTTTCTTTCTTTCTTTCTTTCTTTCTTTCTTTCTTTCTTTCTTTCTTTCTTTCTTTCTTTCCTTTCTTTCTTTCTTTCTTTCTTTCTTTCTTTCTTTCTTTCTTTCTTTCTTTCTTTCTTTCTTTCTTCTTTCTCTTTCTTGCTTGCTTGCTTGCTTTTCTTTTTTCTTTTTTTTTTTTTTGATGGGGTTTTGCCATGTTGCCCAGGCTGGTCTCAAACTCCTGGGCTCAATTGATCCACCTGCCTTGTCCTCCCAAAACCCTCTTATTCCCAAACTCTGATATTGGCGGCCTCCTCCTCCTCCTCATAATGTTCCTCCTTCTCCTCCTCCTCATAATGTTCAGGCTCAAACCTTTTCATTCATTTGTGAGTTTCTCTCTCTGTCTCCCCCAACATCCCCCATCACCTTCATGTCCATATCCAATTAACCCTCATATTTGCTGATTCTTCTTTACAGTATCTCTATACCTGTTCATTTCTTCCATTTCCCACTGCCCTAGTTTGGGATCTTGCTCTCTCTCACTTGGCTATTACAATTGCCTGTAATTATTGTCTTTTCCTTCCAGGGCTCTCCCTACTCTCCCACTTTGCCAAAGTCTGTTTCAATATTGCTTCTAGAACAATCATCCTTAAACAGGGTTGACCTTGTCACTGTATGCCTGTAATGATTTCTTATTGCCTAGAGAATGCCATTCAAATTCTTGAGCCTAATTTGCCTATTCTTCCAGAATGTGCAAGGCCCAGATCATGATTTCCAGTTTAATTTGTATCCTGCCATGCATGTTATTTTCCAGCCAGGACTGTGTCCCGTCATTCCCTAGACACACCCCACAGTTTATTTGCTGCTATTCTTTGTCCTGTCTCTTTGGGCTTCAGCTACACAGACCTCCTCTCAGTTGATTGCCTCCCTGCCTTCTCCCAACATAGTCATGGCCAGAAGGGCCCTCCCTGGTTTTTCTTCCAGCAGTACTTAGCTGCATAATGGTCACTCATTCTCCAGATCTCACTCCACGATCACTTCTCAGGGAAGCCGTCCATGATCTGCCACTCCCCATTTTCTACCTTTAGACTAGGTCAGTGATATGGTTTGGCTATGTCCCCAGCCAAATCCCGTCTTGGGATTATGGGAATTGTAGCTCCTATAATCCCCACATGTCATGGGAGGGACCCGGTGGGAGGTAATTGAATCACAGGGGTGGGTTTTTCCCATGCTGTTCTCATGACAGTGAATAAGTCTCACGAGATCTGATGGTTTCATAAAGGGCAGTTCCCCTGCACATGCTCCCTTGCCTGCCACCATGTAAGATGTGCCCCTGCTCCTCCTTCACCTTCCACCATGACTGTGAGGCCTCCCCAGCCATGTGGAACTGTGAGTCCATTAAACTTATTTCCCTTATAAATTACCCAGTCTCCGTATGTCTTTATAGCAGTGTGAGAACAGACTAATAGTGATACAGTTAGATACTAGGTCACTGTCACAGCTCCTGTACCAAATAGTCCACAGTTCTTAATTATACACATTTGAGAGACCATTTGATTAAGGATTGTCTCCCCACTGTACTGTAAACTCTACGGATAGAGAGATCTGGACCACTTTGCTCACCATTGTATTCCTTCTACCCAGCTCAGCAGTACATACTACATACCTAATGAATGAATGAATGCATCAATGGCTTTAAAAGCCCTGGCCATGCTCCTTACCCCATCTCCTCTCAGAATCTGTCCGAGAACCCCCATTTTGAATTCATCTCTCGATTTTTTCCAATCCGATCATGCTTAACCTCTTCTCTAGTAGGCAGTAGCTCCAGAGAGTAGTTAAGTCAGGAAAATGGTCAGGTTTGTGTTTAAGGATGAACATTAGTGCAAGGCTTTGTCCATAGGAGTGAATAATAAAGGTCTGTAAAAGTTGAAATTTTGGTTAAATTTGAAATGTTCAAAGTATTATGTCGTGTTTCTAATGACATGAAAGTTTGAGTCAGAAGTCCATGTGAAACAGTGTCCTGTGATTTTACCTTAATCTTAGCCAGTCAATGTACGAATGCATGAGGGTGTTAATTAGGGAGACAGGGAAGGAATCTGTGATGAATTCAGTGGGAGTCCACACCCATAAGTAGAAATCCAGGCTCTAGTATTGGTGTAAGAAGTTAATATCATCTTCTTACATTCTTCTTTGGTTTTCTTTTGCACACCTACCTTTATAATCTTGTTAATAAATTCTAGCAGATCATGATAACCAGGACATGGCAGGAAATAATGATTAACTAATCTGTGTTTATCCTGTCAACTGTACTGTATCTGGGAACATAAGTCCTCATGGAAAAATTTGGCCTTTGTTTATTTAAATCTGCTCCCACAAAGGAAAGGTAACGCATGAGTTTTGCCAAGGCTGCAGGGCTTTTTATTCTTTCCCTGCCCCACCTCCCCCACCCTTCCAATAGAAATCTAAGGGCTGCAGGTTTATTGCTCTTTATTCTATTCAATGCAAAATGAGTTGTCCTTGTTGTCCTTCAGCCTTGTTTTGCCAAGTTTTCATTTGGACTAATAGATGGTGTATTTCAAAAAATAGTGCTCAAAATGTAATATGGCACCATTAGCTTTGGACTACCACAGAGAGTTTGGAGAATTTCCTGGGGCCTATGTGTTAATTTAAAGTTGCAGGAAAGAACATGGGAAGGAACAACAATAGCTGTGGTTATACTCTATCCTAGAGCTGCCAAGCAGGTTAATATTAATGGTAATGGCCTCATGCAGGGCTGCATTATGGGTATTTTCTTATCTTAGCCATTAGAAGGGTGCTGGGGTTAGGTTTTAATAACAGAAAATATACTCATTTATCTTTCTTGCTATTTAAAAATGTGAGAAAACTCCTAAGAGAGATCATTCTTCTGAGAGTCAGGAAAGGTGCTGAGATGCAAATTATTCAATTTGATAAAACAGTACCTAGTATGTTTCTTATTTATTTTTTACAGACAGGATCTCCATCAGCAGTGGTACAATCATAGCTCACTGCAGCCTTGAGCTCCTGGGCTCAAGTGATTCTCCTGCCTCGGCCTCCCTGAGTAGCTGGGAAGACAGGTGCACCACCATGCCTAGCTTTTTTTTTTTAACTTTTTATTTTTTGTAGAGATGGGATCTTATTATGTTGCCCAGGCTGACTTAATTGTTTCTTTGGTTGAATTGTTCCTTCCTGAAGGTAGGAGGATACCTCTCTGCCTAAAGGTAAGGTCCAGCAGAGGAAAAAAGGCAAACTCCAATGCTTTAGAAGAGAAAGCTGAGGTGTTTGGGATTTCAGGCAGTCCTCTTTATCTACAGATAAGAAAGAAAGACAATGAGATTATTGTCAGGTTCTGGGACTTTCATAACTTTTCCATGTTTGTTATTGTGGTTATTCTTTGTGCCTATGATGAGTACCAGCAAAAGGCTTAAAATGAAAATCTTGGCTGGGCACGGTGGTTCACGCCTGTAATCCCAGCACTTTGGGAGGCTGAGGTGGGTGGATCACTTGAGGTCAGGAGTTCGAGACCAGCCTGGCTAACATGGTGAAACCCTGTCCTTACTAAAAATACAAAAATTAGCCAGGTGTGGTGGTGCATGCCTGTAATTGCAGCTACTTGAGAGGCTGAGGCAGGAGAATTGCTTGAACCTGGGTGGTGGAGGTTGTGGTGAATCGAGATTGCACCACTTCACTCCAACCTGAGTGACAGAGAGAGACTCTGTCTCACACACACACAAAAGAAGTCTCCCAAAATGAAAATCACTGTAGACAGTGTAATAGATAAGTAGATATGGTAAATTAATTCATCCACTCAACTCAACCAGTTTTCATTGAGTACCCATTCTGTGCCAGGGGTTCTTCCAGAGACTAGAAATACAATGATGAACATCACAAAGGCATGTGACTTCACTGAGCTGACATTGTAGTGTGAGACAATGAAGGAAATTAATAAAATTTAGAGTATTAGATACTGATAAGTGCTACAAAGGAAAAAAAATGAAGGAGTATAGACAATGTTAAAGATGATGCTGGGAGTGGTGGCTCATGCCTGTGACCCCAGCACTTTGGGAGGCCTAGATGGGAGCATCACTTTAGTCCAGGGGTTCGAGACCAGCCTGGGCAACATAGCAAGACCCTATCTCTTAAAAAAAAAAAAGTTAAAGGTTTTAAAATTTAAAAAAATTTTAAATATGATAGTCAGGAAATGCTTTGTTGAAAAGCATTTTATTTAAAATAAAGGTCTGAAGGAAGGGATGGAGCTAACTGTGTGGTTATTTATCGGGGAGGGTGTTCCAGGCAAAGGAACAGTAAGTTCAAAGGTAACTTCTGAGACTAGGTTAGAAAAGGAATTTATTCACTCGATGTATCTGAAAACTCAAGGGCTCAAGGCTGGCTTCAGGCATGGCTTGATAAAAGGATTAAGAAAACATCCTTTGCTTTGCTTTCCCCTGTGTTGTTTTATTCTGACACAGGCTGGCCTTTTGTGACTGTAGGATAGCTATAATACCTCTGGTTCTTACGTCTTTGTACTTCAACTCTGTGGGTAGAGTGAAGGGCTTTGTCTCAGCATTGCCAGTAAAGTCTCATTTTCTCTTTTCACTCTGATTGAGTCACTGCCCATTTCTGCACCAATCACTATGGTCAGAGCAAATGCCATGTGCTGATTGTTTTATGTTTGTGTCACTTACTATACCAGAATGGCATAGACTGAGAGGGTATCTGTCTATGTGTCTGTTTTGGTGTATAGTGTACAGAGGAGTGGGGTGAAGGGAGGCAAGAGTTCCCTTGAGAAAACTGAGGCCCAATAGAAGGGTAAATGGATTTTTGGATAGCAAAAACAGCAAGACTGTACCATATCACGTCTTTTAGCTTAAATAAGATCCTTGGCAGAGTGAGATCTATCACAGACAACCTATGAAAAGCATTTCATCACCATTGAACATAGTTTACTTTTCTTTAAAATGAAGAGGTTGGACTCAGGGTTTTTAAGATTACATTCTAATTTATGGGCTATGACTCAGTGTATTTTTTCAGGGTATTTTTAAAGATGTATTAAAGATAAAAAATCAGAATGGCAAATACAGTCTGTTAAAGTGAAGTCAAAATGGAGTATTTGGCATTTATTATGGCTGTTGATACTTGGCATAAGGGCCAGCATTGAATATAGGCCTAAAATGCGAGTTTCTTTTTTTCATTTTTCTGAACCTATGGATTGTATTGAATTAAAATGCAAGCTTCTTAAAAGCTGATGTGATCAATCTCAGATGCTTCTAATTTACTGTTTCCTCTACTTGATAAACTACAGGAGGAGAGACAAAGAAAGGGTACACCTCAGGATCTCTGCTGGGTCAATATGCCACCTGCAGTGGGGATACTGAGTTGTAAGCCGGCTCCAGGAGCACATGTAGCAAAGCTTCTATGTGTGTAGGGGAGAATGAAAGCTCTTCACTCTTTTGTATTGGCCTCTGTGACATTACAATAATGTGAGCATAGAGTGTCCTGAAGTTAGAAGGCAGCTCTGGAGATTCATTTCTTGGACTTTCTTTTTTTTTTTTTTGAGATGGAGTCTTGCTCTGTCGCCCAGGCTGGAGTGCAGTGGTGTGATCTCTGCTCACTGCAAGTTCCACCTCCCGGGTTCACACCATTCTCCTGCCTCAGCCTCCCGAGCAGCTGGGACTACAGGTGCCCGCCACCACACCCGGCTATTTTTGTATTTTTAGTAGAGACGGGGTTTCACCGTGTTAGCCAGGATGATCTCGATCTCCTGACCTCGTTATCCGCCCGCCTCGGCCTCCCAAAGTGCTGGGATTACAGGCATGAGCCACCGCGCCCGGCCCGTTTCTTGGACTTTCAAGATCGTGCAGCCCTTCCTTAGTGGTGGATTGGATGGAGAATGGCTGAAGTACATGGCCACTCCCACATGAAGTGTCTTGAGCCTTAGCCTCTCCTCAAGCAGTTACTTCCAACAGCAAGTGACCTTTATAAATATGTTTAATATTTTATATCAATATCAGAGCTCAGCACTTTATATTAAATTTGGAGATGTGCGTGTCTGATATTTGGCATTGCATAAGAGAGTAAGGTATCTTCTTCAAGCTTCCTGCATGATTTGGGCAACACCTAAGCTACCTCCATGTACAATTTCAAGTGTCAGGAACAGTGCACTTGGGTAACCCAAAACCTACTTTTGTGCATAATATCTCAAAAATTTCTGTGTTCTTCAGCACAGTACACGAAGGCCACGCCAGACTCAGACTACCCTCCTTCTATGACAGATTCAAGGATTTGTGCACTCTTGTCTTCTTAACCAAATAAAGAAACATTTTTATTCAGATTCAGGAAGTCTTCAGAGCCCCACAAAGACCCCTTGCATTTCTCCAGGCAGTTTTTGTTTTAACTTGGAAGGGCAACACTGCAGCCCTCCAGGAGGAGGCAGGGTCCCTTGAAACTCCCTCCCATACCCATCCAAAACATTCTCTTTATCATGGATTTTATGTGCTTGACTCATCAGAATGGTATTTGTCTCTGAAATATTTCCCTAAAATAAATTATACTTAATAATCTCTTATACTATGCTGTGATCAATATTGTTCCTATGCTCTGTTATCACAGGCAGTCAGCCAATAAGCACTGGCTCAGCAAACTGGACTGTACACATTTAGCCAATGAGAGTGACTCTGTCCTTCCTGAGTTGGTGTGTCTGCAGTGTGTGTTGTTTCTTCCACCGTGGTGTCTCTGCCATCTATTTGTGTTCTTTTCATGGCTGACACAAAAGCAATAGCAATAGGCTTGCTGTAAAGAAAGAAAAGAAAAACAGTTATAATAGATATTATAATGTAAATGTTATCAAGAGAAGGGGAAGACTGGGAGAAAATATTTGCAAAATATGTGTCTTTTTTTTTGGAGACAGGGTCTCCCTCTGTCACCCAGGCTGGAGTGCAGTGGCATGATCACAGCTCACTGCAGCCTCGACTTCATGGGCTCAGGTCATCTTCCTGTCTCAGCTTCCTGAGTAGCTCTGACCACAGGCATGCGCCATCACGTCTGGCTAATTTTTCTTGTTATTTGTAGATACTGGGGTTTGGGGGGGTGGGGTGTCTCACTTTGTTGCCCAGGCTAATCTTGAACTCCTGGGCTCAAGCAATCCTCCCACCTCAGCCTCCCAAAGTGCTGGGATTACAAGGGTGAGCCACCATATCCAGCCTGAAAAATGAATATCTGATAAAGGACTGCTATCCAAAATATACAAAGAATTCTTAAAATTAACAATAAGAAAAAAGGCCAGGCAGAGTGACTCGTGCCTGTAATCCCACCATTTTGGGAGGCTGAGGATCCCTTGAGGTTAGGATGGACAACATACCCATCTCTACAGAAAAAAAACAAACAAACAAGGAAAAAATAAACTTACTTGGGCATGGTGGTGCATGCCTGTAGTCCCAGCTACTCACAGGGCTGAGGCATGAGGATTGTTGGAGCCCAGGAATTTGAGGCTGCAGTGAGGTATAAATGCACCTTTGCCCTCCAGCCTGGGTGACAGAGCAAGACCCTGTCTCTAAAATTTAAAAAAAAAAAAAAAAAAAAAAAGAAGAAGAAGAAAGAAAAGAAAAGAAAAGGGAAAGAAAGAGAAGAAAACAATGCAATAAAGAAATAGGCAAAAGACCTGAACAGATGCCATGCCAAAGAAGATATACAGATGGCAAATAATCATATGCTTAACATCCTATGTAATTAGGGGATTCCAAATTAGAGTAATAATGACATACCACTACACACCTATTAGAATAGACAGAATCTAAAACACTGACAACATCAAATACTGGTGAGAAGGGGAACAACAGCAACTCTCATGCATTGCTAGTGGGAACGCAAAATAGTACAGTCACTTTAGAAGAGTTTGGCAGTTCTTACCTAACTAAATATCCTCTTAGCATATGATTCATATGATCCAGCTATCACACTCCTTGACTTACTTAATGGAATTGAAAACTTATGTCCATACAAAAACCTGCAGATGGGTGTTTATAGCAGCTTTATTCATAATTGCCAAAATTTGGAAGCAACCAATATGTCCTTCAGTAGGTGAATGAATAAATAAACTGTGGTATATCCAGACAATGAACTAATATTCAGGGATAAAAACAAATGAAGTTGGCTGGGCGCAGTGGCTCACACCTGTAATTCCAGCAATTTGGGAGGCCGAGGCGGGTGGATTGCTTGAGTCCAGCAGTTTGAGGCCAGCCTGGGCAACATGGTGAGACCCCGTCTCTACAAAAATGCAAAAATTATCTGGGCATGGTGGCATGCACCTGTGGTCTCAGCTAATAGGGAGGCTGAGGTGGGAGGATCACTTGAGCCCAGGAGGTCGAGGTGGCAGTAAGCCAAGATTGCACCACTGCACTCCGGGCTAGACTACAGAGTGAGACCCTGTCTCAAAAACAAGCAAACCAGCAAACAAAAAACGAAACAAATGAATTACCAAGTCATGAAAAGACATAGAAAAGACTTAGATGCATATTACTAAGTGAAAGATGCCAATCTGAAGAGGCTAGATATTGTGTGATTCCATGGAAACGTGAACAGTCAACGATTAGTGGTTGCTAGAGGTTAGGTGGGAAGGAGGAATGAATAGACAGAGTATAGAGGATTTCTTGGGCAGTGAAACAACTCAGTATGATACTGTAAAGGCGGATACATGTCATATATTTGTTAAAAACCGATAGAAAGCACACGTAGAGTGAACTCCAATGTAAACTATAGACTTTGAGTGATACCGCGTCATGTAGGTTCATCCATTATAACAAACGTGCCACTTTGGTGGGGGATGTTGACAGTGGGGAAGTTGTGCATGTGTGGAGGCAGAGGGATTATGAAAACTTTCCATTTAATTTCTCTGTGATCCTAAAACTGCTCTCAAAAGAAAGCCTATTTTAATAATGCAAGTTTTATGGTTCATTGAGGTGCCTATGAGGACTGTGCTGTGCGATCTCAGCCTGTTCAGAGCCTTTCAGACAAGCTTTCCTGGCCCTTCCTTGTGTCTGTTTCTTGAAGACTAGGGAAAGAAAGTGGAGAGGGATGCTTCTCATTTGAGTTTCTAGAAGGTCTTCGTTGGAAATCATTCCCCTTCCTTATCAGAGTTGGGCAGTAGCAAGGGCAACCTTCTCAGGGAGGACGGCTAGATAACAGTGGAAGCCCTCTTTACCAGCAGGGCCGCCGCAGCAAGAGCCCACTGCCTGTGGCTGCCAGCCTTGCTGGCTGAACAAGGAGAAGGGTTTGTTAAGTGAATGGCTAATAATTGTGGTAATGGCCAACATCTAATGTTCGTACACATTGAGCCAGGCAGAATGCTAAGTGTTTTATAGGGATTGTCTCAACTCACAAAAGAATAATAGCTAGTAGCACCAACTGTATGCCAGGCACTGTTCTCAGAGCATTAGATACATTATATTGGTCTAATCATGAGAACAACCTAATGAGACCATGCCATTCTTTTTCCTGTTTTACAGATGAGGAAACTGAGGCTTAGAGAAACCAAATAACTTTCTCATTGTCACACAGCTGCTAAGTGGTATAGCCAGTAATTACACTCAAGGACAGCATGACTCCAGAATAGTCTTTTAGTCATAGTTGTGCAGGACACACATAGTTGTACAGGACACTGAATATATATTTTGCCCCCATGTTCTTCATATACCATATGTTATTGGCTAATGAGAGCTAGCACAACAGGCTATCGTACACTCTTTTCTTTTTTCTGTGAACTTATGGATTGTACTGAAATATCATACGCTCTTAATCAGTTCAGGTGATTACATCCCATTATGATTGTGATTGTTAAATGTTTAGAACAGAAAGCATAAGGCAATGGCTGGGTGCAGTGGTTCACGCCTGTAATCCCAGCACTTTGAGAGGCTGCGGTGGGTGGATCGCTTGAGTCCAAGAGTCTGATACCAGCCTGGGCAACATGGTGAAATCCCATCTCTACAAAAAAATACAAAAATTAGCTGGGCATGGTGGCGTGCACCTGTGGTCTCAGCAACTTGGGAGGCTGAGGTGGGAGAATCGCTGGAGTCCAGGGGGTGGAGGTTGTTGTGAGCCAAGATTGCACCACTGCATTCCATCCTGGGTGAAAGAGTGAGACCCTGTCTCAAAAACAAAAAACCAAACAAAACAAAACAAAAAAAGAAAGCATGAGGCAAGATTGAAGAAGTGGAAGGAGAGGTGAGGTGATTATTCAAAGGGATTATATAAGTTGCCACAATCTTGAAAAGTTTGCCCTGTTCAGGAACTGGCCTATAAGTTTGCAGAAACCTCATTTGGCCAGTCTATTGGGAGGCTTAGCTTCTCTGGAATGGGCTCTTAGAAACACCATTGAAAACCCAAGAAATGAAGTCTCTATCTTGCATAGCCAAATGATCCGCCAAAAATCAGGGTCTTTATCAGTGTGGACAAAGTTGGGAACGGGATCATTGTCCAAGACTGATCTCCCAAGGTTTAGACCCCAGTTCTCATTATTCCAGGGAGAGGTGAGTGCATCCCCACCCGTGAACATAGAGGTAGTGAACCCTGCTGCTACTCTGCTACATTATACAGGACACTTGCGAGGCTTGTGCCCCAGCTTCTGATCACTTTAGAGTCCCAGTTCTTCTATTCCATATTGCTATTTTTTTCCTGGTCCCTGATCAGGTAAGCAGAGGGTTCAATATTAATCGTGTAATGTAAAAGCCTCCCACCCAAGAGTTGGGAGTCTCTCTTCTGGAGTCTGATATCCGGTCTTTTCAATTTGCTAATTGATGAGCAAGAGAATCCCACACTACCTGCTACCATTGCTGTCCCTGTGAGTTCTCCCCATAATGTGTTTCCAGCAGGTCTGAATGTGAACTCTTCCCCCATTTGCCCCTGTTTGCAGGACATGGGACACCTAGCAGTATTGCTGCATATCAAATTGGATTATTATTATTTTTCTCTTTCTTTGAGATGGGGTCTTGCTATGTTACCTGTGCTGGTTTTGAACTCCTGAGCTCTCAGCCTCCTGAGTAGCTGGGATTATAGGTGTGTGCCACTGCGCCCAACTAGTGTAGGATTATTTTAATCCCTCTGACTTTCTTTTTTCTATGCTTCTACTGTTGTTCCAGCCCCATTTTCTACAATATATTCTTTCTTGTGTGTTGTAATGCTTCTAATCAATTACACCCCAGTTTTGCTGGCCTCGGGCAGCCTTTCTATATTCTAGTCTTTTAAGTGGCATTTTTATTTTTCTTTTCCAGTTTACTTTGGGTCATATGATTAAACTATTTTTATAACAGAAAAAATGAATACAATAAAGAAAAACATTAGGGAAAACACTGCTTGAGATGTGTAGGCCTTAGAATTAGGATAGTCAGGCCATTTTATCACTTCTCTCTACTTTGGTTTAGCATTGACATAATGATGAGATATATAACGTTTAAACCCAGTGTTTATGCAAGAAAGAACTTGCTGATTGTGCATCTGGACATAGCAGTACACACGAAATGCATTAAACTTTGTTTTCTGGTATTGAACTAAACTTTGCTTTTTAAATGCTTATTTCTCTGTCCAAAGGAAAGCTTTTTATATTCCAGCAATTTTGCTATGTACCACAGCAGGAAACTAAAAGGCACCTGAGAAGCTGCAATTTGTAACTAGGAAAATGGAAAGAAATTAAAATTAGCATACAAGATGTTTTTCTCTGATCCATCTTTCTGCATGTTTCACAATCTTCTTTAGAAACACTGAATTCCTCTTATTACATGACCCATAACTATAGTGCAACAAGAAGAGTACATTGCAATAATTTTAAACAAGAATAGAAAAGAAAAGTCCTAACCAAAAAAGAAATCTACCTAGCAATAATGAAGGAAATCCTTAGAAATCTTGTACTTGCCTAAAAGAACATTACCTTGTGAGCTAAATCTCATTGAAAATGGAACTTTGATGGAAAAAGTAAACATTGTTTCAAAGCTAACCACATTCGTGTCTTAGTCACATAGCTATTCTTTAAAAATGTACAGAAATGGGGATATCTAACCAGAAATACCAAATTGGAATGCAGATATTTTATTGTTTTAGAATTTGATATCTTTTATAAAAGATTTTCTAATAAGATTTCTGAAAAAATCAAAATTAGACACACAACTAGGACTTCCGTAAGTGAAGCAAATGCATTTAAATCCCTTTCTTCCTGTTCTTTTATATTAATTCTTCCTAGACTTATTAAATGCCTTCTTTTGCTTGATTTTCATTTGCTTTCTCTTTTCATCTGTTCTGTTTTCATGTTCTGTCTGAGCTAGATTGGACTTGTGGTCTCTAATTTTAGTATAAGCCTCTCATCTCTCCCTCCTAAATCACTCTATACATAATTGCTAGGATTTTCCCCCTGCAGTACTAGAGCATTCAATATAATAGTTTTCATGGTCTAATCCAGGTTTTCCTTTCTAGCTGCACTTCCTCCCACTCCGCATCTGGTCCCCTAAGACCAAGCACAGCCAGTTACTTCCTAGTCCTCAAACTCACCACGCCCACCTTTGTACCATTGCACAGAGCTTTTCTCCAGAGCACTCCTGGTCCTGCATAGAGAGCTCCTTTTCATCCTTCAATCATAAAGTTAAGCTCCCTTTTCTGATTCTTCCAGCATCTCCTCTGTGGAATTCTGTGACCCTGGACATACCTTGACCTTACTGCAATAGGTACACATTTCAGCTCACAATTTTTTTCTATTGCCCAATTGAATTTGCAATTGGAACCCTCATTCTACCTCTTGCTATCTAAGCTCAGACAAATCAGGGTATATTTTTCTATCTTTTCTCTGGGGTTATGTCTAAACCCGTGAAGCCTAAAGGGCTTATACAGACCCAAATGAGATAGGGAATGTGTTCTCAGTCATCACCTATTCTTGGTAGGCTCCACTTGATGCCCATTCTCTGCCTTCTCTCTTCTTTTGATTGTTGGTCCAGACAGGTGACGATAGCATCCCTTTTTTTTTTTTTTTTTTTTTTGAGACAGAGTCTCGCCCTGTCGCCCAGTCATGAGTGCAGTGGCGCAATCTTGGCTCACTGCAAGCTCCGCCTCCCAGGTTCACGCCATTCTCCTGCCTCAGCCTCAGCCTCAGCCTCCCGAGTAGCTGGGACTACTGGCACCCGCCACCATGCCCGGCTAATTTTTTTGTATTTTTAGTAGAGACGGGGTTTCACCGTGTTAGCCAGGATGGTCTCGATCTCCTGACCTCGTGATCCGCCCGCCTCAGCCTCCCAAAGTGCTGGGATTACAGGCGTGAGCCACCATATAGCATCACTCTTATTCTCAGCTTTGAAAGACCTTCATATTCAGCCAAACTCCCTACTTTGGTGCCCTTCCTGAGCACGTGAAAGTGTATATTTCCAGGCAGTGTTGGAAAATGGGAATGTTCAGGGTGCTAGGACTCTTGTCTCTTTTCTGGATTGCTCTCAGAAACAAGAGGCCATTCTGTTAACTCAACGAGGCTGTCTGAGGCCTCCCCGCCCCACCCTGCCCCCCCAGATACAGCATGCTGATATTTCTTTTCTGGGGTTGCATTCTTCTATTCTGGGAGCTCTTCATTTTTGGGGGGGTTCGTGTCATTCCCCCTTCCCCTGCATACGGACCCTTCTTACAGACCCGGCTGCATCTAAGTTCCTCAGTTTCTTCTGACTCCTTCTCCTCCCCACACTAAGCAGTGTTACTTAGTAGAGAGTGAGATGAATGGAGGGTGGGAGGAGGCATTGGGAAGTCTCTGTCTAACCCCATTTTGTTGTCTCTGAGCTCCCTTGGGGCTAGGCTTTTCAAACTCAAAAGCTTTTCCTCTGCTTTTAACTATAATACTGTCTTGCCAAACCCCCATAATATTAAAACGGGGCAAAAGAATGGGGTTCTAAATAAGAAATGGTCCCAATATTTCAAAATATCATCACACTGCAATAGTACTTATTATATTGTTTTAATATAGATCGTTTATTTTTAATTTTTATTTTTCTCCTTCCCCAGACCGTGAGCTTACATCTTTCCTTTTATTACTCTCTAAATCATGTAATAACACCAGAGAAAAGATGGAAAGATTGATTTACCTGAATTAGGTATCTTCAACAGGTAGAAAGAGGGTACAGAATATAAACTAAGGCCAGGTGGGGTGGCTCACACATGATCCAAGGTGGGAGGATTGCTTGAGGCCAAGAGTTCAAGGTTACAATGAGCTACGGTCATGCCACTGCAGTCCAGCCTGTCTCTAAATAAAATAAGATAAATTTAAAAAGAATATAAATTAAGCCGGGCACGGTGGTTCATATCTGTAATCCTACATGCGGGGAGGCCAAGGTGGGCAGATCACTTGAGGTCAGGAGTTCGAGATCAGCCTGACCAACATGGTGAAACCCCGTCTTTACTAAAAACACAAAAATTACCTAGGTGTGGTGCACACCTGTAATCCCAGGTACTCAGGAGGCTAAGGCAGGAGAATTGTTTGAACCTGGGAGGTGGAGGTTGCAGTGATCTGAGATGGTGCCACTGCACTCCAGCCTGGATGATGGAGTGAAACTTTGTCTCAAAAACAAACAAACTAATTAACTATATATAATATATTATATATATATATTCTACATATATATAAAATCTACATATGGATGATAGATATGTATAAATTAAATTGAACAATAGAAAAAAATATGAGCTGAAATATATACCATTGCATTAAATCAGAGTATATTCAGGGTTCCATGATGGCACAGTACCAGAGAGAGAGAGTAGGATCTCAGCATCTGGTGAATGAATTGATCAATTACATGATTAATACCAACGGCTTTCATTTATCCATTGCCTACCATATGCTAGGTACAAGCAAGTCTTCTCGACACTGTTACAAGAAGGCATTTTTTCCCCATTTATACTTGAGGAAAACAACCAAGGCTCAGAGAGGTAACATCTTTTGTCCCAAATCAAACAGCTGGTGAGTAGCAAATATAAAATTCTAATCCAGGTTATGGGTTCGAGTCCAAATCCTTTATTCTTTCCTCTCACCCATATTATATAATCAATTTTGTTGAATGTATGAGGTACTTATAGGTGCAAGATCCAGTGTGAGATACGTGTGTGTGTATTTGTATGTGTATATATATGTGTGTGCATATATATGTATATGTATATGTATATATGATGAAGTCTCTTGCTTTCTAGGGAATTAAATGTCTTTTCCAATCACCAAAAAAGATTGTTTAAATATATATTTTTGCTGGGGTATTCTTAGAATTTTGGTATTGTCATTTTCTGTGAGGCTATTGATGTTATCTAATATTTACCTCCTTGCTTATTAATAAAAGCAGAATGCAATCTCACAATTTTATACTTAGAATCTTGGTATGTTTATGCCAAATGATGTGATGTAGTTATCATTTAGGCCATTTAGCCATTGGTGCAGATGAAGAAAAGAATAGCTGTGTAAGTAATGTAGGGATAGATGTTTGCTTTTTGTACTGCCTAGCAAGATGGTGGTAGCAATTTTTACAAATAGGTTATGTAATTGTGTGTATATTCCAAGCAGCTTGTTTATATTTTCCCCCAGGGTTTAACTTTCTTATATGTCTAAAATACTCTGAGGGGAGAGAGGGAATGCCATAAACTTTTACAATCAGACATTGTCCCTGTTTCCCAGGCAAATTCAATGCACCTTCTGTTGGGTAATTGGAACCCGAGAAGTAACATGAAGTGTTTTAACAAAACATGAATGAGCTGTATTTATAATGGAATGGCAGAGATTTGGAAACCCAAACTCTTTATGTGAGAAAAAGTGATAAAAAGACACAATGAGAGGTCAGCATATGTTGACTCAGTTGTAGAATTTGGCATTCGACACATTAAACATAGGTTAATGTGAGTAAATATTTACAGAAAACTGGTCTCATGACCTTTCTGTTTCTGGGGTAGAGTTCCATTACATTGGCCAGTAATGCACTTTCTTCTTTTTTGGGGCTACTGCTGTCGGGGGTGGTAAACTGAATCATTAAAAATGAGCTGTAAAAAAATATCTCAGAGTGGTGTTTTGTTTTTTCTATTTTGGGTTAATTTGATAGGAAGAGTACATTTGGGGAGATGTGAGTAAATAGTAATAGCTCATTTTACAACAGGCTGTGTGTCTGCATGTGTGTGTTTGTGTGTGTGTAAATGTGTCTTTAGAACATCTGCACTCCTCATGCTTTATAAATGCTGTGACTCCACACTTGAAGACACAGTAATGAATGGTGTCAAGAACCAAAAGCAAAAGCCAAGTTCCATACTGCTGTGAGGATCCGGTGGCTGTGCTGGGCTGTGCAGTGTGGTAGAAAAGAAAAAGACAGCTGGTGATGAAAAAAATCTCTGTGAGCTTTCCCTGCTCATAGTCATTCTTGAAACAATGATTTAGTGAACTTTTTTTACTCATATGAACATACAAATAAGCCTTCTGCCCTCTCCACTTCCCTGCCAATCTTTCTAATTTTCCACTTTATTGGTTGATTATCATATTTCTCAGAATTCTCGGGTTAGTTTTTTTTTTCTTTCTCATGTGAGAACAGTGGTTCTTAATTTTTTTGGGAGTCACATACTTTTGAGAATCCCATGAGAGGTAGAATTTTTCTCTTAAGAAAAATTCATAGGCTGGGTGTGGTGGCTCATACCTGTAATCCCAGCATTTTGGGAGGCTGAGGTGGGAGGATTGTTTGAAGCTAGGAATTCAAGATCAGCCTGGGCAGCCAAGCAAGACCCTGTGTCTAAAAAGATTAAAAAATAAAATAAAATTAGCTGGGTGTGGTGGCACACACCTGTGGTCGCAGCTTCTTGGCTGAGGCAGGAGGATCACTTGAGTACAGGAGCTTGAGGCTGCAGTGAGCTATGGTCTTGCCACTGCACTCCAGCCTGGATGACAAAGGGAGACCCTATATCTTAAAAAAAAAAAAAAAGAAAAGAAAAGAGAAAAAGGAAAATTCACAAGGACTCAGAATATCAGGAAGCCCAGAGATTCCCCAGAAGTTCAATCCCCACTGTTCCTTGCCTGCTTATAACACCTTTCACTTGCTACTTGGCGAACTGCTTCTGTTTCTAATGTTGATTGAGCAAAGATGTCCTGTTTCTTCTGTATAATAAAGAAGCAAAATAACAGAGCAGGAAAAGTGAGTTCCTTCAGGCTCACAGTCCCTTGGTAAGAGTCTTTCTCCTGTGTTATTCTTTGAAGAGTTGTCTAATGGACTCTTCTTTCTACCAGGTAATGATGATACTGATACACTGGAGTAAAAAACGATTATTGAGTTGGTTTTCCAGAAATGAGAATACATTGTGTATAATGCTATGTACCCTTTACCATAGACCCTCTTGAACCCAAAGTATATATTTGCAAGATGGCATCCCTATCAGATGAGGTCTTTGGTGATAGAGCTGAAAAAAATTAACTGTTTCCTATAGGAATCTTATCTCTGATTAGACAACAGGTCTAGAACTAATAGAAAAAACTAAATGTCTGTGTTCCTCAAATAAAGAAACATCTTAAAAATATCATAGGTATTCAAGATCGCATGTCTACTGACTCCAATTTGAAAAATGCTGATTTATAAAGCTAAAGTATTATTCTAAGAAACTGCTTTTTTGTTCCAATTGTAAGTGGTAAGAGTTCTTGTGTTTTGCACAATAATGGCTCCCCAAAGACATCTATATTCTAATCTATAAACATGTTGCCTTACATGGCAAATGGAACTTTGCAGAAGTGACTATGTTTAAGGATCTTGAAACAGGGAGATTATTCAGGTGGCCCCAATCTAATAATCTGAATTCTTATACTTGGAGAATCTTTCCAGTCTTTAGTCAGAGAAAGAGATGTGACGATGGTAGCAGACTCAGACACGTGCTTCATCACTGGCTTTGAAGAAGGAAGAAGAAGGCTGCAGGCCAAGGAATGCGGCTACCCTCTAGAAGCTGCAAAGGCAAGAATGGTTTCTCCTCTAGAGCCTCCAGAAAAAGCCCAGGCTAGCTGACACCTTGATTTTAGTCCAATGAAAACTGTGTCAGGTGTCTGACTTCCAGAACTGTAAGATAACAAATTTTGTTGTTTTAACCCACTAAGTTTGTGGTACTTTGTTATAGCAGTAATAGAAAACTAATACAGTTTTGTTGTTAAACTATACAAGATTTAAAAAATATATTGTTAACATGCAAAAATAAAAATAAAAAAATTTACAAAATTCATGACCTCTGAAACGATGTCTCTGGATATTCCAACAGTCCTTGGTTCTGAGAGTGAGAGACACCACTGTATTTAAATATTTAAGGAGATGCCAAGCACGGTGGCTTACGCCTGTAATCCCAGCACTTTGGGAGGCCGAGGCAGGGGAATTGCTTGAGTCCAGGAGTTGGAGACAAACCTGGGCAACATAGAGAGACCTCGCCTATAAAAAATAAAAAATTAGCTGGGTGTGGTGGTACGTGCCTGTAGTCCCTCTACTCGGGAGGCTGAGGTGGGAGGATCGCTTGAACCCAGGAGGCTGAGGCTGCAGTGAGCTATGATCACACCACTGCACTCAGCCTGGAAGACAGAGTGACAAAATTAAATTAATTAAAAATAAATAAATACTTAAGAAGCAATTGATAAAAGGATTCATAGATCTTTCTTTTTACCTATGCTTTTGTTGAGCAGATTTGTAAGTTGTTTAATTCATTGTCTCAAATTTGGTGGGCTTATTTTGTGAAATAGTTATCTTTCCTCATATGCCAAGTCACTTTCCCTTTCAGTTATTTAAACTAATCATCTCTCAGAGCTCAGATTTCCAATAGTAGCCTATAAATGATGCATCATAGCCTTTAGTAATGCATTTTATAATCATCAGAAGCTGTGCATTATTTTTTTGCATAATTCAAAGTTTTTCTGTTTAGCATTAAAATAGCAGATTGGTTTATTTGCAGTGAGATTCTTTCAACTAATAAAAACATAGCTAGTTCTTCTTAGTAATACTTTGAAATCTAACTGTGTTATCTCTTGGAATATTTTATTTGTACCCTGTGGAAAAATATGCATCTCATTCAGACAATCATGTTGTCTTCTCTCTGTCTAAAATTATTGATACATTGATTTTAAAAACACTCATACACACACAGAAATAGGGAGAGAGAGAGAGAGAATATATATAATAGGTCAAGAAAGAATTTGAGAGGTTACCTCTTTCTTCAGGCAGGACTATATCTGAATGATTCTGAACAGATAAATATCTATCCTAGGAATGGAAATGAAATTTTTTCCCCTAAGGGAGCTCTAAATATATTTCAGTCTGCTCATTTGCAAGAGTCATTTACATTGATTTCCATGAACCATTCCTAGGTCTATTCTTCATACAACCCTTGACTTATCAAAACCTCTCTTCCTCTCTTTCTCGCTCTCTTTCTCCTATTTATTATTCATTCAATTCATATTGAGTGCCTACTCTGGGAATGGTCTTGTGCAAGGCATTATGAGAATCTCTGAGAAGTGAAACATATAGTTCTACCCCAAATAACTTACACTCTACTGGGGAAGCCAGAGTTTGGGCCTAAGGAAAAGTTAAATGACTCCACAAGAGATGCTTATAAGATATCAGACAGTGAAGTGCAAATGAAGGATAATAACAGATAAATATGAGTAATGATGATGGCAGAATAAGCGTCTGTTGAGTACCTGCTGTATGCTAGGCCCCTGTGTGTGTTGTCTCTTTTTAATCCTCAACAAACTGTTGAAATAAAGATTTTTATACCCATTTATATAATTACAAAATATTGGATATGAGTATTCAAACTGACTCAGCTTTATCTGAATCTAAAACTCATGTTCATTTCACTGGGCCACACTTTCTTTGAACTTCACAGAAAGCAATGCTCCCTGTGGACTGAAATGTTTCTGGAGGAAGTAGCAATTGTTAGATTCCTATATCAAGCATCTACGCTGTGTCAGGCACTTGCTAGATCTGTACTCCCATTGTTAAAAATGAGGAAACTGAGGCACAGAAAGGCCAAGTAACTTGCCCACAGGCACGTATTAAGAAAGTGTTACAGCCACTATATAAATCCCAGATAGTCTGATTCCCAACGTAATTCTGCCTCCTGCTTTGTGCTGGATATCAGAGACATAATTTTGAGTGGCACAAGAAGGTTTTCTTAGTCTTTATAGAGTAATATGGAAAGAAATGTATATGATGAAGTGTGATAACTATTTTGATAGAGGAAGTAGAATGCTGTGGGGATACAGAAAAGTGTTCATAATCTAGACAAGAAGAAAACAGAGAATGCTTCCAAAGGAGAAGTTTTTAAGTCAAAACCTGAGGGATGAGTAGAAGAGAGCCAGGGAAGGAAGAAAGGAAGATGGGCAGTTAGTCACAGCCTATACCCTAACTCAGTGATTCGTTCACAAAGCAGCCAACTGCTTCTATTAACGTCTTCCCTCAATATCCACTGGGTTCACTCCTTAATTTCATTTAGGTCTTTATGCAGATGTGACCTTCTTACTGAGATCTCACCACCCTATTTAAATTACACCACACCCCCACGCTACCAATTTCTCTCCATGTCATTCATTTAACTGCCTGTTTTATTTATTTGTTGTGTTTTAAAATTGTCTCTTCCCTCCCATATGAATATGTGCTCCCTGAGAACAATTTTCTTTCTGTTATTTTCATTGCTATATCTTAAGCACCTAAGACAGTGCTTGCAACATAATAGGCTCTCCATAAATACGTTTGGGCTCTCCATAAATACTTGCTGAGTGAATGTTGAGTGGATGAACTAAGAGTTCCATAAATTCCTGACTTCATGATTGCTGTCGCATGTGACTCAGACATACTTTCACTCAGGTTTCTCAGTAAACACTTCCCGATGTCCTTAGAATGTCATGCTCCATTCTAAATACTCTAGGAGGCCCCAGGCTATGTGGTGGGCAGGTTCCTTTCACCAGGGTGCTTTTTATCTCCCTAAACTCAATAAACCACAAAGAGAATTTTCTCCAACTTTGTGTAGTACAGTGGCTTTTAGTTTCTGTTTCTATCCATCACCTGCACAGTGACAAAGACTCTCTTCTGTGCCAACTTTAGTCAGGGTCCTTTGAAACTTCTTCTCGTCTAGGCTTCTAATTTGGCCTGTTGAGCCCCATTTTTGCAAATAATCCTGCTAAGTCCTTCAAGAATCTCTCATCCTTACCAATTGTTGATCCACTGACCTCCTCACTCTCCTCATTGGGTATAAATCTCCAGCTGTCTTTGCAATAATTAGGAGTTGAGTTCAATCCCTCTCCTCTTTTGCAATAGTCTTGAATAACATCTTGGCTGTTTGTAACAAGTGTGTGGTGCAAACATTTTTTATTTGGCAATGTTCTCTTTTCAATTTTATTTCCATAAAGAAGTTTGTTTCTGCTGGGCACGGTGACTCACGCCTGTAATCCCAGCACTTTGGGAGGCTGAGGGGGGCAGATCACGAGGTCAGGAGTTCGAGACCAGCTTGGCCAACATGGTGAAACCCTGTCCCTATTAAAAATACAAAAATTAGCCAGATGTGGTGGTTCACGCCTGTAGTCCCAGCTACTCGGGAGGCCGAGGCAGGAGAATTGCTTGAACCTGAGAGGCAGATGTTGCAGTGAGACAAGATCGCGCCACTGCACTCCAGCCTGGGCGACAGAGCAAGCCTCCATCTCAAAATAAATAAATAAATAAATAAATAAATAAAGTTTATTTCTAGATCTCTTTGCCCAATTAATCCTCTGAATCTCATCCCTGTGGTACCTTCCTGTGTTATGGTGTTTGTCACACTAAAATTTAATAATATGCTTTCTGATTTTTGCTTAATTAATAAGACCTTTGGCTTTTGGTTGACTATGTTTAAATATGAGTACACTATAAAAATATTTAATATATCAGAGCCACTATATGTAGCCTGTTTTGTCTATGTCAATAAACTTCTATTATTTTCTCAGATAGTTTGCTTTATAAACATAGGCTGACAGTTGGTACTTTGCTCCTTTTTTTAATATTCAGATGAAGGTACTGAAGCAGAGATTCCAAAGCCTGTTTTCTGATCGCAACAGAATCTAAAGACCTTAGAGGAGGCAAGAGTAACTCATTTGATCAGAGAGGAAGAGGAGAGAGGAGACAGAGAGAGAGAGAGAGAGAGAGAATGAGAGACAGACAGACTGAGTAGAATGAGAATATTAGGTGCCTGACTAGGAAACTGCAGAACAAGGTGATTACTCCTTCATCCTCCCCCTCCCCTCATGGAGTTGCCAAAGAGACTTGAAGTTATATTGTCCTGGTGATGGAACACTGTGGTTATGGTTACTGTGTAACTTTTGAAAATAATTTTTGGAATCATTGGTTTGCCAAGTAAAGTCCATTCATGTGCTATTATGTCATTATACCAGGAGAAGAATGGCATATTAGAAATAAAAACTGGAAAGAAAACTTGAAGTTAATGTCTAGTTTCTGCCCACGTGATGTGACTGGACCTTCTGTATAATGATGGCCATGCTTACAGCAGTCTGAGCAGACCAAGGTCAGAATAGCAACCTGCTCCCTGCTATCACTTCTATTACAGTCACCTCATTTCAGCCCTTGGACACAAAGCAAACTTTATTTGGAATTTTCCTGGCTGGTGAGACATCCACTCAAGGATTTTTTTTAGGTCATCTATTTCTTGTTTCTCCAATATGGATTCAGGAAAAAAATGGATCTAATTATGAACCTTTTGATCAATCAATTAGATGTTTCCTTGGTCTTTGAGCAGAAACTTAACATGGAATTCCTGAAGGTCAAATACATAACTCTGAATAAAATATTGAAGCGGGTTTCAAGTTTCATAACTACTGAATTTTGAGATAAGTGTTTCCATATGTTTCTACTGATGAATCAACCTATAGTCACTTCATAGTTTCACTCAAAAACATTTTTTTCCTTTCCCAGTTTTGTTTTTCTATTACATTTGTGTTTCTCTTCATCCCACATGAAATCTTCTATTCCCAAGAGAGCTCCTGAATGAGAAAGAAGAGAGGACAAAACAATGAAGTGTGAGCACGGAGTCAGTTGGGCAAAGTCCCAAGATATCTTCACAAGAAGGAATAACAAGGGTGGAGTGCACAGTAGGAGCAAAAAGTTGCTGAGTCACATAGAGACTAATGTTCCCACACTAGGATAGGAAGATCTTGGTACACAGACAACAGTTTGTCTGCAAGTCTTTTCCAGGGTTACTGGGCTGCCTAAACCAAACCACCCCTTCAGGCTTACAATAGTATGATGTTCAGCGACTCATCTCTTAAGACTCTTCCTTTTGACTCTTGTCATGCCTTCCCCATAAAGATCATTTCATGAATGGTTTGTCTGTGGTTCAGAGAGAGACATGTAAAAAGCTTAAATAGTATAAGGTAGGGTCTAGGATTAGTGAATTAATTCAACACATATTTATTGAACATATATTATGCATCAGTCATGTTTTTCTCTAGGAATTAGAAATAGAGTTATGGGTCACTGCTCCATTGAGCTTCCGTTCTAGCGATAACTGGGGAGTGGTGAAGAAGTCAGACATTCAGCAGATAAGTCAATGAACAAACATGATTATTTCTGAAGGTAACGTTTACCAAGGAAATAGGCCTGGGGGTTACCACTGAAAGTGATGAAGGGAAGGTGGAAGTGAAGTGTTCCAGGCAGAGGGAGCATCATATGCAAAAATAGCATGTGCAGATGAGAGTGGCTTCCATCCTTTTTTTGTCAGCTTCAAAGGCTTCTAGGAGCCATGGCAGAAGCTGTGATATGCCCAGAGGGCCCTGCAGTCTGTTGATGTTTCAAATCTAGGGAAACACAAGGGCCCTAGGCAGCATAGCCCTGACCTAAGAAAAAGAGGGTGATTAAACACCTCATGTCTTCTTTTGTCATTTTTGCTATTTTACCTCCCCTCTCAGTCTCTACCCACTTCTAGAACAATCTCATCTTTAGGGGTAGCTGCAAACAAGTCCCCATGGAAATGCTGAATAAAAGTATTTGAGGAACTTCTGTAAATAACTTTGAGAAATGATACCATAATTTCACTGGGCTTTGAAAAAAGTGCTACACTGTGGAATAATGAGTTTTATTGTAGTACATTAAGTCACTGATTCTCAACTGGGAGTGATTTTGCTCCTCTGTCTCCTTCCCCCAAGAAGACATTGGTAATGTCTGAAGACACCTATGATTGTCACAACTTGGGATATGAGACATCTAGTGAGTAGAGACCAGAGAGACACCATTAACCATGTGATAGCACACAGAACAGTCTCCCTACAACAAATAATTATCTAGGCCTGCATAAAATGTTGAATCAAAGCTCTTGTAGTTCTTCTTACCAGCATAGATTTAATCTTTCACATCAGTGTCCGGTGTTGTCAGAGTACAGAATGGGTTCCGTTTCTGGAGATTGTTAGTCTTCTGGATCCATTATTGGGGCTCAAATCCTGGCTCCTGACTTATCAGAGGTGTGACTAAATGTCTGTGTGTGAGGCCTTGAGCAAGTTGGTTAGCATTCTGTGTCTCCATTTCCTTATCTGTAAAATGAAGATAATAATAGTCCCTACCTCCCAAAGTTATTTTGAGGAAACTGTGAAGTGATGTATTTGATTATTAACAGGGTCTAGCATACCACGATCACTCAATAAACATTAAACATTATTATTATTTCCTGCTGCCAAGTCTTGCTTACTGAAATCAAGACTGGTAACTATCAGAAGATTTGGGTGGAGATCATCAACATTAGCATACCCTGTCCCACAAATTCATTTTGGATCCTTCATCAGCTAGTGGCAGCAAGTATTTATGGACTGCCCAAATGTATTTACGAAGAGCCTGTTATGTTGCAAATACTGTCTTAGATGCTTAAGATATAGCAGTGAAAATAACAGAAAAAAATTGTTCTAAGGGAGCATCTATTTGTATGAAAGAAAATAGACAAAAAATAAACAACAGTCAAAATATGTAGTTAGGTGAATGTTGGGGAGAGAAATTGGTAGTGTTGGAGGTGTAGTGTAATTTAAATAGGGTGGTGAGGAAAGACCTCAGTAAAAAGGTGACATCTGAGTAAAGACCCAAGTGAAATTAAGGAGTGAACCAAGTGGATATCTGGGGGAAGAAGTTAATAGAAGCAGTTGGCTGATTTGTGAACCAATCAGAGTTAGGTTATGGGCTGTGATTTTGTTGACTAATTGCACATGCCCCTTTCTTCCTTCCCTGGCTCTCTTCTGCTCATTTGGAAGAATTCTCTGTTTTTTTTTTTTTTCTTGTCTAGATTAGAAATTCTTTTCTCTATTCCCACAGCATTCTACTTCCTCTATCAAAATAGTTATCACACTTCATCATATAACTTGTTGAATTTTCTTTCCATGTTATTCTAGAAGGACTAAAAAGACCTTCTTGTGCCCCCAGAAATTATATCTTTGATATCCAGCACAGTTCCAGTAACCTGCCAGGCATCCTGCTGAATAGGGAGAAGGATGAAAAATATGGAGTGGACAGACCTGGTGGAAGTTTCCCCTTGAGTGCAGCAACGTGATGACCCCAGAGAAAAGCAGTAGACACATTTATCTTTGACTTGAAAATAGAGCTGATGTTTTAAAGCCTCAGTAAAGTATCTTAGCTATTTGAAATTTGCATGTGTCGTTGCACCACTGTCTGCGGCAGCTGATTCCTGAAGCATGATTCAAAGTGAATTTGAATTGCCTTTGGTATCTGCTATAAGGCTTATTAGACAGCTTTTGGGGACAGGCCTCAAAGTGAAAAAAGAAGTATAGTCCATTGCTGAGCAAGGAAGAGTATTTGAAACTGGCTTGGTTCAGAAACAGTGGCTACCTCTAAAGTGTCCTTGTCAGAGGCATGCTTAGAGTGACCAGTCATGCAGCAAAGACTTGCCTTTCAACAGCACATGTTATCTGGCAGAAGAACCCTTCATTACAAAGACAACAGCTTCCAGTGGCTTTTCCTAGAACTGTCCAGAAGCTCAGGTTTTCTCATTGAAAGATCAAGATCCTAATCTTTTATTAACTCTATGCCTATGCAGTATTTTTTTTTCTGTGATTTTTATCATGGAAAGAAAGGAATACGTCTTCTCAATATTTGGATCTTTTTCTTAGATTCCTGCCATCTTTTCAAAGCTTAATGATATGGACAGTTTAAACCCCGTTGTCATATTTGAATTTTCTATTCTCTGAGAATAGTGATTTAAGAGGCTCAACTCTCACAAGAAAAGTATCTGAGGAAATTGAGCAGAGATATGAAAAATAAATTGTCATTTGTTTACAATAAAATTCAATTCACTTTAATAAATTTTGTATTAGAAGCTGCCAAATCTAGTCTCAGCTTCCTGTTTCTCCTGCAACCTGGACACAAAAGCATTCCATTCAACCTCCCCTTCTAGTGACTGATTTTTTGCCAGGAACTCCCGGCATGCACTGCCATCTGTTCACCTCTCAGCTGTTTGAACCCACCTTCCTTCCTAAATTAATACGAGAAAGCATCTTCTCTATGTCAGTCCTTTCAGCTACTCCTTTACACAACAGCTAACTCCAACCTAATTCTAAGTATCAGGATTCATCCATAATTCTCTAAGAAGACACAACAGTAGCAAAACTGGAAAACCAAACCTATCTAAATATATGGCCCAATCAGCTGCTTAAAAACACTGCAGCTATCTTAAAGCATGTATTGCAAGCAGAATATCTGAATCCAATTAGATTATTTGATATCACACCTGAACTGAAGGACTCTCTAGAGGCAAATTGTTTTTCTGTTCTCTTCTTCAACTACTGTTGGGCCATCCAGGCCCAAGAGTTCTCAGCTCAAACGTTTTGGGGAGATAAGTTCCGAGATCAATTCAATAGCTGCCCTTTTTTTCTTTTCTTTTCTATTTGGCCTTTGGGTAGAATTAGCCACTTAATTTTTTTTTTTTTTTTTTTTTTTTGAGACAGAGTCTCACTGTGTCATCCCGGCTGGAGTGCAGTGGTGCAATCTCAGCTTACTGCAAGCTCTGCCTCCCTAGTTCATGCCATTCTCCTGCCTCGGCCTCCCGAGTAGCTGGGACCACAGGCACCTGCCACCACGCCCAGCTATTTTTTTTTTTTTGTATTTTTAGTAGAGATGGGGTTTCACCACGTTAGCCAGGATTGTCGTGATCTCCTGACCTCATGATCTGTCCACCTCGACCTCCCAAGCGCTGGGATTACAGGCGTGAGCCACTGCACCCGGCAGCCACTTTTTTTTTTAATATGAGGAGTTTCTTATAAACATATCTCTTTCGTGTTGTGTCTCTGTCAGGTTTTGGTATCAGAATAATGCTGGCCTCATAGAATGAGTTAGTGGGGACTTTTATTTTAAGGCCAGGCATGGTGGCTCATGCCTGTAATCCCAGCATTTTGGGAGGCTGAGGCAGGCAGATCACCTGAAGCCAGGAGTTCAAGACCAGCCTGGCCAACATGGCGAAACCCCATCTCTACTAAAAAATATAAAAATTAGCTGAGCATGGTGGTGGGTGCCTGTAGTCCCAGCTACTTGGGAGACTGAGGCAGGAGAATTGCTTGAGCCTGGGAGGCAGGGGTTGCAGTAAGCTGAGATCATGCCATGGCACTCCAGCCTGGGTGACAGAGCGAGACTCTGTCTCACAAAAAAAAAAAAAAAAGTGAGATCATGTCTCTTGCAGCAACACAGACAGAGTTGGAGGCCATTATCCTAAGTGAATTAATGCAGGAACAGAAAGCGAAATATTACATGTTCTCACTTATAAGTGGGACCTAAACACTGAGTACATTTGGACACAAAGAATGGAGCAACAGCCACTGGGACCTACTTGAGGGTGGGGGGGTGGGAGAAGGGTGAGGATCCAGAAAACTGCTTATTGGGTACTATGCTTATTACCTGGGTGATGAAATAAACTGTTCACCAAATCCCCGTGATACACAATTACGTACCACTGAACCTAAAATAAAAGTAAAAAAAAAAAAAGAGTCTCTTTGGAAATTAGAGAAGACAAGACTGAAGGAAAAGAAAGTGGAGGAAAAATCCAACTCTTCTTAAATATTTCTCTCTTCTCTAGAGACACTGTGCCAATAAAGATGAGAAAGGAAAGACTCGTGGTTGTAGAAACTGGCTGGGAGAAAACCTAAGTGTATTAGTTTCCTAGGGCTGCTGTAACAAAGTACATATGGTTCTTGACATAGTTTGGCTGTGTCTCCACCCACCCAAATCTCATCTTGATTTGTGGCTTCCATAATCCCCACGTGTTGTAGGAGGGACCTGGTGGGAGATAATTGAATCATGGGGGCAGTTTCCCTCATATTGTTCTCATGGTAGTGAATGAGTCTCACAAGATCTCATGGTTTTATAAGGGAAAACCCCTTTCACTTGGTTCTGATTCTGTCTTGCTGCCTCCATGTAAAACGTGCATTTCACCATCCGCCATGATTGTGAGGCCTCCCCAGCCACGTGGAACTATAAGTCCATTAAGTTTCTTTTACTTTATAAATTACCTAGTCTCGGGCATGTCTTCATCAGCAGTGTGAAAACGGATTAATACAATTCCCAACATATTATGGTTCCACTTGCAATTTTTCAACTTTATGATGGTGCAAAAGTGACACATTAAGTATCTACATCTGGATAAATCCTTTATAATTTGAAAATATTGTGACATAACCCCATCCTAAGTTGAGGGGCATCTGTGCTACAAACTGGGTGGCTTAAACAACAGAAATGTATTGACTTACAGTTCCGGTGGCTAGAAGTCCAAGAGCAAGGTGCTGGCAGATTTGGTTCCTTCTGAAGCCTGTAAGGGAGAATCTGTTTCATGTCTCTTTCCTAGCTCCTGGGGATTTTCTGTCGATCTTCGGGATTCTTTGGCTTTAGATGCGTCACCCCAATTTCTGCATTGATATCCACATCACATTCTCCCTGTGTGTGTGTATCTTCTTCTGTGTGCAAATTTCCCCCTTTTAATAAGGACACAGTCCACAGTCCTATTGGATTAGGGCACTCCTTAATGACCCCATGTTAACCTGATCATTAGCAAAGACCCTATTTTCAAGTAAAGTTACATTTGCAGGTATTGGGAGTTAGCATGTCAACAACTTTTAGGGGGAAATAATTCAATGCATAACACTAGGATTGACTGGAGCTGAATAAGGCCATTGTCTTCTTTCTGAATTCAAACTTGAATAATGGAGGAGGTTTCAGGCTGCTTAGTTGTATAGATTGCAGCATGAATGTCTTTCGTTGCTTAGCATTCTCATCAATCCACCAAGGCATATTCTGGCTCTCTTCTACATGTCTTACATTGCACTGTTTCTTATATACATTTTGAAAAATTATTTTGTTGCTATCAGTGTAATTTTTTCCTAGAAAATGGCTACATATGGGATGTGGAAAAGATAAACAAAATAAAACCCAATTTTAAGCACAAGAAATTGATCCAACTCTTTTTTTTTTTTTTTTTTTTTTTTTTTGAGACGGAGTCTCGCTCTGTCGCCCAGGCTGAAGTGCAGTGGCGGGATCTCGGCTCACTGCAAGCTCCGCCTCCCGGGTTCACGCCATTCTCCTGCCTCAGCCTCCCAAGTAGCTGGGACTACAGGCGCCCGCCACTACGCCCGGCTAATTTTTTGTATTTTTAGTAGAGACGGGGTTTCACCGTTTTAGCCGGGATGGTCTCGATCTCCTGACCTCGTGATCCGCCCGCCTCGGCCTCCCAAAGTGCTGGGATTACAGGCGTGAGCCACCGCGCCCGGCCGATCCAACTCTTATAGTACTTGTGAGTGTAGAAAATAAGAGTTGCTTTGGGTCTTCACTGGCTATTTTTCCAGAGTTTCCCTACCCGCTGTCATGCACACATCTACAAGACGCTAAAGCACTCATATGCATGCACATGCAGAAACTCATACATATACATAAAAGTGTAGTTTTCCAACAGAAGTTCTTACATTGGCTCTAGACAAGACTACTTGAGCATTGGCTCCAATTCCTCCTATATGGCAGTAACTCCCTTCATATTTCATTTGTTTTTAATCTAAAAAACAATTATTACCTCCTACTGGCAGATGACTGTCTATTAAATGCCCAACCTCCTGTATGCCAGCAGTAGAGCAAGAACAAGATAAATTGCTACTGGTTTCCCCAGGAGAAAATCTACTTTATCTCAAACAGCTGAATTGCCAGGTGGAGTTGAGTAAACTGTGGGGTTGCAACACAGTTGAGGCACAAAGTTCACCACTAACGTAAAACAGCCAACTCAGTTCTGCTTTTTAATGTCTTCTAAACTGACGGAACTGAGCAATATAAACAAGAGTGAAGCAATAGCCTCAGGGGTTGTCATTAGACAACTAATGAGCGAACAGCTATTTTATCATGTTTATGTGAAGAATACAATTTTATCTACTTGCCCCCCAAATTTACGGGGAAATAAAGGCCAAGAAGAGAAAAACTTTGCGGAAATTATTAGAGAAATATTGTTTATTTCCTGCTAGGTCAAATGATTCATAGTCTTATAGAGTTAGAAAGACCTTTTAGAGAGCAACTAATTCCAACTCCTTGTTTTCTTAGGTAAGAACACAGGAACTTGGGTAAATTAAATGGCATGAAGCCGGTTTAATGCAAAGTTTAGAGAGTTTTGGATTTAAGTCTCTTTGTATAATGGAGATAAAAATACATAGGTTATATGTTTTTATGAGGATTAAGTGAGAGAACACAGAGTTCCCAACTTGTCATATTGTGAGTTACCTTCCCTCCTTTGACCAGGGTCACCTAGCTAATTAGTTACAGAGAAAAGATTATCTATCATTTCTTAGTTCACCATCTCACCTCTGCCCACTGTTATCTTGGGCAGGACAGGAATCCTTTCAGGACAGGATTCCTGAAATCCCCAAACAAATGAACTTTATGGTTAAACTAAAAACATATTTTCAGTTTGTTGTTTCCAACGGCCCCACTAACAACTTTTACCAGAGCTGCTAATAATTAACCGAAGGGAATGACTGGATGGAAACTTTGTTCTGGCCTCCCCAGAGTGTACCTTGCCAGAGGTGGCGTGAGAGGCAGCCAGATTAAGAGAGAGAAGGAAAAGCCAGAAGCCTGCAAAAACACACATGTGCAATTGAACATCTTGGCTCTTGGACACTCAGAGCTGCAAGACATCGAAGTGCTTTCTTAATTTGTGTATTTACAGATTCGGGACTTCATCAGGGTCCAAACTCAGAGCGGTAGACCAGTGCCCTGGGTTTTCTCAGTGGCATCTCTTGCTCAATAAATTCATTAGTGACTTTCTGTAGCCTTACCCGGATCACAATCTCTGTTTTAACACTGTGACCTTAGTAGGGGTTCTCACAAAGTGGATTTCGGAAGAGAATGGAGAGAAATGGAGTGGGGAGTCATGGTGTTTGAGCATCAAGCATTCTATTGTTGATGATCTGGTGCTTGGCATCTCTTCATAAAGGTGGAAGATCAAAGAATACTTAAATTAGATATGCAAATAGAAGGAAAAACTAGCAACCCCTAACTTCTCTCTAAAATGCTAGTGATGAAGAAATTATTTGCTATGTGCCAGTCATAGGCAGCTATCGAGGGCTGCTTTTGTGGCTCTTTCACTGTTATTTTCCATGCATGAGTTTGGATTAGGTAGAGCTGCCATGTTCTTGGAAGCTGTCTCTTTCCCAGAAAGGATTAGAATTCTGCCCCATCATTTTGTCAAAAAAGCCAGTAATTTTTCTCACCTAGTTTCAGAATAAGAGGTAAAAATGTGCTAGGGCAACATGAGTTATTAGCCTTCCAAGCCATCAAATATTCAGAGGCTGTCATAGCCACCAACAAATCCCCTGGGCCCAGAATTGTGCAGAAGGTGTTCCATGATTCCTGGTTGAACAAATGAGGGATGGAAGAGGCTACTTGTGAAGACAGTTGCCCTTGATTTAGATGACTTTCACCAACCTTGGCTAGTTGAGTAGATATATTTATGGTATCCTGTTAAATTCTTTATTTACGATATCCTGTTAGAGTCTGTCTTCTAAATCCAGACATCCAAGAAAACAAGCCAAAATTACTGAAGAAACAAATAAGATGATTGACTTAATTTCAGTTTTGCAATTGAAACTAAATGTTCTATTCTAAAGTTGTAGAGAAGTAAGTTGGACTCTCCTCTGTTGCAAACAAAGATATTAATATTCCCATCGTAGGGTTGTTGTGAGGATTGAGTTGGTACCTGTTTAGAACAGTGTCTGCCAATAGAAAGGGCTCTGTAAATGTTAGATATTTTTTATTAATTTTTATGTCATGGTTTGAGCATGCTTTTAGACTAGCTTTTCAATCTTTTTCTAATTTCTCATATAGACAAGCATATATATAGTTTTTGCATAAATGCATATATGTTATCTCACACATATAATTATATATTATTTAGAGAAGTATATTAAAACTTTTGCTTAGCTTCTACTTCCCTTTCTTTCCTCCTTTACACCCCTCTCTGCCATGTAACTCGTTTGTGACTTGATATGTACTTTTACATTTTTCCCCTTGCTCATATCATATATACACTTTTTACACTTACACACATGTATAAGGGAAGTTTTGTTATTGTTTGTTTTATGAGCATTGCATAATATATACTTTCTACATCTCTTTTTTCATGTAAAGCATAACTGTACAGAAATCTCTTATAAGTAGAAATTTAGCTCTAATGAGTCTAACTCCTTGGAACTGCTGCCTAATAATCCATGGTGTGGATGAGCTGTTACCTATTCAGACATTCCCTATTGACTGGCATTTACTTTGATCCCTGTCCCTTCTCCTTTTCTTGCTATTATAAACACTGACATTAGGTGCCCTTTTACACATGCTCTATGTAATATTGGTCTGGGAGAGTTGCCAAGGAGAGAGATTGCAGGGTTAAATGGTGCATGTATCTTCAGTTTTTTTATGTCTGCTGCGAAATGGCTTTCCAAAACAGTTTTTACAGTTAAATTTTTCTCAGCATGTATGAACATCCATTTTTCCATATACCTACCACTAATAGAGGTTATTGATCATTTCAATTTTTGCCAGTCTGATGGACATAAAAATATATATATCATTGTAACTTTAATTTACATTTCCCCGACTATGATTTAATGTGAGAATATTTTCATTTGCTTGTTGGTCATTGCCCCTATGTAAATATCCTATTTGAATTCTTTATCCTTTTTTTCCGTTATTCATTGTCTTTGCTTTTGTCAATTTGCAAAACAAAACAAAAAAACACAAAAAACCCAACTGTTGCTGATGCCACAAATATTTCCAAACCTATCATTAGTCTACTGACCTTGTTGTGGAATCTTTCTTTTAACAAAATGTTTTAAATTCTTATATGATCAAGTAAGTCTCTCTTTTCTTTTATATCTTCTCCATTTTGACAAGAAAGCCTCCTTCCACATAATAGATTGTACATATATGTATATATGATATGCTAGATTTTCTTGAAGTATTTATTTTTTACAGTTGTCTTTAATCCAGAAGGCATTTCTTTTTGTAAATGGCATAACATTGGGGTTTGTTAAAAAAATCAGTTGAGTAGCTAGTTGTGCCATAATCAATCAAATACATATATAAATATGTATGTATATATGTATTCATATATGCATGTATATTTCCATATATGTACATGGATATATCCATATGTGTGTATATGTATATCCATGTATTATGGATATGGAATATACTTTCATTGGAAAAGAGTCTGGTTCAGTTTGAGAAGAAGGTGTTGAGTATGGTGTCACAGGAACAAAATATTTGAAAGAGAGAATTTGGAAGCTAAGATTAATTTGGAATCTATAATTGCACGTAGCTTTCTTCCCCTCCGCAACAGATTCAATTCTCTCAGACTCCTGAATCAAATGTCTGGTGGAGCCCATAAGTAGTAGTAGAAGTCAGTGAAACTAAATAGAGGATCAATAATTGTATATGCACATACATATATCAATATATGTATATATGCATATATGTATGTGTGTGGAAATGTATACATGTGTATATTATACATATATAGAGAATAAACATATACATATATGGAGATTATAGATACACACATAGATTAAATATATACCATATATATGGATACACATATGATACATGTATATCTCTACATGTGTAAGGTATATACATATATATTTTTATATATATATATCTGGTATATACATATAGAGATATACACACCATACCTATGGAAATATATATATGGGGGGTGTGTGTGTGTGCACGCATATAGTAAACATATATATATATACACACACACACCATATGTATGGATGTATGGATATATATGATATACATATGTGTATCTATAATCTCCATATATGTATGTGTTTATCTTCAATACATACATATAGTCCGGGCATGGCATGGCGGCTCATACCTGTAATCCCAGCACTCTGGGAGGCTAAGGCGGGTGGATCACTTGAGGCCAAGAGTTCAAGACCAGCCTGGCCAACACGGTGAAACCCCGTCTCTACTAAAAATACAAAAATTAGCTGAACATGGTGGCACATGACTGTAATCACAGCTATTTGAGAGGCTGAAGCATGAGAATCGCTTGAACCCAGGAAGCAAAGGTTGCATTGAGCCGAGATTGTGCCACTGCACTCGGCTGGGACAACAGAATGACACTCTGTCTCAAAAAGAAAAAAAATGTATAGATATATATCTATGTATACACTTCCATATACATACATGTATGTGTGTATACATACATTCATATATATATGTGTGTATATACAATTATTGATCCTCTATTTAGTTTCACTGACTTCTGCTACTACTTATGGGCTCCACCAGCTATTTGATTCAGGAGTCTAAGAGAGACTTGAATTGGTTGTGGAGGGGAAGAAAACTCTGAGCAATTATAGATTCTAAATTAACCTTAGCTTCCAAATTCTCTCTTTCAAATATTTTGATCCTGTGACATTATACTCATCCTCAAAGTGAGCCACAGTCTTTTCCAGTGGATGCATCTCTTGTATCACTTAACATGACTAGCCATTAGAGAAGTTTCTTTGTGTTCAGTTAGATACTAGAGACTCCATGCATCTCATGACCATGCACTCTTTCTGTAGTAAGTAGCTAGAGAAAGCAGCAGGGTAGTATGTTGCTTATCAGAGAAGTTAATATATCCATCTTCTCTCCCCTCATTTCTTTTGCTCAAATGAAATTTGGTATTTTGATAACTAAGACACAATTTTACTTATATCTATATTTTGATAACTGGACACACTTTTACTTACATCTATACTAAAATTTGAATATCAGTTATGGGGATTTGCTAGCAATTATGCCAACAAAATAGTAGAATGACATCCATGCATATCAAAAAAGCACAACTGACATATTTAGAAACATCTCCTATTAATCCAGGTTCATTTCAACCTGAATTCTATTTAAAGTCATGAAAAAAAAGCAAGACACAACAATTATTTAATCCGAAATGTGATGTACAGTAATGATTCTCTTTCATCCTAGGACAACACATTTCATACGTGTAAGTGACTAAAGGGCAATGACTCTTTATGGATTTTCCCTTTGGTGACCTTTACAAAAAGTCTAAGGTAAAGTTCTAACTCAGTTCATTCTACCTCCCCCTCACTGCTCTAAAAGAAGTATTGGGGAGGTGTCATTTCTACAAATCAAGTTCTGACTCAGTGCCAAAAAATTTTTAAGGAACAGAATTCTATATGCAGATTGCCTAGCCCAAGACAACTTTATAGTCACCAGGACATTTTTTTTGGAGGTGGGAGGGTGCAGTTCTCTGTTAAATTTTATTATTACATAAAACATAGCCTCTTCTCTTTTTTTTTCTGTACTTGAAAAAGCAGAAACTTTTTGTCATCACATAAACTTATGGAGTCATAGAATCTTAGGATTGTAAGGGACATTATAATGTAGTCAACATTAGAAATCAGCTACTTTAAACTCTTGCTAAATGCTCCCACTCCCCAACTCTGCTGTATTTTTTTTTCCTTTAGCTGAGAATTGATTTAAGGGAATGCAAGATTCTGTGAATGCCTGAACTCTGTTTCATGTCCTACTTCTGTCTTCCTCTGCAATTTGTTTAAATGACTTTGCCAGGAGGACTTTCCAGAGGTGGGGTTTTGTTCTTGAACTCATGTGAGAACACATTCGTGCCCTACATTCTGAGGGGAGGTGATCTCGGCGGGGATTTTTTTGCTCATGGAAGAAAAATATATGAGCGCATTTTTTTCTACTGGGCACAGCTGGTAGTTCCCTACTGACTGGTGTTTGTTTTGAAGTCACGTGGCAAAGGGGGTTTCTGCCAATGTTTACTCATTACACATTCAAATATGACACCCTGACGCCCATTCACAGTAGAACTTCAATGTTGCTATCCAATTCTCTTGCCAGAAACGGAAAGTTTATTCCCAGAGTGAAAGTTGCTCTCTTCGCAAATGCAGAGGGTTTAGTGCTCAACAGTGATAGTTGAGAATTGTTGGTTTTTAAATATTAAATTTATTGAATTATTTAATTTTTACATGATTTAAGTGGACTGCTTGGCTCATTATACCTAAAATAATTCTTAGTCAGTACCGCATTTATTAAAGAATAACTTTATGCTACAAGGAAGGGAGGCTGACAACCACTTTATACATTACTACCCTGATATAACTGAAATAATTTTATGCCTATTTGGGGCCCCTCCCTGTGAAAGGATGATACACACCTGCCATATTGCATGTGGGCAATGCTGTGACTTGCTTTGGCCAATGAAATAAGGGTGAAAGCCACTTTCTATCAGAAGCCCTAGAAGCCAGTGTGAGGTCCATCAATTGCACTTTTCACACTGCCACATTACTGGCAATGATCCAGATAGAGGCTGTTCTGTCCGCTAAGTCCTGGAGTAAACACAAAGCAGACCAAACCCACAGCAGACAAGGAACATGAACAAGAAATCAATCTTTATTATAGTGAGCTCCTGAGATCTGAAGGCCATTTATTACTGCAATACAATCTAATACAACCTAGCTCATTCTGACCAATGAAGATTGTACATTGGAAAGAGCAGAAAGATCCTAAGATAAATCCTGGTTCTGCCATTAAATAATGATGTGAACTTGGACATTTGGAAAGTACCAATGACTTTGACAACTTGAACCTCAGTTTCCTCTTGTGAGAAATGGACATAATAACCATTCCCTTCCTGATCATACAGAATGGTATGGGGCTAAAATCTCATCATTTATGTTGTAAATAGTACACTGGAAAGAACTATTGCCTATATAAAAGTAAGGCACTAAAATTATAATTTCCTTTTTTAGTGAGTCGCGTGTACTGATCTTCACCTCTTTTCAACTTTCTAGTAAATAGATGTTCTGAAGTGTATCCTCGTTATAAAGTTTTAGAAGTAATCAAACACAGATAGTCATACTTTCCCGAGAATGGCACTCCTGACTATAGTGGACCATTCTTTTTTAAAAATCTAGCTTTGAGATGAATGGATACACGTGGAGTGCTGCTGAGACATATGGACACTTGCCTGGCCAGGCCAATCTGCCCGATTATCTTTTCTGAGCCATGAGCATATCATGTTCTGGCCAAACTGCTTTTGCATTCTGAAAGAACATTGTAACAGACAGAGAATACTGTTATTTATTTTACCAGGAAGAATTAGATAGTGAAAAGAGCATTAGCTTTAGAAACAGGCAGACTCAGCCCATAGTAGTCACTCAATAAATATTTGTTGAATAAATAAACAATCAGTTCAAATCTCACCAACGATTTCTAACTGTGTGGTCTTGTGCAAGATATTTAACCTCTCTGAGTGTCAATTTTATTATAATTCCTACCTTAAAAAGCTTTTTTTCTTTAAAGATTAAGGAAATGGTAGATGTACAAGGTCTATCAAAGTACCTAGTACAGATTGAATAAATGTGAACCTTTAGTTAATTAGCCATGTTCTTTTCTGGAGTGGGTGACCAATTTATAGAAAAAAAAGTGGGCTTTAGGGCTTGTTTGCAGGGCTTCATTGGTGAATGAAGTCTCTAGATTCCTTCTGAAAAAATCAATAGCATTTTGACAAGACTATACCTTCTTTGCCACAGAAGCAATACTATGTAAGTGCACCCGAGGAAAGCATTTCAAATGCTTTTGATGCACAAAAGCTTCAAGGACTCTGCCTTTGAAAAGTTTTCCTAACAAAAGGAACCACACAGCCTCCCACTGCCTGGTTTCTAGATTGGTTTTCCATCTCCTCTCAACCATACTGCCTTTATCTCTCAGTTCCTGTATCTGCCTCTTTAATATACTTGCAGGTGCTTGAAAGACCCTTCTGCAGGTGTTTCTTAGTATCAAACTTAGGAATTTATATGAGCAACAAAAAGATAGATGGCAAACTTTTAACTGATCTGCATCAACAAAGGAAGAAGAGAAGAAGCATTGGCCGGAAGCCTATTATATACATGCTGCTTTTCCAGATATTTATCATTTCATTTAATCCTCACAGCAGCTCTGCGAGATACATGACTTTATTTATTTATTTTTGCTGTGGTGATTTTAAAATGAGGATAACAAAATACAAAGAAGTTTAGGAATTTGTTCAAGGTCACATAACTAGTAAGTGGCATAGCTAGGAGTTGAATGCCAGTCTGTTTTTTTTCCAAAACCATGTTCTTTTCCTCACATTACCCTTCCTCACTGTTTACGGACTATTCACTACCTCAATGCATGATGCAACAAAGACGTCTGACAGCTTGCTGTGTTGTGGAGAGAGCCTTCAGAGCCAGGGGACCTGGGTTCTTGCACTGATAATGTCATTTACTAATTATGTGGCCTTGGGCAGATTACTTATCATCTCTGAGCTGCAAGTGCTTCATTAGTAAAAAGAGAAAAATTACCTCTTTCAAGGCAATGTCATTGTGAGGACGAGAGACAGTATATGTAGAGTGCCTGGCATAGGGTAGACATTCAATTAATGGAAGTTACTGATATTATTATTATTGTTACCCTTAATAAAGAATCCCTGAATAGGATGACGAATTCTACATAGCTGTACCTAATAAGTGTCCAATGGGTGAAACAGATATGAGTATTTGAAAGGAGGTGCAAGCAGGGAGATTGTTTTCTTGTTAGAGTAAAGTAACTGGGACAAGACTGAAACTTAATCACTAGACACTGTAAAGTCCACCAGGGCAGAGATTGGGCCTGCATTTCTTTTTCTTAGCATTGTCTTTCTAGGACCTAGGACAATGGGTAGCAAGCACAAAGTAGGTGTTCAATAAGAGTGTGTTGATTGAATGAAGGGAAGTTTGCTCTTAAAAGATGGATTTTGAAGGAGTATAAAGGAGGCTGAAGGGAATGCAAAAGGTGACTTAAAAAGGTAGGGTGGTGATATGGTTTGGCTGTGTCACCACCCAAATCTCATCTTGAATTCCCATGTGTTGTGGGAGGTACCCAGTGGGAGGTAATTTAATCATGGGGGCAGGTCTTTCCTGTGCTGTTCTCGTGATAGTGATAAGTCTCATGAGATCTGATGATTTTATAAAAGGGAGTTTCCCTGCACAACCTCTCTTACTTTGTCTGCTGCCATGTGAGCTGTGCCTTTCACCTTCCACCATGATTGTGAAGCCTTCCCAGACATGTGACACAGTAAGTACTTTAAACCTCTTTACTTTGTAAATTGCCCAGTCTCGGGTATGTCTTTATCAGCAGCGTGAAAATGGACTAATACAGGTGGTCAGAAAACATAGCATTTATAGGAGACAAAAGTGAAACAGTATGGCTGGAGAAAAGATATGGTTGTACAAGTAAATTGGGGGTCATGGAAAATGGGAGTTTCAAATACAGCCTGCCAAGTGTGCGAAGGAAGCCTAATTCAACAATCCATCAATGCAGAGACCAACGTTTGTCCTTATTATAAATTAATTATAGTACTAACTCATCTACTTATTGTGGGAATTAAATATTACATGTGAAAAGCCTGGCATAGAGCCTGGCACATAGCAGGCACTCAGAAAATTAGTTTTTTTTTTACCAATATCAACTTATTATTTATTACTTATGATGACATTTTGGTAAGTGATGTGAGCAGAAGGAACATTGTGGAGATCAGAGAAACAGACCAAAAAGACAGTGGATGCTGATATTTATCAAGAACCTATAGGTATAAAGTACTGTCCAGGCCCTCCAGAGGACACAGAAATAAAACTTCCTCCTTCTACTTCTTGTAACACCAAGATGTCCCTCAGGGACCTTGTTGCTGGGTGTAGAGTTAAAGTCTGCACAATGGATATACTATTAATAGCCAGTTTCATAAGTTGATCTTGGGGGCCCCTTCCCATGACATCTCCCAACACATCAGTTTCTCTTTTGCACCCAGCTGCCATCCTATGGATAAAAATGGGAGTAGGAACAGGTAGGGCCTGGCCTTTATCCAAATGTGTCTCAGTTACTAAAGTAACTAAATTATGTGATCAATTTGAGATTACAAGATTGGACTAAAATTTATTTGGATATTTTTTCCTGTTGGTAGCAGGTCTTGTGAGGAGGAACACAGAAGTTGTAGACTAAAGAAAGAACAGATTTAGAACAAGTGTTCTCTGCATAGTTGAGTATTGCCTTAGCTATTTTATGACCTGCCATGTGAATATTTCAATAACTATAATACAAAGTAGAAAGTGATAAACACAGAGTACATAAATGCCATGGGAATCCAGAGGAATTATTTCAGCTAATTCAGGAAAGGCTTTCTGGAGGAGACAAAATTGGAGCTGTTTTTCTCTTCAACGTTTGACTTTGAAAAATTTAAAACATACAGAAAAATGAAAACAAATCATAAAATGAACACCCATATACCCTTCAATGAGATTCAGCATTTAGTAATCTCTTGGTATATTTGTGCTCCCTCTCACTATATAAATATATATATATTTGTATATATAAGATACAAATTTTATAATTTTTGGTACCATTTGGGAGTAAGTTGCAGATATCATTACACTTTGTTTCTAATTACTTCAGAGTGCATTGTTTTTTTAATGAACAATGACTTTCTCCTATGCAACCACAACATCATTATCATAATCACCAAAGAAAATTGAGGAAACACAACCAGAGTTAGATTTTGGAAGAAAGGTAGAGTTTGGATTTTTGATGACAGTGTTAAGTGCCTCTTGGGTGGAGGACACAGAATGATTCCAGGCACAGATACAGGGGCCTACTTTAATCCCTCCATTTGATGAGAAACTGCTGTAGACCAGAAAGCTGAAATGATTTGCTAAAGTTTGGAAAGAGCTGGGACCAGAAACCACATTTCCTGATTCCTTTTGCATTGCTCTTCACTACCCTCCTCTTCCGGCATGGCACTAAATTTAGAATATGACACTCTTGGTTTCTACACAGCAGAACCTTTAACTCAATCTCAGTTTAAAAGACATTTTATATGGCGTCTTTCTGCATGGATTTCCAAGATGTTGGCAATTCAAATCCTGCCAGTTCTCCTGGAAGATCAAGGTTTAAACAGGGGAACAAATAGAAGTAGGCATGACTAAAAGCACAAGTCATCGAAAAAGCCAGGTGGAATGTTCCAGGTCGCCCCCCCCCCACAAAAAGCAGCACTGTTACTTGCTCTGACTTCCATGTTCTCACCCAGTGACCTTTATGGCCTGGGACCCCCTCCCTCTCATTTTGCTTCCCACTGCAAGAGAAGAGGAGCCAGCAGATGCAGGGATATGGCTGAGCTGTGAATCAGGACACTGTACGCTGGTCTGTCTCCACTCCTGATGATCCCTGTGACTTTAGACAGTGATTCTCACCCGGGGCGATTTTGCCTTGGCCATTTCTGAAAACACTAGGTTGTCACACCAGAAGGGCTGCTAGTGTCATCCACTTGGTAGAAGCCAGGGATGCTGCTAAACATCCTACAGTACACAGGACGGCTCCCCACCTTGAAGGGTTATACACCACCAAACTATCAATAGCACTGAGGTTAAGATACTGCTTTATACAAACCATTCATTTTCTTCAGGCTTTAATGCCCTCACTTTGAAATGGGAACATTTGGGTTGGCTCAGTGGTTTTCAATCTTAAACATGCTTTAGAATCTCCTGGGATGCTTGTTTAAAAAAATGCAGGTTACAGCCAGGCACGGTGGCTCACGCCTGTAGTCCCAGCACTTTGGGAGGCTGAGGTGGGTGGATCACTTGAGGTCAGTAATTCGAGACCTGCCTGGCCAACATGGTGAAATCCCGTTATCTGCTAAACATACAAATATAAGCCAGGCATGGTGGCACACACCTGTAATCCCAGCTACTAGGGAGGCTGAGGCAGTAGGATCACTTGAATCCAGGAGGTGAAGGTTGCAGTGAGCCGAGATCATGCCACTGAACTCCAGCCTGGGTGACAAAGTGAGGCTCCGTCTCAAAAAAAAAAAAAAGATTACTGACCCCATCTTTAGGGATTCCATAGATGGGAGGCAGAGTCCACACACCTTGAGAAATGCTACATACACTGATGGTTTCTAACTTCCTTCTCAGCCCTCTCATTTTCTAATTCTGAAAATGCTGATGGGTAAGAAATGTACTTAGAGTTCCTGCCTGAACACAGTATGAATATAGAAACAGGAAATGATAATCCTCCTTAGGCTCTCTCACACACCTATACCTCCACTCTCCTGGGCCCACACAGAGTGGCCAAGGGTTCATGTGCTGAGACTGGAGGCCAGTTCTTTTTGACCTTCCTTTGAAGCCTATGAGCCCACTGACACCTTGTATGAATAATTCTGTAGACACCAGTTATTCTGGAATACCTCACGTGATAGAACAGTGGGACACAACTGACACTCTTTTAAATTCAAGTCTCAGCTCTCCAAGCATCTTCATTTCAGCAGAGGTACTTTGTAATGCAAAGCCATCAGCTGGCATTTTCAGGTTTGGATTGGCTGGTTTACAGACATTATCAAATAAGGCATAGACATGTTTGATTGTTTGTTATTTATGGGATTTGGAAAGGAAAAGAAGGAATCTTTTTGAACTGTATGTCATTTTTAGGGAAGGGCAAGGTTGGGTGTATTGTTACTGCCAGCAAAAGCATGACTCCTTGTGTACTAATAGCCACTGAATTGAACATATTCTATGTGTCAGATGAGGTGCTTATATAGAATCACTTAAATTTCATAGAGACCTGCAAGAAATAAATTAATTTTTCATTTTCCAGATGAAAAGACTAAGGTTCAGAGAGATTTAGTAACTTGCTCAAGATCATATTATTAATAAGTGTCAGAGTCTACTTATTAACGCAGGTCTGTTTGATTCCAAAGCTCATCCTCTTGTAAATATGTTTAAGTTCCTTATAAATTCTGGATATTAGCCCTTTGTCAGATGGATAGATTGCAAAAATTTCCTCCCATTCTGTAGGTTGCCCGTTCACTCTGATGATAATTTCTTTTGCTGTGCAGAAGCTCTTTAGTTTAATTAGATCCCGTTTTTCAGTTTTGGCTTTCGTTGCAATTGCTTTTGGCGTTCTTGTCATGAAGTCTTTGCCCATGCCTATGTCCTGAATGGTATTGCCTAGGTTTTCTTCTAGAGTTTTTATAGTTTTGGGTTTTACATCCAATCTTTAATCCATCTTGAATTAATTTTTGTGTAAGGTATAAGGAAGGGGTCCAGTTTCAATTTTTTGCATGTGACTAGCCAGTTTTCCCAGCACTATTTACTGAATAGGAGACCATTTCCCCATTGCTTGTTTTTGTCAGGTTTGTTGAAGATCAGATGGTTGCAGATGTTTGGTGTTATTTCTGAGGTCTCTGTTCTGCTCCATTGGTCTATATGTCTGTTTTGGTACCAGTACCATGCTGTTTTGGTTACTGTAGCCTTGTAGTATAGTTTGAAGTAAGGTAGCATGATGCCTCCAGCTTTGTTTTTTTGCTTAGGATTGTCTTGGCTATGTGGGATCTTCTCTAATTCCATATGAAATTTAAAATAGTTTTTTTCTAATTCTGTGAAGAATGTCAGTGGTAGTTTGATGAGAATAGCATTGAATCTATAAATTACTTCAGGTAATATGGCCAGCCACCCCATGTAAAAGTGGGCAAAGGATATTAACAGACACTTCTCATAAGAAGACATTTACACGGCCAACAAACATATGAGAAAAAGCTCGACATCACTGATCATTTTGAAATCCAAATCAAAACCACAATGAGACACCATCTGATTGCAAGTTAGAATGGTGATTTTTAAGAAGTCAGGAAACAATAGATGTTGGCAAGGCTGTGGAGAAATAGGAACACTTTACACTGTTTGTGGGAATGTAAATTAATTCAACCATTGTGGAAGACAGTATGGCGATTTCTCAAGGATCTAGAACCAGAAATACCATTTGACCCAGCAATCCCATTACTGGGTTTATACCCAAAAGAATATAAATCATTCTACTGTAAAGACACATGCACACATATGTTTATTGCAGCACTATTTAAAATAGCAAAGACATGGAACCCACCAAAATGCCCATCAATGACAGACTGGATAAAGAAAATGTGGTTCATGTACACCATGGAATACTATGCAGCCATAAAAAGGAATGAGATCATGTTCTTTGCAGGACATGGATGAAGCTGGAAGCCGTCAACCTCAGCAAACCAACACAGGAACAGAAAACCAAATACTGCATGTTCTCACTCATAAGTGGGAGCTGAATGATGAGAACACATGGACACAGAGAAAGGAACAACACACACCAGGGTCTGTTGAGGGATGAAGGATGAGGGGCGGGAACTTAGAGGACGGGTCAATAGGTGCAGCAAACCACTATGGCACATGTATACCTGTGTAACAAACTTGCAAGTTCTGCACATGTATCCCTTTTTTTTTTAAGAAATAAACAACAACAAAAAAAACTAGTTCAGAAAAAAAAAAGTTCATCCTCTGTCATTATTTCTAAATTGCTCCTGTGAGGATTGGAGTTGACCCTGGAAGGGCAGAGACAGGGAAAGTAGAGGTCATAAGACATAAACAGCTTCACATGTGGCCTGTCCCGGAAGCATCTCTGTGTGTATGTTCCTGGGCTAGATTTTTGCTTGGAGCTTATTTGGCTATTTCGGGGTAAGATGAAATGTTTATTTATTTAATCATTCCTTAAATATCCAAACTTCTTTCCCAATATTAGTATCTTCTAAGAAAGGAGAATATTAAAAATTTTTATACAGATGGATTTATTTTTCTAAGACCTCTCATCAGAATTACTGAGTTAGACTCTCTGGGTCTAGATTTTTTGATGTTTTATTTTGTTTTTGGTCTATCATATTCAAAACTTCCACGAACAGGGTCATTATTCTTTCTTTCAGTTAAGATATTTTCTGTAGAAGGCTTCAGTCTAAATGTAAACATGTTACCTGGAAGTGGTGGCAGAGTGAGTCACCGCCTCTGTCAATATTCTGGTGTAGGCAGGTATCAGATCATGTCTTGTGAGAAAGAAACCCATAATAGGCGTAGAATGATGTAAAGATACGTTTAGGAGAACTCCACCCATTTTACCCTACACTTGGTGAAGAGACAGAATCTAGGTGGGTCCTTCAGTGGGACTTCATTACTTCAGTACTCTGGGTACTGAGAAAATGGGGATTGGATTTTGGAAATAAATAAATACTAAATAAGTTGAGTAGGAGGGGATGCTGATGGTGAATTTCTTTTATTAAAATAGGTTGATGGCAAGGTCATTACAATGTTTTAAAGGGATTTAATACTAAAAATTAAAGTTTTATCTTTAACTTATTAGATGCACTTTTTAAAAGAAATGAAAATCATAGCCTTTAATATGCTTTTGCCACTGAAAGGATAATAGCAAACTTCGCATGCTTTCTCATCAGCTTGATCTTCCTTTTTGCAAATAAGCATATATTCACTGTTGGCTATAACATACTTTTTAGTTAAAACAGTTAATGCTGAGGCTTTTGTTATTTTCTTTCTTGTATTTAGAATCTTTAAACTGACGGTTCTTTCCTTTCTGCTTTATGTTCATATCTCTGTAATAGCACTTACCACATCTTTTTGCAATTTATCTGCTGTGCATTTGCTTCAAAATATGGTGAGGAATTTCTCAGGAACAGAAACTGGGTACCATTTATTTTTGTATACCCACTGAATGGAGTGAAGAAAGCATTCAACAAATGGATCACTTGACCAAATGAATGCATTTATTTTCCAGTATAAGCCACGCCTTGCTTTGATAGGGTCTTGTTGGCCACAAACTTATTAGAAACACAGATCAAAATATTTCCTGTCTGTATATGAAGGTAATGCCATTGATCTGCTGTTAGTATGGAATGACAACACAGAGTGGGGTGACTTACCAGAAACAGTCATGGATTAGTAGAGATTAAGCTACACATCTAATCCAGGTTTCTTATAGTCACATGCATTTCTGACCATATATTTTACTATTTTAGGACTGGATCTTTAATTTTTCATTTCCTTATTTATTTTGAATATAAAGACAAAACACGTTTAATGTAGAAAGATAGAAAATAAAGACATCTATCAGTCAGAGTTCTTTGGCTATAAGTAACAGAAACCAATTAAGAGCTAATTTAGTCAAAAAAGAAAATTCATGTATTTACTTTTTAGATAAATGGTCTTGCTCTGTCACCCAGTGCAGTGGCACAGTCACAGCTCCCTATAACCTTTAACTCCTGGTCACAAGCTATCCTCCCATCTCTGCCTCATGAATAGCTAGGACTGACTACAGGTGTGTACCACCACACCCGGCTAATTTAAAAAAAAAAAATCTTTTTCGTAGAGATGGAGTCTCGCTATGTTGACCAGGCTGTTCTCAAACTCCTGGCCTCAAGCAATTCTCCCACCTCAGCCTCCCAAAGTGTTAGGATTACAGACATGAGCCACTGTGTCCAGCTCAAAAAAGAAAATATATTAAAAGGATGTAAGAGTGTTTCCCATCCAGAACGAGCAGGAGACCGGAGAGTCAGTTTAGAAATAGGACAAAAAGAAGGGCAGCTCTAGGCATCAATGTAGTAAAAACTTGACTGCCTAGTTCAGGTGCAATAGAATTGAATGAAATATATCATTTTTGTGTGTGTGTCCCAGTGTAGCTCAGCTAAAAAGTCTTATTAGCTCATGTTAGGATGCAGCAAGCTCTTTGGCTTATACTGCACTAATAAGCAAAAAGATCTGGCTAAGGAACTGCCAGAGATCCTTTTCAACTTCCCTTACGGGGAGCAAAGAACCTCAATTATTATCATCAAGATCCATAAGTGAGGAAGAAGTGATTCTCTAAAAGGAAATTGGGGGCATTAGTAGAGAGCAGAAATGAGCTGGTAGAGGGAAAAAGGCAATTATTTAAACTATAATTATGATATCACATAATGATAACATTAAGTGTTTTTTGTTTTCTTTCCAGACTTTATTCTAATCATAAGAACCAGATTAGGATTTTAATATACATAGTTTTATGTCTCACTTAAAAAATTTCAATATATGTCATGAGCATTTTTCCTATTAAACATACATCAAAATTATCCTTTCTATTAGCAGTGTAAAATTTCATCTTTTGGCATTTCATCATACATGTAACTACTCTCTAGAAAGATATTTTGGCTATTGTCAACTTTCTACTCTTGTAACACAAAGACATGGTAACATGGTGGAACAAAATGGGCTTTGGTGACTGGGAGAATTGTATTTAAATTCCAGCTTTACCATTCCCCAGTTAAGTGCTCTTAGGTGAAATGTCTAACTGCTAAGTCTCAGTTTTCTTATTATAAAATGGGGGTACTAACTCAGACTTTACGGAGTTGGACATGCTGAGTTTGAAGTGATTATGGGATATCTGAGTATATACAGATTTGGGCAAGAGTTCTAGACTGGAGGTAGAGCTTTTTAAAAAATCTGATTTTAGGGGACATTTGAAGTCCTAAGAGAGGATGAAATCAGGTAGGAAGAGAGAGTAAAGACAGAAGGGCCATGAACCATGGATTCAAAGTGACCCGAGCCATAGGACAATGAATAAATGGTAGAGGACTGAAAGGGGAATCATGAAAATTGTATGACGAAGTCAAGGTTGTTGCCTTAAGAAGAGAACAGAGAGGGAATAGTCAGAGAGGTACAAATAGGAAGAAGAAATGGTAAGGGGTCAAGATAGGAGGAAGAAGAGACACCATCTGATACAACAGTGGGGTACAGTAATGCAAGGGCTGAAAATGGCCATTTGATTTGGCATTTAAGAGGACTTTTGTTTCCTCAACTGGAACAGTTTCCCCAGGGTGGAGGGTCAGAAGCTAGAGAAGAACATACTCTAATTGTAGAGTATGCTTTTGAAAAGTTTATATAAACAAGGGAGAAGAAAGGATGGAGAGAATTTAGAGATGATTAAAGAAAATTTTTATTTTTGAATGATGTAAGAGATTTCAACAAAGTTTTAGGCTGGGTGGTGGGAGGGGGTGAATAAGAAGACAGTGAAGAGGAAGAGATTACAGACGTGAGAAAGAGGGAGGAATTCACTCATTTGTTCATTTCTCCATTCGTTTATTTATTCTACAAAGTAGAAGAAAGTGCTTACCGTTCATTAAGAACTGTTCTACACACTGTGTATATATAGTAATGATCGAGGCAAGTTGCGGTGCTACTTTTTTCTTTCTTTCTTTTTTTTTTCGGAAACAGGGTCTCACTTTGTCACCCACACTGGAGTGCAGTGGCACAATCTCGGCTCACTGCAGCCTCAACCTCCTGGGCTCGAGCAATCCTCCCACCTCAGACTCTTGAGTAGCTGAGACTAGAGGTGTGCACCACCATGCATGGCTAATTTTCATATTTTTGTGTAGAGATGGGGTTTCACTATGTTGCCCAGGCTGGTCTTGAACTTCTGAGCTCAAGCGATCCACCTGACTTGGTCTCCCAAAGTGCTAGGTTACAGGCGTGAGCCACCATGCCTGGCTGGGTGCTGCTTTCGTTGGAGGTTCTAGCAGGAGAAAACAAACAACAACCACAAAATAACAAAAACACGATCATGACACCATGAAGGTAACTGAGAAAAAAAAATGCGAAAAATAAAAAGTGTACACAGGGCATCAACGTAGATTCACAGTTTTGTAATGAATGGCTTCTTTAGATTGGATGTTCAAGGATGGCCTGCCTGAGGGGTCAATATTTACACTGAGGACTATATGACAAGACAGAGACAGTCATGCAAAGATCAGTAGGAAGAGACTCCAAGTGATGGGAGGCAATAGAGCAATGACTTGAAGATGAGCTTGGCATGCCTGGAGAGGGTAACAGATAAAGAAAAGAGTTGGAGATGTGATTGGAAAGGAAGGAAGCTGCCAGATCCTAAAGGATTTGTAGGCCATGGTTTATTCTGAATGGGATTAGAAACCATTAGAAGAAAGTAATATGATTACATTTATGTTTTAAAAGGAGCATTCTGGCTGTGGTAAGAAGATATAGTAGGGGGCAGGAGCAGAAGATGGGGGCCAGTTAAGAAGGTATCACTGCAGTCAAAACAAGCAATGATGTGGCTTGGAGTAGAGTGGAAATGATGAGAAATCAGGCCCTATTTCAGAGCAGAGTCAAAGGACATGCTTATGGATTGGATGTGAAGATGCAGCACCTGAGAGAAAAGAGGAATCAAGAAGGGCTCATTGCAGGGGGCTTGAGTGGATGGCAGATGATTTTCTGGAGATGGGGAAGAGTTGGCGGGAGGGATGTGAAAATCAGGAGTTCTATCCTGCACATAGTAAGGGGGATGATTAATGGCTAAATGACTGCAGAAACATGTTTACTGCCAACTTATCTCTTTTGCAGTTGTACCTACAAGTCTCTGGGTTATTGAAAGCCTGTAAAAACAATTCAGAATATCCACTTTGTGACCTCACCCACTTTCCTGTGCTTATTTGCCCATCCCTCTGTTCTCTGGTTTCATACTCTAGTTTCTGACTCAGCTGCCTGGTTCTAGAAAATTGTTTATCCTTTTTCTTTCTTAAATATATATATATATTTTTGAGACAGGGTCTCCCTTTGTTGGCCCGGCTGAAGTGCAGTGGTGCAATCTTGGCTCACTGCAGTCTCAACTTCCTTGGGCTCAAGTGACCCTCCCACTTCAGCCTCCTGAGTAGCTGGGACTACAGGTCTACGCTACCACATGCAGCTAATTTTTAAATTTTTTGTAGAGACTGGGTCTCACTACATTGCCAAAGCTGGTCTCAAACTTCTGGGCTCAAGCAATCCTCCTGCCTGGGCCTCCTAAAGTACTGTGTGAGCCACAGTACCCAGCCTATCCTTTTTCTGATTTGTTACTCAGGTTCTTATCTGAGTATCAGCTCTGCATACTCCTTTTATCTCAGCTTTAGCCTTGGCTTCAAGATACTCCATCACAGGGGTCCCCAACCCCCAGGCCATGGACAGTTACTGGTCTGTGGCCTGTTAGAAACTGGGCTACACAGCAGGAGGTGAATGGCAGGTGAGTGAGTGATGCTTCATCTGTATTTACAGCTGCTCCTCATTGCTCACGTTACTGCCTGAGATCTGCCTCCTGTCAGGTCAGTGGCAGCATTAGATTCTCACAGAAGTGTGAGCACTACTGTGAACTGTGCATGTGAGGGATCTCGGTTGAACACTTTCTTATGAGAATCTAATGCCTGATGATCTGTCCCTATCTCCTATCACCCTCAGATGGGACCATCTAGTTGCAGGAAAACAAGCTCAGGGCTCCCACTGATTCTACATTATGGTGAGTTGCTTAATTATTGATATTTCATTATATATTACAACATAATAATAATAGACATAAAGTGCACAATAAATATACTGTGCTCGAATCATCCCCAAACCATCCCCCCAACCCTTCCCCAGTCCATGGAAAAATTCTCTTCCATAAAACAGGTCCCTGGTGCCAAAAATGTTGGTGACCGCTGCTCCGTCAGATATCACTGGGTGTTTTTTATTCTGTTTCACCATTCCATAGACCCAGATCCCAACAACCATTGCTCTTCAGTACCCCTTCCTTCTTAACCAATGGGAGGAGAATTCAGCTATTTATACTCTGTTAAACTACTGGGTAGATTCAGACAATAGTTTACACATTCTGTGATTGTTATTATTCTTTAAATCCTCCTTTGTTATAAGTATCAATTTATACTATTTCCTTGTTAGGGTTTTTAATAAAAATATCTGCATTAAGGTGTTCATTAAGCAGGTATGCTGACACCTTCATATTCTAAGCCACCATCTTTTCTTACTTGAATCTTGGAAAACCTCCTAACTGGTTTCTCTTTGTCCAGCTGTTTCATTCTCCACAGTATAGCTGGGGTAATCTCTACAACATGAACTTGATCCTGGCTAGTCTTCTGCTTGTGGTTCTTCATTACCTAGGATATAGCCTAAGACCTGCATGCCTTAGCAGAAACATTGGCAATTTCTGAATGGCCCCACATGCTCTCTACATTTTCCAGCCTTTCTTGTAGTTAGCTGGGACTTTGCAGCTATTTCTGGCAAGGAGGGGATGAAATGAATGTGTTACTTTTGGACCTACACATGTAAGAGGTGGTGTGCCACTTCCACACCCTGTCTTTACCTGCTGTGGGGATCTTGAAAGCCACATGTTGAGATGGCAATATCAAAACATAGTGGGATCCTGGGTGTCTCAGTTACATCATGGAGAACCGCCCTGGAATATCACCTGAACTGCATTGGAATTTATTTGACAGAGAAATAAACTTGTGTTTGTTGAGCTAGCAAACTTTAAGTTTCATTCCTGCAGCACAACCCGGCCTACTTGGCTAATGCACATGGCCAACACAGCCCTGCAGGCTCAAACTCCAGCCCATCTCTCTAGCTTGTCTGACTCTTCAGGCATGCAAGACAATTTCACTTCCTCCAAGTTGCCATGTTTTCTCCTGCCTCTGGTTATTTCCCGCTTGCTGGGCAATGTCTGCCTCTTCCCCTACTACTTCCGACACATGCATTTTGGTTCAATTTTACTCATCCTTAAGGTCACAGGCTAACCATCACTTCCTTAGGAAAGCCTCTGTAACCACCTCCCTTCCATAGCTTGCCATCCTCTTGTTCATTACACAGCCTTGCAATTGTATTTAAACAAATGTTTGTCCTGCTAGACTATCAGCTTTTCCAAAGTCCAGACACTGTCCTCCATGGTTTTATTTTAAATAGGATTAGAAGCTATTGAAAGGAAATAATGTGATTATATTCATGTTTCAAAAGGATCATCTGGCTGCTGTGTGCCACTGGATTGCCAGCCCCTACTTACATTTAGTAAAGGCTCAATAAATATTTGTTGAATGATGAAATGGTTGAATGAATGAATAGACGATTAGCAGGAATAAATAAAGGCAAATAGGGTGATGATTAGCAGGAATAAATAAAGGCAAATAGGGAAAAGATTATAAAAAGGGGAGATGTAGTAATGGACAGGATCCAGCTTGTGCAGCAATTATGGTTGGTCTAGGTTGGGGGCATTCTGGGTAGCCATGTGAAATACTGATTATAGCTGGACCTTCTCATCTTTGCTCTGTGATACCACCTGAATTATTTGAATAAAAATCAAATCTTTCCTCCTTAAGAATCCTTGATGGCTTTCTGTTGCATGTGGAGTAAAGTTCAAACATCTTAGCACGAAGAATTCGTCAGTTAAAGGCTGGCCCCTACTTTTCCTTATCTTCTACTACCTCCTTCTCCATCCCCTCATCATGTCTAAGATGTGTGAAGCTTTCTTCCACCTTGCCTACCTAGCCAACCCTTACTTGTATTTTAAGACTCAGCTAAAATATCACCTCCTCTATAAAGACGGTTTCAAGTCTGCTGGTGTTAGCCACTCAGCATTTTGGGCTCCAATAATGCTGCGTCTGTAGTTCTTATGTAGCACTTAGAACATAATTATTTGTTTATATGTGTGCCACTCTTACTGAGAAGTGAGCTCCTCTGAGTAGCGGCTATGTGTAACTTATCCATTATTTCTTATTACAGTGTTTAGTCAAAAAAGAACTCTATGAATGCTTGTTGAGTGAATTAACGAATACATGAATGAATAGCATTTGAAGAAACAAAGCTGGAATATTACAATAGATGCAATTTCTAGTTTTGCTCTTTGTTTTAAAGTACGTTTTCTTTTTTTTAAGAGGCAAAAGTCTCTATATTGCTCAGGCTGGAGTGCAGTGGCTAGTCACAGGCATGATTATAGCACACTACAGCCTCGAACTCCTGGGCTTATGGGGTCTTCCTGCTGCAGCCTGCAGAGTTGCTGGGATTATAAGCATGGACCACTGTTCCCAGCCAATATTTTCTTTTCTTGAATGAGTACATAGGCAATGGGAGTTGAGGTTGCAAAAGGGGAAAACAACTTCTTTTAAACAATTATTTTTGCTCTTACATTTTCTCTTAGAACTAGCCAGGTTTCAAATGTCAAGTAATATGGACAGCATATTTCATATTCCATGGCTATTTATGTCTTGGTAGCAAAACCTTAATACAGAATACACATACTTTTGATTTGAGATACTTAGAAAATAGCTTTTTCTAATTATCTGAAAATCAATGCTCAGGATATATTTTTAAATTTGAGCTTTTCTTCCAAAAGTTTCTTTTTTTTTCCCCTGGGACACATAGAATAAACTTTTTCAATGTTGGGAATGGAGGGAGTTTAATTTACATTGATCTTTTCTTCAAACTTTAAGTGTTTTTTTGAATTGTTATTATTTTTTAATTTTCTACAGACATTCAGCCTTGAGCACTGGGAAAATTCCATTTCCCATTCCCTGTTGAGAGTATGATGGTGAAAAGTTATTAGTCTTGACAAGTCTCCAAGATTTTGTCACTGGCTTGGGATATTAGGCTGATAAAACCCCACACATCTCAGAAGGAGTGGGTTGATTCTGAAGAACAACCTATGGAAATGCTTACGTAAACACCCAGTGCTGGGGCTGGTTGCTCATACAGTGTGTCTATCTCATACCTCTATAGACTCTGACTGATGAATGCTTCGCCCATCCCTTTACCACACAGGGGCTGAGACAATTCTGAAAGGTAGCTGCCCAAGCTTTGGAGCAGACTGCCTAGGAATAAACAATGCTGGAGGCACACCATGTGTAGCTTAGAATCTCTAGAGGGGTTTGAAAATTTTTGAAGGAGAAAGATTTTTTTTTCTCCTTTCAGATCTGTCTAGGGATTCAGCAGGATCCCCACAAAATAGACAAAAAGATGTCAGTAGGAACAGAAGGTTGCTGGTTTCATTCTCTGTGATCTAGAACTGCCAACTCTTGACATATTCCACTTTAACCTGGCTAAAAGATTTCTAACATAATTTCCAGGGCTGTCAAGAATAATTTATGTGTGTGTGTGCATGCGTGTGTCTATGTGTACCTATGTTTTCTTACATATGCATTTTCATCCTGCAGGGACAATTGTGTTTGGGCTTGTAGATATAAAGATATAAAGGTTTTTCCTCTGTCAGGTTTTCGGTTTTGTTGTACTCAGCAGGGCTTTTGTCTAGAGCGTTGACATCTTAATGAAAAACAAAAGGTAGATTCATCAAAAGAGACAAGATTACTCGAATCATAAATGGAGAACATCAGGGAGGCTAGCAACAATAATAATAATAAATTGCAGCTATCGTCCACAGAAACTTGCTTTTCTAAGGTACTTTTGATAATTACCTGTCAATGTTTCAGTTTTAACACCCTCTCCTTGAACTGATGGAGTCTATTTATATCATATGACATTCTTGTATTTGCCTCTTGAAGTACATTCTATTCCCAGGCATGAATAGGGTTAGGGTTATTTTATTTTTCTAGGAGGGGAAAGTGGCATTGTTGAATTTGATACATGCACGCAATGTACACGTTGCTTTTTGGTGGAAGGGAAGCAAAATGAAACAACAAATAAACATCAGCCTGGCCAGATATAATGGCTCATGCCTGTAATCCCAGCACTTTGGGAGACTGAGAGAGAAGTATTGCCTGAGTATAGGAGTTTGAGACCAGCCTGGGCAACATAGCAAGACCCTATCTCTAAAAAAAAAAAAAATAATTAACCGGGCATGGTGGCACACACTTGTAGTCCCAGCTACTTGGAAGACTGAGGCAGAAGAATTGCTTGAGTACACGCGTTACAGTGAGCTATGATCATGCCACTGCACTCCAGTCTGGGCAGCAGAGCAAAATTCTGTGTCAAAACCAAACCAAAACAACAACAACAACAACAACAACAAAAACCAGCCTCAATAGACAAGCAAAAGAAGAGAATGGAAGCTTGGATGGTTTGGGGGCAAGTTGTGTTTGTGTTTCCAGAAGAATGCATTTGTTTCCCTCTCTGAAGTTGTCTAACATAGGTTATGTCTAACTCAGTTTTTCTGTCAGATGATGTCTTAAAGTTTAAATGAAATATCAGTACAGGGAACAAGGCAGTTGGGAAAAATGAGTCAGTGAAAATCTATGTTAGTAATATAGAAACTTCAGAGATGATAATTTGTCTTCATTTAAAGAGTGTCCTAATATTAACGCCTTAATTTAATAAAACCACAAGCATCTAAAAAGCATGTAAGTCCCATTGGTTTAGTCCTTCTCTATGACTTAATTCATAGAAATGAAAATGAGGGCTGGGCGCAGTGGCTCATGCCTGTAATCCCAGCACTTTGGGAGGCCGAGGCAGGCAGATCACCTGAGGTCAGGAGTTCAAGACCAGCCTGGCGAACATGGTGAAATTCCGTCTCTACTGAAAAATACAAAAAAAAAAAAAAAAAAAAAAATTAGCCAGGCGTGGTGGTGCGCGCCTGTAGTCCCAGCTACTCAGGAAGCTGAGGCAGAGAATCACTTGAACCTGGGAGGTGGAGGTTGCCGTGAGCCAAGATTGTGCCACTGCACTCCAGCCTGGGCGACAGAACGAGACTGTCTCAAAAAAAAAAAAAAAAAAAGAAGAGAAAATGGGAGAAGCATTTGCACAGGAGAACATGGCAGAGAACCCTTATATTTCTGTAAGTGGATGAGGGAGACTCAAATCATGAGATATATATCCTGGTACCCACCGTGCTGCTGTGACTTGGAACAACTTGTTTGTCTGTTCTGAAACTCAATTTCCTTATTTATTAAATGATAACATTGGGCCAGATCCTATCCTACTCTAAATGAACTCATTTTTCAAAAGTTCACTTAAAAAATTCTTAGCATCCCTAATTCGCCACACAGTGTCTGACATAAAATTGGGGATAAAGGCCAGCAGTCATGGCTCATGTCTGTTATCCCAGCACTTTGGAAGGCTGAGGTGGGCAGATCACATGAACTCAGGCATTTGAGACAAGCCTAGACAACATGGTAAAACCTCGTCTCTACAAAAAATATAAAAATTAAACTGGCCTGGTGGTGCACACCTGTAGTCCCAGCTACTTGGGAGTCTGAGGTGGAAGAATCGCTTGAGCTCAGGAGGTTGAGGCTGTAGTAAGCCATGATCAAGCTACTTCCCTCCAGCCTGGGTGACAGAGCAAGACCCTGTCTCAAAAACAAAACAAAACAAATAAACAACAAAAAGCCCCAGTGTTTAATAAACAAACAAATGAGTGTTTCTCTTAGACATCATTTACTTGTTCAGGTCACAGTTTCAGTCCATTAGATGTATGATCTTTCAGAATTATAAGGACTGTCTTGTAAGGATAACACATTTAATAACTATACCTTTTACCCACTCCTTGCTATGTGTGGAAGATAGCCTCTAAGATGGGCTCAAGTGACCACCACATCCTGGGATTCATATCCTTGTTTAATCCCCTTCTCTCAGGAGTAGGCTGGATATAATGACTCACTTCTAACAAATAGAATACAGCAGAAGTGATAAATTTTTCACTTCTGAGATTAGGTTACGAAAAGATCGTGACTTCTGATTTGTTCTCTCTCTCTCTCTTTCTCTCTCTTTCTCTTTCTTTCTCAACATTTGTTCTGGGGAAAGCCAGCTGCCAGCTGGTTGTGGCTAAGGAGAGACATACATGGCAGAGAACTGATGTCTCCAGACAACATCCAGCAAGGACTGAAGTCTGCCAACAGTTACATGAGTGAGCCTGGAAGTGGATCCTTCCGTAGTTGAGCCTTGAGATGACCACAGCCTAGGTAGACACATTGATTACAGTCTTTGCAGAAACTCTAAGCCATGCCCAGTTTTCTGACCCATAGAAACTGTGAGATAATAAATGTTTGTTGTTTTAAACTGAAAAATTATGGGGATAATTTGCTGCACAGCAATAGATGATAAATATATTATGTACAACAAGCTGAGTTAGACAGATAATTTAAAATGCATATAATCTAAATAAAATATACAACAAATATACCAATAACTGGCCGGGCGCAGTGCTTCACGCCTGTAATCCCAAAGTGTAAACACTTTGGGAGGTCGAGGCGGGTAGATCACGAGGTCAGGAGATTGAGAACATCCTAGCTAACATGGTGAAACCCCATCTCTACTAAAAATACAAAAAATTAGCCGGGGTTGGTGGCAGATGCCTGTAGTCCCAGCTACTCAGGAAGCTGAGGCAGGAGAATGGCATGAACCCAGGAGGCAGAGCTTGCAGTGAGCCAAGATTGTGCCACTGCACTCCAGCCTGGGCAACAGAGCGAGACTCCATCTCAAAAAACAAACATAAAAAACAAAAAACAAAAAACACCCAAAAAACAAAAAAAACTATTATGTACAGTTGTAGTAGTCATAATAACCAGTTTCTACAGAGAGCTTATGGTTTGCCCCAAGCTGATAGATATCTATATCTATCTCTCTATATATATATCAATTTATTCCTCACAATAACACTGTGAGGTACATGACATGACTATCACCATTTTACAGATGAGGAAATAGAGTTGCAGAAAGAGTAAAGTCATAGTTTAGTAGTAGGTAGTAAATGTAGTAGTAGGTAGTAGGTAGTAGTAGGTAGTAAATGTTTGATACTTGATTAAAAGTTTAAACCCACTTTCCCAGTTTCTATTCATAGAAGTAAAAATGAGTGGGCTGGTTGCACGTAACAATGTGGCAGAGAACCCCAACATTTCCATCAGAGGACAAGAGAGCCCCAAATCAGGAGATACATGTCCTGGTATGAGCTATGCTACTGTGTAGCTTAGGACAACTCGTTTGTCTGCTCTGGTACTCAAGTTCCTTATTTATTCAATGAGAACATTGGGGCAGATCCTATCCAGCTCTAAATGTTTGTTACCACTAAGTTGCACTGTACCCATAAATGAGACAAGGAAAGTATCATGAAATGGTAAGAGGTTCAAAAGGAGTGATTGCATCCAGTTTGAGAGATAAGAACAGAACCTTATAAAGGAGGTGAATTGCAGATAGGGAGAATTAAGCTTAGTGAAATGGAAATAACATCATAAATAGAGTTCCCTGTTGAGGGAATCACAGAGAAAGCCCAGAGGAAGGAAAAACAAGCATGTGATTGAAATAGGTCGTCGTGCAATCTGTTAGTCACATTACTCTGTCCATTAGTGTAGCCAAGCCCAGGAGAAATGGGATACAGAATGGCATAATTATCCTGGGGCCAAATTAGTCAGGAAAGTCTTACTAGTGGGAGAGTAGTATTTAAGTGAAGTCATCATCTCACTGGTCCTTACTTATCTCTTATGCTTCTTCTCCTAAGTCTTGAATTCATGTCTTCTATTCTCTGCGTTCTAATTCTATCTTACATTAATTCCATTGTCTCTTCAAGGTGAGACCCATCACTTCATCTAATGTCCCCTTTCCTATAGCCCTTGGAAGGCAACAGATAAAACAGAAAAATACCCAGGCTTCCAAATATAGTATAAAAATATGATTTCTGGACATATGAATACCCACCTGATATCCCATCAAGGTAGTCAATTCTCATATTTTAAACAATTGGGAATTTCCCAAATGGTCACTCGATGATTCTACAAAGGTACAACTCAACTCGATGAAGCTGGTATGTTACCAGCTGTTCTCCTGTGTTAGCTAGTTAATGCAATTGCTAGAATTTTCCAGAACCTTGCATTTTATATTTTGTTAATTGTGTATAGTCATCACTCAAACTTCCCCTGACATTTATTCATTTCCTTGGTAATCCTCTCCTTACTTACTAGTGCTTGCTTATTGCATGCTATTCAGCTTACCTATACCCAGCACAGACTAAGTGAAGCTCATGACGTCAGGCTGCAGAGTGAGAGGAGACTGCAACTTTCCATTTTCTTGCCCAGTGTGGTCTGGCTGCTAAAGGGGTTTCAAGGCTCTCATTCCATTTGACAATCTTGAATCTCAAGAGTTCAATTCGAATGCAGTGTCTCATTTTTAGAGGTGTTACATTTGCATAATGTTACAACTGGGGATATCAGTAGCTCAGGTAAATCAAATAAGTTTGCACCTCTGCACAAATGAAAATTTGCTCCCTTTCCCCAGGCTCCCATCATCCTGTTATAACCATTCCTTTGGCTCTGGCTTTTTCTCAGGCCTCCTCACCATATTGCATCTCATGCTCAGAAATAACTGGCTCTGTAGTCATTTCCTGCCCCACCTGTGTGTGCCTTCCATTGAAATACAAGGTTTGTTAGCTATAGTGGTGGTGAAAGGCAGGAACTTCAGCTTCAGACGACCTGGGCTCAAATCCTGTTTCTGTACCATACAAAGCCAAGCCACCACCATCTCCTGCATGGCCAGCTGCAGTAGTCTCCTAACTGGCTTCCCTGCACTCTTTCCCACCTCTAATTTTTCTCTCTGTGGACAGGATAATCACTTCAAACAATTTACTACTTTTTAAAATTTAAAAACAACGCATGAATATAGTTAAAAAATAAAGCCAAATTCAAAAGTGAGCACAATGATAAGTAGGTCTCTCTACTAAGTCAGCTCTTTATTTCTCAAGGATCTCTTCCTATAAGCAACCACATTTACCAGTTGATTGTATATTTTTCAGAAATAGTTTATATACATATATGTATAAGATATATAATATGCATTTTTGATAATTCATTTCTTCTATATAGGAATGCTTTTAATATATAGACTTGATCATAACATACAACAAAAGCTCTCCATTAACCTGAGATAAATGTCCAAAATTTTTAACATGGGCTTCAAGCTCCTGCATAATCTGACCCCTCTCTGACCATGCAAACTTATCTCATATCATTCTCCTCTTTATTTTCTGTTTTTCACACTGGGCTTATGTTAGATATTCAAACTTTTAATCTTACTGCCTAAGATTATTTGCACACATTTTTCTGTTTGACCAGAGTAGTTTTCTCTTTGACATGGAAAGTGTGGTTGCCTCTTCAATATACATCACATCTATGCCTAGCAGCCATATGTTTGGATGAAATGGATCCACCCTAGGATACAAAAGTATACAAATTTAATTTTCCTTACCACATTGATTGGTTTAGGCATCCACTGGTTAGAAGGACTGGTTTGGGGGAGGCTTAATCAGCATAAAAAGGGAACTCTGTCTGAATGTGAACAAAAAAGCTCTAGTTGTTGTTGGTAGACATAGTATGATAGAAACCAAAGGACTGAAACCAACATATAATTTGGAAGGACAGTTAGAGTCTTTAAGAAACAAAGCCAGAGCTTTGATCAAACTGCATCTGACACTGTTCTTAGTGACCAATAAATACCTTTTAGTGTTTTTAAAGCATATTTACATTGTTAAAGCATCCTGATATACCTCTCCTTTCTTGTATTTGGCTAACTCTTACCCAGTCTCCAAGCCTATGGTGGCCAGTGCCTGTAGTCCCAGCTACTCGGGAGGCTGAGGCAGGAGTATAGTGTGAACCCGGGAGGCGGAGTTTGCAGTGAGCCGAGATGGTGCCACCGCACTCCAGCCTAGGCAACAGAGCAAGACTCCGTCTCAAAAAAAAAAAAAAAAAAAAAAATATATATATATATATATATATATACATATACATATAAACTTTCTCATAGTGGCTTTCTCTGACTTTCTTAGACTAAGTTGGTCTTTCTTTCATTGGTTTTCCTTGCCTTGAGGTCTTTTTCTCCTACATACGGTTGTCACAATTGTATTGAATGATTATTTTTTAATGTTTTTCTCCCCCAGTAGACTGTAAATTAAGTGGAGTTGGGGCCATGTCTGTCTGGTTCACTGCTCTAACCCCAGGTTCTGACATGTGCCTCACACTTATTAACTGCTCAATAAATATTTGTTGGATGCAAAAATGAATGGATGGTAGAATTTATTATGGATAACTGGATTTTTCACAATGATTTGTAAATGAAAGTTAAAAATGTTCCTGTAGATTGAACTATATAGCTTTTCATTATTTTGTTTTGTTTTGTTTTGTTTTGGTAGAGACAGGGTTTCACCATGTTGCCCAGGCTGGTCTTGAACTCCTGGGCTCGAGCAATCTGCCTGCCTCAGCCTCTCAAAGTTCTGGGATTATAGGCATGAGCCACTGCATCCAGCCTGAACTATGGTTTTTTAGTCTTTTGTCTAACACAAGCAAACTATCCTGAGTGCCCAAGATAGTTTACTAGCTGAAATCCACTTTCTATTATTGAATCTCTGTGGAGAGGAGGTGTGGGTGACAGTTAAGAACACCACTGCAGTGCAGATCAGAATCCTGGTTAAGAAACCTGAATCTTCCATATACTGGGTGTCTGGTTTGGGGCAAGTTACTGAACTTCTTCAAGCCTCAGTTTGTTTATTTTTAAAGTGCAGATTATAATGGTATTTGCCTCACGGGTTCATGGTGAAGATTAAATAATGTCATACATGGAATATGCCTATCTCAATAGTAAGTACTCACATACAGTATTTTTATCATATAGTAAATACAATAATAAATAGATTACATAATAATACTTAATACACATAGCTACCGGCTATAACAGTTGAACCTCAGTTTCCAGGATTACAAAATGAGATTTCTCTTAATTCTACTCCAGGGCTTTGAAAGACTTTACTTATGAATGATTTAATATATATAGAATTGACTGAATGTTGGATTTTTAATTATTTCTGCTTGATTCAGATTCTTGTGTAACCGCATGATTTTGAACAGCTACTGTTCTTCGAAAAAGAAAGTGGATTTAAAGGAGTATTTATATTGATGTATTGTTGGTTGTTGAAATGTAAATAGCCCTGAATGTGCCACTCACTGGGAAAGGACAGTGCTTTTCATAATGGACAAAATAGCCTTGTTTCACTTTAATAACCTGCTTGTGGTCAAACCAGTCATGGGATTCCTTCAACACAGCAGAATGCCTGCTATTGTCATTTACATATCAATGAGCAGACATTTCTCTGCTCATTGCTATTACACAGCACTGCCATTTCCCTAACTTGGGGACTGCGCTGAGTTTCTATGTGAAATGCACATGTCTTTTTCCTTCATCCAGACGCGCATATTCCAAGCATAGGAAACAGCTGCTGAGGCAGTTACACAACTTACCTATTGTGTATCTGTAGAAGTTGGAAGGGTAAGGAATACATTGCCCACCCCTAGAATCTTACGGATCTATATGTGTATATTTATTTTACAGAACTATGCTATGAACAATCATTCTGAGTTTCAAAGTTGTGCGCAGTAGGTGCGTAGGCTTAAATGAGAAAAAAGAATCCCGGCTTTGCTTACACAGGAAACTCTGACTTTAAAATTCAGAGGAAAGAGCCCCCAAAACTTGTTTCCTCTGCTTATTGCCTCATTCCTACCAATGCACTTTCCCAGAGTTAGAAATAGCCCTTCCATTTCACCGATTTGGAAATAAATGGCAGATTAGTCTCTCCCTTAGGGGCCACTGAGGGAATTGAGGTTGGATGCAGAGTGTGTGATTCTAGACTGATGCCCAGGGCAGCACAGGAAGTGAGGACTGCTAACCCAGGGATCAACCCTAGCCCTCTGTAATGAGTGCTAGCATCATGCTTTCAATAATCTTTTTAGGTGACCTTAATCGCTGCTGCTGAATTAAACAGTGGTTTCGCCCCAGAGCCCGGATTTGGGCATGGATTTTTTACTCAGACCAGTTCAGGGGGAACACAAAGCTGAGGAAACAAAGTCTCTGTCACCTTATCATGTCAGTGGCACCTGTCCTCCATACTGTGAAAGAACTGTTTTGGGTAAATACCTATGTGTTCCCAGATTTTTTAAAATTGAAAATTGGTTATCAAGATCGTACTCATCCTTAGAAAAACTGTGAGGAACACACACTCATACCTCTACCCCCCACATCCATATGAAATAATATTGACCATGCTTGTTATCTACTTGGTACTGTTCTAGATTATGTCTAGGAATTAAATAATCTAACTCTCTCTCTCTCTTTGGATAGAGTCTCACTTTCTTGCCCAGGCTGGAGTGCAGTGGCATGATCTTGGCTCACTGCAACCTCTGCCTCTTGAGTTTAAATGATTATTTTGCCTCAGCCACTGGGGTAGCTGGGACTACAGGTGTGCATCACCACATTTGGCTAATTTTTGTATTTTTAGTAGAGATGGGGTTTCACCATGTTGGCCGGGCTGATCTCGAACTCCTGAGCTCAAGCAATCCACCTGTCTCAGCCTGCCAAAGTGCTGGGATTACAGGTGTGAGCCACTGCCCCTGGCCTAAATCATATAACTCTCTTCTCCAGCAATACAATGAGGCACATACTATTATTATCTAATTTTTCTATTCATCATCTGAGGCAAGGAAAGGTCTAGTAATTTACCCATAGCAGGAGCATAAATGTGAAAAGCACATATCTATCTCCTTCATGCAGAGATACATATACTAACAGGAGGCAACCGCTGTTGACGCAGTTAGCCAACTTCTCTATTATGTATTTGTAGAAGCTGTGATGGTATGAGATAAATTGCTCACCCCTACTGTCTTACTTAGAGATAGTATAAGGTGGAGATATTAATGATAAGAATAAAAATTAGCATTAACTGAGTGCTTCCTAGGCCAGGCCAGCACTCTTCTGTGGGCTTTATGTGTATTATCTTATTCCTCACAAGGCCCAAGGAGAGAGTTATTCTGACGCTCATTTCAGGGCAACAATATCTAAGGCAGACAGAAGTTAAATACTTTGCACCGAGTCATACATCTAGGAAGTAGGAGAGCAGGAATTTGAACTCCTGAATTTGTGTGCTTAACCACTAATCAGTAGTTCCTTTGGATGGTAAAACTCTTCCTCTAGGCCTCTGGGAGATTGGTATGGGTCTCCACAGTGTGCTGGAAGCCACGGATATGAGTTAACCTATCAAGTTGCTTCTTTCTCTGCCAAACCTCAGGATCTTCCCAGTCCCTCCTTCTCATATCTCATTGCCTCTGTCCCACGCTTTCCTTTCCAGTGTTCCATTTCTTTAAGAGCTGGCTTGGGCTTGTTGGCAAAGGGCCAATCTGAGAACCTATTTCATAACCACATATAGTGAGAGCAAGTGAGTTAATATGTTCCAGATACTTACATATTTTTGGAATAGAATCTAACCAATATAATCAAAACTTATTATCATTCACAGGCAACAATCATTCTTTTATTCATTCAATAAACATTGAGTGTCTGTGATGGCCTGGGCACTGTGATAGGTCAACATTAGCATTTGTGACAGGAGAATTTTGGAAATGCAGTGCCCCATTCATTGGAGTGACTTTATGGTGGAAGCCACGGGCACATTGGCAAGCCGGCTTTTTGGCCCCTCTCAAGTCCGTTAACTCAATGGCCATTAACTCTGCTTATTTCAGTGGCTGGTCTCGCTGGCACCACTGCTAAAAAAAGTGACAGAATTTAATTCCATTATAAAAAAAAAAAGAAGACTTCATCTGGGGTTAGATGAATTTTTTCAGATATAGAGGATGCCATTTTTCTGACTGGGAATGTAAAATGTATGTAATAGAACTTAAGTGACCTGTAATTCAGCTTCACAAGAGAAGTTTACATTGGTTTCCGTGATGGGACTGGGACAATGTCTTTGTAGTTGTTAGTATTTTGGTCAGTATTTTTAAATAACTGGGTTTTTCTTTTCTCTGTTTCTTGCCGGTTAGCAAACCTATTTCTTTGGCCAGGCCTTGCCACTGCTGCACTGTTTCATTTTTTCTAACAGAACCTTGTCCTTATAGGTCAGGCAGGGTGACCATCATCTGCAAGCACTTTGTCCTCTCTGACTTCAAAACAACCAATTTATGATGACACGGACAAGTCAGGAGACTCAGAGCTAAAACGAACAGGATTTTGTAGATCTAATGAAGACTCTGTCAGGCCTCATTTTGATCTGGTTAATGAGGATCTGATTGAATTTGCCATCGTGAGGTCTTCTGGGCCAGTAAACGATTTCCCTTATTTTTCTGCACAGAAACAAGGATGAGGGCGAGTTGTCAGTGTAAGCATTTGTATGTCATAAGTTGTCAGACATCATGCATTTGGTGGATGATTTGCTAGGTCATCTCAGAGAGATCATTTAATCTTCTTGTGTTTTAGTTGTTTACATCTGTGAAAGCATAATTACACATATGGGGCTTCCAAGGAAAGTTTTATTAGTGAAAATATGTAAGGTGTATTAATTTGAGGGGCTTTTGCAAAAGAGCTTTGCATCACTTTTTGCTAGACAAAGTGTCATCTTGAGGCGGTATAGAAATTCGATGGCAAGATAGTCTGAGAAAAAGTGCTTGCCAAGGAAATATCAGATCTGAAGGAAGGGAGGGGTCATTCCTGGTATTCCATGCATTTGGAGGTGACTTCTGACAGGGCTTGTTGGTACAGTATTTTCTCTGAGAGAAAAACTGAAATCATAAGAACACCATTTGGGAGCCCAAATTCAATGTATCCACAATTAAAAAAGACAAATTCTTATATGCTCAGCTTCAGATTATGAATTACCAATAACATCTTGATGGTTTTGTTCTTTTGCTTTGAGGGGACTTTGGTGCTGAAAACACTCAAAACTCTGCTTTTCACAGGCAGCACGTAAACAACAGCAAACCTGGAAGATGTTAGTCCTTCAAGATGTGCAGGTTAGCACACTCTGGTTTCATTGTACTCTCTTATGATCCAGTAGCCTCAGATCCCCCAGACCAGGTATACTTTTATAAATACATACAGAACCAATCAATATTTATTTTTGGGTCACTAAAACTATTCTAGCAAATTCCTTAATAAGGTCTCTAGATGAAAATACATCTGAAACCAAAGAATAGTTTTGCTTTCACAACTTCCAGTTCCGATATTTTAAAACACTGATTTAAACCTTTTCATATGTAACAAGTGAGACTCGGGGGGGAACCCTGTATTTCACCTTGCTGCTTACCCACTCTCTTTCTCCTCCTTCCTCCACCCCCTTGAAACTGCAAGCATGAATTCTGTTGCTTTCATCTGTGTGAATTTCCCGTTGGCAGTGCCCCAACTCTCGGAATCATTCTGTTTCCCCCAAGGGAATCAGCAGATGTTCCTTGTGTGATTGATGTACCGTGTGCTGTTCGGCTTTGCCTGGGCTTGTCCACGTGTCCTCCAAAAATGTAAACAGAGGCGCTGCAACTGTGCCTCAAAGTGGCAGGCAGGGCGGCAAGTCGGTAACAAAACCAAACAAATGCAGGAAATGTTGCTCCTTCCTGCAGTATGTGCAGGAGGGTGGCTCTCTCATGATACAGTTCTAGCTGTAGTATCTGAACAAGGTGGGTTCTATGGTGTAAAAAGTCACTTGTTAAGTGCTGTGACAATTTGTCAATCTGTGTTACTTCACACTGAAAAAATTCCCAGCAATGTCATTTCTGCCAGTATCACGGGAAATAGTTATGTAGTTAAAGTTTTAAAAGCTAAGTTCACTGCATATTGTTTATAATAGTTCAAAAGTGGGATGGAATTAAATGTGTAACAAGAATTTGGTTAAAAAAATCATGATATGTGTCTGTTTATATCTCTTCCAGATATATCTATTTTTACCATTTAAAATGAGGGTGTAAAACAGTGGCCTTAAAAATTTTTGATTGTGGGCACCCTTGGGGAGCTCAATAAAAGCTGTGAACCATCTCCCTAGAAAAATCTCCATATGCTCAACATTTTCATGTAATATAAAGAGATTTAAACAGGAACCTGTCTATCACTCAAAGGTTAAGAACTCCTAGTATTAAGAATTTAGTAGAAATAATATTTAATAATTTAGATATATGGAGTAGTGGAACAAGCAAGTTATAAAAGTATGATTCAGCCAGGTGCAATGGTTCATACCTGTAATCCCAGCACTTTGGTTGGCCAAGGCGAGAGGATCACTTGAGCCCAGGAGTTTGATAACAGCCTGGGCAGACTCTGTCTCTACTAAAAAAAAAGAACTAGGTGTGGTGGCAGCATGCACCTGTAGTCCCACATACTCTGGAGGCTGAAGTGGGAGGATTGCTTGAGCCCAGAAGTTCAAGGCTGCAGGAAGCCACTGCACTCCAGTCTGAGAAACAGAGCCAGCCCCGTGCCTCAAAAAAAATAAATAAATAAAAATAAAAAAAAGACTATGATCACATTTTTGTAAAAATAACCCCACCATATATAGTTAAAAAAAAGGGGTGGGGGCTTTGAAAAGCTGAACATTTAGATGCTAATGATGGCTTCTCTGGGGATGATAAGTTTTCTCTGCAAGTCTTCTTTTCTCTTTCCCTTCCTCCCTCCCTCCTTTCTTCTTCTCTTTCTTCATTCATGTCTCCCTCTCTCCCTTCTTCTCCTTGTTTTCCCTTATTTGTATCTTCTAACTTTTCTACAATTAAACAAAAACTACCTTTATGAAAAGAAATATGTCATGTAAGTTTGTTTTAATTAAACAAAAATGCTGTAATCAGCTTTGGCAAGTATGTTAGAACATCTGGGGACATTTCCAGCACCCCTCTTCATTCACCGCATGGTGAAACACTAGGAAGAAGTCACATTAGAATGAAGGGACACTATTTCTGAGTGAGACATGGTTAGGGCCATATAAAAAGAAAGCAGTTAGATAGATATATTTTCAACATAAAATACAGATAAAACATATTTAAAAGAGTCAAAATGAATCAAAATAAATACGTGCCCAAACCATATGTGGTGACCAAAAAGGGCCAGCTACATGTAAACTTTAGCTTGACATCAAGAACATTTCTATTCTTGGAACGTCCTTTGGTGATACCTATGGCAAGTCAACATCTTAAGGGGTTATGAATCCAATATTCCTATTTCTTTCACCTTAGAAGGGAGAAGTTGTTCCATCTTTGCAGACCTTGTTCTCTCAGTTTGAAGGTGAAGTTTGCATTTCATCTGTTTCTTGGCAACTATCTTTAAGAAAACAAAAGTTAAGTTTTGGACTGCAAGTATATCTGCTTGGCATTCATGCTCTCTTTCTTGAGTAACAGGCCCCCCTTATCTTCTTCGGGTCACTCCCTTCTCCCTTTTTCAATTCTGTGGGTTTAGTGTGGCTGGCATCACCCTCCAGCTCCAGGTTGAGCACACGACTCAAGCTTGGTCAGTTTGAGTTCTCCCTCTCTCTCTTCCTCTCTATCTCTCTGCCACAGTGATTGGTCAGAGATGGAAGGGCATATGATCCAATAAATGAGGTATAGAGAGCGAGCTTTTGATAGGGCCAAGGTTTCTCAGGTGGGAAAATATAAGTGTAGAATTGTTCTGAAAAAAGGCTGCAGAAGAATGAAGGCAAAACAGCAAAACAAAGGCACAAGATGGAAGAAGGTGGGGAAAAAGATTCGGGTGAGCATCAAGACCTGGGGCTTCATTTCAGTGCCCAGGTCCATATGTGCCTGAATCTAACTTGCCGTTGAAGTTTTCAATCATGTGGGGCAACAATTTTCCTTTTATGTTTAGGTCAGTTTGACTGAGATCGGTTTTACTTACAATCAATTGAGTCCTGATTAATATACTGATTTAGTAATAATAATAATACTTACTGAGTATGTCTTAAGTGACAAAACTTGTATACAACCTTTATATGCATTCTCTTATTTAATTATCACAATAGTTCTTTTTAAGAAAGGAAACAGGTTCAGAAAGGTTAATTCACTTTCATAAGATCCCTTGATGAGTAGAAGTAGACCCAGATGAAAACCAGATATGTCTGATTCTAAAATTCTATGCTCAACCAGCTATCAACTAAGCAGTGATACTTGATAGAAGTTAGGCCTGACAGCTCCTGGATTGCACATCTTAAGCCTTCATTTTTAACTGCAGTTTACAAAGGGACTCACTGAGGATGAGAAATGAGTATTTACTAAGCATGGCTATTTTTAGGCATTAAACTTACTTCATTTCCTTGTTAGTGCCTCCTTTCATTATTATTATTTTTTGCTTTCCGAGACTAGACAATGTTTAACAGAAGAATCCCAACCAGCTTCTGTGCCTTCATTCAGTTTGGTGGAAACCAATTTACCTGATGCAAACTAATTTAATCTATAACTGCTTGGGGGCTCACTTCAGCTGTAAACAAGTAGACCTGGAGATTAAGCATGGTTCCTTTAAGAATCAAGGAAGAACTAATGCACACTCCCACCAACAGTGTAAAAGCATTCCTATTTCTCCACATCTTCTCCAGCATCTGTTGTTTCCTGATTTTTTAATGATCACCATTATAACTGGCGTGAAATGGTATCTAATTGTGGTTTTGATTTACATTTCTCTAATGACCAGTGATGATGAGCTTTTTTTCATAGGTTTATTGGCCACATAAATGTCCTCCTTTGAGATGTGTCTGTTCATATCCTTCGCCTGCTTTTTGATGGGGTTGTTTGTTTTTCTCTTGTAAATCTGTTTAAATTCCTTGTAGATTTTGGATATTAGCTCTTTGTCAGATGGATAGATTGCAAAAATTTTCTCCCATTCTGTAGGGTGCCTGTTCAACCATTGTGGAAGACAGTATGATGATTCCTCAAGGACCTAGAACCAGAAATACCATTTGACACAGCTATCCCATTACTGGGTATATACCCAAAGGATTATAAATCATTCTACTATAAAGACACATGCACACGTATGTTTATTGCAGCACTATTCACAATAGCAAAGACTTGGAACCAACCCAAATGCCCATCAATGATAGACTGGATAAAGAAAATGTGGCACATATACACCATGGAATACTATGTAGCCACAAAAAGGATGAGTTCATGTCCTTTGCAGGGACATGGATGAAGCTGGAAACCATCATTCTCAGCCAACTAATACAGGAACAGAAAACCAAACACTGCATGTTCTCACTCATAATTGGGAGTTGAACAATGAGAACACATGGACACAGGGAGGGGAACATCACACACTGGGGCCTGACATTGGGTGGGGGTTCCAGGGGAGGGATAGCATTAGGAGAAATACCTAATGTAGATGGCAGGTTGATGGGTGCAACAAACCACCACGGCACTTGTATACCTATGTAACAAACCTGCACATTCTGCACAGGTATCCCAGAACTTAAAATACAATAATAAAAAAAAAGAATATAGGAAGAGTGCCAGGGTTACTTTGGCACTCTTCCTATATTGGTATGTTGTTATCAACCCAGAGTGAGCTTTCTTTTCATTAATAAGGTGAAAATAAAGAGGTGTATCAGTTCTGCACTGCTCCTTTCTCAGGCAGGGTTTTCTTAACTCTTCATAGAACAGAAACGTTCTCTCTTGAAGATTGAAGACAAAGGTAAACACTTGCCTGGGAAATATGGTTTTTGACTCTAGCTTTGAGGTTCATGCTGTACTCAGAACATCCTGTTCTTCTCAACTGACTGTGATGTGGTAGATAGCAGTCCCTCCCGGGCTGTTAACAGCTGAGCTCATTTTTCATAGATGCTGCTCAGTGAGGCTGAGGAAATGGGCCACTGCTGCTTCCTCCTTTGTCACTCTTACCATTAAGGATGGGTACTCCCGGTTTCTTTGAGAAGGCACTTGCCATCTTCTCTTAAATTAGATCTTTAATTCCTTTGAGATATTTGGCAAACTTAGATAGTACTGGAAGCTTAGTGAGTGGAAAAGAAATCTCAAAAAATCATTTGTTTAGCATAGGAGAAAGCTACTCTGTTGAACCCTGCTGTGATAGAGTTAGGAAACGAAGAGTGGCTTCTGGGAAAAGGTGTAATAAAGCCTGATACTGAGAAAAGACAGCATTAGTAAAGTCATCCAGCTTTTTAGGAACTGGAATTTCTGACTTCTCAATGACCCCTTCAGTAAGAGCTGGAGAAGTGGCTTTTTGTGCAACAGATATGTTAACTTCCGAATAAACCTGTGTTTAGTAATCACATCTATCACAAACACACAAATGTAATAAGAAAAAAAGTTTCATTTCTGTGGTCAGGAACCTGATGCAAAATTATTCCATTGCATTTGGAGATTATAAAGGCATAAGTGGAATAGGGGTGGCTTCTGCTGGTCACCAGCAAAGGAAGCTGTTTCCCTTCTGCCTCCTCTGCTGTGTTGCAAAGTGTCTGCTTTGTCATCCAGGAGATGGACAACAGTGGTGTCTGTTTTTTGGATGGCATTTGTTAGAGAGCATAAGGTATGTCCTGTGACTCTGCTTCTCACTGGGCAGTTCCAAAACTTGCCTTAGCATTGGAATAATGAAACTGCTTTAATAAGAACAGTGAGATCCTTTGTCAAACCCAGACCGGTTGAAAAGAAACACATAAGAATAAGGCCTGTCCATCTATAATTTTACACAGGTTATTCATACTATAATTAACCAGGGAGTCACTACTCTTGTCTTGCCTCATTGGGCTGGATAAATTAATCAATCAAATTAGCAACTTTTGCCACGCATTCATTAGGATGTGTAGACATGACTCCAGGGCAGGCCAGTCTTCAACTAGGAGCAGTGGGTAGGGAATGGAAGGTGACAATTAGAAGGATATGCCAAGGCTGAGCCAATGTAAGGAGCATTGAGGCATCATATAGGAAAGCCCAATATAAGATGAAAAGGATTCCTGGGATGTTCGTCTGCATGGATTTTAAAGACTGGGTTGTTAAAAGAACAGAGAGTGGCAAAGCCCACTTTGCTTCATTCAAGTTAATCAACATATCTCATTTCCATCTGGCCATAATGCTCACCATTTTTATGGTAATCATCATGGTCAGCAATCAGAGATGTGTGTTAAAACCCCATTCCTTCCAAACAGAGATGTGAAACAGAGGAAATCTAAGTCAGATATTTCAATGCAACATGTATGTAGGTGGTAGTGTAGTCTCCCTTTTACACCTAAGAGAGCACATCACATGCCCATTGACTCATTCCGTTATTTAATTAACCATCATTTATGGTTGAGCAGAACCAGTACTAATCAGGCATGGTGCCACATAGTGGGGAACAAATGAACATCTATTTTGCCCTCTAGATAGTCACAGATCCATGGATACATAAGAAAAGATGGAAGAAAGAAAAGGGCCGGCTCTCACTGGGGAGGAGAAGAAGGTGTGCTAGAGAAGGTGATGCCTGAACAAGGTGTTTAAGAATAAAACAGAGATTCCCCTGGGAAATGAGCACAGTCTTCTTAGACAGAGGCAATAGCTTGGACAAAGGCACAAAGTGGCCTGGTGGGCCTGAAGAAGTCTGTGTAATTTGCTATGACAGTGTGAGAGGGAAAAGTGGTGGGATGTGATCTGCTGATTTGGCAGCATCCAAATCATGCAGGGTCTTGAATGTTTCTGCTTCTGTTCTAAGGTAAAGAACTTGGCACAATCCAAAGACCTGAGCTCATAAACACACAGCAGAGGAGAACAGAGGCTACTCAGTTAAAGACACAGAGGAGTATCAACTAATTCTTGCGTTCATTTTGCACACACCTTGAGATTGGGTTTGTAGGAGTCTACCTCTCAGAGAAACTGGGTATTATAATAATACAGCAACTCATAACTTTTAGAGAACTGCTATATATTTTTCCTTGACTGCAGAATATGTTTTGAAAAAATGAATACCATTTCTAGCTTTAACTTTAAGATGCCTTAATTTGAGAGACCATTAGTCATGAAGGTGTTTCCATAGCAAATGTGTGTGGGATGTCCTAGCTTTGTTGGCAATGGTTCAAGGGAACTTATATCATTAAATTGGGATGAGGCCTGGCATGATGGTTAGAAAATTCATGGCACTGTTCCCATAGCACACGAGGCCTCCATTTAAGGGCAAGATAAAGGAAAGGCAAAGACCAAGAGGAGAAATGCTGGAATGAAAACAAGTAAAAAACGGAAGATAAAAATGGAAATCACAGTTCAGTGTGAATAATAGGAATGCAAATGGTACTACTAAAATAGGAAGGAACATTACTTTTCAAAAAGGCAAAGCAAAGGAAAATTGTAGTAGCAAAAGCATTTTGCATGGTAAAATTGTACACTGTGTATGCCTGTAAGAAGCAAAGCCACCTACTCTAATTTTTCCCAGCTCGATGCTGTGAATTTGGTGAGTCATTTTATGAAGGTTTACTATAAAGCCCCAATCTGCATATTTTTAAAAATAATACTCTTGGATTAAATCTTCTTTTTCCCAGCAGCTGCCTACTAATGGTCCCATTTTATAGACAAAATTTTTCACCTGGGCTAGTAAGTAACACACTTTTAAAAAAAAAAATCAGTAAGTTTATGGAATAACCCCTAGGGCTTACTGCTAAGTAAGAAAAAGTCATGGTGAAAAAAAATGTGTCCACCATGCTACTATTTAACTAGGAATCTGAATACAAATTTGCTTATGCTAAAAGCAATTGCAGGAAACGATTATTTATGGAGGAGGGTGGAAACCAGGTGGTGGGGGACAGGATTCACAGCTAGATATGTCTGAATCTATTTTGTTTTTGTTTTGAATTCAAAAGCATATAAATGTTTAACACGACTATAAAAAATAATCATGAAACAAAGCAATCTCTGAAATTTGAAAGCGAAATGACATGAATGAACCTAAGTCTCAAATTAGTGGCATACTCACAGAGAGGAATGATTTCAAATGATACAGTATGTAGATATCTCCTAAGAAAAAGAATTGTGAAACAATTTTACATTGTTTTTTAAAATTATTATTGATGATAGTGTTGTTACTGTTTACATCTGCCTGCCTGCCTTCCTGCTTTCCTTCTTTCCTTCCTTTCTTCCCTCCCTCCCTCTCTTTCTCTTTTCTCTCTCTCTCTTTCTCTCTCTCTGTCTCTCTCTCTCGTTCTTCTTGAGACTGTTGTGTGCATTATGGGATAAAGCAAGTGAAATTATGTTGGTATCAGGAACTAGGATTTTTGGTATGGAAGAAAGGTAATTTAGATTTAAGAGAAAAAACGTTTAAGTAAAAACCTTGTAGTCTTGGCCAGCTGTGGTGGCTCACACCTATAATCCCAACACTTTGGGAGGCCAAGGTGGGAGGATTGCTTGAGCCCAGGAGTTTGGGACTAGCCTAGGCAACACAGCAAGACCCCATTTCTACAAAAGAGATTTTTTTTTTAAATGGCTGGGCATGGTAGTGCATGCCTGTAGTTCCAGCTACTCAGAAGGCCAAGGCAGAAAGATCGCTTGAGCCCAGGATTTCAAGGTTGCAGTGAGCTGTAATTGGGCCACTGCACTCTAGCCTAGGTGATGGCCAGAACTTGTCTCAGAAAACAAAAACAGAGCCAAAAAGAAACCTTCTAGTCTTTAAATTATATTGTAATTATTAATTGAAATTGTGATGTATTTTAATGTAAAAATATAAATTCCCTGGCTCTATTGACTGAAAAGACTTAGCAATAATGACAAGGTAGGTAAAATGAGTATCTCTGGGTTCATTTACTAGGTTCAAAATCTAGTGCTCAGACTGTGAGCACTAAAAGGAACCTGGGATCTTTGGGCGAGAACTGATCACAGATCTGGGGCAGGAATTGTGTAACATGAACCTGGAATAATTTATCATACTGAAGGGCAAGAGAGCTAGCAGTGACTTTTGGGGCTATGTCTAAAACACTTTGGAGCCAGCTAGGGAAGCCTTTTTCTAGGCAAAGATGAGATGATGTGAGCCTCAATAAAATAATAATAACTACAAGAATTAAAACAATCAACTATGTTTTAACCTATAGTGTTTCCAAAACATACACACACACATGCACATGTGATTGAATAGTTAGTAATATTATATATTATTGTTAATCACCTCTAATTATGATAATGAATTGTGCTTAGATTTAAGGAAAAGTTCTTATTTCTGATTATATATGTATATATCAAATATATTCATCTTCATATATATTCATTCCTATATATATATTCATTTCATCTTCATGTATAAATTCATGTATATCTTCATATATACATATACATATGAAGATATACATAAGATGAAATGATGTGATGGCTTGGTTTTGCTTCAAAATAATCCAGTGGTGTGGGGGGGAATGGAATTAGATGGGGGTGTAAATAAAACAAGTTTGACTGTGAGTTGACAATTATTGAAGCAGAGTACATGGAGTTTATTATATTCTTTTTTCTTTTTTGAATTTTGAAATTTCAAAATATATTTGAAATTTTTCATATAAAAAGTTTAAATAAATAAATTGCTTTGCTCATCTCTCCCTGTAATCTGATGAGCCTGCTTTCCAGTGTATTTTCATGCCTCCATGGGAACTACTCAGTAAATGTTTGCAAGTCATCACGCTGCTGTTGTTGAAGATATTTCTCTAGCATTATTGAAGATTCTCATGGGGGATGAAAATTGAACAGATAGAGAAATGAATTCTAGGCGTAATTCAAGTCACTTAGTGGGTAACTCCTTTTGGACAGTTATGAGCTTTCAGACTTGAACATTTGATGTTTGGAGTTCTAAAAGAGACTCCCGTCTCAAAGCGAAAGACAGTAGTCTTCTTATCTAGGAGTAATACTTCTATGAACCACAAAGAAACAAAGTTTCTGAACTCAACTGGTCATGAAAATTGGCATGATGTGGTCTCATGACTGATTACATCCTCAATTGCAGGAAGACTCAATTGCTAATTATTTTACCATAAAGCAGTTGAGCTCATGACTATCTTTGGTCAGTAAGTATTTGTAATTCTTTACTAGCAAACTCCATGCTTCAGTGTATGGCATTAAGTCACTCTGAGATATTTGCTGTCATGCTGAAGGTTTTAATGTGTATAATCTTTCATTTATGTGGTACCTTTTCTTGTATTATTGATATTTTTCCTCTCAATTTATTTTTTCTGAAACAATAATTCAGATCTCTGATCTCCTGTGTATAATCCTATAATTGTGTTTTTTCCCCCCATTTGTTGTATTTTCCATCTCTGTTATTTCGATCTAATTTCTGGGCAATTTCTACAACTTTATGTTTCTAATTCTACCTACTTAAAAAATTCTGGTCAATCAGAAAGAATCCTTTCATATATTTCTCATGGTCTCTTTAAAAAATAGCATCTTATTCTTGTTTGATTTGTTTTGTGGATATAATATCTTTTTATATTTCTCTGAGGTTATAATATTTATTTATTTATTTATTTATATTTAGGGAGTACAAGTTTCTCACATGCATATATTGTATGTGAAGTGGTGAAGTCTGGGCTTTCAGTGTACCCGTCACCCAAAGAGTGAACATTGTACCCAATATGTAGTTTTGCAACCCTCACCCCCTCCTACCCTCCCACTTTTTGAAGTCTCCAATGTCTATTATTTCCCTCTGTATGTTCACATGTACCCATTGTTTAGCTCCCACTTATAAGTGAGAACATGCAGTATTTAACTTTCTGAGTTATTCACTGAGGATAATGGCCTTCAGTTCCATCCACGTTGCTGCAAAAGACATAATTTTATTCTTTTTTATGGCTGAGTAGTATTCCATGCCATATATATATATATATATATATAAAACATATATAAATACATACTTTATATACTTATATAAAAATGTATTTTTTATATTTATATAAAATGTGTGTATATATATAACTTCATTCAGTCTCCATTGGTGGACACTTAGGTTGATTCCATATTTTTGCTGTTGTGAATAGTGCTATGATAAACATATGAGTGTAGGTATGTTTTTTATATAATGATGTTTTCCCTTTGGGTAGATACCAAATAGTGAAATTGCTGGATTGAATGAAAGTACTAATTTTACTTATTTGAGAAATTGCTATAATGTTTTTCATGAAGGTTGTACTCATTTACATTCCCACCAATAGTATGTAAGCATTCCCTGAAAGTGTAACTTTTTAAGAGTTTTATTCTGCCCTTTGAATTATCTCTTTTCCCTCCGAGTTATATTATTTATTTATTTATTTATTTATTTATGTCTTTGCTTTTCATCTTGGTGGCGTACTTTAATACCTGGTAATCTTTGGTTGACTCTTCACAATAAGAATGATACTGTAAATAGCTGATCAAATGCTCTGTGTATGAGGCTGAGTCTTATTGACTGCTGAGTTTTCTAGTAACTAACTCATTAATTGGGGGCCCCCAAGGCTGATATGGCATAGGTATCATTCATTCAGAGAGGTACCAGGACTCTCAGAACGCACTGGTCATAAACAAATCATTCAAGAAGACTGTGTGTACAGACTGAATTCAAACTCAACAGTAGTTCTGTCTCTTAGACAGGATGGTTTCCTCAGAGAGGACTTCTCTAGTCTCCTGTCTTGGGTGAAATAGGAATAATAATCCCACCGTCAAATTTGGAGGGTTCTGGGAGGCCATTTTTTTTTTTATGTGTCCATGGATCTGTTGCCTAGGCTGGAATGCAGTGGTATGAACATGGCTCACTGCAGCCTCAACCTTTTGGGCTCAAGCAATACTGCCACCTCAGCCTCCCAAGTAGCTGAGACTACAGATACACACCATCATACTTGGCCGTTTTTTTTTTTTTAATTTTAATTTTTAGTAGAGATGGGGTCTCACTATGTTGCCCAGACTCATCTCTAACTCCTGGGCTCAAGACATCTTCCCGTCTCAGCCTCCCAAAGTGTTGAGATTACAGGCCTGAGCCACCATGCCCGGCTAGCGGGAGTTCTTTCCATAGGATTTCATTTAATCTATTAGCTGTGCTTCCTGTTCCTGGAGCTCAGAGCTTCTCAGATTTAATTTCTCCAGAATCATTACTTTTCTGTCTTCTCAGCTTAGTTAGAGGTAATCACCTAGATATTGGAATAAGGGAGGACACTTGGGGGTCTGATTGTTTTTTATTTAGTCAGACTTCCTTCTTCTTCTTCTTTTTTTTTTTTTTTTTGAGACAGGATCTGGCTCTGTTGCCCAGGCTGGAGTACAGTCAGTGGTGAGATCTTGGCTCACTGCAACTTCTGCCTCCCTGGCTCAAGTGATCCTCCTACCTCAGCCCCCCAAGTAGCTGGGACCTCAAGCGCATGCCACCACGCCTGGCTAATTTTTGTATTTTTGGTAGAGACGGGGGTTCGCCATGTTGCCCACGCTGGTCTCGAACTCCTGAGTTCAAGTGATCCACCCACTTCAGCCTCCCAAAGTGCTGGGATTACAGTAGTCAAACTTCCTTCTAAGAGTTCATTCTTCAGTTCTACCCTTTACCCTCACCTTCAGAGATACTCAGAGCCTCCAATTCCTAAGTCATTCTGGGTTTCTTTTGCACAAATTGTCTTGCTTCCTGTTGGCATGCCTCTCTTCAGGCATAAAATTTAGCCTTTTCAGATTTAGCAAATCAGTTACCACTTACACAGCTGCTTTCTTTATTCTTTCATTTCTTTTTTCTTTTCTTTTCTTTTTACCACACTTCATTTGCTGTCATTTCCTTTCCCATTCTTTTAGCTTTTATTGGTTTAAAATGTCTCTTTGTATGTGTGTGCATACCTGTGTACGTGTTTAATTTCCTTTTTTTTTTTTTTTTTTTTTTGAGACAGAATCTTGCTCTGTAGCCCAGGCTGGAGTGCAGTGGCGCAATCCCAGCTCGCTGCAAGCTCCACCTTCCGGGTTCACGCCATGCTCCTGCCTCAGTCTCTCGGGTAGCTGGGACTACAGGCACCCACCACCATGCCCGGCTAATTTTTTGTATTTTTAGTAGAGACGGGGTTTCACCGTGTTAGCCAGGATGGTCTTGATCTCCTGACCTCCTGATCCGCCCGACTTGGCCTCCTAAAGTGCTGGGATTACAGGCATGAGCCACCACGCCTGGCCTGTTTAATTTACTTTTAAGTTTTTAGTAGCACTCTAAAATAAAATAAAGTAAATATGTAGACTTAATCCATTAAGTTTAACCAGAAGTTTTACTTTTAAATTCTTAAAATATGCCTCCAACTATAATTAGTTTTTGACTATAGAGTTCATCAGCATTTATGTGTACACATATAATGTACACATTTATGTGTACACATATAATGTACACATTTATGTGTACACATATAATGTACACATTTATGTGTACACATCTTACACATGTAGCTCCCGTCCTCATATCTAAAATAAAAGCTGAAATTAAAGAAAAAAGATTTAAACTTAACTATATATATATTTTTTTCTTATCATGCTTTCTTATATCCCACATTTTTCTTTATCTTGGAATCTTAGTTTTGTTGGCATACATATTTGAATAACTTGTTCACATTTTAGTAGAAATTGATTCGGATTACAGGAGTTTATCTGCAGTGATCGTGGGGACAGGACAGGGCATTCTGCTAGGAGGAGGTTTCAGCTGGTCTCAAGGGTATCACTAGCTACTTGTGACAATGAATTGTCCCATCTCTTTGGTCTCAGAGCCCATGCTCATCTGTTTAGCCTGAGGGCAATTCCTGCTCTCTTTTGCTCAGCTTAGTCAGGAGGTAGGGGGGCTGGCTGATCAGCCTAGTCCCTCTAAATGCACTGCCCCAGTTAATCACTGTGACAATTGCTCCTTGACCTCCTAAGGCTGCCTGAAGTTCCCATAAGCACTCTCATCTCTGCACTCTCTCTCTCCTATGTGTTTTTTTCTGGTCTTTTTTTTTATGAAGAATTCAATCCTATCTGCTCTATATCTTTTATAAATATCTCAACATCTTTGATGTTGACACCACCCTTTCTTGTTTTCTAGTGCGTTACGAATGTATTTATTTATTTGATCATATCAGAGTAATTGGGGTGGGAAAGAACACGTGTTCAGTCTGCCCTTCTGCTCCTATTTTGAGACACACAGACCCCCCCACATGCAAACACACACAAATATTTAAACGTAGTGTCCCTGCTAACCAACTTGTCTGCTATTGTTCATTGTTTCAAAATGAAAATTTGATTTGGTCTTCCTTCCTTCCTTTGGTCTTGCCTTAAAAGAAAATCTGCTTATCCTTCTTTTTGTTTAGTATAATCCAACCTGTAGGTAAAAGTCTGTCTTTTTAGCCAGCCACAGATAAAAAACTAACAACAAAATCCTAGCTCTGATATTCATTTACTGTGAATACTCTGCCAAGTGGCGAAGAATGCATTTCCAGTATAGACTCCCCACTGGTACTAAAGGCATCTGCAAAGACATAGTCATATGAAAGAGAGCCAAAAACCTACAATGAAGTTAGTGTTGTGCATAACGATTTTCTTTAAATGTACTTATCTTAAAAGGACTCTGTATGTTCCTTCAGGGAGATGGAGACTTTCTCTTCCCACATTTTTAATTGGCAGTCACTCCATTTTCTGGAACTGCATTATGAAACTGTTGTTCAATACTTTAATCAGTACAAAGAAAAATTAACACTTTATTAGAAAGTTATGTTTTCTATAAAGTATATGATTTTAAAAGAGGTGTTTCCGTACTCATTCAGGTAAATTGTTCTCATTTATGGGCAACAATTATTGCTTCCACCATGAATTCCATCTCTGCAGTTAAAATGTAAAGCCTAAGAATATAAGTTAACTTATGACATTTTATTTTAGGGATTTCCCACATTAGAGTTAAGGGTAGAGTTAGTATTATCACATTGTATGTAATAAATGCATATCATAAAATATGGTTTACCTGAATTGATGTAATCCTTTTAGATTGAAGGAATGATGACTCTTCTTTCACACCCTGTAAGGAAACATATTCATAGTTGCAATGTCATTGTTTATGTAAATTCAGGAAATCTGATCACTATATAGACAACAGTATTTTGTAAAAAAATAAATAAAAAGGAATATTTACATATTTAATGTTTTTAACAACTTGAAGTCTGTATATCTGACTTTTGGGTTCTCAGCTAGACCATTTTTCTCTCAATCACGATTCATGTTCTGATACAGGTGTGATTCATGTGTACTTTTGGACGTTAGTTGGGGCCTCTTTTGCTGTGCATATTACAGTCATGACAGATGTCTCTGTCCTTGGAACATATGTTGAGTCTTATCTAGATTTTGGGGTAAATAATAAAAATGAGAACTAAAAGGCACAGAGAATTCTGCTGCTGCAAGAGATTTACCAGGCAAGTTATTCCATGTTTTTCATTGTTTACATGAGAAAACTTAGGCCTAGGAAAAGAAATCCCTTAAAATTAAATGCCTTAAAATCTCACAACTGGCTAGCACTAGCCATCGACCATAGAAGTGTACATCACTGGTAGGTGGAGTAGGTTTTTCAGCATCTCTCACTCCTGTTCCTGCCTCGAGCCAGATGATTCAAGTTAAGCTGATGCCAAATTTCAAGGTATCTAAAAATATTCTCAGCTCTAGAATGTGGATAATACATATTATATATCTGCTTTACTTTTGAAGAAATTTACACTTAAAATTTATTTTTCTTCTCTTTTTTTCTTAATCAACTATAGCTGAGCTTATTCTATGTGAGTATATAAAATAAATTAAGTTGCTATGGTAAATCTTTAATAACCACAGTATGGAGAGTACCGGAATTGGATAAAAATGTTTCTTGCCAAAGAACAAATACAGTAATATAATATTTATCATGAGTCCTTGAAAGAGTTCTGGTCTGTTAAACTTGGGTATTTATGTTTAAAAGCTAAACTGTTTTCTGGGTAAAATCAAACAATCCCACAAGTAAACAGTGAAGTAACTTAAGTAATCAACTGTGCTTTGTGTAAAAGCCATTTCTAGAGGTTCAATTAATGAAGAACAGATTTTTTTTTGTTTGCCATGTAACACTTGTAGTGGAAAGCTAGATTACTATATAGTTGATATGTTGCCTAAAGCATATTATTTTATTGTGTGTGTGTGTGTGTGTGTGTGTGTGTGAAAGAGAGAGTTTATAAGCAAATCACTACCTCTTTGGTAAATTAGTACTCATAAAAAAAGTAAAGGGTCTCATTGCAGCTTGGTTTGGAGGAAAGAGCACTGAATTAGAAAACTCAAGTTCCCCTTCTAACTCTCATGTTCCTACTTGTGTGATGCTAAGAAAGCCATTTGCCTTCTCAAAATCTCAGTTTCCTCATCTGTAAAAGCAAAGAGAATGACATTCCATTTCAAAACCCCTTCCCAGCCCTGAAGTTTCATAATTCTCTTCAATGAAATAAGTATTCTTACTTTGCTGATCCTAGATATTGTTTAGCAACAATAAGTGTCAGAATGATTTGTTACCGCATTTTCTTCTTGGAAAGAAATGCATGAGAAAGTATTCTGTCTTACAGGACACAGCCTATATTTAGAAATATTTTTCTTCATCAACCTAGCAAGCTTTATCTTCTTGGGGATTATTGGCAACTTTTTGGTTATTATAACTAAAATTTCAATTAGACCTCTTTACCACAATCAGTACACTATATAATAAAGATTTTTAATTGACTTTTTCTCCAAGAGGAATATAATAGTTCATACTCACCTATATATTCCTGTAATAGGTCCCATGAAGCAGGGATTATTTCTGCTTAGTTCACAATTTAACCCTAGAGTTTAGCATAGAGCACGGCATCTAGTATGTGTTCAATGAAGAAAGACATTTGGTTGAATCTACCCCACAGAAATACAAAAGAAGAAGGTGTTTATATTAGTTCAGAGGGAAATAGAAAATCTAGATGAAATGGGTAAATTCCTGGAAACATACAACCTCCCAAGATTGAATCAGGAAAAAAATCAAGACCTTGCACAGACCAATATCAAGTTCTGAAATCGAACCAGTAATAAAATACCTACCAACCAACAAAATGCTCCATACCAGATGCAGTCAAGCCAAATTCTACCAGATGTACAAAGAAGAGTGCGTACCAATTACGCTGAAACTATTCCAAAAAATCAAGGAGGAGAGACTCCTCCCTAACTCATTCTACGAAGCTAGCATCACCCTGATACAAAAACCTGGCAAAGATACAACAAATAAAGAAAACTAGAGGCCTATATCCTGATGAACACAGACACAAAAGTCCTCTACAAAATACTAGCAAACTGAATCCAGCTGCACACCAAAAAGTTAATTGACCATGAACAAGTAGGCTTTACTGCTGGGATGCAAGGTTGGTTCAACATACACAAATCATTAAACATGATTTACCATATAAACAGAATTAAAAACCAAAATCATATGATCATCTCAATAGGTAAAGAGACAGCCTTTGATAAAATCCAATATTCTTTCATGATAAAAACTCTCAAGAAACCAGGCATCAAAGGAACATACCTCAAAATAATAAGAGCTATTTATGAAAAACCCACAGTGCATTTCATATTGGTTGGGCAAAAGCTGGAAGTGTTCCCCTTCAGAAATGGAACAAGATAAGGATGCCCACTCTCACCATTCCTATTCAACATAGTACTAGAAGTCCTATCCAGAGCAATCAAGCAAGAGGAAGAAATAAAAGGCTTCTAAATAGGAAAAGAAAAAGTCAAACTCTCTTTGCTGACAATATGAATCTATACTTAAAGAACCCTAAAGACTCTGCTAAAGGGCTCCTGGAACTGGAAAACAACTTCAGCTGGTACCATTCCTTCTGAAACTATTCCAATCAATAGAAAAAGAGGGAATCCTCCCTAACTCATTTTATGAGGCCAGCATCATCCTGATACCAAAGCCTGGTGGAGACACAACAAAAAAAGAGAACTTTAGACAAATATCCTTGATGAACATTGATGCAGAAATCCTCAGTAAAATACTGGCAAACCGAATCCAGCAGCACATCAAAAAGCTTATCCACCATGATCAAGTGGGCTTCATCCCTGGGATGCAAGGCTGGTTCAACATACAAAAATCAGTAAACGTAATCCAGCATATAAACAGAACCAAAGACAAAAACCACATGATTATCTCAATAGATGCAGAAAAGGCCTTCGACAAAATTCAACAATGCTTCATGCTAAAAACTGTCAATAAATTAGGTATTGATGGGATGTATCTCAGTAAGAGCTATCTATGACAAACACAGCCAATATCATACTGAATGGACAAAAACTGGAATCATTTCCTTTGAAAACTGGCACAAGACAGGGATGCCCTCTCTCACCACTCCTATTTAACATAATGTTGGACGTTCTGGCCAGGGCAATCAGGCAGGAGAAGGAAATAAAGAGCATTCAATTAGGAAAAGAGGAAGTCAAATTGTCCCTGTTTGCAGATGACATGATTGTATATCTAGAAAACCCCATCGTCTCAGCCCAAAATCTCCTTAAGCTGATAAGCAACTTCAGCAAAGTCTCAGGATACAAAATCAATGTGCAAAAATCACAGCATTCTTATACACCAATAACAGACAAACAGAGAACCAAATCATGAGTGAACTCCCATTCACAAATGCTTCAAAGAGAATAAAATACCTAGGAATCCAACTTACAGGGGATGTGAAGGACTTCTTCAAGGAGAACTACAAACCACTGCTCAATGAAATAAAAGAGGATACAAACAAAAGGAAGAACATTACATGCTCATGGGTAGGAAGAATCAATATCATGAAAATAGCCATACTGCCCAAGGTAATTTATAGATTCAATGCTATCCCCATCAAGCTACCAATGACTTTCTTCACAGAATTGGAAAAAACTACTTTAAAGTTCATATGGAACCAACAAAGAGCCTGCAATGCCAAGTCAATCCTAAGCCAAAAGAACAAAGCTGGAGGCATCACGCTACCTGACTTCAAACTATACTACAAGGCTACAGTAACCAAAACAGCATGGTACTCATACCAAAACAGAGATATAGACCAATGGAACAGAACAGAGCCCTCAGAAATAATGTCACATATCTACAACTATCTGATCTTTGACAAACCTGACAAAAACAAGCAATGGGGAAAGGATTCCCTATTTAATAAATGGTGCTGGGAAAACTGGCTAGCCATATGTAGAAAGCTGAAACTGGATCCCTTCTTTACATCTTATACAAAAATTAATTCAAGATGGATTAAAGACTTACATGTTAGACCGAAAACCATAAAAACCCTAGAAGAAAACCTAGGCAATACCATTCAGGACATAGGCATGGGCAAGGACTTCATGCCTAAAACACCAAAAGCAATGGCAATAAAAGCCAAAATTGACAAATGGGATCTAATTAAACTAAAGAGCTTCTGCACAGCAAAAGAAACTACCATCAGAGTGAACAGGCAACCTACAGAATGGGAGAAAATTTTTGCAACCTACTCATCTGACAAAGGGCTAATACCCAGAATCTACCATGAACTCAAACAAATTTACAAGAGAAAAACAAACAACCCCATCAAAAAGTGGGTGAAGGATATGAACAGACACTTCTCAAAAGAAGACATTTATGCAGCCAAAAAACACATGAAAAAATGCTCATCATCACTGGCCATCAGAGAAATGCAGATCAAAACCACGAGATACCATCTCACACCAGTTAGAATGGCGATCATTAAAACATCGGGAAACAACAGGTGCTGGAGAGGATGTGGAGAAATAGGAATACTTACACTGTTGGTGGGACTGTAAACTAGTTCAACCATTGTGGAAGTCAGTGTGGCGATTCCTCAGGGATCTAGAACTAGAAATACCATTTGACCCAGCCATCCCATTACTGGGTATATACCCAAAGGATTATAAATCATGCTGCTATAAAGATACATGCACATGTATGTTTATTGTGGCACTATTCACAATAGCAAAGACTTGGAACCAACCCAAATGTCCAACAATGATAGACTGGATTAAGAAAATGTGGCACATATACACCATGGAATACTATGCAGCCATAAAAAATGATGAGTTCATGTCCTTTGTAGGGACATGGATGAAGATGGAAACCATCATTCTCAGCAAACTATCGCAAGGACAAAAAACCAAACACCACATGTTCTCACTCATAGGTGGGAATTGAACAGTGAGAACACATGGACACAGGAAGGAGAACATCACACACTGAGGACTGTTGTGGGGTGGGGGGAGCGGGGAGGGATAGCATTAGGAGATATACCTAATGCTAAATGACGAGTTAATGGGTGCAGCACACCAGCATGGCACATGTATACATATGTAACAAACCTGCATGTTGTGCACACGTACCCTAAAGCTTAAAGTCTAATAACAATAAAATTTTTTTAAAAAGTTTTAGGAAACAAAATCAATGTACAAAATCAGTAGCATTTCTAAACACCAATAACATTCAGGCTGATAGCCAAATCAAGAACACAATCCCATTTACAATAGCTATACATATGCTTAGGAATACATCTAACCAAGGAGGTGAAAGATCTCTGTAAGGAGAACTGTAAAACACTGTGGAAAGGAATTATAAATGACACATACAAATGAAAAAACATTCCATGCTCATGGATTGGAAGAACCAGTGTCATTAAGATAGCCACACTGCCTAAAGTAACCTACAGATTCAGTGCTATTCTCATCATCTACCAATGTAATTTTTCACAGACTTAGAAAAAACTATTCTGGGCAACAGAGCGAGACTCCATCTCAAAAAAAAAAAAACAAAAGAAAAAACTATTCTGAAATTCATATGGAACCAAAAAGCCAAAGCAATCCTAGGCAAAACAAACAAATAACAAACAACAACAAAAACAAAACAAAACTGGGGTAATGGAGGCATCACATTACCTGACTTCAAACTATGCTAAAAGCCACAGTAACCCAAACAGCATGTTACTGGAATAAAAACAGACACATAGAACAATGAAACTGATAAAAATAAAGCCACACACCTACAGCCATCTGATCTTTGACAAAGTTGACAAAAACAAACAATGGGGAAAGGACTCCATATTAAATAAATAGTGTTGGAATAGCTGGCTAGTCATATGGAAAATAACGAAACTGGACCCATACCTTTTACCATATACAAAAATTAACTGAAGGTAGGTTAAAGATTTAAATATAAGACCTCAAACTATAAGAATTCTAGGCTGGGCGTGGTGGCTCACACCTGTAATCCCAGCACTTTGGGAGGCTGAGGCGGGCAGATCATGAGGTCAGGAAATCGAGACCACCCTGGCTAACACGGTGAAACCCTGTCTCTAAAAATTAGCTGGACGTGGTGGCACTTGCCTGCAGTCCCAGCTACTTCAGAGGCTGAGGCAGGAGAATGGCGTGAACCCGGGAGGCGGAGCTTGCACTGAGCCGAGATCACACCACTGCACCCCAGCCTGGGCGACAGAGCAAGACTCCATCTCAAATAAATAATTAAATAAATAAAATAAAAAAAGAATTATAGAAGCAAATCCAGGAAACACCATTCTGGATATTGGCCTTGGGGAAGAATTTATGACTAAGTCCTCAAAAGCAATTGCAACAAAAACAAAAACTGACTAGTGTGACCTAATTAAACTAAATGACTTTTGCACAGCAAAATAAACTATTAACAGAGTTAACAGGCAACCTACAGAATGGGAGAAAATATTTGTAAACTACATATCTGACAAAAGTGTAACATCCAGAATCTATAAGAAATTTGTATAACTCAATAAGCAAAAAATAAATAACCCTATCAAAATGGGCAAAAGACATGGACACTTTTCAAAAAAGACATACAAGTGGCCAACAGACATGAAAAAATGCTCAACAACACTCATTATCAGAGAAATGCAAATTAAAACCACAATGAGACACCATCTCACACCAGTCAGAATGGCTATTACTAAAAAATCAAAAAACAGCAGATGTTGGCGAGGCTGTGGAAAAAAGGGAGTACTTATATACTGGTAGTGGGAATGTAAATTAGTTCAGCCACTGTGGAAAGCAGTTTGGAGATTTCTCAAAGAACTTAAAATAGAACTGCCATTCAACCCCGTAATCCCATTACTAGATGTATATCCAAATGAAAATTAATAGTTGTACCCAAAAGACATAGGCACCCATATGTTCATCACAGCACTATTCACAACAGCAAAGACATGGAATCAACCTAGGTGCCCATCAACAGTGAATTGAATAAAGAAAATGTGGCACATATATACCATGGGATACTATGCAGCCATAAAAAAGAAACAAAATCATACCCTTTGCAGCAACTTAGATGCAGCTGGAGGCTGTCATCCTAAGCTAATGAACACAGAAACAGAAAACCAAATACCACATATTCTCACTTATAAGTGAGAGCTAAACATTAGGTACTTATGGACATAAAGATGGCAATAATGGACACTGGGAGCTACAAGAGAGGGGAGAAGGTGGGCAGGAGTTGAAAAACTACCTTTTGGGTACTATGCTGACTACCTGGGTGATGAGATCAATTGTACTCCAAACCTCAGCATCACACAATATTCCCAGGCAACAAATCTGCACATGTACCCCCTGAATCTAAAACAAGAGTTGGAATTATAAAAAAGGAAAGGAAATTTGGTTGAGTAGACTGACTGGGATGGTTCTACATCTGATGACATGTATCATCTTGAAATCATCCAAGAAAATTTCCATAAAGAACATATGTGACTCATGTGCAGTCTTTCTGTTATCTGGATTATACCACTGATGAGGAAGCACTTTCTTAGCTATTTTTGCAGGAGAAGTTTTGCTATTTGTTATCTGTAGACAAAAGTTGTTTGTAAACCAGGCTCAAGCAGCTAATTTGGGATGCCACCTTCACCACCTCCTTGCGAACTTTTATGACTCTCCATATTGATCCTTAACCTCATTTTGCTGAAGTCCTTGATCAAGCATCCTGACTCATCATCCTCCGCAAGGACTCACATCAACAATCCAGAGCAAGGCCAGAACCAGGACAAAACTCATGGATGCTTGATGTGCCAACTGAGGCCATACTGGCAAGAAGGGACAGTGTGGACAGAGCTTTGGTTGCTACAAGCTGAGGTATCATGGCCGAATGATGTGGCCACTCGTTTAGATGGGAGGTTTTGATTATTTTTATTTTTTGAGACAGGGTCTCACTTTGTCGTCCAGGCTGGAGTGCAGTGATGCTATCACAGCTCACTGCAGCCTTCACCTCTGTAGCTCAGGTGATCCTTCCACCTCAGCCTCCTGGGTAGCTGGGACTACAGGTGCATGCCACCACAACTGGCTAATTTTTGTGTATTTTTTGTAGAGGCGGGGTTTCACTATGTTGCTCCGGCTGGTCTTGAACTCCTGGGCTCAAGTGATCCTCTTGCCTTCGCCTCCCAAACTGCTGGTATTACAGGCTTAAGCTACAATGAGCAGTCAATTAATTGTCTTTATAATGTTCTCTTGCAAATCATACCTGTAACAGTTGAAGCATGAATGCTATATGAAAATCAATACAATGATACTTGTTTGAAGAATTTTGCAAGGATTAGAGTTGGGTACAGTTGAAAAAAAAAATCACGATCTTCCTTTCTTTCTTCCTGTTTTATTTCCTCCTTCCTTTTATTCCTCCCTCTTTTCCTCCCTCCCTCCTTCCTTTTTTCCTTTCTGCCTTTATACCTTCCTGCCTTCTTTCATTCTTCCGTTCATTTTGCATCGAGTTGGGCTGCTGTAGTGAAAGAGCTTGGGTTTTAGAGTCAGGCAGTTATCATTTAGAATCGTGACTTTGCCATTTTCTATGAAATCACTTTAGCCTCTCTGAGGCTCAGTTTCCTCATATGGTAAAAAGGCAGATAACAATACTTACATCACAGGATTGTAGTGAGGCTTAAGTCATGTAATAATGTTAACTACCATTTATTAAACACCAAATATGTGCATTACCTAATTTAATCTTTATAATAACTTTGCAGGCAAAGTGCATGGTACATGGTTTTACCACATACAGGTAATGTAAATAACAGGACGATGGAAATAGCATGTGCTCTCTGTTACATGTCTTCTGAGTAAGTGTGTACTTACTTAATTGTCAGGTGTCATTATTCATGCCATTCGCCTCCACAGTTCCCACCACCAGAGTGAAATGGGTCATTTATTCATGTAATCATCCAACGAATGTTTTTTGAGTACTGCTGTGTATCAGGTGTTGTGTGTGTGTTACTAAGGGGAAAAATGGGGAACGAGGAATGAGACACAGTTCCTAACTTCAAAGGGGTTGTAATTTAGGAGGAGTTACAGATAAATAAACTGACAACTCTAACCAAGTAAAACGAGACCTTTGATAGCAGGAAATAGAGAGTGAATGTTTTAGGAGGGGCCTCTCATCTCAATTTGGAGGTTCAGGGAGGATTCCCTGCAAGAAATCACATCTATGCTGAGAGCCAAGGGATAAATAAATGGGAATTTGAGGTTGGAGTGTGTTCTAAGAAACTACATGTGTGAAGGTACTAAGATGAGAGGGACTACGAAACATGAGAGAACTGAAAGCAGTTCACTCTGGTATTTAAAGAGACACAGGGTGACAATTGAGTAATACAATAACAGTGGCTATTATTATTGTTTATAGAGCATGAACGATTTCTAGCACCCTGTTATCCGTGTTACCTGTATGCGGTAAAACCATGTATCGTGCACTTGGCCTGCAAAGTTATTATAAAGATTAAATTAGATAATGCATACATTTGGTGCTTAATAAATAGTAGCTAATATTATTATATTACTTAGTTGGGACTGCTAAATCCCAGTAAAATCATCATCATGATAAATAATACATTAGCTATATTACAGATGGGACTGCTGAATAATGAAAGGTGTGGGGCTCAAGGAGTAAGGATTGTCTAATCTCAGGTTACTACCTTTTAGCTATTTAGAGTTCTTGGTCTCTCTCCTCCTCGGCCTGACTTTGGAATAAGAGCCCTTTTGTACTGCTGACCCCTGGACTCTTGATCTGAGCTGGCATATAGCTGTGTTGCTAACTCCTGATTCTTGTATAATCTCCTGAGCTGTGTTCTTGGTCCTGAAAGAGAAAGGCTTATCTTACTCATAAAAAGCCTGGATATTCTTGGTCAGTTGGCTGCCTTTACATATCATCTCTACTCTACTCTGAGGAGTATGAGGCTATGGGGCAAGGAGGCTTTTATCAGGGGGTTCTTCTGGCTAGCACCTTGCAGTCCGGAAGGCCTTTTCAGCAGGCCCAGCAATCAGAGGCCAGCCTCATCCACAAGCAAATCTCACGCTACTTGGCTTCTCTGAATCCAAATGCCTTCTGGAAGGCCAAGGCAAGCCAGACTCTGTCACATGATAAGCTAATTTCCATTTCACTTTTTTTGAAAGTGGAGGAGAAATGATGTATTGATCAACAAGCTAGGTGGAAGACCGATTCATTTATTGACTTGCAGATAGTTTACCTTTGAGCTTGTGCTACAGAAAGGACTATCCTTGTAGCTAGGTCTGCCATAGAGTGCTGAGAAAAGTCTGAGATGTGCCAGAGGCTCAGAGACGGGAAAGCAAAAAGCCAGTTGGCACCAAATCCCTCTCTGCTCACCTCTCTTTTGTGTGGACAGTCAAATGCTAATGAACTCTGAAAAAGGTGACCATATACTTTTAATGTCCAAATCCAGACATTTTTGAGAATAAAATGGGCTGCTATTAATTAGTGTACTGGGACAGCTGGCGTGAACCGGGAATGTTTCAGGCAAACCCAGTCCTAACCATGGTCATCCTAACCATGAGCTCTCTGTTGATCAAATGACTACTCCCTAGTTAGTGGTGTCTGTATTTGGAGGGAGAAGTTGGAGACAAGTCATTGCTGATATTTTTTTCCATGCTCCCCAAAGCAATTTTTGGAAGAGTCTCCATTTTATGAGATCCTCATGTTTCTGAAAGATCAGTATTAGCCATTTTAATACAAGACACTGGTTTCTATTTAAAGCAAAGGAATGGACTGGTAAAAACAGAAAATTTGAAGGGAAAGATAATCCTAAAAATGAAAACTGCAGCTGTGTCTTCTGGCACCTTATAATCCTTCATTAATTAGAATATAGATGCTAAGATGTTAGTATTTTTAAAGTGTTGGCCCATGAATTATCTACCATACATTATTAGCTTTGATGTTATAAGACTGTATGGATAGGAATGATTACTTTTGCTATTATTGTTTGTTCAGAGAGGTGACAAAAAAGAAAATCTCTCACATTCGACTAACACACAAGAAGCTTAGGAGACACTTTTTTGATTTACAGAGCTGTTTTCTTCTAAACATGTTTCTTGGTAAAATAATAAGTAAAATGTCAGTTTACTGTGAAGCCAACACCATCACAGCAGCAGTATTTTTCTCCACCTCAAATTAAGCAGGTTGTGGGAGAATTTGATGATCAAATGTTACTTTGATTTTGCATTTCTTCCCCTATTAAAATAATATTAAAAGCTACCATCTTTAGTACTTACCCTGTTGCAGAGGCTCTCAAGTCTGAATGATTTTGCCCCTCCATGAACGTTTGGCAACGTCTGCGCACAATTTTGCTCATCACAGCTGGGGGTGGGGTGCCATTGGCCTCTAGTGGTTAGAGGCCAGGGATGTTGCTAAACATCTCACGGGGTACAGGACAGCCCCTACCCCCTCAAGCAAATTAATTATCTGGCTCCAAATGTCAGTGGTGTCAAAGTTGAGAAACTGCTCTGTAGTATCCTAATCATTATTTATTTCACTTTTTTTTAAATTGATAACCTACCAGGTGCTAGGCACTGTAACGCTGAGGATATAGCAGTGAACAAAATAGGAAAACATTCTTACTCTTGTTTGGTTTGCATTCTGTTAGGAGAGAGAGATAATAACCGAGATAAATCACTAAAATACTGAGTATGTTAGAAAGTTATAGGTGCTAGGGGGAAAAGTCAAGCTGAGAAGAGAATAGGAGATGTCAGCAGGGAATCATCGAAATTGAAATCCTCCCCTCATTCATTAAGGTAGGTGTATTTATCACTATTTGTGGATGAAAAATCTGAGTTTTAGAGAGGTCAAGTGTTGGTCAAAGGGGACGCTGCTAGTTAGAGATAAGGCTGGGATTTGACTTTGAATGTAAGTGACTTTTTAGGGTCTAAAGCAGCAGCCCCCAACCTTTTTGGCACCAGGGACCCGTTTCATGGGAGATAGTTTTTCCATGGACCGGGGTGGGAGATGGTTTTGGGATGATTCAAGCACATTACATTACATTTATTGTGCACTTTATTTCTATTATTATTACATTGTAATATATAATGAAATATTAATAATTATACAACTCACCATAATGTAGAATCAGTGGGAGCCCTGACATCTTGCTTTCCTGCAACTAGACGGTTCCATCTGGAGGTGATGGGAAACAATGACAGATCATCAGGCGTTAGATTCTTATAAGGAGTGCGTCTCACAAGGAGCGCGCAGCCTAGACCCCTCGCACGCGCAGCTCACAATAGGGTTCACACTCCTATTGGAATCTAATGCTGCCACTGAACTGACAGGAGGAGCTCAGGCGGTAATGTGGCAATTGCAAGCAGCTGTAAATACAGACAGAGCTTCCTGTGCTCACCTGCTGCTCACCTCCTGCTGTGTGACCTGGTTCCTAACAGGCCATGGACTGGGACTGAAGGCTGGAGACTCCTAGTCTAAAGTGTTCTTTCCACTGTGCCATTTTATATATGATCATCAGAAACCAGGGTTGTCTTTCTTCCTTTTGATGAAATTCTCCTTTCTTAACTCACAGATAACCGTATCCCTCCCCACCCAAAGCATTCATTTCTTACATCTGTGTTTCTGCTGGTCTTAGTATTCCCAGGTTATATTCTTTTTCTATCTTCATTACTATCGTTAAATATGCCCAAATCTCTCTACCATTTAAAAAAAGAAATGAAAAAAGTTCCCACCTTCATTCCGCATGCCCCTCTGGCTATAGCCACTCTCTTTCCTTCCTGTCATAGCTAAACTTCTTAAAAAGATGCTCCAGGCCAGGCGCAGTGGCTCACGCCTGTAATCCCAGCACTTTGGGAGGCTGAGGCGGGCAGATCACCTGAGGTCGGGAGTTTGAGACCAGCTGGACCAACATGGAGAAACCCCATCTCTACTAAAAATACAAAAAATTACCTGGGTGTGGTGGCGCATGCCTGTAATCCTAGCTACTCGAGAGGCTGAGGCAGAAGAATTGCTTAAACCTGGAAGGCGGAGGTTGCGGTGAGCCGAGATCACGCCATTGCACTCCAGCCTGGGCCACAAGAATGAAACTCCATCTCCAAAAAAAAAAAAAAAAAAAAAAAAAAAATGCTCCATACCAGCCATTTCTACCCCTGACCCAATTTACTTGTAATATAGGATCACTGTACTCTTATTCCATACAAATTGTTCTGTCAGGAGCCACCAATGACCCTGAAACTCTGCTTTTACAGGCTTTGTTCTGTAGGTCTGCCCTTTCTACTTGGCCTCCTCCCATGCTCTTCCTTTCCCTGAGTCTGATCGACTTCTCTGGTGCCTGACACCTTTTAGCTCTCTGGGATTTCCTTCTTCCTCCAGGGAGCCTTCATGGATTTCTCTGCTCTTTCAGCAATTTATTGACCTGCGTCCTCCAGGATCCTGTCCTCGGCTTTCTTTCTTTTCAACAATGGCTTGAACAAATTAGTCATTTTAGAGCCATCCCAGAGATACATGACATTATTTGTAATTTGCTGAGATGCAATGTGATTTATATGTGAGAAGAGTAGGATGTGCAGCATGAGGACCAGCTTTGATGGGTGATCCACCTTGCTCAACTCAAATAAGTGTTACAGAGCGGACCCCCCCACCCCCGCCAACACCCTTGACAACGATAAGAGCTCCTTAGCTGTTCTCTTTGGTCCCAATTTTAGCTCTACCCTTTATTTTTGTCATGTTCATCCTTCCAAAAGGCAAACCTAATCATGATCTAGCTTCTAGCCCCTTCATTGTTCACAACATAAAAGGTTTACACCCATGTTTTCATGCCAAGCACAGCCTGCCATTTGCCTGGAATGCCTTCTCCTCCCCAACCCATCACTCTTACTTCACAATGTTGATCTTGGGAAGTCCAATTCATTCTGGAAGGCTCAACCTTAAGCATCACTTTTCTTCCCCTTCCCAGATTTCTAGGCAAAGTTTCATCTCATATATTCCCCCACTGCCTCCCACATTCAATTAAGTTGTGCATTCCCTTAGGGCATTGAGAGGGAGACTCAAGAACAAAATTTTAATTCTCAAGTAAGCTGCTCTACCCAGCATATTGTCTTTTTTTTTCTTTTTAAAGCTTTCCCACTCTCTCAATTCAAAATTTTAAAATATTGGACAATAATTTGCTGTGTGGCTCTGTATATTTTACTTAATCTCTCTGAGCTGTCATTTTATCAACTCGAATTCCATCAAATAATGTTCTTCTTTTAACTCAAAAAAATATTAAACAGTTCGAGTTCTCTAAAGGAAAAGATGTCATAAACCAAAGATGAAACAACTTGTCATTCATTGAAGAAAACTGTCCATAATTTTTTTTTTTTTTCTGAGACGGAGTCTTGCTCTGTCACCCAGGCTGGAGTGTAGAGGCACGATCTTGGCTCACTGCAAGCTCTGCCTCCCGGGTTCACGCCATTCTCCTGCCTCAGCCTCCCAAGTAGCTGGGACCACAGGCACCCGCCACCATGCCCGGCTAATTTTTTGTAGTTTTAGTAGAGACGGGGTTTCACCGTTTTAGCCAGGATGGTCTCGATCTCCTGACCTTGTGATCTGCCCGCCTCGGCCTCCCAAAGTGCTGGGATTACAGGCATGAGCCACCGCGCCCGGCTTGTCCATAATTTTTTTGTTATGAACCATTTCATTTAGAACCCAACAATGTGTAAATATGTCCAAAGAATAATGTTTCCCCTCATGCATCTTTAAAACTTGAAGCCATTTATAATGTTAAGTAAAATTTGCCATATAATTTTTCATGTGTGTGGATGACATCACAATTTGGCTTCTTCTTGAATTTCTCCTTAAAGTTTTGAAAGACTTCAGGTTTGTCTTTTGCTATTCTTCTTAGCTCTTTTTTTTCCTCCTAAAGTGAAAGGAAAGTTTCATGTCAGAAGAGTGAGGAGATAAAATTTAAAATTAGATGTCCTTGACCTTGATTCAAAGCTTCCTTAGATAATCAGTGGTGCTTACTGCCACAACTTGGAGAAGAGAAATGAAGCAATAGAGAAGGAGAATTTAGAAGAAAAGGGCTATTAGATAAGAATGACAGTTACCTTTACTCACTTTATGAATTGTTGTAGAATTAAAAGTTGTAGAATTAAAATCACTTTTTAAAAATATCATTTTGGTGAGACGGGTAAATATGTGGCAATGAATTATCGTTAAGAGAAAATAATGCAAGGAAAGAGTTTCAGTCAGGCTTTCATTCACACTTTACTGTCCTTGACACTTCCATGGAATATTTCCATGTGTAGAAAACTGATGCTTAGATATTAGAGGTGGAATGAGTATGGAGAGAGAGAGAGAACTAGAATTTATTGATTTTATCACCTGTGCTATGTGTTTATGTTATTTCATTTACTGTCTTTAACAGCTCTATGAGGTATATTTACCTACTTTTATTTTAAGCAGACTAGAGCTTGCTATAGTTACTGGTAAATAGAGCCAAAATTAAAACCTGGGGTTTTCAGTCAGGTGCAGTGGCTCATGCCTGTAATCTCAGGAATTTGGGAGGCTGAGGAGGGTGGATCACTTGATCCCAGAAGTGGGATTTTCTTTGAGACCAGCCTGGGCAACATAGTTAGATCTTGACTCTACAAAAAAATTAGAAAATTAGCTGTGTGCAGTGGTGCATCCATGTAGTCCCAGCTACTCAGGAGACTGAGGTGGGAGGATTACTTGAGCCTAGGGTGTCAAAGCTGCAGTGAACTGATTGTGCCACTGCACTCCAGCCTGGGGGACAGAGTGAGACCCTGTCTCTAAAGCAAGCAAGCAAACAAACAAACAAGAAAACCCAAAAACCTAGGATTTTCTGACTCAGACGTTATACCACACTGATGTCCTATTGTGTAGAAAATACACGTCCTAACCTCAAGCAGTTTATTAATCCAGAAAAGGAATGCAAATCTCTATAAAGGGCAGAGGTGGCAGACCCCACATGTATCCTAAGTACTGTAAAAATAACCTCATCTAAGTGATTTTGAAGGTTTGGCCTCACTGCAGATAGGACACCCACTTTGAATTGCTTTTCCCTGGACAGTAATGCAGAAACAGAGAGAGACTTTTTCGCTAACATGTTTTATTTTTTACCCCCCAGCAGATAATATAACATGTTACAAAGATTTTGATGTTATTCAGAATCAAGCCCTCATATTTAATCTTGATCAGACACAATTTCCACTTGTAAAATAGGGATGATGATGATGATATCTACCTTATGGGGTTACTATAAGATGCCTCTTTAAGGTGCTAGCATCATGTTCAGCTCTCTAAAATGCTAGTTATGATGATTTGCTGCAGCCATTGTTGTTGACATGTGTTTTGATACTTATTGATGCATTTTGGAGACCTTTGGTGGGAGGTCTGGCTGTAACACTAGATAGAACGGCTGCACTTACTGACCAGTGGTGCTGATCAGTCTGATATGTACCTCAAAGTGCTAAGTAATTGGGTGTGGGGATGAGAGAGGCCAGGGTTGGAGAGATACTGGAAAGAAGAAACCAAGTGTTTTACTAAAAGTGCTTTGAAAAATCGAGTCAAGGGAATGGCAGGAATCTACAGGGAAAAGTAGAAAAAGGGTGAGAAGGGAGACAAATATTGGCTTCTTTCCAATTAAAGAGTTCTGGGACAATGGTCACAACGTTTGCCTGTTAATGGGGAATTTTCTTCTAAAAGACTAACCTCAAAAACACCAATCGCAAAATAATGGCACATGTTTGCTCTTCCTTATTTCATTCTTTAATGGAATACATTTAAAAAAGAAGTTGTTTCACATAAACCCGATTAACTCTGAAGACAGTCATAACCCATCCAAACCAATCCAAATGAAGGTAAAAGGAATAATCAGCTCTTATTATGCAAAATGGTGCTTAGTTAATTTATTGCACTGCACTAAATAATAAGCTGTTAGGCTCCACATTGCTTTTTCCACATTAGATTAAATAGCTTATTGCTGCTGGAGCTTATTTCATATTGCATACAATTTGGATATATTACATTGGCGTAGATATTAGTCCATTATAAGAGACAGGCATAAGTACTTCATTTATAGGATCTCTCCATTTGGAAAATGGTAAGGAAGAAGAAGAAATGCAAACGAGAGTAATGAACAGAGGGGATTTATGTGCATTGCCTGATGGGTCTGCTGTGGGTGACAGCTGGTTGCCACACATGGGGCCCAGGCACCTTGGAGAAAAGTAACATTTCCAATGGGAAGAAAATCCAAAGAGAGTTTATGTTCTTTTTCAGGGAAGTGTTGACATTTTAATTACTTTCTGTTTTCTTTGGAGCTACATTTGAGAATTGGAAACAAGTTAGAAAAATAAGAATTGGCTTTATTAGAAATAAGATGAATTGACATGCAGGCAGGAACGGGAGAGAGTCCAGGGTTAGCTCTTAACAAACTGAAGTCTCCAGCAGTATCCAGAGAGCCAAAAAAATTCAGCCATTGAAAAACTAACCAGAAGAACTACTCAGGGCTTATCATCTCTGAAAGCAGACTGTGCCTCTGAGCAATCTAATCTTTTCCGGCCTTGGTGCCTCTGTACTTCACTGTTTAATTTTTTTGCTTTACACTTTGGTCTTTTGCGAACAAGGGTAAGGCTAAGTAGTACAGGAATGCAAAGCAAAAAGAAAATAATCAGGGAGAATTGGAATGAGTTGGGGAAACTGGGAGGTTTAGAATTATTTAGTTTTGAAGATAATCTGATATTTTTGGTATTTCATAAAAGAAAACTGCCTGTGGAAGTGAGGGGGGAGCCTGAGTAAATGGCTTTGGAAGATAAGATATATTTGCACCTTCTCTACCTGCACCTGGAGTTGCCTGGGACTGAATAAACACTTAGCCAACCCAGTGTGTCTACCAGCACCAGCATATTCCAGGGCTCACAAATCCAAAAATAGTAACTCATTTGAAGATTGAACTTTTAAAAAAAAACAAAAACAAAAAAGCCAAAATCTCCCACCAGCATCTTTGTGGTGCCTGAAAGGGTGACTCATGTGGACATAGGTTTTTCTTGTCCCTTGCTCACCCTCCCAGCATTGCTATGCTGTAGGAATAGCGCAAAAACTCCCTAACTTCAGACCAGCCAATTCAGCAATAAGTGGGTCAAACTGAGTCCCCACAAATTATCTAACAGCCACTGTGTGCCATGTGATTTAAATATACTACTTAAAATTTCAGAAAAATCTATAAGGAGATATTATCTCTGCTGTAGATATTGTTATTTCTGTTTAATAAATAAGAAAACAGGCTTTGGTAAGTTAATTGCCAAGTTATATATAAACTTTTATTGGAAAAGATTTCAAATATATATAAGAGAAGATGAAATAATGAACTTCCATGCTTATTTCACTAATTCAGGGTCAATTTTGTCAATCACCATCTACTCCCCCCATTATCTTTTACTTATTTTTACTTTTTATTTAAACATTTTAAAAACTGACACATAATAATGTATGGGGTACATAGTGGTGCTGTGATACGTGTAATGCATAGTGATCCTATCAGGGGTAATTAGCATGTTCATCATCTCAAACATTTATCATTTCATTTCACTGGAAACCTTCAATGCCTTTCTTCTAGGTATTTAAAACTATGTAATATGTTATTATTGGCAATTGGCATCCTACAGTGCCACAGAACACTAGAACTTATTCTGTCTACTTAGCTGTACTGTCTTTTAACAAATTTCTCCCTATCCTCCTTCTTCCCCTTTCTCTTCCCAGCCTCTATCATCATCCTCTATTCTACTTTTTACTTCTATGAGATCAACTTTTTTTTTTAGCTTCCACATGTGGTGTTTAACTTTCTGTTCCTGGCTAATTTAATTTAAAATAATGTCTTCCAGTTTCATCCATGTTGCCATGAATAAAAAGAGTTCATTCTTTTTAAAGGCTGAATAGTATTCCATTATGTATATATACCATATTTCCTTTCTTTTCTTTTACTTTTTGAGACAAGGTCTTTCCCTATTACCAAGGCTGGAGTGCAGTGGTATGATCATGGCTTTCTGAAGCCTCCAACTTCTGGATTCAAGCAATCCTCCTTCCTCAGCCTCTTGAGTAGCTGGGACTACAGTACGCTGGACCATCATGAGTGGCTAATTTTTTTTTCCATCTGTACAGATGGGGTCTTTCTATGCTGCCTAGGCTAGTTTTGAAATCCTAGCCTCATGTAATCCTTCCACCTCGGTCTTCCAAAGTGTTAGGATTATAGGCTTGAGCCACTGAGCCCAGCCTACCACATTCTCTTCATCCGTTCATCTGTTGTTAGACACTTAAATTGATTCCAAATCTTAGCTATTGAGAATGGTGCTGCTGGGGGTGCAGATGTCTCTTTGATACACTGATTTTCTTTCCTTTGGATAATTGCCCAGTAGGGGGATAGCTGGATCAAATGATAGTTCTATTTGTAGACTTTTCAGGAAATTTCATGCATTTCTCTATAGTGGCTATACTAGTTTACATTCCCACCAACAGTGTGTAAGAGTTTCCTTGGTTTTGCAGCTTCACCAGCATTTGTTATTTTTTGTCTTTTTGATAATAGCCGTCTTAATTGGGGTGAGATGATACGTCATTGTGGTTTTGATTTGCATTTCCCTAGTGGTTAGTGATGTTGGGCATCTTTTCATGTATTTTTTGGCCATTTGTTTGTCTTCTTTTGAGAAATGTCTGTTCAGAGCATTTGTCCATTTTAAAATCAGATTTTTTATTTTGCTGTTGAGATGTTTGAGATCCTTGTGTATTCTAGATATTAATACCCTTTGGATGAGTAGTTTGCAAATATTTTCTACTATTCTGTGGGTTATCTTTTCACTCTATTGATTATTTACTTTGCTATTCAGAAGCTTTTTAGTTATAATCCCATTTTGTTTTTGCTTTTGTTGTGTGTGCTTTTGAGGTCTTATTTATAAAATCTTTTCCAGGCTGGGCACAGTGGTTCATGTCCGTAATCCCAGCACTTGAGCCCAGGAGTTTGAGGCCAGCTTGGGCAACATGGTGAAACCTCATCTCTACCAAAAAAAAAACCAAAATTATTTTCCCAGAACAATGTCTTGAAGTGTTTCTCCTATGTCTTCTTCTAGTAGTTTTATAATTTCAGGTCTTACATTTAGGTCTTTGATCCATTTTGAGTTGTTTTTTGTATAGGATGATATGTGGGGGTCTAATTTCATTATCTTCTATATGGGTACCTGGTTTTCCCATCACCATTTGTGGAAGTGACTGTCCTTTCCCCAATGTATGTCCTTGACACCTTTGTCAGGAATCTGATGTTATATGTTGCATATGTCAGGAATCTGATGCAATATGATGTTATATGTTGACTGTAGATATATGGATTAATTTTGGAGTTCTCTAATCTGCTCCACTGGTCTATGTATGTGATTACCATGTTGTTTTAGTTACTACAGCTTTGTAATATATTGTATATTTTAAAGCCTGGTAGTGTAATGTCTCCAGCTTTTTTTTTTTTTTCTTTTTTTCCTCAGGATTGTTTTGGTTGAGGTCTTGCGTGGTTCCATACAATATTTGGGAATGGCTTTTCTATTTTCATGAAGAATGTTATTGGTATTTTGATAGGAATTGTGTTAAATATGTAGATTGTTTTGGGTAGTTTGGTCATTTCAACAATATTAATTCTTCTGATCTGTGAGCGTGGGATGTTTTTCAATTTGTTTGTATTCTCTTCAATTTCTTTCATTAGTGTGTTGCAGTTTTCCTTGTAGAGAATTTTCACCTCCTTGGTTAAATTTATTCATAAGTATTTTATTTTATTTTGTAGCTATTGTAGATGGGATTGCCTTCTTGATTTCTTTTTTTTTTTTTTTTTTTTTTGAGACGGAGTCTCGCTGTCGCCCAGGCTGGAGTGCAGTGGCGCAATCTCTGCTCACTGCAGGCTCCGCCCCCTGGGGTTCACGCTATTCTCCTGCCTCAGCCTCCCGAGTAGCTGGGACTACAGGCGCCCGCCACCTCGCCCAGCTAATTTTTTGTATTTTTAGTAGAGACGGGGTTTCACCGTGTTAGCCAGGATGGTCTCGATCTCCTGACCTCGTGATCCGCCCGCCTCGGCCTCCCAAAGTGCTGGGATTACAGGCGTGAGCCACCGCGCCCGGCCTCTTGATTTCTAATTCATTGCTGGTGTATAGAAATGCTACTGATTTTCACATATTGATTTTGTATCCTGTAACTTTACTGAATTTGTTTATCAGTTCTAAGAGTTTTTTGGTGGAGTCTAGGTTTTTCTATATATAAGATCATGTCCTGTGAAAACAGGGACAATTTGAATTCCTTCTTTCTAATTTGGATTCCCCTTATTTCTTTCTCTTCCCTAATTATTCTGACTAGGATTTCCAGTACCATATCACAAAACAGTAGTGAAAATGGGCCTCCTTGTCCTGTTCCAGTTCTTACTTTCAGCTATTCCCCATTCAATATGATGTTAGCCGTGAGTCTGTCACATGTGGTCTTTATTGTTTGGCGGTACCTTCCTTCTATACTTAATTATTGAGAATTTTTATATGAAGGGGTGTTGAGTTTTTTCAAATGTTTTTTCTGCATCTATTGCAATGATCATATGGTTTTTGTCCTTCATTCTGTTGATAGGATGTATCACTTTTGTTAATTTGCATATGTTGAACCATTCTTGCATTCCTGGGATTAATCCCATTTGATCATGGTATATTATCTTTTTGATCTGTTGTTGGATTCTGTTTACCAGTATTTTGTTGAAGATTTTTATGTCTCTGTTCATCAGGGATATTGGCTCGTAATTTTCATTTTGTGTATGTGTTCCTGTCTGGTTTTGGTATTAGGGTTGTGCTGGTCTCATGAAATGAGTAAGAAAGAACTCCCTTTGCATCAGTTTTTTTTGAGAGAATTGGTATTACTTCTTCTGTAAAACTTTGGTAGAATTCAGCAGTGGAGTCATCTAGTCCTGGAGTTTTTGTTGTTGTTGTTGATGGGAGACTTTTGTTTACGTTTTTGAAAAGCCAACTTTTTTTGTGGTTGATTTTTAAAATTATGTTTTCTTAGTCTCAATTTTATTAATTTCCGTTCTGATCTTTATAATTTCCTTCTACTACTTTTAGGTTTGACTTGTCCTTGCTTTTCTAGTTTTTTGAGATGCATCATTAGGTTGTTTATTTGAAATGTTTCTAATTTTTTGAGGTAGGTATTTATTGTTATAAACTTGTCTTAATACTGGTTTTGCTGTGTTGCATAGGTTTTGGGATGTTGTATTTTGATTTTCTTTTGTTTCAAGGAATTTTCTAATTTTATTTTTAATTTCTTCATTCATTAGTTAAGAGTAGGTTGTTTAATTTCCATGCATTCGTATAGTTTCAAGTGTTCCTCTTGTTACTGATTTCTAGTTGCATTCTATTATGGTCAGATAAGATACTTGGTATAATTTAATTTTTAAAATTTTTTTGAGACTTGTTTTGAGTCTTAATATATAGGCATTACAGGAGAATTCCATGTGCTGATGAAAAGAATGTGTATTCTGTAGCTGTTGGATGACATGTTTTGTAAATGTCTGTCAGGTCCATCTGGTTTATGGTGCAGTTTAAATCAGATTTTTTTTTTTGTTGATTTTCTGTCTAGATGATCTGCTGAATGCTAAGTGGATTGTCAAAGTCCCCAACTATTGTATTGGGATTTCTTTGTTCAGGTCTAATAATATTTTCTTTATATGTCTGGGTGCTCCAGTGTGGGGTGCATATATATTTACAATTGTTTTATTTTCTTGCTGAATTAATTCTTTTATTATTATGTAATGTTCTTGCTTGTTTCTTTTTACAGCTTTTGACTTGAAGTCTATTTTTTCTGATATAAGTACAGCTACTCCTGCTCCCTTTTGGTTTCCATTTACTTGCAATATCTTTTTCTATTCATTCACTTTCAACCTCTGTAACCCTTTACAGGTGAGATGAGTTTCTTGTATGCAGCATATAGTTGGGTTGGGTCTTTTTCCCATTATTTTGAGACAAAGCTCCAAGCATTAATTTCTTTTTACCTATATATCTTTCAGTTTGGGTCTCTAAGAGATAGGGATTCTTTAAAATAAAATACCATTATGACACCTAAAAACATTACAATAGTTTCTAATATCAATTAATATGTAGTCAGTATACACGTATCTCCAATTATCTTACCATCTATTTTTTTAACAATCAAATCCAGATCTAAACAAGGTTCATGATTTATTATTATTTGATATATTTCTAGGGTCTCTTTTAACCTGTAGGCTCTATCTTCATCTCTACTTTTTTTTTTCTTGGTCCCTTTTTTTTTCTTTTCCTTGGTCTTATTGGAGAAACGAGATTGTTTTAACTGAAGATTTTCTAATAATTTGAATTGTCTTGATTCCATCCCTAATGTGTTCTCAAACATATTCATCATCTTGTACAATGCACTTCTTTTAAATTCACAGTTACGGCTAGAGATCAGATTCTGCTTCCATGGTTTTGGCAAGATTACTTCACAAATAGTGGTATATATTTCCATAAGTGGAAATGTGCATGTGTGAAATGTTAACAACTATTGAGGATTTTTGCCTGGATTAATCAATTCTTTTGCTATTGCAAAGTGGTGATATCTTAATTTTATGATTTTAAAAAATTGACTTTATTTTTTAGAGCAGTTTTAGGTTTGCAGCAAAGTTGAGTGGAAAGTATGTAAAATTCCCATGTACCCCCAGCTCCCACCCATGCATAGCTTCCTTCATTATTGATATTCCTCACTAGAGTGGTAAGCTGTTTACAATTGATGGATGTACATTGACACATTATTATCACCCAAAGTCCATCCTTTCTTTGGGTTCACTCTTGGTGTTATACATTCTATAGGTTTTGACAAATATAAAATAACATGTATCCACTAACGATTCATTCTTCATTTATTGACTAGGGTATTTCTGTAAGGAGAAACTTCTTCCCCTCCCCATTTCCTACTTGTATCTACAGTAACAAAACCCAGGATAAATGTTTTGTTCTTTACCTCATCTAGCAGTTTGCAAAATAATGAGTTGGTTCTCTCCTCTGAGGTAAACATGAATTGTTGTTTCTGTTAAGATCACTAAGACGTCACATATTTAAACATATTTGAAGTATTCCAATGCTCTATTATATGTGTATATATAGCTATATATATGTATGTGTACCTACATGCACATATCCATATATGTATACACACATCATATCCTAATAACTTGATTGTAAACTCATAGGTCACCAACATTTATAAACCTACTTTGTTGTCTAGTTTTAAATAAAGTAATCCATAAGACAATTAAAAATTTAATTTTAGAACAGTATTTTCTATTTAGCAGTTCTCATAAAGACTCCTCTGAGTTTCTGAGGATGGTAGAAAACCTTGCTTTGTTGCTAAAAAAGAGAAGCAGCTCTCTCTCTGTCTCTCTTTACATATATATTATATATATATAATATATGTAATGTATTATATATCTAATATATGTAATGTATTATATATAATAGATATATATGCAATATATAATATATATTATATATGTAATATATATTATATAAATATATAATATATATTATATATTATATGTTATATATATTATATATGTAATATATAATATATAAATATATATCTCTTTATATATACACACACACACAAGAACAAGAAGGAAGGAGAGAAAGAGAAGAGGAAGAAAAGAAAAAAAGAGTAAGCAAATGACTAATAAAAGACAAGTCAATTAATGGGCTATTGCACAATTTGGGAAAATTATTGTAGTTAATTTATTTATATGGTCTTACGTGACATTATTGGAAAGTAGTTAAGCTTGAGTGCTTGAGATTCAGACTACTTGGGTAAAATCTCTAGGTCTGATACTTCCTAGTGGTGTCAGTGTGGGCAAGTTACTTCTCTTTGGCTGATCCTCCTCAATAGTACAACAAGGATACAAAGCAGAGTTTTGTAAGGATAAAGTAAATGAATACATATAAAATGCTTAGATTGTTTATAGGAAATGGTCAATAAATGTTAGTTTATTTTGTTTTCATTGTTGTGATGATGATGATGGTGATGTGGTATAGATACGTGGATGGCAAAGTAGTATCTTTCTGGACAGAAAAGAAGAGCTAAAATGATATTTGTTAGGTAACTACTATGAGCAGATATTACACTAGCACCTGCTTCATATTATATAATGTATTTTTAATTTTAATTAAATTATCAACATTTTAAATTTATCAACATTATTTATTATTTATTTTAGCATAGTAGCTTGAATAGGCAAGGGATACAATATACCGTTTCTTAAATTGAGTGGTATTATTAAGTGTATTTGACCTATATCAGGTATTGTTATATCTGCAAAGAACTTATAAGATGAAGCATTATTCTAACATACAGAACTGGCAAAGAATGGAAATTTAAAATTCTATAAGAAAAGCTTAAAATCCCAGCAAAGGTGATCATGTATGAATGTGGATAGTGAGGCACTCATGAATCACATAATTCTAGTATTGCCCATGGTAAATTCATATCAATATTCACCAAAGTATTTTTTCCTCTACACAGGAAAAGAAAGAAATAAAAGCGAAACAATTTCGGAATCACTCCCTATAGCCACGGAAATGATTTTAATTACCAATTCATCTGTTGGCAGACTCTTCTGGCAGATGTACCTGCAACTTGGAAAGATAACAAATGAACCAATTCCTTACTCCAGAGTTGACACTGGTAGTGCTTACTGAATTTGCTCTCAAAAAAGAATCCTGGGCAACAATACATCTGGCACTCTGCTCGAGGAATTTGTCATGTCATTGACATGTTCAGCCTCCATTGTCCACACCACCCTGACAGCAGGTCCTTTATATTTCAAAGAAATTGCAGCCTGAATTAATATAATTAGAATGTAACTGTTATTCACTGCAGAAACTCCTTATTTCCAGAAGTAAAGATCTGATAGCATGTCTGTACTTAAAATCTTTCCCATGATGGCTGGAGGGGAGCAAGCAGATAATAAAATGACAGAATAGATGCTATTTCACGGGCTTTTTAAAGTATTAACTAATGGAAATATAGGGGGAGAAGAAAACTGTTCTACCCTTGGCATGTATAAATGGAAACATCTTTTAAGTTTACTAGCCTTTATAGTACTTCTATAAAATATGTTCTGAAAAGTAACTAAACTCAGAGAAATAAATTAAATCAGAAAAATTAGCTATCTCCAAAAAATATGCAATGAAGCATGAAGTAGAGTGGCTAATTCATAGACAGAATTACAGATTTAAGAGATGGTTGAATAACTTTAGTCATTTTTCCCTGCTTCCCTTTGAACAGTTGATGTCACTAACTAGGCAACTGTCACCAAGTTGGTAACTTGAGTGCTGGATTTTTGAATTTTATTCTTTGTTAGCATTCTGTTTCTACAAATACATGATTACTGATATAGTGGAAACTGACATTGGCATTTTTCTTTTGAAAATAAGATTGATTCACATTCTTTTAAATAAGTTAATTTTCTCACTGGGAATGACTCATTTGAGGGGGAACAATGGCCTGGCATATCAATGTGTTGGCTGGTGCTTATGGCCTCTTCTCTGAAGAATATAATGTTTATCCTTGTACATGTTATAGACCGTTTGTGTCCTTCTGAAATTTATATGTTGAAGCCCTAATTCCCAGTGTAATGATATTTGGATATGCAAGCCTTTAGGTAATTAGATTTAGGAGCCTTGAGGGTGGAGCTCTCATGGTGGAATTAGTGTCCTTATAAGTAGAGGAAAAAAACATCAGAGTGCTCGCTCTCTCCTTCTCTCTCCCCTGTGCCCTGCCTCCAGACCTCTGACTATGTGAAGATACGGTGGGAAGATGACTGACCGCAAGACAGGAAGAGAGCCCTCACCGAGGAACCAAATTGGCCAGTATCTTGATTTTGGATTTCTCAACCTCAAGAACCATGAGAAATGAATGTCTGCTGTTCAAGCCACCCAGTCAATGGTATTTTGTTATGGCAGCCCCAGCTGACCAAGAGAGCGCATATGAATTTAATGAGCATTGAGAAAAGCTAATGTTTTTCATTTTTTCCCTTAGAAGCATCTATCGATCTTCATTTGAAATTATGTGTCAGAAACTGCAATAATAGAAGTAAAGAGAATGGGCTAGGTAATGTAAGAATAGGGCTAAGGTTATGTAAGTGAGGGAGAGTTTCGAGAGAGGAATTTCAGTAGCCTTTAAAATTTTAAATAAAATACGCTCTATAAACCAAATGCATTAGTTAAGGAGCTGTGGGCATCAGTTTCTCCTTATAAAGATTGCATATACCTTTTAGTTAACATCTTGGACAAGTCAGGAATGATTCCTTTCCTCCAGGGTGTCCTGTGGAATGTCTACCTTGTCTCCCTCAACATAGAGGAACTATCGACCATTTTCCATTAAATAGCCTAGAATTAGGTGTGTTTCAGAATCACGTGTATATATGTACATGGTGGTTGGATGTGGGTGGATTCGGAAGGACTTGTTAAGATGCCCATGCCTGAATTCCTCCCAGATCCACTAAATCAGAATTGTCAGCTGTGGTGCCCAAATTACCTAAGTTAAAAACCACTCCAAGCGCTTCTGATACATACCAGACTTGACATCCATAGACCAATGTTCTCATTCATTGATACACATATTCAAGTTTACTACCTAGGCAGATCTTTCTATAGGTTATATATGTGAGTTTAAAAATGGGTACATTTAATTTTTATAAATGGAAGTCCATTTAAGACATTTTGGGCCAATGGTTTTGAGGAGAGCTCATTAGCATACCAGCTGAGCTGCCCCATTCCCTCATTGCACACCTTCCTTCTGCCTTTGCCATAGGTTGCTTAGTTTCTCAGTCTGCCTGTCTGGTCTGAGTTAGAAAGAAAAATGGGCATCTCACAGTTCCTAGCAATTTATTTTGCAAAAGAATGCAGTAGAGATTTCTATTTTAATGTAAAAAAATCCTTTGAGTAAATAGTTTTCCCTCTCTCCAATATATTTTCTTATTATTCTGTATATTTAATAATGGGATTATATGTTATAAACACATGCTTAGACATCCAAATATATGCACAGATGGAAAATATCAAGCTTGCAGGAAAGGTCCATCCCCCAAACACAATTTTAAGGGGTTTTGCCTTTGTTTTCTCTAAGGAATACAAAAGTCAGACTTGAAAAAAAGGAGGTTTAGGGAATTCTGTCACTATTTTCCTAATTTCCAGCAAATGCTAATTCTGATGTTGTTTTTTTGATTTTTAGTGGCCTTTAGAGAATTCTTGGGGTTGAGGGTGGGTAGGAAGCGGATTGAGGATGGGGGAGAGTTCCTATCTGATGTCTGACCAATGAATTGTTAGATAAACTAGTCATGTAGAAAACAGCTTGATTTATCTAAGAGAGATAATAGTGACTCCCAGGATCCAGCCTGCCCTGTAACAACCCAGAGGACTTCTTTCCTGAGGTTTACAGAATACACTGATTGGTCAATCAACTAGATGTAGTAAATATGTAAAAATTATATTCCAAAAATTTTGTAAAAATAGTAAAATAAGTACATATTTTTGGAAGAGTATGTGGGGAAAAAGTAATGCAGAGGAAAAAAAAGAAGGGAGAAAATATGGGCCAAGGTGCTGCTTTCAGAATCAGACACATGTGGATTAGATTCCAGTGTTAGTTGTTGTATGCCCTTGGGTAGTTATGTCACATTTCTAAGCCAATGTTGTCATCTGTTAAATGGGAACAATGTCTCCCTCACATGGCTATGGTAAGGGTTTGCTAAAGTATTTATTTTACAGTCTGTAAAAGGATTCAGAAAAATGCTTGATATACAGTAGCTGCTAACACAATACATCTGAGATAATAGTATTACATTGCTGGCAGCAGAGAGTGGTAGCCACTAAGTATATTTTTTTCTGGACATGCAGTCCTGACTTTGAACCCCTTTTGGTTTGAGGCAGAATTACTGCTATTGGCATTTCTAGCACTAAGTCTACATGATATTTTAAAGAATTTGTTGAGAGCTCTTAAATTATTACTATTATTATCAAGAAATAGATTTGTTATGTCTGTTTTCTTGATTTATTAACTGAAATTCTGTAATCCTTGCCTTAAGCTTACAAGCGTTCTTAGTTTGATTTTTAAAATACCCTCAGAAACCATTAATGTTCACAAGAAATAAGAAATCTTTGCAATAATATTTCATTGTATCATCGTACTTTTTCTTTCCTGAAAAACCAATGAAGAATGGCAGTTTTATAGGTAAAACAGTAGTTAGCCTTTATATGGATGACATTTTCCCAAAAGCCTAGAAAAATTTCACATTTGCAGAAAAATACTCTGTTCCCATATTAAATCTGATTAAAATTCAAATCTATATTAACATCTCATAACTTTTTGAAAAAAGTGAATGCCACACTTAATGGAAAATGCTCACTGTCTGTCCTCACTGCTTTTGTGGGCTTCCTAGCAAGGCTGTACTGGGATCCAGGAGGGCTGGATCACAGCTACATCCTTGTTAAAACAGTCAACCGGCATGAATGTTGGCCTTTAGTTTTTCCTTCCTTTCCCCTCTCCCATCCCTACATTGTTTCAGCTGCCAGCTCCCTAATATTTTTTTCTGAAGCAAGGGAAAGGAAAGGGCAAAAATGACTTAGAAAGAATAACATTTCTTTCTATGGACTTAAATAGAACATTCAACGCAAAACATCCTGTGTTTTCTTTTAGTTGATGACACATTGACTGTAGGAATGAATGAACTAAAAACCAGGGCTTGATTTTCAAATGGGGGTTATTTTAGTTGCATACTACCTGATCAAGAGAAAGTTGTTCAACTATTTTAAATTATAACCTGTTGGTTTCTCCTCTGTACTCCTGATCTCCTTATCTTGCTGTGCGTTTCTTTTCTCCATTTTACATATCACCTTCTAACATGTGTTTATTATGTTTTTTGTTTATTTTCCCACTCTCCTGGCCATGATGGAAGTCCATGAGAGCAAGCATCTTTGTCCGTTTGGCTCACTGTTGGATTCCCTGTTTTAAAAATATCACCCGGCCCAGCGTAGGTGCTCAATAAATATTTGCAGCATGAATTAATGAAATAGTTTCTTTCTCAGTGTCTTTTTCTATACAATTATGCAGAATATAACTGGTACAAATATGGTACAAAAACATCTTATAAATGTGCGCTTATACCTAGTAGATACATTTGAAAGTACAGCTCTGCTGGGAGTGTACATATCTTAGTTGGTGAAGAAGAGATAATAAAAGAGTTAGATTAAAAAAAAAGCACTTTGTCACTCTCTATTCTCTTATTTACTCTGCTTTATTTTTCTTTGAACCCTGAATCTTAATACCCAACATAATATATTTATTTGCTGATTGTCTACTTCCCCATACTAGAATGTAAGCTTTTTAAGGACAGGATCTTGTGTGTTTTGCTCACTACTATAGCCCCATTCCTTGGACTCATGCCTGATACAGAGTAAGCACCCAATACATATTTATTGAATGAATAAATGTATGTTTGAATGAGTGTGTTTGTTTCAGACTGTATTCATGTCTGGCTCTTGCTCTATATACAGACTCTTTGGAATGATCGTTCACTAAGAGCTTGGTACTGTTGAGGTGGATGATGGGTGGGGAGATAAAGGGAAGAAAATGACCAAGATTATACTAGTATTTTTAAATTTTTTTATTAATTGTGAAAAAGATGTCTCAATCATTATATATGTAGTATAGTGTGAGCCTAGGGACGGTGGTTTGGGTCCTGAAACATCCACCTATTTTCAGAATGAACTAAAATAATTTCTTAGTTTCTTGATGTCACATTTTCATTATTTGTAAAATTAAAACAATGTTACCTTACCCAGGGCTATAATGGGAGAATAGAGAGGCACTGACACATCGAAGTTGGTCAGTAAATATTAGCTATCATCATCATCATCATCATCATCATTATCAACATCATCATCCAAGGGTTGGTGAACTATAGCTGGTGGGCCAAATCTCTCCTGTGGTCTGCTTTTATAAATAAAGTTTTACTGAACACAGTGTATTAATTTTCTTATTGTCTCTGGCTGCTTTTACATTACAACAACAGAATTGAGTCATGCCTTGCAAATCCTAAAATATTTGCCCTCTCATCCTTGATAGAAAAAGTTTGGAAACCTTCATCTAGAAAGTGGTCTAGCAAAGTGTGGTCCATGGATGAGTTTGATCTGCAAACTGCTTGTTATTGGTTCATGACAAGGTGAGTACAGAAACTGTGAATAATTATTTAGAAACTTATATAACAATTTAAGAATGCTAGTGACTTCTAAGTGCATTATTTTGACATCTAAGTGCATGATTTTGGTTTATACAAAAGTGTTGATTTGTGACTGATTGGAAATTTAAGAAAAAGAAAACCTGGCCTTTTCCACTGGAATAGAGTCGGGTGTTTTGTAATGGGATTTTGTTGTATTGGTGACTTAGTAAGACATATTCACGTGGCTTCAGATGGAAACATCTGGGGGCCCATCAGGTGGGAGTGACAAACATGTCCTGAGATTGCAATTGACCTGGGAAGGTTGATGAGCATGCACATTAATAACGTCACACAAATGGATTTTCTATGCAGATGGGTGGGCCAGCCACAGTTCACTTATCAGCTAATACAGTTGTAATGTGTTGCTTCATATCTGAGAGAAGGCAGCACCTTAGGATATTATGTGTGTCTCACTTACATATATAAATGAATTCCCTTTTGAGGTAGATGTATTTTAGTCAATAAGTCATCTTCTCTCAATAGTAAGCCAACAACTTTCCTGGAAATCTAGCAAAACAACAGTTCTATGACCAGCCTTATGTTTTGTTGCATGTGTGCATAAAAAATGCAGATTGACTCTTTCCTTTTCTGTTTTAGAATTGGTTCCAAACAGTAAAGCCGCCAGAAAAAACAGACAAACTCTTAGGAACAACAATGCCCATTATGTGTGGAGTAGAAGCTGCCAGACTTTGATTACTGGCCAGAGATTAACCCCTTTGGTGTCTTAGGGGGGAAAATGCCAAGTCTGAATCCAGACATTTCCAGGATTTTACAGTCATTCATGGTATGAGACCAGGCGATTTATAATGACTTGTGCAAAAAAAAAAAGACTATTGGGAGAAGGAAGTGCAAGTCAAAGGCCACGGCTCCTTGCTTCCTGAATTCTGCCATGACTAATTCCAGCAAGCGGACATAGACCTGATCACCTCTGCTTTTCCCTTTGCTAGCCTGCCTGGTCATGGATGAGAAGCACGCTGCTCTTGCTACCTTCATGTGGTGGTTTGGGTCCTGAAACATCCACCTATTTTCAGAATAAACTAAAATAATTTCTTAATTTCTTGAGGGCACATTTGCATTATTTGTAAAATTTAAACAATGTTACCTAACCCAGGGCTACAGTGGGAGAGTAGAGAGGGATTGACACATAGAAGTTGGTCAGTAAATGTTAGCTATCATCGTCATCATTATCATCATTATCAACATCATCATCCAAGGGTTGAATGATGTTTTTGTGTTTTTGTCCAGGTGTCAGAAGGAGGCTGGCAAATTTGGCACTCACAGAGGGAAACCTATGTGCTTCGTGAGGTCATTGCTTAGAGTACAACTGCTACCAAGAACATTCCCTGCAAACTCTTTTGTGATCAGTTTCTTCCCTTCTCTCATATACCCTCTGCAGGTCTACCAATTGCATTTTGAGAGCTCAGATAAGCAGAGAGCAATGCAATTTGTCACAGAAGGATGATTATGTATATGCACTGTCATGTGTATGTATGTGTATGTATATACGGTATGTGTATATATGCATATGTATATACAGTATGTGTATTTCATTTGTTCTTTTATCTTATCCTTCAATATGTATTTATTGATAATTTATTATGAGAGGCTGAGAATACCAAGTTAATTATAATTTATTATAATAATAGCTACCATTTATCAAGAACATATTGCATATCAACATTATGCTAAATATTTTATATACATATATTTTAATGCATTTAGTCACTTAAAAAACTTTATGAAATAGCCCCATTTTAGACATTAGTAAACCGAGTTCCAGAAAACTCAAGGGCACGCAGCTAGTTAATGTTAGAGCTAGGATCCGCATTCAGATCTGTTTGATGCAAAACCCATTCTCTTAATCACTTTGTTAAATTGCCTTCCCAAAGATGAATAACATGATACAAAGGCATTTACCTACTTTCTTGGATTCACAATCTGGTTGGCAAGAAAGGCATATGATGCAGAACATAAAAGGCTATAATACAGCTATGTACAAAATACCATGATTAACTTGTTCTCTTGCGGGGTGGGAGAAGGTGGAAGAGGGTAGAGGAAGGCCTCATAGGGCAAGTTGTGCTTGAGCTATGCCTCTGGGGTATGGGATACTCACACAGCAGAGAGAGAAAAGGTGGAGGCTGGAGAGGAGAGAGAGAGAGAGAGAAAGGGGGGGTGGGAAGGAGGGAGAGAGAGATTTCAGCTGGGTGTGACTTTGTTTTGTAGGATGAGACGTAGACTTGTTCAGGTGCAAAGAGACATCTGGAACTAGTTAGTGGGAAGTTCTTCAAGGCTGTTTCTCCACTGAACAAGCCCATATATTTTTCCTCTTTGTTCTCCTTTAGCTATTTCCATGCCTAACTCAAAGGAGACACAAGGAGAAAGTGAGCTCAGCCTGGATAAATTGGAGATTGTGATGACTTCTAGGAAGCCTCAGGAAAGAGAAACAAAGACAACACTGGCCTGCTGCTCTCTGCAATGGTGGGACCCTTGTGGGATAACTGTTTTAGGAATGAAGGTGTCTACCCTCTCTAGAAATGAAAATGCAAGTTTGGCTGTGGTTAAGTATTGGATGGAGGCAAAAAGAAACTGACATATTTTCTTCTTTTCAATTGTTTGATTCACCCTGAAGGGCATGGCTGCTTAATTTTTTTCTCCAGAGATAGGTGGACAGATAAAGACAGGAAAGTAACATCCACAGACTGCCCTCTGTGAAGGTGACAGTGATGAAAGGAATGCTTGATCTGAACACTGGTAAATAAAGTGACCGCATATTTCCCTAGCCAGGAGAGCAATCTGGCTCAAAAGAAACGAGAACAATGACATTACTGCCAGGCTGCTCCTAAGCCTTTGGCTATTCTGTTCAGTGCACAAAAAAAAGCAGTGAACATAGCTGTGACCTGCCTTGTTGGTAGTATCACAATTCTTTGGGGCTCCACTTTAAGAAATTGAGACCTACCTACCTTAATCCTTGGGGGGTTAAGCTTTCAGACTGGAATGATAACTGAACTATTCATTTGCAGTAATTCTGGGTTTTGTGCATATTTTAAAAAGGAATACCGGGCTTGCCTATATTCATTACAACGTCCTCCCAGCTTTCAAATCTTCCAATACAATGCCTCTTCTCTAGTCTTTTAAGCACATCCTGTGACTGGATATGATTATGGGAGATTTACATGCATCCTTGTCTATTGTATCAAAAGATCAGGGAATAAAATGCCCATCATTAAAACCCCAAAGTGATTGGATTGGCATGAGGAATGGGGATGGGGCTGGCATGGAAGAGAGGGTTCTGACTCTGAGATTTCATGAAATGCAAAACAATAGGACAGCTGCTCTTCCATAAACAGATTATTATTATTATTTCTACCTAGACAGCTTGATAGCAGCCATTATCTTCTTTCTGGGTGTCTTATCAAGTTCCGGCTGTGTGCAGCATGGGTGATAAGGAAAGAGAAATGTCACCCATGGGATTGCCAAGGATTATTTCTATGCACTGCTGTTCAGCAACAGCCAATCTCTCAGAACTGAGAAGAAGTCCTATTGTTCACGCTGGGCAGTTGCTATTCTGACTATCCCAAGAGAGCAGAAAAGGGATGTAGTTGCCATTGTGCAAAAGATTGATATTTCATTACTCTCAGCTAAAGTTCTGAAAAGCAGAATCATCATGAAATATCTTTGAAGAGAGAAAAGACAAGGGAAGAAAAGAAGAACGAAATGAGTTCAGAGCTTTTTAGAACTGTGAGGGAGTGCGAAAAAAGAAAGGTGTAATACTTTCAAACAGTGGAAGTTAAAATGCCAGGCGTGTAAGCCTCAGTGAAATTGAGCAGCATCACGTCACCACGACTTGTGGTCCAGCTGTTTATTGCAAAGACTCCATCCTGCGTTACTCATCAGAAAATAGTTAACTTTGTATCTGGCATTATTTTAATTAAAAAAAAAGTTAACTTACTAGATTTCTGTTTGTCTGTGTTTCATACAAGGTTCTTGAATGAAAATAATCTGTTGATATTTAACATTTTTCCTTTCCTTCTCAATGAGAAAATAAATGTTTTATTATACATGCAGATGTGCCAGCTAAATATTTCAGGAAAAAAAAAATCTCTTCGTCGTTTTGTTCCCGTATCTCAGCTTTCCAAACTTATATCTTCCCAGAGAAAAGACTGCATTAGAAAAAAATTAAAACTAAAGTGTATGACTAACCTGTAGTGTATTCATAGAGTATTCCCCCCAAAGTGTTCTGAGTGCTTTAGTCTTCTTTATACATGGTTTTAGGGTCATGCTGATGTTATAATGTAAGCTGCTTGGAAGTCAGCCAAGTCAAATTTTTCCAACATTTTAAATCACTATTCTGAAACTGGAATTTCAAATGAATAAAATGCTTTGCTCTTAAACCAACGACTTCAGAAATGAGATAGATCCTAGTCAGGAATTATTACAACGGGAAGTGAGAGGAGGTTGGGAAGGTAAAGGGCAAAAGGAGGGCATAGAGGGAGAAAGGAGGATGCAGGAAAAGAGGAAGGAGCTTTGACTCCCCTGTGACACGTGAGCCCCAGGAGGGCAAGAGCCTTCCCTTTAGGTTTGTGCAACACCTCATATACAGTAAGCACTCAGGGGATATTTGTTAAATGAATTAGTGAGAGGGGCATAGAAAAAAAGGTTTTGGTATTAAGATATGCAACGGAATATTCCCTTAACGAAATACATTATTTTAGTTTTTCAGCCCTTAAGCATTTACCGGGAAACGTAGAGATTCTCCAACTTTAATACACATATTAATTACCTGAGAGCCTTGTAAAAAAAAAATCCAGATTCTGATTCAGTAGGCCTGGGATAGGCTGAGAGATTCTGCATTTCTATGAAGCTCCCAAGGGATGCAGATGCTACTGGCTCATGGAATACGCTCTGAATAACAATGTGTTAGAGTAGTGCATGGGGTACTGGGCTGGGGGTCATGAGCTCTGAGTTCTAATCTCTGACATGAACCACCTGTGCTTTCAAGCCAGGTGATTAGCTTTCCTAGTCTCAGTCTCCCCATGTAGCTAATGACTGGTTGGATCTACATAATTTCTAGGGTTCTTACAGCCTTAATATTTTGAAAGTTAAAAAGAAAAGAAAGGATTTAGAGAATGCCCAGTTTAACTCTGTCTCTTGAAATCCTGGGGAGGCAAAATCACTTCCGTCCAAAGTTGCACAGGGGATTTGTCCTGTGTGAATTGTGCTACAGCTGATTCCCTGGTTTCTAGTACAGTAATTTTTCTACTCCCATTTCTTTTGTCATTATTATTTTTTGTGGAATACTTAGAATTTGTCTGATGCTATGCTAGGTGCTGGGAATACAAAGATGCGTTAGAAATACATTATTATAATTTATTATCAAATTCCTTGCTTGAGTAACGTGCTGAAGATGACAACTAATCCCTGCAAATGTGTAACATGTGTGCTGATATCAGGGTTCCCCCTTCCGTGATATAATAATGGCTACAGTAGAATGCTTGCAACGATGACCCGAATTCTCCAATTCTCCCCATATCCATCCATTCCCTTTTCTATGTGATTTTGCAGCTTATCATATCAAAAAGTGGAATTTCTTTCCCCAGCCCTTGACTCTGGAATGGTCTGTGATTTGCTTTTACCAAGAGAATGCAGTGGAAGGAACAACATGCCAGCTCTACACCCCGGTCTGAAGAGGCCATACCCACTTTTGTTACTTCTCTCAGGATCCTGCTGCTGCCGTAAGAACAAGCCTGGGGTAACCTCCTGGAGGATGAAAGTTCACAAGTGACCTACCGTCCCAGAGGAGGACAACTTAGAGCAGCCTACACCTAGCCATCCACAGATATGTGTGAAAGTCCAACCAAGAGCAACAGAGCTGCTTACTCAACCCACAGCTGACCACCGATGCACAAGTGAGCTCAGATGAGGCCAGAACTGCTCAGCTGAGCCATAAACTTGTGAGCAATAATAAACTTGTGAAGCCACTTAGTTTTGGGAGGCTTTGTTTTGCAGCATAGCTAAGTGGTATGACGGCCTTCTGGATGCCAAACTTTATCTGAAATAAATGGTTCTAGTTTGAGTTCTCCCCGGAAGATAGTATGTGAGATGTTGTGGGAGTGGCATGGGCTTTGCTGCTTCTTCCATACTTCTGAGATGCTTTTCACTTAAAAAGGAGGGGAGCTAGCTCATGCTATTTTTACTTTACTGTTAAAAGAAAGATATGGCCAGTGAAGTTAAGTTTAGAGATTAAAGCTCAAGGTAACACACATGTATATCCCTTGTTTTGAAAGAAGCACAAAAGAGCCATGATCTGAGATCACAAAAGAAAATGAATGCTTTAGTCTTGGCTTTGCCATGTATGTTATCTTGAGCTTCAGAGTTATTCTTGGTAAACAAATATAACTATGACTGCCTGCCTGCCTTCCTTCAGAGATAGTATGAGAGTGAACAGATATAATAAATATAAAAATGTCCTGTAAACTCTTAAGTGGTACACAAATATAACTTCTTTTGAACATTGTACTATATTTTGTTTTCACATAATAGTATCTAGTACTTATTGAGAACTCATAACTCCCTTTATAAGTATAATAATAGCTAAGACATATACATTTTATAGTTTTCAGGTTGCTTTTATATAAATTATCTCTCCTTGATTCTTCAATGGTGCCCTGAAAAACATATTTTTATTTTCTCATTTTGCAGTTGCAGAACCTCTGTTGTCTTCTATGTGATGGGATTTATAAAGCTGAGGTAATGGGCAGGTTTTGCTAAGATAGGAGCCCCATCATGTTGGGGTTTTCTTTAACGGTCAAACTTGGTGAATAAATCAGATCTCTGTCTTTTATAATCTTGTTTAAACTCAATCTAGCATTGTAATTTTTAAATGGATCCCAATTCTTCTCATAACAGTTATTGTCTATGAGGTGTCATTATTTTCTCCCCCAAGATATATATTTTTTTAATTTTTACTTTTATTTTTGATACAGGCGATACATGTGGAGGTTTGTTACATGGGAATTTTGTGTGATGCTGAGTACCCAACAGGTAGTTTTTTACCCTTTTTTCCTTTTTTCCTACCCCCTCAGAAGTCCATGGTGTCTATTCTCATATTTGTGTTCATGTGTGCTCATTGTTTGGCTCCCGCTTGTAAGTGAGAACATGCAATATTCGGCTTTCTGTTTCTTCATTAATTTGCTTAGGATTATGGCCTCCAATTGCATCCATGTTGCAGCAAAGGGCACGATTTCATTTTTTTGGCTGCATAGTATTCCTTGGTGTATATGTACCACCTTTTATTTATTCAGTCTGCCATTGATGGGAACCTGGGTTGATTCCAAGTTTTTGCTATTGTGAATAGCACAGCAGTGAACATACAGTAATCAAAACAGCATGGTACTGGTACAAAAACAGACGTACGGACCAATAGAACAGAATAGAAAACTCAGAAATAAAGCCACACACCTATAACGATTTGTCTTCGACGAGACCAACAAAAACAATGGGGAAAGGACTCATTAATCAATAAATGGTTCTGGGGTATTGGCTAGCCCTATGCAGAAGATTGAAGCTGGACCCCTACCTTTTATCATGTAAAAAAATCAACTCAAAATGGATCAAAGATTTATACATAAGATCTCAAAATATAAAAATCCTAGAAGACAACTTAGGAAATACTCTTCTTGATATTGGCCTTGGCAAATAATTTTTGGCTAAGTTTTCAGAAGCAATTGCAACAAAAACAAAAATTGACAAGTGGGACTTAGTTAAACTAAAGAGCTTCTGCACAGCAAAAGAAACTATCGGCAGAGTAAACAGACAACCTATAGAGTGGGAGAAGATATTCACAAACTATGCATCTGAAAAAGGCCTAATACGTAGAATCTATAGGGAACTTAAATCAACAAGCAAAAAACAAATTAACCCCATTAAACAATGGGCAAATGATATGAACAGACATTTATCAAAAGAAGACATACAAGAACCCATGAATATATGAAAAAAGCTAATCATTACTCATCATCAGAGAAATGCAAATCAAACCACAATGAGGTACCATCTCACACCAGTCAGAATGCTATTATTAAAAAGTCAAAAAACAACAGATGCTGGCGAGGCTGCAGAGAAAAGGGATGCTCATACACTGTTGGTGGGAATGTAAGTTAGTTCAGCCATTATGGAAATCAGTTTGGAGTCTTCTCAAAGTGCTTAAAGCAGAGCTACCATTTGACCCAGCAATCCCATTACTGGTTTATAGCCAAAGAAAATAAATCATTCTATCAAAACATTTTTAAAATGAGAAAAAGATAATGGTTACTCTGAAATTGCATGTTGGCTTGGTATTTATATTCTTTTTTGTTTGTTTGTTTTGTTTTGTTTCCAGAGAGCCAGATTTTCATATAATTTATATTCTTAAGCAATCAGAATTTTTATTTGATGATGTTAATGGACTAAACATATAATTAAATTATTATCATCAGAGGCTTGAGCCAAGAAGTTTTATTTATAAGTATGCAGTTGCCTTGGCTGATGATATAGAGACTGGGCTTGGGCAATTTTTATCTGAAATATGTAAAATGGCCTAAGTATTTGGTGAATATTGTCTGGCCCCTGACCAGTGATTTAAATTTCATCCAACAGTCAAAATAAGTCTGCAAGCAGAACATTTCCTCTGTTCTACTTAATTTTAAGAGTTGTGCTTATTTTGAGCCTATCTTATAACTGCGCCAGTGGCAAAACATTTTGGTCGTGTGAAAGACAGTTGCTATTTTGACAATACTATAATAGCTGCCATTGATCAAGAGCTTACTACATGAGAGCCAGCATTCTAAGTGTCTTACTCCCTTAAGTCCTTTAATTCTCATAAGAGCCCATTGAGATGGGGTCTATTATTATTATTATCCCCATTTAACAGACAAGGGAACCGAGTCACAGAAACATCAAATAAATTGCTCAAAGTCACACAGCTAGTAAATGCCAGAGGTGGATTTAGCTCAGGTAATTTGAGTAGAAAATTTTATACTATATAGCACTATTTTACTTGTACTCTCAGCCTTTCTTTAAGTCAGATATCAAGAAAAATTATCTGTATTTGTCTTGCCATAGCAGTGCTGCATCATAAAAAATTGTATATTTTCACAAGTGGTCTAGGTACTATGACCTCCCTTACAGAAATCTAGTAATCTAATAATCAATCTCCAGTAAGCTATTTCCTTGTGTATTAGACATATCAAAGCATGTAAAAGAAATAGGAGAAGTAATTCCTTTTAATGGACCTGAAGATTTACAAGAGTAGATGATCTTTTGGGGAGGTTAAAAGGATAGAGTTGGTTCTATAAGGTCTTAAGTTCATATTGGAGAGGCAATTGATAGTGACCCTTGAATTTACTTCATTTTAAGCCATTATCATCCAGATTTTAGCTAGGTCTTTATCTCAGTTTGTTTTGTGCTATTTTAAAAGAATATTGGAGGTTGGGTAATTTATAAAGAACAGACATTTATTTCTCATACTTCTGGAGGCTGGCAAGTCTAAAATGATTAGGGTGCCAGCAGGTTGGATGTCTGATAAGGGTTCAGTCTTCATTTCCATGATAGTAATTTTTTTTTTTTTTTTTTTTTTTTTTTTTTTTTGAGACAGGGTCTCACTCTGTCACCCAGGCTGGAGTGCAGTGGTGTGATCTGGGCTTACTGCAGTCTTCACCTCCCAGGCTCAAGTGACTCTCCTGCCTCAGCCTCCTGAGTAACTGGGACAACACACAGATGCCACCATGTCTGGCTACTATTTGTTATTTTTTTGTAGAGACGGGGTTTCACCATGTTGGCCAGGCTGGTCTCGAACTCCTGAGCTCAAGTGATCCACATGCCTCAGCCTCCCAAAGTGCTGGGATTACAGGCGTGAGCCACTACACCCAGCCACCATGATGACGCTTTGAATGCTGCATCCTGTGTGTGTGCGTGTGCGCGTGCGTGTGTGTGTGCACATATGTGTGTGCGTCTGCCTGTGTGTGCGTGTGTGTATGTGTGTGTGGATGGGGGAGGAATGCTGTTCTTTGCACGGCAGAAGAGCAGAAGCGGATGAACCCACTCCTGAAAGCCATTTTTATTGCAGAATGAATTTATTCACTAGGGCAGAGCCCTCATGACATAAACAACTTCCATTATGCCCTACCTCCCAACACTGTTGCATTGGGGATTAAGTTTCCAACACGAGTTTTGGAGGGGACAAACATTCAAATCATAGCAGTCTGTCACTGCTTGAGACACATGTAGGCTTGCCTCTAATTCCAATTTTTCAACTTGAGAGAGCTGTAGACCCCTCTACCTATCTCCCAGGACTCATAATCTTACTGTCCTCATCTCATGGTAGATAAGTTGTCTCTGTTTGTCACCACATTCACTCAGATGTAGAACCCAATCCTTTCACACATTTGCACAAGAAATCTAATCTACATTGATTATGAATTAGATTATGTGCCACAAAAATTTATATGGTGAGGTCCTAACCCCTAGTATCTCAGAATGTGACCCTATTTGGAAATAGAGTTGTTGCAGATATAAATAGTTAAGATGAGGTCATACTGGGTTAATGTGGGCCTCTAAACCAGTATGACTGTTGCCTTTATACAAAGAGGAAATATGAACACAGACACAGGGAGAACGCCACGGGAAGATGAAGCAGAGATCAGTGATGTGTTTATACAGCAAGGAATATCAAAGATTGCAGGGAAGCCATCAGATGCTAAAAGACAGGCATGAAACACATCCTTCCTTCACCACCCTCAGAAAGACCCCACCCTGCCAACACTTTGATCTTGAACTTTTAACCTCCAGAACTGTGGCAATACATTTTTGTTGTTGAAGCCATTCAGTTTGTGGTACTTTGCTATGGCAGCCCTAACAAATAAATACAATGTCTAACTTTTCCCACGTTGGGTAGATTTTTTTTTTTTTTTTTTTTGAGACGGAGTCTCGCTCTGTCGCCCAGGCCGGACTGCGGACTGCAGTGGCGCAATCTCGGCTCACTGCAAGCTCCGCTTCCCGGGTTCACGCCATTCTCCTGCCTCAGCCTCCCGAGTAGCTGGGACTACAGGCGCCTGCCACCGCGCCCGGCTAATTTTTTGTATTTTTAGTAGAGACGGGGTTTCACCTTGTTAGCCAGGATGGTCTCGATCTCCTGACCTCATGATCCACCCGCCTCGGCCTCCCAAAGTGCTGGGATTACAGGCGTGAGCCACCGCGCCCGGCCAGATTTTACTGAAGACATTTGCGGGAAGGCATGTCACAGGGAGAAACACATCACACAGCCCACAGCACTCCCTCAGTTAAATTGCCCCACATCTCCCTTCACTCTCTCTTCTCATCTCCTCCATCCTGGATTAACCCCCAAATATTCATATTTAAATTTATCTCACTGTTTTTCCAGAGTAGCTTTTCTCTTCCATTGAAGTTGTGACTGCAACCAATACCCATGTCCTTGGGTTCTGCTTCTAGCACAGACATTAATCAAACAACACATCCGACACAGTCTATTCACTGAGAGAGATGCCTGTGCCAAATGTCACAGTAAAAACATTTTCTAGATGGCCTGCTCTCAGATCTTGGCTCTGCTATTTACTAGCCACATGAACTCAGGTAAGTTACTATACCTCTTGACAATCAGGATAATACAAAGGAAAATAAATTGTTCTACCAAAAAGACAGATGCACTTGTATGTTCATTGCAGCACTATTCACAATATCAAAGACATGGAATCAACCCAGTAGTCCATCAACTCTGGATTGAATAAAGAAAATGTGCTACATATTCACCACGGAATACTATGCAGCCATAAAAAAGAACAAAATCATGTCCTTTGCAGCAACATGGATACAGCTGGAGGCCATTATCATGAGAAAACTAATACAGAAACAGAAAATCAAATATCACATGTTCTCACTTACAAGTGAGAGTTAAAAACTGAATACGCATGAACATAAAGATAATAACAATAGACAATGGAGATTACTAGAAGGGAAGTAGAGGAGGGGTCCAAGGGTTGAAAAACTACTCTTTGGGCACTATGCTCCCTACCTGGGTGATGGAGATTCATTTGTACTCCAAACCTCAGCATCATGCAATATACCTTTCTAACAACTGACACATGTACCCCTGATTCTAAAAGAAAAGTTGTTGTTGTTGTTGTTTTTGTTGTTGTTTTGAGACAGAGTCTCATTCTGTGGCCCAGGCTGGAGTGCAGTGGTGTAATCTCGGCTCACTGCAACCTCTGCCTCCCAGGTTCAAGTGATTTCCCTGCCTCAGCCTCCTAAGTATCTGGGATTACAGGTGCCTGCCACCACAACTGGCTAATTTTTATATTTTTAGTAGAGATGGGGTTTCACCATGTTGGCCAGGCTAGTCTCGAACTCCTGACCTCAGGTGATCCACCCACCTTGGCTTCCCAAAGTGCTGCAATTACAAGCATGAGCCACCGCCCCTGGCCTTAAAATAAACGTTTTTTAAAAAGGAAATGACAGTACTCCATAGCACCCGTCTTATGTTCAATGCTCCCAAAAGCAGGCTCTGAGGACAGACCATTGTGTGTAGATGGCTCACTGGGGAAGCTTCTGAGGAATAGCGCTGTAACAGGGGGAGAGGAGCAGGATGGGGAAGAGATGCAGGTGCAACAGAGGCCTCAGCCCACCATGGAAGCTGGGGAGCTGGATGGCCCTTTAGAGAGCGGTCTCATAATAAGGCAAGGAAGCTGAGGCTTTGCCCTCTCTCACCCGCAACAACTAGGCATTGGAAGTGGACTACCCACAGTGAGGGCTCATAACCTTGAATGAGGCAGTTCCTTTGGCTGAAAGCAACTTCTGGAGAGCAACTCAGCTCTGAGTGGTCATTCGCCAACACTGTATTAAATAGCTGGGGAAATAAGGGTCTTGATCCTGTGGTCAGTTTTGGAGTGACACGTCACAGAATTTGCTACAGGATTATTGTGAGCATGAAATGAGTTAATATACAAAATATGCTTGGAACAGCACACGGCTTGTGGTAAGTACTGCGTACAAGAGAGCTGTCACTATACTCAAGATCTATGGTAGCAACACTAAGGTTTGTGTAGTTACATACACTTTAGAAAAGAATTTCGTATGGATTTTGATCCTTATAAAGGCTCTATAGATGAGTGGCGTAAGTAATCTACAATTCTTTATATGAAAAATTTAGGCTCAGAGCAGTAAATGACTTGTCCAATACCACCCAGTTAGTAGGGACTAGGTTTCCCCTGTTTTCAATTTTTCATCTTGTTCTACAACTAACTTTTCAAGTCACAAGTACCCATATGTAAGCTCAGCCTCATCACTCCTAATTTTAGGATGAATTGCTTAAGAATTTACAATGCTGTAGTTTAACAGCAAGATGAAGCATCAAGGATCTTGCACCTGCCTGCCTTGGCCCTATCTTGAGCCATATTAAAGTTACAAAGGTAGCTTATGAAAGTGAAGGCATTTCACCAGGGAAGGTTGACCAGCTGACAATGTTATAGCCCTTATGACATAGCCTTTACTTTAGCGGGTTCTGTTATATGTTGGCCCTCCACTTCTGATGCTGTGTTTTCTGAAAGTAGAGTAAATGTTCAGGGAAATAGCACACTAAACAAACAAACAGACTGGTGTTTAAGCAGAATCCTACTTTATTATTATTATGTAATGGCCTTTATTTTTTACAACAGTCTGATTTACAGAAAAATTAAAGATGGTACAGAGAATTCCCACATACTCCACACCCAGCTTCCCCTATTATTAACATCTTACTTTAGGGTGGCACATTTGTTACAATCAATGAACCAATACTGATACATTAACATTAATTAAAGTCCATACTTTATTCAGAGAATGCTACTTTAGTATGTTACCAAAATACTTGAATGCCTAGAGCCTCCCTATAGGCAAACTAATCAGGCATTTACCTGGTAAGCATAAATTAGATTAAAGAGAGTTGATTGATCTAAAGAAATACACCTCAACTAAAATAACTAGAGGCTCTTTTCTCCACTACAGGGGTACCAGCGAAGCCGCCCTAATGTTTTTGCCTGGTAACCAAATGCTTCTCTCCCCTGATTAGCACTGCACATGCACTGTTAGTCTTTGTCTCTGGGACTCTCATTTTTCTGTGTTCCATGGTTGACCAACTACCCTTTTAAGATTATCACATTAATAACTCTAATGAGTTTACAGGGAAGGTCTACTCTGGCCAGATGGTCATGTTGCCTGCTTGGGGAGATTTTGCATATTTCTGTGCTGATTTCATAGCTTAACTTTCTAAGGGCAATACTCTATCCCCTATTTAGAGAGGCAGCATAGTAAGCAGAGTGTTCAGAGCTCAGGCTCTGACATTAGATTGTCTGGGCTTACATCTCAGCTTACCTTTTGCTAACAGTGTGACCTGGGACAAGTTGCTTTAACCTGATGTGCCACAGCTTCTTTATCTACACAGTGGAGGTGTGTGGGCGGCAGGGGTTGATATTCATTCAGCTTTTCATTTATGTTGTTTGTCTTCTAGGTGTTAAGATACTACAAACAAATAACCAACTCTGTCCAAACCAATAAGAATGCTAAAGATTAACTCCACAAATGCAGGCAGTTTCAGAAAAGTATACCAAAATTGAATGGACCTAATGAAATGACAGTAGGAAAATAATAAAAGTTATTTGCAGTTTTTGTTTAATTAAGTAAGCTGTTTTGCATTTCAATATTAATGTAAGAACTTTAGGCTGAATGTCTCCTGTCTTCAAACAGGGCCACAGGTGAATTTGAGAGAGAACCCAGGGACAGATGGCAGGAATGGAGGTGGGAGTGGAGGAGTGACACTATACACTTGGTCTGGCCAGATGTATTGAACTTTGATGTGACAAACCCAGGTCAGATATTCTCAGCGTTTAGCAAACTTCTGAATATCCTGGTCAGTCTTGAAGTACACTTCTTCCCTTTCCTTTTTCTGTTCCCAACATCTCTGCTTTACTGCCCACGTACTGAAACACTGAAACACACCCAGTCAGATGTCAGACTAGGCTGTCTCAGGCTCTAAAATTACCCAACATGCCATTGATTAAAACCCTCACTTCCCATCCAAGAAGTCCAACTCAGGGAGTTAGAAATAAGTATGTGATTCTCTTTATAGACTGGCATGTAAATTATGAACTTGCCTTTTAATGAAAGACATTTTAATATTTTATTTCTAAGCCTGGCAAGATATAATAACTTTAGGATGGGAAGTAAGTGCCACTCCCCATTCCTGAAGCCATGACAGGCATTGTTAATCCATCTCTGGACTCCCTGTCATTGGTCCTGGTCTGGCCTCAGAGTAGTTTACAACATGGTGTTACAGGTAGCAACTACCACTTAGTTGGAGTAGGCTTGAAATTTAAACTCCTTGCCATCTTTGCACTACATGTTTTAACTTACTACATATGTAAGTAACAGCAAGATACTCTGACACTTTGTCCTATGCATATGATATACCTTAAAATATTTTAAATTATAAAAAACATTAAGTCTGCATTGTGCTTGGGTAACCCAAGAAAAAGCAGTATTTTAACATCAGAAACCTCTTTATCAAAGTAGTTTTCAGCAAAAACTATTTAATGTCAAGGACCACCATTTTATGGATTTCAGAAAGTGCTAACTAATTAGCTTTGGTGTTTGGCAAGGGCAATGGGTAGTTTTAAGACAGAAAAATGGTTTTAAAAAAGTGGACAGGGCAGGAGGCATTGCAGAGAAAGGCATGAAGGATGAAATAAGGTCATTCTTCCTTCTCCTTTAAATGGCTTCTCTATGTGTTTCTCTCTCTCTATCTGCCTGTCTCTTTCTCACTCGCTCATACATACAAAATAAGACAATTGCATTCATTATCTATGATAATGAATGAAATGAAATATGAATGAATGAAATATGCCTTGCATATGGGGAGACTCTTCAATCATCAGTTTCATTTGTGTAAAATTATGTTTTGAGGTTTTACAGAAAAAGGCAGAATTGGAAAGTTTCAAAGGATTTGGGAATCAAAGACCTTTTGTGTGAATCTTGGTGCTGCCATTGATACTTGCCTGTAGGAATAAGGGAAAATAATGAACCATCATGGAGTCTTGGTTTCCTCAGGAAAATGGCTGAGATGGTAATAATACCTATCTTTCAAGATTTCATGAGCACTAAATGACTGAACTTTTCTGACAACACTTTAAATCAGTAAAGTGCTAACAAATATGGGCTATTTTTGATAAATGATATGTGGAGAACTTATAAAAAATATAAAACACACAGTAGCTATTGCTATTCATCAATGTTATTATGAACATATGTTTTTAATCTTCAGTTAAAGTTTTAAAATACTAAACTTTCTATATTTTCTGTTTTAAAATAGAGGCAATATTGTTGAACTTAGATAACTCTTTATAATATTTCTATTTCCTCTAATTTTTCTGGGTATTAATAACTTTATATATTGATTAATGTAGATTCAGCAGCAACTTCTATTAGACCTTTATCCACAGGTATGAGAAGCACAGTGGTCACTACTGGTTGGCCCACGTGTGGGGCAGTTATACGTGACATTCTATTAACTTCAGGAAACTGTGCAATACCTTATCTCCAGGTTTGTCTAAAATTGAATTTGGATTTCCACTCAGTGCTTTTGTGGTCCAGCAGTCATCAGATAAACTGCAATCTCTTTATTTAATATTTAGTTCAGGCTAATGGGCTGAATTGACTAAACACTCAAAATTCTCTCACAGAAAAACCAGGTTCCTCACTGAATTCTCTCTCAGTTATTTTTTCCTTGGAATATTTGTTAATACAATTGACTTTCACCGCCTGTACTAATAAAAGCAGAGCTCAGGTGCAGATTATCCAAAGTGAATGCGATCAGTCGCAAGAAGCTACTTGGAGGTATATAGAGACAGAATTGAGAAAGAGCTTTTTCAGCCTTTTAGAAGAGTCCTCACTAATATGGTTAGGATCTGTGTCCCTGTCCAAATCTCATGTTCAATTAGTAATCTTCAATGTTGGAGGTGGAGCCTGGTAGGAGATGATTGGATCATGGGGGTGGTTTCTCATGGTTTAACACCATTCCTCTTGATTATGTTGTCACAATAGTGAGCTCTCGTGAGATCTGGTTGTTTAAGAGTATGTAGCACCTCCTCCCCTGCTCTCTTGCTCCTGCTCCGGCCATGTAAGACATGCCTCACGCCCCCTTTACCTTTTGGCATGATTGTAAGTTCCCTGCGGCATCCCCGGAAGCTGATGCCACTATGCTTTCTATATAGCCTGCAGAACTGTGAGCCAATTAAATCCCTTTTCTTTTTAAATTACTCAGTCTCAGATAGTTCTTCATAGCAGTGTGAGAATGGACTAATACAGAAGATTGGTACCAAGTGGTGGGGCACTGAAAATGTGGAAGTGACTTTGGAACTGGGTAATGGGCAGAGGTTGGAAGAGTTCGGAGGTCTCAGAAGAAGACAGAAAGATGCGAGAAAATTTGGAACTTCTTAGAGACTTGTTGAATGGTTGTGACCAAAATTATAGTAATATGGACAATGAAGTCCAGGCTGAGGAAGTCTCAGATGGAAATGAGGAACATTCGGTACTGGAGAAAAGGGCTCTTTTATTATGCTTTAGTGAAGAACTTGGTGGCATTATGCCCATGCCCTACAGATTTGTGGAAGTTTGAACTTGAGAATGATGATTTAGAGTATCTAGTGGAAGAAAATTCTAAACAGAAAACCATTCAAGATGTGATCTGGCTGTTTTTAACTGCCTACACTCATATACGTGAGCAAAAAAATAACCTAAAACTGCAAGTTACGTTTAAAAGGGAAGCAGAGCATAAAAGGTTGAAAAACTTGCAGCCTGGCCATGTGGTAGTAAAGAAAAGCTCATTCAGGGGTGAAATTAAAGCAGGTGGCAAAAATTTGCATAAGTAAAAAGGAGCCAAGTGCTGATGGCCAAGACAATGGGAAGAAATCTTTGGAGGCATTTCAGAGAACTTCATGGCAACCCCTCCCATCACAGGTCCAGAGGCCTAGGAGAGAAGAATGGTTTCATGAGCTAGGCCCAGGGTCCTGATGCCCTGAACACTGGTCCCTGCATCCTAGTCACTCCAGCTCCAGTTGTGGCTAAAAGGAACCCAGGTAAAGCACAGGCCACTGCTTCAGAGGGTGCAAGCCCTAAGTCTAGGCAGCTTCTACATGGTGTTAAGCCTGTGGATGTGCACAGTACAAGAGTTGAGGCTTGGGAACCTCTGCCTAGATTTTGGAGGATGTATGGAAGAGCATGGATGTCCAGGCAGAAGCCTGCTGCAGGGGCAGAGCCCTCATGGAGGACCTCTACTAAGGTAGTGTAAAGAGGAAATGTGGGGTTGGAGCCACATAGAGTTCCCACTGGGGCACTGCTTAGTGGAGCTGTGAGAAAAGGGCTACCATCCTCCAGATCATAGAATGGTAGATCCAGTGGCAGCTTGCACTCTGTGCCTGGAAAAGCTGCAGACACTCAACACCAGCCTATGAGAGCAGCCATGGGAAGGGACCCCTACAAAGCCACCAGGGTGGAGCTGCCCAAGGCCTTGCCTCAGAGTGCTGTGGACGTGAGACATGGAGTCAAAGGAGACTATTTTTGAGCTTTGAGATTTAATGACTCCCCTACTGGGTTTCAGACTTGCATGGTGCCTGTAGCTACTTTCTTTTGGATGATTCGTCTCTTTTGGAATGGGAATATTTACCCAATGCCTGTGCCCTCATTGTATCTTGGAAGTAACTAACTTGTTTTTCTATATTTACAGGCTCATAGGTGGAAGGAACTAGCCTTGTTTCAGATGAGACTTTGGATTTTGGACTTTGGGCTTGTGAGTTAATGCTGAAATGAGTTCAGACTTTGGGGGATTACTGGGAAGGCATGATTGTATTTTGCAATGTGAGAAGAACATGAGATTTTGGAGGGGCCAGGGACAGAATGACATGATTTGGATCTGTATTCCTGCCCATATCTCATGTTTAATTGTAATCACCATTGTTGGAGGTGGGGCCTCGTGGGAGGTGATTGGATCATGGGGGTGGTTTCTCATGGCTTAACACCATTCCCCTTAGTGCTGTCATTGCAATAGTGAATTCTCGGGAGATCTGGCTGTTTAAAAGTGTGTAGCAACTGTCCCCTCTTTCTCTTGCTCCTGCTCTGGCCTCGTAAGACGTGCCTGCTTCCCCTTCACCTTCCGCCATGATTGTAAGTTTCCTGAGGCCTCCTCAGAAACTGATGCCACTATGCTTCCTGTACAGCCTGAAGAACTGTTAGCCAATTAAACTTATTTTCTTTCTTTCTTTCTTTTTTTTTTTTGAGACAGAGTCTCGCTCTCGTCCAGGCTAGAGTGCATTGATGTGATCTCGGCTCACTGCAAGCTCTGCCTCCCAGGTTCACACCATTCTCCTGCCTCAGTCTCCCAAATAGGTGGGACGACATGCGCCCACCACCACGCCTGGCTAATTTTTTTGTATTTTTAGTAGAGACGGGGTTTCACCGTGTTAGCCAGGATGGTCTCGATCTCCTGACCTCGTGATCTGCCCGCCTTGGCCTCCCAAAGTGCTGGGATTACAGGCATGAGCCACCGCGCCCAGCCTAAACTTATTTTCTTTATAAATTACCCAGTCTCAGGCATTTCTTTATTTCAGGGCAAGAATGAACTAATTTACTCACCAAAATATCCTTTCCCTGAGAACCAAGGAGACTGCCTTCTTCCTTTGCCAAGCACATCTTCATTATTTTGCAGATAGATCCTAGTTCTACCCTTATTTATCACTGACATCACATTTGTTTCTCATGATTTTTATGGTGTGCCAGTTAACACCCTGCTTGCACTTCTTAACCACATTGAGCCATTATATGACTGGCTTTAGACTAGTGCTCCCCAGGAATGACCCCTGGGGCTTCTTAGGGTTGAACTCTACTGTGCCTCAGTATGTGGCCAGAATATTGAAAAGTTCAAGCGAATTGTGCTGGTACCAGAGATAAGGAAGTATCTCTACTTTTTGTCTTCCTCTGTAGATTTCTCCCAGAAGTAAAACTCAGATGACTAGGACAAGCTGTGGTGAGAGAAGCCATTGGCTGCCATCTAGACTGTGTTGAAAGCACACAGTCACTTGTTAAAGGCAGTAAGTGTTCACGGCTGACCTTCGCTTGGACAGGTTAGCCTTCTCCTTTCCTAGTTTCAGTGCACCCTATTTTGTGGACCTAGATTAGCATATAGTGGCTAAAATAATGTATGGACTATTTCTGTGATTTAGTGCTTTTTGATTTTGTGCTTTTCATCCTGAAGGAACAGGAGAAAATTAGAATGAGAAGTGGTGGGTTTGAGCACTTACATTTTCCATCCCCACATTCAGCTTCTTTCCTGCTCCTGGGTCCATAATGAGAATGGAAAACATTATTTCCCATGTCAATGACAAATGGCATCTTAGAGTTCAGCTGCTTCCCATCACACTGAGTGTGCAGATTTACATCTCTGTAAAGCAAAGAGGAAGCTTATTTGGACTACTATCTACTTATTTTAATTGTATTTTAATAAATGCTTACTATTTACAAAGTGTACAAAGAAAGGTAACTACTTTCTCCTGGTACCAAAGCCATTAGCTATGCAAGACAATAGCAATAGGAATTTTGTAGGAAGATTTGCTTCTGAGTGGAAAATTCAGTTGCAAATACAGGAGAGGTGGAATTCAACACTGTGAACAGTTGGTAAATTATGTATGTCATCATACCCTGTGCAAATGACTGGCACTGTTCTAAATCTTGAAAACCATGCACATAGCTCCCCAGGCTTCCTGCATATCCCAAAATGTGACAAGCAGACTTCTGCAACAGGGCCTTTTCACTGCTCTTCCCCCTACCTGGAATATTTTCCAACCAACTATTTCTCTGCTTAGCCCCTTCTCTGTTTTTTTTCAGTTCTCTCTTTTCTTTAGGTTTCTGTTCGAATATCACGGTAGTAGATCAGCTGCTTCTAAGCAGCTTTTGTCAAACGGCAACTTCCTATAATCCCTAATCATTCTCTTTTCCTCTTACTCTGTTAATGTTTCTTCTTGGTGTAGTTCGTCACCTGCCATATTATGCATGTATTGGCTTATCCATTTCAGTCTCCTCCTACTAGAATGCAGCTCTTTTGTTCTCTACCAAAGTCCAAGAGTCTAAAACACTGCCTGGCCCATCATAGATACTGAGTAATATTTGTTGCACTAATGGTTAAATGCAGCCTGGAGGGATTGTTTCACCAGCTCACAAGTCAAGGTTTATCTATGACACAGCTCTGGGTCTGTGGCCAAAGAAATTAATAGTATTTATAGCTACAATTTATCAAGTGCTTAGCCTACCATTTTCTGGTTACTTTTTATATTGTATCATTTTATCTTTATAGAAACCTTATAAATAGGAGTTTTATGCCAAACTGAGAGATGAGCGAAAGGTAGATCAGATAGGTCTAAACAAAGTGGCCAAAGCCACACGGCTGGTAAGAGGGGAAGCCATGTCACCAAGACACATCCTTGTGACTCCAAAGCCAAGATTTATTCCACTTCACCAGGCTACCTCTCAGAATAAGAGCAAGAAGACCAGAATGTTTTACTAATTACTCAGCAAAGCTCAGCTTAGTGAGCACTAGCTAATTGTGAATTTAGCTAACTAACTAACTAGTTAACAAAGATCTGGCTTTGAATCCTAGTTCTGCCCTAGGAAAGGATAAGGCATCAAGTAGTTCTGTCTTTAAAATAAACTTATTTGAATATGATCAACCTGATCAAGAAAAAATGACTTCATTGTGGTATAATTTACATACAATAAAATATACCCAACTGAACTGTACAATTTTAAAGACTTTTGACAAATCTATATGCTGTGTAACCACCAGCACAACTAAGATGTAAAACATTTCATAAAAGATATAAAATCTTTCCATCATCCCCAAAAGTTCTCTCGCGCCCCTTCACAAACTCTTGCCACCTCATCCCCTCGGGACCCAGGCAACTACTGTTATGCTTTGAATCTCTATAGCTTGCATTCTTTAGAACTTCATTTAAGCAGAATCAGACAGTATGTACTCTTTATACTGTTTCTTCTGCTGAGCATAATGCTTTTAAGATACATCCATGTTGTGTGCACCACTCTTCATTCTTTTTTATTGCTGAATATATTCAATTATATGAAATTTAGTTATCCATTCTCCTGTTGATGGACATTCGATTATTTTCAGTTTAGGCTGTTACAAACAAAGCAGCTGTGAACATTGTATGCAATTCTTTGTGTGGATGTAAGTTTTTATTTCTCTTGGGTGAATACTTAAGAAGGGAATGACTAGGTTGCCCATGTAAACATGCTAAGTCCATGTTTAACTTTATAAAAAAAAAAAGCCAAAATGTTTTCAAAACTAGTTTTGTCATTGAGACATCTCTTAGCATGGAGTTGCTCATCTGTAAAACAGAGATATTTGACTAGATGATCCCTAAATTCTCTTTCAATGACTTGTGGCTGTAGGACCTGCTGCTGTGTTGGATTTCTGACTCTTGTCTGTCTTGAGCTGCTACACTTTATTATTTTTCTTTTTTTCTTTCAAATATCTTAATTGCTGTACCTCTATCTTGTTCCTGTTAATGTCAAGAAAATGATGATGATAGTAGAAAGCTTTGTGTCAAGCACAATGCTAAATATTTTGCCTGATTTTTCTCTTTTAGTCTTCACATAAGCATTTGCAGTAGATACTATTTTTATATAATCTGTCTTAGTGATAAAGAAACTGAAGCTGAGAAAACTTAAGTAACTCCCCCAAGTTAACAAAGCTATTAACAGGTAGAGTTGGGAAGCAAAATCAGGTCTGCCTGGATTACTTCTAAATTACTGATTTCTTGACCCTCTCTCTGATACCTTAGCTCCTACTTCTTCATTTTTTTATATGACCCTAGGACCTGCCTGGCTGTATTCTGAGTATAATTCACCTTCCCAGTGTTGTTCACCAGTTTTCCTTTCATACTGTGGCATGACATCAGTGTTCAATGACCCAGCAATTTTCCAGAAGGCAACAAAAAAGGCAATTTAGAGAGTGAGGAGAGCTTAAGATCATCTTACTTATGTCAGCTCCATTAAGTTTTCATTAACAGTCAGAATGGGGTTTCTTAAATCAGCATAATGCCAGTAAGCATTGCTTTGAGAAAAAAAAAAAGAAATGCTTAACTAATAGGATATCTTGTCGACATTTTATCTGAATCTACAGAGCCCAGTCATTTGAAATCATCATAGAGGTCATTGCCAATTTTGCACTGAACAATCCCTCTTCTCATCAAGTGGTGAAATTTCCATGCTAGCTTTTTGCAGGAATCAGAACTTGTTACTGGCTCTTCATGCTTTTCTCTGCAGTCATCATTAGGCATAACACGGACTCAGATGCTGAGTATTATCATTTAGATTAGTAAAGTATTGTGTGAATATCCTGAACATTTCCCATTTAATTATTTTTCGATATAGTCTTTTGAGGCAAAAGTGAAGACTTGTACCAATCTCATGGCTCACATGCCACTATAATACCCATGCTATGTTATGTGGCTTGTGAGAGAACCATTTCTTACCTCCACAATATTTATAGTGCTAATCAACCATTACCATTAGAAAAAAAGCAAGAACATAAATTGACTTTAAAAAATCCTGATGAGGGTTCTGAAATTCTTTTCCCTGAGGTAACCTCTCTTCTACTCTTTACTTACAGTCTTGAGGAGTTAACCTAAACTCTAACTCCTCCATGAGCCTATTGTATTTAATTTTCACTGTTTTTATTCTTTGAATTTCTAAATCATTTATAGTCATCCTGGATATTTTAAATGTAATTTTCTGTTTTGTTTTGTCACTTGTGTTTCACTCATAGGGAGGCATTGTAGCATAAAGGAAGAATATTAGACATTGAATTCAGAGAAATATTGGCTTTACCACTAAAAAACAATGTGACTCTGGGTAAGTTTCATATATTCTATGGGTCTCAATTCCTTCATTAAAAAAAAAAAGATAGTGGTCTTCGCAAATTATGGTGTCAAAGCTGTCTCTCTGCTGGTTCTTGCCAGCAACAAATGACAAAATGTATGAAAATTTTAAATTCTGCAAGACAGAGCCATGTCTTATGCCTCTGAACATATTGCATCCTCTCATTCATTTAATAAAAATTTATTTGGTACCTATTATGTACTAAACAGTGCACTTGGTACTAGGAATACAGTCATGAACAAATCAACTCTCCCTCTCCTTATGGACTTGTGGTTTAGCAGAGGACACAGAAATGTGGTAAATCCAAATGATGACATGGTTTTACAAACACTTGAAACATCAGGGAGTTCTCCATACAGTTACTAAAATCAAGGATGCAGAACAAATTTGTTCCCAAGCTTTTGCTGGAGACCAGAAAAATCATACCAATGATGGTGTCTCCTCCCTCTCCCTGACTTTCGTGTTTATACATACTTCTTCCTCAAGTGCCTTATGAATATTTTGTAATCAAATAAACAGAGGCATGTTCTAGACAGAATCTAGATTCTCTCTCGTTACAAACGTGTTCCAATTATAATTATTTCAAAGTATTTTATGGTAAGAAATCTCATATTTAAGAGTCAATGTTTTAGAGTTTTTGGAGTTACTTTTGCAATCCGAAGCTTTCTGATTGGCTGACATTATCATTGCTATCTCTATAATTACAGGCATGCATCATTTAATGATGGGGATACATTCTGAGAGATGCCTTGTTAGGCAATTTTATTGTTATATGAATATCATAGAGTGTTCTTTTACAAACCTAGATGGTATAGTCTACTACACACCTAGGCTATATGGTATAGCTTATTTCTCCTAGACTACAGACCTGCACAGCATGTTACTGCGCTGAATATAGTGGGCAACTGTAACACAACAGTGAGTATTTGTATATCTAAAAATAGAAAAGGTACAGTAAAAATGTGTTATTATAATCTTATGGGACCACTTTCATATAGGTTGTCCATTGTTGACCGAAACGTTGTTAATGTGGCACACGTCTGTATTATCAAATATTATTTGAGTGTCTACTGTGGGTTAAGCACTGTACTATGTACCTAGGATAATTCTGTAATGAAGAAACATAATTTAAATAGGGAATCAAAACGTGTATTTGATTGGAAAGACGTAATGCAGAGCAAGTCTATATCTGGTAAGGTAAGGCTGAAAACAACTAAAATTACGAGATAAAATACAAAATGCTTTCATAAAAGCATTGAAAAATCTAACATGACATAATAAGACATTATTTAAGAGCTAGAATTTAGAGAGGTGAGCAGATCATTGCTTCGGCTTTCAGGACCTTTGCAAACTTAGATTAAATAAATTAACTTAAATTAGCTATCAAATATAGCTGTGAGTTTGAAGGGTTCATAGCCTGGAGGAAAACAGAAGTAAAATTCAGCATCTGTCAAAAGTTGCCAAAGTAGTAATAAACATGGTAGTTATCCGATCCCTTTCCTAGGGCACCAGATTTGGGCACCACCACATGTGATGTGGGGCGGATTGGCCAATAGAAGCCAAGTGAAGTCAGACGCTCAAGATGTAACTAAAGGTAAACCAAAGTGCTTGTTGTAGGGACAGAAGGAAATTTAAGCATGAAGCAGTAGATTCAACCAAGTGCTCAGACCAGAGGGAGCAGTGTCAGAATGGAGAGCAGGAGGCAGAACCTAGAATTTTGTAGTAGGGGTTTGAGCAGCTGGATCTTACATAAGGTTAATGAGCCAGACTGAACATATAATATAAATCAATAATGACAGAAAGAGTTATTCCACATGTGAGACTTTTATTTCAAGCAATGTTTGCTAGAAAATTAAATTTGAGCCCCACTTCACAACCCCATTCTGCAATTCCATCTGTACCATGTTAAATGTAAAATGTCCAGCTAAGGAAGAAGAAGAAGAGGATGAAGGAAGAAGGAAGATGCTCAAATAAACATATTATCTTGTATGTATTTCTGGAACAGAAAAGATTTTCTACCTTTAAAAGCAATGGTAAATCTCAAGAAGAAGTGCTTAAGAGGGCCGGGTGCGGTGGCTCACGCCTGTAATGCCAGCGCTTTGGGGAGCCCAGGCGGGCGGATCGCGAGGTCAGGAAATTGAGACCATCCTGGCTAACATGGTGAAACCTCATCTCTGCTGAAAAAAATACAAAAAATTAGCCTGGCGTGGTGGCGGGCACCTGTAGCCCCAGCTACTCAGGAGGCTGAGGCAGGAGAGTGGCGTGAACTCGGGAGGTGGAGCTTGCAGTGAACCGAGATGCGCCACTGCACTCCAGCCTGGGCGACGGAGGAGACGCCATCTCAAAAATAAATAAATAAATAAGTAAAATAAAAGAAGAAATGCAATATTATCAAATGCCTATCAAATTTTTTGAAAGACAAAAAAGTTAGAAATGAATTTGCTATAAATATAATCAAACATTAATATTTTAGTACACAAAGAACACTACATTTAAATTAAAATATTAAGATCCTAATAAGTAGTTGACATAGAAGGATAATTAATAAAATATAAGTAGATAATAAATGAAACAGATTAATAGCATAATCATATTAGGCAATATTTATTGAATCTTTACTATGTACAAGGAACCATACTATGTACTTTATACATATCATTTCATTTAATCCCCACAATCCTAAAAGCTAGATTCTATTATAAGTCCTAGTTTATAGATGAGTAAATAGGTAGAAACGAGCCAGGGGGCCTTAGGGCTGAGTTTTACTTCTAAATTCCTTTTGTATTGATTAAATTTAGCCTGTTGTTAGTCTCATTATCTTCATCAAGGAGAGTGTCAATAAATATTTATTGTTCATGGTAATATGTAGAAACAGCCTCAGACTCATTTGACTTATACAGTATTACCTATAGCAAATACAAAATCTTATTATGAAAATTATTCTAAAATTTCTTTGGAACCTTAGGAAAAAAGTTAGTAAAAAATTTAGAGAGGTAACTACAAAAGAAAATTCTTTTATTGCTGTGTCTTTAGGCTTTTAAAAAATATACTCTTGTATCTTTTAAAGCATGTTGAAAAAGTTATGTCCATGTTACCTTTCTTTTTAGTTTTTCAAGGCCAAGAATTTGATTTTCAATTAACTTTATAGAGGTCTATATGCATTTTGAACATTTAGTAAATGTATTTGATGGAAAATAACTTAAGAAGATTTTGTTTATTGAAGCTGAGGGAAAAAAATAAAGACTTGCAAACCAATTGATTCCAACATCTGTCATGTTTGGACAGAGTGTTTAAACAACAGTTTTAATACAAATTGAGTTTTGGCTGGAAAACAAGTTCTTATTTCAGAGATGGTTTACCTCAAAAACATTTCGAAGATAAATGTTTTTTTATCTTTTCCAAACATTTATGCTAATTCAAGCACGGGCAAGTTTAAAAGCAGAAACGAGAAAAGTCTTGGACAAGGAAGAATTGAAGATACTAGTGAGAAAATTGGGCCCCTATGATAGCAGCACGAAGCCTTGTGCATTTGATTTCTCCTTTCCCTCCACCACGCTTATCAAATCAGTCAACCAGCCTTAGGAATTGTCTACAATGTCTCCCAAGTTGTTCCCATTTCCTCCTAGTTGCATTGCTAGCATTGCAATGCAGGCCTTGACCCTTTTACTCCTAGACTATTATACTAATTTATTATTCCATTTCCCTACTTCTGGATTCTCTTACCTTCCATCTGTTGCCAACTGACCACCGGACACATTTTCTTAAAGGATCACTTTCTCTATGTCACTCTCCTTCACAGAATTTTTATTGTTTTCTTATTGCCTCTCAATTTGAGTCCTTTAGCTGATAGGAGACTTTCACATCTGATTGGCAACTGCACAACATGGTCTAATTTGTCTGTTTCTCTGGCCTTGTTTCTAATGTTCCTGGATGCAGAGACATACCTATTTGCGGCCTACTTCCTATTCTCCAAGTGCATTTTAATTCCCCTGACTGCATGATTTTGTTCAGGTAATTATCAGTTTTCTCAAATTTGATTTTCCATTTTCATAATATATTGTGCGAAGGTAGAGGGATTGTTGTAAAGTTCGTCTAGATTCTTAGGCCAAGGTGTTGCATTTCCTCTCTCCATCTACTTTAAATAGACTTGGGACCAGAAAAGCCAATGGTGTAACACTATGTCCAAGGTAAAGGCCTGAGAAACTGGGGGCCGCTGATGCAAGTTCTGGAGACCAAAGGCCAGAGAATGTGGAGTTCTGATGTTCAAGAGCAAGAGAAGAATGTTGTCACATGTTCACAAGACAGAGTGAATGAGAATTTGCTTTTCCTCTACCTTTTAGTTCTTTCTAGGGCCTCAGCTGATTGCATGGTTCCTGCCCACATTGGATGAGTGTGGGTTTTGCTCATTAAGTCCACTGATTGAAATGCCGATCTCCAGAAATACTGTCATCAACACACTCAAAATTAATGTTTCATCAGCTATCTGGGTATCTCTTAACTCAGTCAAGTTGACACCTAAAATTAACCATCACATGGGCCTACTAAGAACTCTCTTATACTTTTAAAAATAGTAAGTAGGCATAGATAGGAAAATAAATAATAATATTGCATATTTAGTTAGATCAGAAACACTTCATGGCTCTGGTCAGAGTGTAGAAAGCTAGAATGTTGCTTCCACCTTAACAATAACAAAAAGCCAGATAATCTTCAAAATCATAATTTTTCTTGACCTCATCAGAAAATTGATAACACAAGGAAACTAATTAGCCACAAATCTGAAGAAAGACAGGCACCTCCAAGGAGAAGTGGGGATGTGAGTACTGGTTTACCTGGGCACTGACTTACCTGGACACTGGTTTACTGGGGCAGAGTGAGGGAGGAAGACTGAGTTGTCACAAAAGTGAATAAAAAAATTCAGATACATTTTTGATTGAATTATTAAAAGACAAGGGTGGCTTCCTGGGTGTATAGAACCCACAGGAGCTGCAGATGCAAGAGGAGTTTGTGTTTGTGCACATGTTCTTCTCCATAGACTACACGGTGCACCCTTGAGAAAGATGGAGAACAGGGCAGGAGCTTAAAAACACTTTCTCTTTGATACCAAGCTGGCAGTGGGTGGAGCACAGCAAACAATGTGGAAAACACATGACACTTGGTCCTGATCCTTCCCTCATATCTTTCCTACAGGAAAAAAGCCTCCCATCTTTGGGGGGAAGCACAGAAAACTCTATTGCTCCAATGGCACAGTTAAAATCTATTGCAGCTAATCAGGTGCCAGAGAAAATAAATTCTTCATCACAGGGGGAAGAGCAGAAACTCACCCTCTACCCAGATCATTAGAATTCTCCTTTTGTTGGAGAGTCGTAGGATCACTGAAAAAGCCCTATACCCAAGACCTAGAGACATAGGACCCACCTAAGAGAGAGGATGAACCAGCACAAGAGAAAACTTCCCTCTATCACTCAAACATCAGGTTAACAAAGTCAAATAACATGTCACAACAGTGTGCCACCGTGGCCCCGGCAAAGCATAGAGAAAGACCCTTTCAGGGGCACAGTGTCTCAAGAAAGTCTAAAGCGGGGGCTGGACGCGATGGCTCAGGGGCCGGGCGCGGTGGCTCAAGCCTGCAATCCCAGAACTTTGGGAGGCCAAGGCTGGCAGATCACCTGAGGTCAGGAGTTCAAGACCAGCCTGGCCCACATGGTGAAATCCAGTCTCTACTAAAAATACAAAAAATCAGCTGGGCGTAGTGGTGGGTGCCTGTAATCCCAGCTACTCCGGAGGTTGAGGCAGGAGAATCACTTGAACCTGGGAGGCGGAGGTTGCAGTGAGCCGAGATCATGCCATTGCACTCCAGCCTGGGCAACAAGAGCAAAACTCCATTTAAAAAAAAAAAAATGCCTAAAGCTGAGGTTGAAAGTGGTTAGAACATTGAGAGAAACCCTACTCTAAGCACGAGGTAATATGAAAGGAATTTGAAACTGGTGGTGCACTGAGGGTAATCAGAGCAACATCACAACCCAACCCCAGCTCAACTTCGGACTAGATTGACTCATCAACTAAAAAATCACAGGAAAAACCAAGGTAACAAAGATGATGATTGCCTTTGACAGGATTATCAGTAGACTAGACGTAGACAAGAAAAGGATTCACAAATTTGACAATATGTTAGTAGAAATTACTCAAAGTAAGAGATATAGGAGTTAAAAAAATAATAACAGTTTTAAAAAGAACATCTGAGAGCTGCAGGACAATGTCAAATAGTCTAGTACCTACATAATGGGTATCTTAGGAGAAGAAAGAGAGAAGAAAAACTTGAAGATTAAGAATTACAATAGATTTCTCATTTGAAACTATACAAGCCAGGAGACAGTACAGTAACATCTTTAAATTGGCAGGGAAAAAAAGAAAACCCTGTTAATCCAGAATTTTTTACCCAGCAAAATATTTTCCCGAAACAAAGGATAAATAATGACTTTTTCAGACAAACAAAAACTGAATTAATTCCCATGATAACCACCTTACAAAAAAGTATTAAAGAATGTCTTTCAGATAGAAAGGTTTTAACACCACATAGAAACTTGGATCTATACAGAAGAAGAGTTCTGAAAAATAGTAAAAATAAATTTTAATATAAAAATTATTTTTCATTATTTTAATCACTAAGAGATAATGGTTTGTTTAAAGCAAAAATAGTGGCAATCTATTCTGGGTATGTAGTGTATGTAAAAGTGAAATATCTGATAATACTAGCATGAATAATGGAAGGGAGAAGTTGGTAGTATACTGTTGTAAGTTTATTACACTACAAGCAAAGTATTATAATATTATTTTAAGCTAGACTATGATTAATTAAAGAGTTATATTTTAAACCTTATGGCAACTACTAATTTTTTTTTAATTTTTTCTTAATGTTCTGGGATACATGTGCAGAACATGCAGGTTTGTCACATAGGTATACATATGCCATGGAGGTTTGCTGCACCTACCAACCCATCACCTAGATTTTAAGCCTCGCATGAATTAGGTATTTGTCCTAATGCTCTCCCTCTCCTTTCCCCTAACCCCCTGACAGGCCCTGGTGTGTGATGTTCCCCTCCCTGTGTCCATGTGTTCTCATTGTTTGGCTCCCAATTATGAGTGAGAACATGCGGTGTTTGGTTTTCTGTTCCTGTGTTAGTTTGCTGAGAATGATGGCTTCCAGCTTCATCCAAGTCCCTGCAAAGGACATGAACTCATTCTTTTTTATGGCTGCATAGTATTCCATGGTGTATACATGCTACATTTTCTTTATCCAGTCTATCATTGATGGGCATTTGGGTTGGTTTCAAGTCTTTGCTATTTTAAGTAGTGCTGCAATAAACACATGTGTGCATGTGTCTTTATAGTTGAATTATTTATAATCCTTTGGGTATACACCCAGTAATGGGATGGCTGGGTCAAATGGTATTTCTTGTTCTGGATCCTTGAGGAATAGCCACACTGTCTTCCACAATGGCTGAACTAATTTACACTCCCACCAACACTGTAAAAGTGTTCCTATTTCTCCACATCCTCTGCAGCATCTGTTGTTTCCTGACTTTTTAATAATTGTCATTCTAACTGGCATGAGGTGGTATCTCATTGTGGTTTTGATTTGCATTTCTCTAATGACCAGTGATGATGAGCTTTTTTTCATGTTTGTTGGCTGCATAAATGTCTTCTTTTGAGAAGTGTCTGTTCATATCCTTCACCCAATTTTGATGGGGTTGTTTTTTTCTTGTAAATTTGTTTAAATTCCTTGCAGATTCTGGATATTAGACCTTTGTCAGATGGGTAGATTGCAAAAATTTCCTCCCATTCTGTAGCTTGCCTGTTTATGATAGTTTCTTTTGCTGTGATGTAGCTCTTTAGTTTAATTAGATCCCATTTGTCAGTAAAAGATTGTTTTAAAGGTTTAAATAATAATAAGATAAAAATACAGGCATACCTTGAAGATATTCTGGGTTCAGTTCCAGATCACAGCAAAAAGCAACAACAGCAACAACAAAAAGAATATCACAATAAAGTGAGTCACAAAATATTTTGGCTTCCCAGTGCATTTAAAAGTTATGTTTACACAGCACTCGAGTGTATTAAGCATGCAATAGCATTTTTTCCTAAAAGGCAGTGTACATCCCTTAATTTAAAAAATACTTTCTGGCTAAAAAATGCTAATGATTATTTGAGCTTTCAGCAAATCCTAGTGTATGCTGGTGGAGGGTTTTACCTCAATGTTGATGGCTGCCAAATGATCAGGATGGTGGTTGCTGAAGGTTGGGGTGACTGTAACGTTTCTTAAAATAAGACAACCGTAAAGTTTGCTGCATTGATTCACTCTTGCTTTCACGAAAGATTTCTCTGTAGCCTGTGATAGTGTTTGATAGCATTTTACTCATAGTAGAACTTCTTTCAAAATTGAAGTCAATCTTAAACCCTGCCACTGCTTTATCAACTAAGTTTATGTAACACTGTAAATCCTATGTTGTCATTTCAACCATGTTCACAACATCTTCCCCAGAAGTAGTTTCCTTCTCAAGAAATCACTTTTTTCACTCATATATGAGTAGCAACTCCTCATCCATTCCAGTTTTACCATGAAATTGCAGCAATTCAGTTGCATCTTCAGACTCCACTTCTAATTCGAATTCTCTTATTCTTTCCTCCACATCTGCAGTTACTTCCTCTACTCAAGCCACGAATCCCTCAAAGTTATCCATGAGAGCTGGAATCAGCTTTTTCAAACACCTATTCATATTGATATTTGACTTTCTTCCATGAATTATGGGCATTCTTAAGGGCATCTAGAATGGTGAATCATTTCCAAAAGATTTTCAATGTACTTAGCCCAGATTCATTAAAGGAGTCACTATCTATGTCAACGATAACCTTATGAAACGTATTTCTTTTTTTTTTGTCTTTTTCAAGAGATGAGATCTCTCCTCTATCACCCAGCCTGAAATACAGTGGCATGATTATAGCTCACTGCAGTCTTGAACTACTGGGCTCAAGCAATCCTTCTGCTTCAGCCTACCAATTAGCTGGGACTATAGGCATGTGCCACTGTGCCTGGATAATTTTTTTTTTAATTTTTTTTGTATAGATGTTGCCCAGGCTGGTTTCAAACTCCTGGCCTCAAGCAATCCTCCCACCTCTGCCCTCAAAAGAGAGGTGGCATGAGTCACCACTTGTGGCCTTGAAATGTATTTCTTAAGTAATAATACTTAAAAGTCAAAATTACTCTTTGACTCATGGATTGTAGAATGGATGTTGTATTAGCAGGCATGAAAATAACATTAATTTCCATGTACATCTCCATCAGAGCTCTTGGATGACCAGGTGCATTGTCAATGAACAGCAATATTTTGAAAGGAGTTTTTTTTTTTTTCCTGAGCAATAGGTCTCAACAGATGGCTTAAAATATTTCAGTAAGTCATGCTGTAAACAGATGTGCTGTCATCCAGACTTTGTAGTTTTATTTATAGAACACAGAGAGAGTCAATTTAGCATGATTTTTACAGACACAAGAATTTTTGAAATGGTAGATGAGCACTGGTTTCAACTCAAAAAGTTACTAGCTGTGTTAACCCCTAACAATAGAGTAAGCCTGTCCTTTGGAGCTTTGAAGTCAGGCATTGACTTTTCCTTTCTAGCTATGAAAGTCCTAAAAGGCATTTCTTCTAATATAAGGCTGTTTCATCTGCATTGAAAATCTGTTGTTTGGTATAGCCGCCTTCATCAACGATCTTAGCTAGATCTTCTGGATCACTTGCTGCAAATTCTCCATCAAGCACTTACTACTTCACCTTGTGCTTTTATGTTATGGAGGTGGATTCTTTCCTTAAATCTCACGAAGCAACCTCTACTAGCTTACAAATTTTCTTCTGCAGCTTCCTCATCTCTTTCAGGCTTCATAAAATTGCAGAGAGTTAGAGCTTTTCTCTAGATTAGGCTTTAGTTTAAGGGAATGGTGTGACTGGTTTGATCTTGTATCCAGACCACTAAAACTCTCCCTATCAGCAATAAAGCTGTTTTTCTTTCTTATCATTCGCATGTTCACTGGAATAGCACTTGGAATTTTCTTCAAGAACTTTTCCTTTACCTTTACAACTTGATTGTTTGGCACAAGAGACTTCGCTTTTGGCCTGTTGCAGCTTTCCACATGCTTTTCTCAGTAAGGCTAATCATTTCTAGCTTTTGATTTATAGTGAAAGCTGTGTGATTCTTCCTTTCACTTAAATATTTAGAGGACATTGTAGGTTTATTAATTGGCCTAATTTCCGTATTGTTGTGTCTCAGGCAATAGGGAGGCCCAAGGCAAGGGAGAGAGATGGGAGAACAGCCAGATGGTGCAGCAATCAGAACACATACAATATTTACCCACTGCATTTGCTGTCAGATTGGTGAGGTTTACAGTGCCCCAGAACAATTACAATAGCAACACCAAATATCACTAATCACAGATTACCCATAACAGATATGACAATAAGGGAAAAGGTTTAAATATTTTGAGAATTATGAAAATGTGACACAGAGATATGAAGTGAGCACATGCTGTTTGAAAAACGGTGCCAACTGACTTGTTGGGCGAAGGATTGCCACAAAGCTTCAATTAGTAAAAAATGCAGTATCTGTGAAGCACAATAGAGCAAGGTGAATAAAACGAGATATACTTGTGTTCTCTTTCTGGTTACCCCACTCTATTCAGTATAATGTTATTGTCATTCTCTTTTAAAATTTGATTGCATTTACATATTACTTTTCTGTTTATAGCCTCTTTTTAGATCTATCTGCCATAGTTTCATATTATAGAGATTTTTAAGAACTACATACATATTTTTACCTTGATGTTCTGTACAAATGAAATGCAGATTTACATTTGAAAAAAAACAAAACAGGACAAAAACAGAGTTGTATCACAATTATGCTAAAACTACATTATGTATCTGAGTTAAAGGATACAAGAGATAAAGAAAACTGGTTTAAACATGCAACTTGAAAAATGATAATGCCAGTGGAAAACATCTTTGCAATATTCCCCTCCTGTGAGCACATGTACAAATTTGATTTGCAATATAAGCAGCAAACCTTTTGAACAAGGAAAGAAATTAATATGTACAAACGCATGATCTATGATACATCAAAGACTGGAAAAGCCACATGCTTATTCTAATAAAATATAGTATCAACATAAAATAAGAAGTGATTATTGATAATCTTAGGGCAGAAAGAGATGAAAGCAATTCTCAAATAAGGTTTTCATTTGGTCTTTCTATAACTATATTCATTGTTCTTCAATTTTAATAAAGCACACATAAAAAGTAGAGCCAAAATTTGGCAATAAACTACCCATTCTCTCTTTATCCCCCTGGGTCACCTTAGGATGATCTGTTGTTTTGATGGCCAACAAGAAACATTTAAGTTTATCTAAACTTGGAAAATACATGTACAGGATTTCCAGTTAGATTGGATTTGAATGTAGGCTTGTGTAAGTTGCTTAACATTCTTGAACTTTATCTTCAAATGAGGCAAATATTTAGAGATTTTGCTGGATTCATTGGTAAACACAGGTAAAACACCAAGTAAGGGAATGTATTTATCAATTATTCATTGGTAAATACAGGTGGAACACCAAGTAAGATGCTCAACATTTAGTACATGATAGGGATTAATCTTATCATCAAGAAAGCAATGTGGTGGAAATAACCTGGATTAAAAGACTGGACATTTTTTTTTTCTGCTCCTGATTCTGAAGGAATCTTAAGTGACCTGTGCTACCTCTCTGGCCTTCAATTTCCTCCTTTCTAAAATGAGGAAGTTGGAATATCAGCTAGTTAAACATTTTTATAAGTAACCAAACCCTTTGTGCAAATGTAATCTTAGACAAAAGGTCAGTGTTTGAAAGTTGTAAAGGCAGTGCTGGTGGAATCAAGGTAAAGAAGTGGAGCAGGAGCTAAACTTTCCCTCTCCCTATTGCCTGGAGCTGCCTGAGGCACCACACAGGACATCTTGGATTCAGTAGAGGATAGGAATAAATGATTGCCAAGAAGCTTTGGAACAAGTCTCTCTGCTCTTTGATGTTTGCATAGTGTGTTAGCTGGATGATTTTTCATTAAGTCAATTCTTTATTGCATTTCTCTTAGAATGGTCCCAAACAGTAGTCTTACAACAAAAGCAATAGACTTTTAATGATTAAATAAATTTAGTGACCCAATTCATTGCTCTGAACTCATGATATTAAAGATTGAACCAATTTGTCATAACAGATTTGCATATATATACATATATATACATATATATATATATATATATATATATATATATGCTTCTAGTCAGGTCCCATACAACTGTGTTGGGCCTCTCTATTACCTGAGACACAACAATATGGAAATTAGGCCAATTAATAAACCTACAATGTTCTCTAAGTGTTTAAGTGAAAGGAAGGTCCCATACAAACTATCGTAACTGGTAACTTGAGGACAATATGTACATATGTCTTGTCATTTAATTTCCATCAGATAGGTGTCATCAGCTTCATATTAGTCAAAATAGAATTCCCAAAGGTTAATTAATAATTTTGTTGAATATTCTCACTTCTAAATTAGATATAATTAACTGTATACAAGGTTCTGTTCTCATTTTATCTTCAAATAACCCTTTGCAGGAGGTATCATTATTGTCGTTTTATAGATGTGGAAAATGTAACTCATGTTTAAGGAACTTACCTGAAATCACAAAGGGCTATTAAGTGGTAAGGCTAATATTTGATCCCAGGTTCCTTTTTTTTAAAGACAGATTCTCCCTTTTTTTTTTTTTTCTTTTCTTTAAGACAGAGTCTCACTTGGCCACCCAGGCTGGAGAGCAGCGGCACAATCTCAGCTCACTGCAACCTCTGCCTCCAAGGCTCAAGCACTTCTCCCACCCCGGCCTCTCCAGCAACTGGGATTATAGGTGCCTGCTACCACACCTGGGTAATATTTGTATGTTTAGTAGAGACAGGGTTTCACCATGTTGGCCAGGCTGGTCTTGAACTCCCGACATCAAGTGATCCGCCCGCCTCAACCTCCCGAAGTGCCGGAATTACAGACATTACAGGAATTACACTGCACTTAGCCAGAGCCCAGGTTTCTTGATGACATATTCAGTCCTTTTTTTTGCTAAGCTATGAGAGCCAGTGGAAATTTAGACAGAACAATGCACAAGCTTTTCTTTATTGAGGATGTGTTCTTATTGCCTTGCTTGAGAATTTCAAGTAGTTCAGAGAAGCTCTCTGAATCATCTGATGACACACAGTTAATAAGTATTCAGGCTGGCCTGGAGTTTTCAAAAGCAAAATGGGTAAATATTCTTCATGTTTTAAATTATAGTAAAAACATTTGCATTCTGATATTAATATTTATTGATTTTTTTGAGGTTCAGTGAATAGTTCTCATGATAATTCCTAAATCTTCAGAGAAAACCTGCATTCATAAATAACAAATTGTGTCATTATCTACATCTGTTCTCATTTTCTATAGGCTTAAAAATTCTGTATTATGGGAGCCAAAAGAAATGGCTGCCAACCAGTGTCTCTATCGAATTTTAGCTCATTTTTCTCACTTAATTCTTTATTTGAGAATGAAATGCTTATCCAAAATAAATAAGGGACATACTAAATTGCAATGATTAGCATGCAATGAGTGTCAGATTCCATTTTCTTATGGAAATCGAGTAAAATCCAACATTTTAGCAATACTATTGTGATGTCAGCTGCCCAATTAGGCTGTTATAACTGCAGGAGCTACCACTTTATTTTATTTATTTATTTATTTATTTATTTATTTATTTATTTATTTATTTACTTTGAGACACAGAGTCTTGCTCAGTTGCCCAGGCTGGAGTGCAGTGGTGCAATCTTGGCTCACTACAGCCTCCACCTCCAGGGCTCAAGTGATTCTCCTGCCTCAGCCTCCTGAGTAGCTGGGGTTACAGACGTGCGCCATCACGTCCGGCTAATTTTTGTATTTTTAGTAGAGATGGGGTTTCGCCATGTTGGCCAGGCTGGTCTTGAACTCCTGACTTCAGGTAATCTGCCCACCTCGGCCTCCCAAAGTGCTGGGATTACAGGCGTGAGCCCCCGTGCCTGGCCAGTAGTTACTACTTTAATATCACATTATGACATCATTAGCTTGAACCATGCCACAGCAGTATGAAAATTAGCAAGTTTCATGTTTTAAAAGAGACAATATGAACTTTTCCTGCTGCTTAAATTTGTGTGTCGGAGTACGGGTGGTGACAGAGGACATATGGAGCAAAGTTACGTTTTAAATTAATAACAAGTTGCTTTTGAAAAGTGTGTATATTCAGAAATAAAATCTAAGTTGTATTTTAAAAATAAAAAACAAGATGAGTCCTTTTATAATATTATTATTATTATTAATTATTATTGTATACCCTTTGTTAGCTGCCTGAAATTTTTTTCTGGAGCAAAATGAGCCAGAAATAAACAAGCAAGCAAACTGAAAAATGCACTACTACTTTATAACCTCAAAATTATATTTAGCTACTGAAGCCATATTAAAAGAATATTTTGAATGGATGAATAAAAATATGTCATCATCTATTAACTAGTGGCAAAATGTCCTTCTTAAAATTTGGCACACATTCTATTTTTATTATAACTTCAAGTTGTACAGTGCAATTTCTAAAGCACGTTAACATGTATTAGTATTATTTCAACTTCACATAACCTTAGAATATGGTCAGAGCAACTATCCATATATTTGTTTCACAGATGAGGAAATTGCATTTTGACTTTCCCTAGGTCGCACAGATTCATTTTTATTGTTTGCTATCTATATGATCTTGAAAAAAATGACTGCTCTATACCTCAGTTGTGACATCTATAAAATGAGAATAACAAGTAGATATGTCTTGCAAGGTTGTTGCGGGAAATAAATGAGATAAACCATCATAAAATCTTAGTACAGTGCCTGAAACATGGTAAACAACTATAAATGTTAACTGTTGCTATTTTTATTGCTTTTTTAAAAAATTGAGGAAGATAATTACATTATAGAAAAGCACAGAGACTTCTATAATACCATATATTATTGAATACTTCTGTAATATCTGTATAATGTGAAAGGTCAACATGTTTCCTTTAGATTCATTTATTTGCTCATAATTGCTTTTAGTTCCCTTTGCTTATGGGATTCATTTTGTTTCTTGCCAGTGTGTATCCTCTGGTAGTTCTTTCATGAGGGCCTGTGAGTCATAAAGATGCCTATACTTTGGGCATCTTCTACTTTATCTTCTTGACTGTTTAAACATACTCTTTTTAAAATTGCATTTTCTTTGTAGTAATCTGAGTTTCCTTGGATGTAATTTGTTCCCTTTTCTTTTCTGTTTTTTTTTTCTTTTCTTTTCTTTTTTTGAGATGGAGTCTCGCTGTGTCACCCAGGCTGGAGTGCAGTGGCGAGATCTTGGCTCACTGCAAGCTGCGCCTCCCGGGTTCATGCCATTCTCCTGCCTCAGCCTCCTGAGTAGCTGGGACTACAGGCGCCCGCCACCACGCTCGGCTAATTTTTTGTATTTTTAGTAGAGATGGGGTTTCACCATGTTAGCCAGGATGGTCTCAATCTCCTGACCTCGTGATCCACATGCCTTTGCCTCCCAACTTGCTGGGATTACAGGCTTGAGCCACCGCGCACAGCCAATTTGTTCCCTTTCCTTTTCTTCTGATTTTCTCTCATTTGGTTTCCTTTTGGCATCATAGATACTTTTCGTGAGCACATTTTGGAATGGATAATGTTACTATGTGTGTTCTGAGTGGTGTAGACTTTCTGTCTACATCCAAGGAACTTCAGATTAGTATAAAAAGAATGTAATCTTAAAATGAGTGTGTTTAAATATTCAGGGAAATTAAGAAAAAATAGAAAATAATGTACAAACAATAAATTATGTTAAAAAGAAAGGCTAAGCAGATATTAAAGGGCCAAATAGAAATCTTGAGTACCTCTGTGGAGCCCTGGGAAAGGCAAGAGCCTCATTTCAGTGTTTGCTCAAGTTCTGGGCTTGGAATTTTCATACTCTTTGTGTCCATATAGGAATTCAGGTCCCATAATGGGTACAGGTTCAAGGCTGCAGGGTTTAGCAACTGATTCTGTTTTTTATTCATGGCTTCAAATGGGCTTCAGTCTTGTTTACTATGGGAGAAAAAAAGAGGAAGAGATTAGAATACTGCGACCTTGTATTCAGCAACATGTACCCATAACTCAGAACAGGATGTTATCATCTGTCCCCAGGAAGGCCGCATGCAGTTGAAAACCTCAATGTTTCTGCCAGCAGTGCTTGCTTCAAAATATTCCTGGCTGTGTAAGGCTTTATCTCTGTGGGCACAGTACATCCACGGCATTTCCCTCCAAGCTGCCTTTCCTGGTGCTAGAATGGACACTTGCCTTGTGGGAATATTTTTTCCTTGCTTTTAATTTTCTTTCCCTGATGGCCAAGGTAATACATGCTTATGTTAAAAGGAAAAAAAAAAAGGGAAAATATAGAAAAACATAAAGAAGTGGGGAGAAAAGTCACTTATACTCTTATTGCAGTAATATTCTGATATATATTCTACAGGCCTTTTGGCCTCTATTTTTGTCCTTTTCATAATTGAGATAATACTAAAAATACTTTTAAAAAATCTACTTTTGTTGCTTACAACTATAGTAAAATCTTTTAATGAGGTATGATGTTAAGGGTTCTAAAAGGCCTTCTTCACTAAAACCTTTACGCCATTGGCTTGTTAAGAATTTCTGAAATTCCGGTATTAGACGTTCATTTCTTTAGATCTAATGGACAGCTGTCAATTGCTTTACTGGTGAAGTAAACCAGAGTGATCAGCCATTAATACTTTATCAGTCATTGATGGCTTCTGTAGCTTCATAGATCACATGCTTGCTTTCCTTAAATTTCAAGAGTGTGACAGGCCAACCTAGGAGAGTAGAAGGTGACAGGGGTGTATGGCAGAAAAGGGCAGGTCCACGGATGGGGTAGATAGATGTAGACGATGGTCCTATGGAGTATATTAAAACATTTACATGTAACCACTTGCTCTGGGTAGCAGTCCAAAGGCCAGGTCCATGATTTGAGGGTGAAATGGGGTTAAAACCTGGCTCTCTCATTTCCTAGTGGTGTGTCTGAAGTTCACTGCTTGAAGTCTTCGATTCTTAGTGTTTTCATGCGTAATAGGGAGTTACTGAAGCCTACTTCAAGGTCATTGTGAAAAGTAAATGAGGAAATGCAAGTGTTTGATTCACAGTAATTGTACACTAGATGTTTCCTTTTCATCCCTACTTCCTCCCAGCCCCTCAACAGCCCTGTTTTATTACGTAAGTACTTAGAAAAATGGGCTTTCCATAGCTCCGTCAATCAGAATGGCCTTAGCCACAGCAGGACCAAGAATACGGTTACACTAAACTGTGCTGATTCATATCAGGTTTCAGTATGGTTGTTCAGCTATAGTCAGCCTCTTGGTATGGTGTACTGAGTTGGTGCTAGTATAGTGCCTAGCACATCATAGGTGCAAAATAAATGTTTGTTGAATGAAGGTTTACAGATTCAACCTTCATTAACACATAGAAACTTTTATGGGCCATAAACCCCTTAGAACATAGTCTTTGGTTGTTTTTTATAATTATTTACATGTCATGTATTCTTAAAAAGTTTTATTTGTTTATATGAAAACTTCTTGATAATACAGTTATACCCTTGGTTAAATTATTATTAAGTTAGGAATAATTGAATCTGAAATCTGAAACCATAGAAATGTAAGTTCAAAGACCCCCTGAAGCTCTTTTCCTTACTCCCATTTCTTCAAAAATAATGTTTCAGTTTTCAGAATCATAATGTCTACCATTTTAAACTATGTGGTTATACAATTCAACAATGAAGCTTAGTGTTTTATATAAAAAGACTAAAAATCAGGTCTAATATTAAATCAGAAAATAGTCTGTAAAATAGCCCGCACATCTTGACCATTATTTAATAATGGTTTGCTGAGACTTATAAAGGAGCAGAAAAAGAAGTTGGTTTTGCAAAAGGAAATACACACAGAAACTTACTCGCATTCAGACAACCTTAATAATGTTTCATCAGAATCATTGCTCCTGGTACACAGTATAGGTGAAAAGTACTTGGGAAAAAAAGCCAGCATAACTGTAGGAAATTTAGTTAATCTATTAATGCAGCTCTCCCAAGGTTCTCTTCAAGTTTGTAGCATTTGCATCCTGGATACTTGAGTTTTGGATACTTATGTTCAGCACCAAGACATCCTTCCACTTTGAGACTTAGGTATTTAGAGACTTTATGGGTGAGATGACATGATAAAAGTAAAAAGAAAATCAGCAAAAAAGTTTTGAGTACCCACTCTTTGCAGTATAAAAACATAACAGCCCTTGTTCTTCAAGAGTGTAACAACATTTTCATCAGCTGCCATTATTACAAATTGAATTAGTGATGTGCCATTAACTATTTTCATCAAGTCATGACAAATATAGGTTGTTAGCACTGCTTCAGAAAGCTAGCGGGGAGAGGAAAAGCATGGAGCTCTATTCCTTTGCTTCCTCCCCTGAAAATGAAGATAATAAGGCCTCCCTGCAAAATTATGGTCAGGATTAAATGGGATAACACCTGGGAAAATGCTCTGCAAACGCTAAATCTATGAGTTCCAAGATGTGGTTCCTAGGCCAGCAGCATGGGCACCGCCTGGGAACCTGCTGGGAAAGCAAATTCTTGGGCCCCACTCCCAAACCTGATAAATCAGAAACTCTAGGTATGGGGCTCAGCAATCTGTGTTTTAGCTACCACTTCAGGTGATTCCTGTGCTTGCCAAAGATTAAGAACCACTATCCTAAAGTGTTATACAAATGTCAGGCATTGCTATTCTATGATATTCAAGGACCTAAGATACCCATTGGCCCTAAAATATCTCTTCCTCACTGGCCTATCCTCTGCCTTCAATTTGCATAAGTAATGAACAAGAGTGGATCAAAAAATGATATCCCCCTTTTCCTCCTCCAAAAAAACCCTCCAGTATTAATTGCCTGTGAATTACCTGGTTAATCAACATTACGTCAGCTGGGATGAAACTTTTCCCACTACCACCCATTGTCTCTGAAATGAGACTTGAGGACTCTTAGGTGGCCACTCCTTCAAGAAGACCATGGAGGTCTAGGGAACAGCCACCAAAAAGAAAGGTTGCTGCCACGCTTGAAATTTACCTGCTGTTAAAAGCCTCCCTCAAAGCTAAAACATCAGGATGGTTTAGAGTTGACTGGTTTGCGAGTGTGGTAAGATTAAAAGGGACTAGGTCTTCCACTGTTATTGAGACAAAAGGTGAAGCAATACAACAGATTTTCACCTTGCTTTCCTTGGGTTGTCATCTAAAATGTTTGCAGGAGACTCAGGGCAACATTTTGGAAACACTCACTCTGTGTCACACACAGTGCTAAATACTTCAAGTGTGTTATCCCATTTACTTTTATTTACGCACTCAAGAGGTGTGTGCTAACATGGGTCTTGTTCACAGACGAAAAAAAATGGCACAGAAAAATTAACTAATAGACCAAGTCGCACAACTGGTGCTTAGCAGAGCCACAATTTGAAGACAGGTTCTAACTGCAAAGTCCACACAAGTAATTGCTCTATGTTATTGACTTTCAGCATTTATGAATATCATCTGTCTAATCTGGAGAAACACGTCTTATAGTTGGCCACTCTCATGGTTCTTGTTGCCTTCTGTTGTTTGGAGGAATCTAAGGATTTATGGAAGTTATGTTGGTATATCAGAAGCTTGTTGGTATATATTTGGTGAGTATATATTTTGTTCTTTGTTCAGTTCCAACTCTCTATAAATAGCCTCCCCATAACCCCATCCATGATGTACCAGCAAAGTATTCCTGGCAGCTGTTTAATTCCATGGGGCCTTCCCTTTCTGGTCATAGTCTATTGGATCAAGAATAAGTTCCCGACAGAGATTAGGCTGATAAATATAGTTCTTGGAGGAAGATTTGAATCTGGGACTAAATTATAGCATTTGGGTCCCATGTAGACTAAAAGACAGAGGCCAGAGGGATTGAGAAAAAAGTAGATGCTCAAAGGAGAGATATTGTCTCAATTGTATTTCAGTTCTTGGTTTCAGTTCCCTTTTAAAGCCCAGTTTTTTAAGGATACCCTGATATCTCTATGATGAACTCCCCCTTTTTCACTTAAGTTAGGCTCAGAAACAATTGACCACCTAATTGGTTGGTGGAAGACACCTGCTGACAACTCAGCAACTCTCACATAAGATTTTGATACTCATGGACCATTATTTCCTGGCTGCCTGGTGGGGGTCCTTTAGTGTCCTACCAACTCCATCTCCTTATCCTTTCCTCTCTAGTAAACTTGGTTGCTTGGATGCTTGATGATATATTTGCTTATTCTTTCACCCCTCTTGGTTTATCTCTACACACATGTACACACCTCTACTCTCCCTGCTCCCCACATGTTATGTGGATCTTGCCAATGGCCACTTTATAATTTTGTCAAGTTCCAGATCCTGCAAGCTGCTAGTTATCCTCTTCAAACTTCATTACTATGAATTGTAATTCACTGCTTTGAAACAGTGAATTATCTTTTTAGTGACTTATGCAGTTAAACCAAGTTGTAAAATTCAGTGCCAAATCCCTATAGTGCAAACTTTAAACACTGTGATTTTAAATGCTCTCCTGTTTCAATGTGTTCAACATCCCATTAGATACTACCACTAATGTGTTCCATATCTTATCCCATAACCTCTAAAAAATGGGTAAACAATTTCAAAGAAAGACTTATGGAAACTTAAAGTTGGAAGATAACCAACATTTTCCAAATGCAGGAGTCCTTGCTGCAACCCTCCTGCGTTTAAGTTATTGAACCTCTTAAACACTTTCCGCAATGGAGAGTTGCACAGTCCTCTAAATGAGTATTTTATTCTCTTAAAATAAGACCTACCTCTTTGTCATATCCAAATTTTGCTACATAAAGCACCTTAGAGTGAATATTCTCCCAATACCTATGATAGATTGCTTTCTAAATTTTCCTTTCTTAAGGTAAACAATACCAACCTCCTTCAACTGTTTTTCATTGAGTGGTTTTAAAGGATTATGATCATTCGATGTCCTTTTTTCTGAACAATATCTTATTTCACAGAGTCTTTTTTTTAATGTGGCCTTTCAAAACTGAACATATCATTGTCATGTGGTCTGGATGTCTATCTCTATGGAAGTAGATTGGGACCACCATTATTTTCCTAATACCTCTATCAGCTTGTTGTCTCCTAGGATCTTTTTCACATGTTATATTGTCAAGTCAAGAATCCGGAATCTCCTATTAATATGGTTTTAAGCAAGAAAAAATATAGGATTCCCACTGTGACAATAAGATATCATTGAGAAAATTGGTCACCTTTAACTTCCCACACACCTTTAACCAATTACTTAGCCACAGTCATCCTCCATTTTCTCTCCATTTTTTTTTTTAAGTTGAGATGACCCTCTTTTTATCAAAACTCACTTTTCTACCCATGGAATCCATTCTTTTCTTTCTTCTTGGAAGCTTGTCTTATTCTTCTTTTGCTCTTCTCTCTTACTGACTCTGCCCTCTGTGCCTCTAAACTGTCTCAAATCTCTTCCATTACAAATGAAACAGGTTCTCTCTGGTAGCTACTACCTTATCTCTGTCCTTTCATTACCAAGTTCTCGAAGAAATGCATGCTTTCTTCTCTTTTCTGATTTAGTTTTTAAAATATACTTTAATTTGGCTTCCATCTGAACCACTTTACTGGCACTGCACCTACTGAGTCTAACAATTGGTTTGACTGTGAAATTCACAGGTCATTTTAAAATTCTCGTCTTAATGGACCTCTGAGTTACATTTAATACTGTAAATTACATCTTTCTTGAAACTCTATTTCCATGGCTTCCAAGACCCAGAACTCTCAGAGTTTGTCCCATGTCCCTCTAACCACTCTTTCTTTCATTTTTTCCTTTTTCTCCATAAACTTCTTTTCCTTTTCTTTTGGCTTTTAAACCCTGGAGAACCCAAAGTAACATGGGATTATTTGAGGTCCTGCTCCCTAATATGACTATGTATTTTCACGGCTTCTCTAATATCATCTGTCACCATTTTCTGCTCTGCCTTTTAGCACTCAGAGATTTCTGTGTACACTCTACTAGTTTTCACCTGTGTGTCTTTCTCATGTTGTGCCCTTTAGCCAGAATAAAACCCTTTCAGCTCAGATGTCTACTTCACTGGTACATCTTCTTCCCCCCGTCACTCTTCATTAGATGAGTTAAATGCTGCTTGCTTCTCTGTACTGTATAAATGGCCCATCACTGCACTTTTCTTTTTATAGCTCTCTCTCCTCAAGTGGACTGAGTATTATGAGAAACTGGGATAAAATATTTTTCATTTTTTTAATATCTGCATGTCTCAGCAAAGGACCTGAGTAAATGATCAGCCGATCAGCCACTGTATGGAATTTTGCTATTTACATTGCTCTATATTTTTATGAACACCATTTTCGGTTTATCTTTTCTTACAGCTAGTTTTAGTCCAGCATTCCAGGCTGTTCTTCTCTTTTTAATTTTCCACTTGACCATCAGTGCTATTCATCATCTTGCCATTCTTTCCAGTACTGGCAGATTAGATATGTGTGCCCTCTTAGTTTTTATTCAAATCATTTGGAGAAAATGTTGAATAGGACTGATCCTATAGTAGAATTCTGGAACTGGTAAGTGGTATCCTAGCATCTAATGTCTTGTTGCTCTTTTTTCACAAATTGCCAAAATAAAGCCATCTTTGCCAAATAGCTCAGTTGCAGATTGGGCTTGTGCATTGATTTCAGCTACTGTCTTACATCTCTTCCCTGCACAAGTGTATTATCTAATGTCTTCATTATAAGAGAATGTGAAGGAAATCTTTAATGAAAACTTGTGTTATAGCAACAGTCTCAGTCTTTCATCATTGGATAACTAGCAAAGAGTTATCAGGAGAAAGGATTATACGGGTTAAAGCAATTTTATTTTTTAATGAGGAATATAAGAACATGGCCATTTTCCGTTGGTTATATCAGAACCCCTGTATTAACAAGTGCAAAATACACTTTCTATTTACCATTACTCCAAGGGAAAAAAAGTACATTATTTGCATTGAAGAAATATATAGTTATGTCTTCTCGAGTTACATGAAGGATAATTTTAATGTTGATTGCAGAAAACTAAATATTAGTAATTAATTGATTATATCTATGTGCCAGGAACATTTTGAGATGTTTTATGTATTATTTACTAGTCAGAATAACTCTATGAAGGAAGTATTATTTATTTATATGTTTTACGAATGAAACATTGAAGCAGAGAGAGGTTAAGTAACCTGTCCAAGGTTATATAATCAGTAAGTTCAAGGGTCACCAGGCTCAGTTCTAGAAAATTCTCAAGTATATACTCATGTTGCCACAAATTCTAACTATCACTATTCTACCTAACAAACAGCTATGCCCTTCTTAGAAAGCAACATCATCTCCTTCAATACAATACACCCAGTTCTCCTTGTGTGCAATTCTGTGGGTGAGTGGGCAGTGTTCTTGAGCATGGAATACAAATAATGAAAACCCTGGTGGGTGGAGAAGCTAAAAAAATTAGTTCTTTCTGCTCATTATCGTGTAATAATTTGTTTTTGATGGGCTTAGAAGGGAATTGGGAATGAAAAAAGACCCACACCATCTTCTTTATGGTAGTCATCATCATTATTTTCAATTTGGTAGAAAATGTTCTATCCCTTTCCCAGTATATCTCCCTTGTCCCATAAATAGAAACTTGGCCTTTTAAAATTTATTAGGAAGATAACATGGGTATTCCCCTCCACCACTGCCTACACCCAACTTTGTTCCTCCTTGCTGGGGCAGCAGTGAATCATATGCTTGGGGGATGGCTGGACCTGGTGGAGATCCCCATGAGAACTGCCCTTGTCTAGCTTGAGATCTTTTCTATACTGTATCTCAATCTTATTCCCAAACAGTAAGTGAATTACTTAGTCATGGCTTCTTCATCCTGCTCCTGGATAGGTAACATTATTTCAGGGCATGAGGAATGTAGAACTCCTTTTGTTCAGGGGTGTAAGCTGAATTTCCAAATCCAGGGTTAAAGGTGGGACTATGACTCTTTGACTCCTCTTTCAATATCTATTGAACACCAACCATGTTCATATACCGTTCTAGGTGTTGGAGATTCCACAGTGAACAAAACTAGCAGTGACTCTGCCCCCAAGGGTGGTACATTCTAGTCAGGCAAGACAGACAGACAGACAAAAATATATAAAACATACCAGATAATAAAGAGAGTTGGGAAGAAAAATAAAGTAGGTAAAGGGGAATAGAGAGTGCATAGTTGGGTGGAGTGGTGCTATTTTCCGTGAAGTGGTCAAGGAAAGCCTCTCTGACTGTTTAAAATTTGAGCAGAGAGTGAGGAAGTGAGTCCTGTGGCTACCTGGGGGGTAAGAATTTTTTCTTTTTTTTACAATAGCAAAGACACAATCAACCCAGGTGGCCATCAACTTTGGATTTGATAAAGAAAATGTGGCACATACACACCATGGAATACTATGCAGTCATAAAAAAGAACCAAGAGGCATCTTAATTTAGGAAGGTAGCAGTGGAGGTTGTAAGCATTAACTTAAAGTTAGAGGCAATAGATACATGCCTTTTGTAGCAACATGGATGCAGCTAGAGGCCATTATCCTAAGCTAACTAATGCAGGAAACAGAAAACCAAACACTATATGTATTTGGTTGGAGTTAAACATCGAGTATACATGGACATGAAGATGAGAGTCGTAGACACTGAGAAATACAAGGTGGGGGAGTGAGGGAGAGAGGCAAGGGCTGAAAAACTACCTATTGTGTACTATGCTTATTACCTGGGAAACAGAGACATTCATACTCCAAACCTCAGCAACATGCAATATATCTTTGTAACAAACCTGCAGGTGTACACCTTGAATCTATAATAAAAGTTGGAAATAAATAAATAAATGTCTAAAGACAACAGACACTGGCAAGGCTGTCAAGAAAGGGGAATACTTATACACTACTGGGGGGAATGTAAATTAGTCCAGTCATGTGAAAATCAGTTTGAAGATTTCTCAAAGAGCCAAAGAACTAAGAGTTGAACTACCATTTGATCCAGCAACTCCATTACTGGGTATATACCCAAAGGAAAATAAGTCATTCTACCAAAAAGAATTTTCTAAGAGCAAGTTCAAAGAACCTTGAGGCAAGCTAAAACTTGCTTTTTTTTTTTTTTTTTTTTGTAGGGAGGCCAGTGTGGCTGGAACAGAATGAGTAAAAGAGGAAAATGTAATAGTTGAGTACAGACAGAAAGAAGAGAACAAATTCATGTAGGACCCCAATAGCCAAAGTAAAGAATTTTAATTTTACTTTGTGAGAGATGGGAAAGCAAGATTTTGAAATGTAGGGTAATGTAATCTGACTTGTCTATTGAAAAAATAATTCTTAATTTAGTGTAGAATATAGATGCCATGGGGAAATTGTGGACATAGGGAGAGTGGCCAGAAGGCTACTGTAAGAGTTTAATTAGGAGATAAAGGCAGCTTAATTTAAGGGGATAGCAGTGGAGGCAGTAAGTATTAATGTATTCTGGATGTATTTTAAATTAAGAGGCAACAGAATTTGCAAGTAGATTGAGTACGGGGTTTGATACTGTCCATGTGGTAATTTTTATTTTTATTAAGTAGTTGTTTTAAAATTTATTTTTGTTTTCAAAGTTTAAATATAAAAATAATTAGAGTAACAAAATACATCCCCATAAGCCCAGATTCTACACTCATCCATATTTGACACATTTGCTTTAATTTTCTCCTTTTGTATTTGTTGAATTATTTTAAAGCAATCTCATGGACAGTAGTCTAGAGATTAATACAGGATATCAAAGAGGGAGTAGTGGATGGGATAGTCTGATGTTATGACAGTATGGAAGGGAGAACGATCTGGAAATTTTAATGAAGAAACAGGCAGGATACTCATCCACCCTTTAGGTCCAATAGGATGAATATAGTGCAGAAAAATAGCCACCTTCTGAGAAGGCTGAAGGTAAAATAACTAGCAAATCTAGTTTCTGCTATATAAAAAGCTGAGGGAACTATTCAGATAAGAGACTGAGGACATATAAGATCTTGCCGATGATGGACTATGGGTAAAGAGCTTCAGGAATTGGAGAGGGAAGGGAGATGGGGACAAAATAAGAGATTATGGAGCTATGCGACTGTTAAACGTGGAGGGTGAGGGTTACCTGTGATTCTAAAGCTTCTTGAGGTAACAGACATAACAACAATAAATGTGGTTTCCAGGCATAAAATGGTGGCATGGTTGTGGATTTTAGAGTGCAGGGAATTCTGGGTATCGAAGACCCCCATTTCATACTTGGTGGTGGACACAGGTGGTTAAGGGAAAGATGGTTTTACTCTGAGTTCACATATCTCACTCTTAACTCCCATTGGGTGATGAGTTGATGAGGTAGCGATCTAGCTTTGTTCAAGCACATGCTAAAACAAAAACGCGACCAATAAAAAAATCACACTGTAAATTGTTTTCCATATTTGTTCATTAACACATGTAGCACACTTTGGGAATCACTGCTCAATACTGCCTCTCTTTGGACCACCTTAACCATGAATAATATCCAGGAATGTAACAAATAGAAGCAGCTGTAGAGGTTAGTTGCTGAACATCACCATACTGGGTATTATGAAAAATACAAAGATGAGAGGAAGATGGTTTCTCAAGGCACTTACACACTTTTGGGGAAACAGGCATGTAAGTAATCACCTATTATAGAATACAGAAGTAAAAGTAATATTTTGTGCAAGTATAGAAGTGATAAATTCTAGGAATAGAAGGAGTGTAGGGAAGGGGATCTGGGAAGCTGCTGTACAGGAAGTGGAATGTGACTCAATGTTTGAAGGAGGGCTGGGATATCTATAGAAAGTGAATGAGGAATGGATAGTTTGGGCAGAAAGAAGAACTTTACAAAGTTACAAAGGCATAAATGTGACTAATCTTCGTCCATCTAGTCAATAGGGTGAAAACTGTTGGGGATTATCTTTGATTCCTCCTCTTCCTCAATCTTGTGACATCTGTCACCAAATCCTATTGGTAACACTTTTACAGTCTCTTAAATCATCCATTCTTTTCTACTCCTACTGCCATATACTGAGTTCAAGCCTACTTTACCTTCTTTCCTCTTCTCTAGACTATTGCAACTAACTTCTCACTGGTTTACCAGCCTCTGATCTATCTTCATTCTAATTCCTTTCAGACACTGCCTCTGGAACTCCTTGCCGAACACAAAACTGTGCTATTTGCCTGCCTAGAGCATTGATGGTAAAATAGAGTTTTCAATGTCTGTCACTCAAGGCCTTTCCACATCTCACCTCAATCCCTTTTCTCCTCTAATTTCTGGCCTTACGTTCTCTAAGTCACCATGTGTTTTACCTATAATAAACAATTTTACTCCTTAAATGATGCCTTACATTTTTTTTCCCTGAATTTGCATCTTTGCTGAAACTACCAATCCCAGCCTTCAGAGTCTTTCCCTTTCTCTCTGCTTAATTGATCCTCTGAGGTCAAATTCAATGTTACTTCCTTCTGAGAAGCTTTTCTCAACTTCTACCCCTGTCAAAATGAATCACTCTTTAGACATTGCTTCTGCCACGTAGACCATGCTTTGTATCATAATGATTTCTATTAATTCCCATTCCTCCACTGGAGTGTGACATCCTTGGAAAAAAAGGCCATGTTTTGGTTACTCTGGGCCTACCAAAGATCTCCCTTAGGAATAGTAAATATGCCTTTTCCATTTCTGGCTTTCTTTATATTATTATTGTATAAAACCATTTTCTTTCACTTAAAGGTATACTGTCTTCTAGAAGTAAAAGTCCACAAATTATAAACCATTTTTTTCATGACATTCAGTCTGACACGGTGCTGAAAGCCACTCAACGTGGCTAATTATATGATGAGTTTCAAAAATTAGATCATAGCATGCCCAAGCACGTAGTTAGTTTATCATCAGGGAAATTCATAGCCTTGACTTAACTTGTAGACATGTGAGAATTTTTTTTCTTTTTGCTACATCCATTTTTAAAAATAATGTTGTCCTTTATAACTGGAGGGAAGCAAGTCATATTTAAGAATAAATTATCTTACTCAGGCAAAAATACAAGATCAGGTTGAAGATATTTTCAGCATTCAGAAATAGGACATGAGGTCTTGGGAACTGTAACATTAAATCGGGGTAGAAATATATTAAATAGACTAAAACATAGTGTTTTATGATTGAGTGCATTTCTAGTATCTGGTCCTATGAAGTATTTAGACTGAACTAAGATTCTCATTATAGCTTAACTGAAATAATGAACTCACTGTTGAATTAGGGATAAGGAAGTAAATCATCATGTCTCTAGTCTTGGCCTGATTCATTCAGCTTCTAGGAGATTTTCCCCCTTTGTCATTAATATAAAATAATACTGGAAGTTTATATATGAACAAAGAGACTAATAATCATTATCTATTTAAGTCATGTGACTTCTTGCTCTGAATGCCTTTTTAAAAACATACTTTGTTATAACTTACAATGTGAAACCTGTAAGATATTTAAATGAGCATTGAAACTGGCATAAGGTCCAGGTTTGTGCTTTAAAATCATATAAATTTTACTTGATGAAAATTCTAAAGTTTTCTCAAATTCAGATTATTAAGAAATTCTTAAACAATTTTTATGTGCACTTCCATGCCACTCCCCCACCTGATCTCCAAACTTCTCCAGTCAGTTACCATAGCAGACACTAAACAATGTAGAAAATAGATTTGTTTCCATTGAAGGAATATATATATATAAATAACAAATAAATATTTAAAGGCACAGAAGGATATCTGTAAAGACATTCTTCTCAAAAGTCAGAGTTATCTTGGTTTCAGAAGATACATTATTATGTTCATTAACAGGAGCACAGAAGAGAGTTTGCTTTTTGTAATATAACTACAAATTGTAGAAGTATCTCAGATTGCAGATTCAGGCTATACATATATGCACTACGTTTTTGAGAAAGAATATATATTAATTTATGAAGTGGAAAGTAAATAAAAGGTAAGATAAATTTTGCTTTAAAAGTTGTTTATTATTTACAAAAATGAAGCCAAGGTTGTCATTTTTAGAAATCATGTCAGATGAAGATTAGTTAAAGGAATTGAGAATTTTGTCCTGAGAAAGAGAGAACTAAAGAAAGAGACAAAAGTTTTTAATATTTAAAGATCTCCCTGGAGAAGTAGAAATAGGCCTGTTTTGTATTACGCAGACTGGCTTCTGAATGCTGCAATTCCTCAGCCTACCTCTTCCTGTTAACCTTGGGTTGTGCTGCAAATTAAGGAGAAACCAAGTCTGGGGGAGGAAGAGGGAGTTACCAGTAAGGTGGCTGAGTGTGTGAAATCACATCAAGAGTTTTAATGATGGCCTTGCCCTTTAGTCTAGTGTTTCTGCAGAATCTTATTAACAGTAGCGATGGTAACAATAACAAGACAGTAATAGCTTTATTCTTCTAAGTACTTTAGAGCCTGCATGTAAAATAAATGTACCTTGACAATAAAGCAGCAGCCATTCTTAGATTATTTTTATTTGTTCATTTAAAAATATCTTACCTATGAACGCAAATATATTTTCATAAGAAAAAGAGACAATCCTAAGATACCGATACAACCAGGATGATTCAGTCTTTGAAACAAAGGTATGATTTCAGAGAATAAATAGGGGTCTATTGAGAAAGTTATAAATGTAGTCTCACAAATAAGCTGTGATTTTAATGGGCTTCATTATATTGTTCAACTAAAATTAAAAATTTGAGCAATTTAGAAAAGTCACTTATTATTGTCTTCCCATTTCATCTTGCTCATTAGAGCTGTTTCTTTGTCATGCCAAAATCTTTTTTGAATCAGGGTGAGACATGAACCTGAGTATTTTCTTGACTGTATTCTTGCTTGAGACAATGCAAGAAGTACCAAAGTAATAATATATTTTTAAATAAATATAAATTATTCATTTTATAAAATGTATGTGTATTCATATATATATAGAGAGAGAGAAAGAGAGAGAGTAAGAGAGTCTTTCAGAGCAAAATATTCAGTAGTGACAATGGTAATAAAATTATTCACAATATTGGTCTCATAGATGTTTGCTGTGAATAGACATATGTAGAAAATCATTTAGGGGAAGGTCAAATTTACTACCAATTGATTTCTCTAGAGAGTGTTATTTATGAATGCTCTTAGATTGCATCAAAAGAAAAACTTACAGAGATCACATTACGTTTTGATAAAGGTTTTATAGTTGTTTACACAAAGGTCCTGTCCAATTTTGACAATATGTTCTTGCTAGAAATTTACCAGCAAGAGTGTAAATGTATATTGACATACTTACTAAAATTCATTTGGATTTGATCTGCCTCTATATCCTACTGTTCCCCTCTCTATCCGATAAGCAAGCTGCAACTCTTTATCTTCCTCCCTTTCCTTCTTTTTTCCTCAATACTTCTGTATGGAATTACAACTTTGCAATCAGTTGTTTATTGATGGTTTCCTAGACCCTGTTGCAGGTACTGGTGTACTCTGCAGGATGATGTTTTACCATACACCATTGCACAGTCTGTTGGATGTATATCCTCTTGCATGGTTCAGGGGATTTAGTGAAGAATAGCACCTTGTCAAGGAACACAGCATTTAGAAGGACAGTTGTGATATGTATACATGTAAACACATGCACACACTTGACCATAGTACAATGTTTACAACAGCACAAAGAAACTGTTGTAAGAGTTAGAAGAAGGAGCACTTATTTCTGACAGGCATGGTCATAAAAGCTTCATGAAGAAGGCTACATTTGAGCTCAGCTTTGAAGTATGGGTAATCTGTCAAAGAAAATGATAGGGAGGAGAAAAATGTAGGTGAAGATAAATAATTTTTTAAATTAAAAGTTGTATATTTTTAGTTTTCATCTGTGGCTGCATGATTCATCTCTAATAAATTTTTCTGAGTGGTGTGAGGTAAACGTTAATATTCATTCTTTTCATGTATTTATTCAGTCATTCTAAAATAACTTGTTGATTAGACTTTCCTTTCTCTGTTGAATTGTCTTGGCTCTCTTGTCAAAAATCAGTTGACCTTATATGTATGAGTTTATTTCTGGACTCTCTTTTTTTCCATTGATCTATCAGTCTGTCCTTGCACTTATCCTGTCTTGATTACTGTTGTTTGGTAGTACGTCTTAAAATAAGTAGCTTTTGTCTCCACATTTTCTTTTCATTTTTAAGATCATTTTTGGATATTTTAAATCTTTTGCATTTTCATGTAACCTTAGAAGCAGCCTGTTAATTTCTATAAGAAAGAATCAACAGTTTGCCTACTTGGATAAGCAAAGACTTTTTAGACTCCATAAAGCACTAATATTAAGAAAAAATATGATAAATTCGACTTTGTTCAGATTAAAAATTTCTGCTCACCATAAGACATTACAAATGAAAAAGGTAAAATGCAAACAGAGAAAATCTCTGCAAAACATACATCTGATAAGGAATTTGTATCTAGAATACATAGCCATTACACATCAATAATAAAAGGACAAAATCTAATAAAAATAGGAAAACATCCTGAAAGTCACAAAGTAAGATATATAAATGGACAAAAAGTATATGAAATGTGGTCAACATCACTTGTTGTCACATTAAACCACAATGCGGGATCACTTCACACCAATTAGAATGGCCGAAATTGAAAAGAAAATGGCAAACATAGGAACCCTCATACATTGATAGTTGGAGTGTAGGATGAAAAAACCACTTTGGAAAGCTATGATAATCTCTTATACAGTTAAGCATACACATACTGCAGGACCCCCAAGTTTTGTCACTAAATATTTATCCAAAAGAAATAAAAACATGTATCTACAAAAAGACTTGTACATAAAAATTCATAGCAACTTTATTTATAGTAGCCTCAAACGGGACACAGTTCAAGTATTCATCAACAGGAGACTAAATAAACAAATTGTGACATGTTCACTTGATGGGATACTACACAGCAATAAAAAAGGAACATGCCACTGACATGTGAAAAATGTGGATGGATTCTACAAACATTATGTTTAGCTAAAGAAGCCAAACTAAAAGGATGCATTATGTATCAATGTATTTGTACAGAATTCAGAAAAATCCAAAACTAATATACATTGAAAGAAATCAGAATAGCATTTGTGGTTGGCATTGGGGTTGATCAGAAAGGAGGACAGGGAACTTTTTAGTTACTGAAAATATTCTCTTTGGTATGGTTTGGGTTTCATGAGTGTACACATTTGTCATTTGTCAAAACTCATTGTACTGTACATTTAAGCTCTCTTCATTGTAATGTATATAAACATTATGCCTTAATTAAAAGATATATTAAGTAAAGTCTTAAGATTAAAAAAGAGAAGGAAAGCCAAATATGCAAGTATATATCTACAGAGAGTTGGATATAGAACAGGAAACAGTGAGAGATAATATTAGAGGGCCATCAATGTTAAAGTGTTAGATTTTTTCTTATTTGTAAATGTGCTGTTAAAGATGGCTTTCAAGGAAGGAGGGAAGTTTAAAGAACAAGCTATTCCACCAGGATGTTCCATAGACTTTGCTCCTAAATACATTTAGAATCCATCCACTTCTCTAGATCTTCATCTATTATTTTACCCTTGGTCCACGCCACCATCATCTAGCTTTTGTCCTGGCAGTTATTCTTGCTTCAGTTCTCAGATTCCTACAATCTTCCATCGTCTACACTGCAACCAGAGGGAGTGATCTTTTATTAACATAAATTTGATGACATAAAATTTCCTGCTTAAAACACTGCAGTATCTCTTAATTGTACTTAGAAGAAAATTCAGACTTGAAGGTTTTATATTATCTGGCTCCTGCCTACCTCTCAGTACTTGTACTTTTCTACTGCTGACTGCTGACCTGCTTCTAACTTAAAAGCTAGTACTTTTAACTGTTATTTTTGGGTAGAGGTAACTGTAGTTTTTACTCTTTGCTACTCACAGGTTGGTTTTCTCAGCTTTAAGTTATGGCAAGCTGCTCTGACCAGTTGTCATCAGCTAGACCAAAGAATCTGCTGTTTTAAATTCCTAAAATGTTGAATTCTTTGATCAGTTCCCTGTACTGATGGAAATGGAGTCTAGCCCCTACTTGAGAGTTTTCCTCACCCGAATGACTGTTTCAGAGACACCACTATATTGACAATTTTGAAATTTAGAACAAGGCCTAATTCTAGGTCTCTGCCTTCTGTTCATGGTACACCTCAAGCTAAATTTATATTTTCATGACTTTTCTTCCCTTTCTGGACTCTGTCTCATCTCCAAATTGTAAGTGGTTTTTGCTGTTCTCATTCGAGCAGCCACATGATTATGGGAACCTACAAACTGGGAGCAGAACTAGTGATTAAGATGGGGCATGTAGAGTTTGGAACAACTTATTAACTTCTGGGTGTGGCCCACACGAATCTGGCAAGCTCAGACTCATAGCACTTCTCCTTGAATTTACCCTGGGGAAGAGGCTTAGCTAGCAGTTCTTTAAAGAGCTCAGGGTTTGGTGCCAGGTGTTTGCCTTGTAAAACAGCTGACCAACTTTACACAATGCAATCAGAGTCTTGGGTTGCCTCCCACAAGGAAGAACTGACCCATTTCAGTTAACACTACAGAAAACTTTCTCAGAGACAAAAAATGATCTTGGGGAACAAGGAAAGTGCCTATTAATTGAATTTTGTATAATTTTTTATTGTAGAAAAACTACACATAACATGAAACTTACAAGTTCCATTATTTTAAAGCATACAATTCAGTAGCATTAAGAACATTCATAATATTATGCAGCTATCATTATTATTTAGTTCCAGAACTATTTCATTGCATGAAAAAGAAACCTTGTACCCTCTTAAGCTATCATTTCCAACTACTTCCCCAATTAACCCCTGGAAATCACAAATCTGCTATCTATCTCTATGAATTTGCCTATTCTGGATATTTCAAATAAATAAAACCATACACTATGTGGCCTTTTGTGTCTGCTTCTTTTACTTTTAGCATGTTTTCAAGCTTCACTGGTGTTGTAGCATTTAACAGAACTACATTCCTTTTTATGGCTGAATAATATTCTGTTATATGGATGTACTACATCTTGTTTATCCGTTTATCTGTTGATGAACATTTGGGTTGTTTCTACCCTTACGCTATTATCAATGGTGCTACCATGAATATTATTGTAAACAGTTTTGTTTGCACACCTATTTTCAATTATTTTTGACATATGTCTAGGAGTAGACTTGCCAGGTTATATGCTAATTCTGTGTTTAACTTTATTGAGGCACTGCTAAACTGCTTTCTACAGTGATGGAGCAGTCTTACATTCTTGTCAATCATGTATGAGAGTCAGTTTTGAAGCATTTTTGAGTATTTTATGAAGGTGCCCGTACCTATAAGTGAATCATTAAATAATATTTTAATGGTAAGTAAAAGAAAACTGATTTGTGCTTTTAAAGTAAGGTGAATTTATCTTCTCCTCTTCAGTTGAATTCTTCTTTCCCTCCTCCTCCCTCCACCAAGGGATGAGAATAGACTATGACGGCTAATTTTGAGTCAGGTCCCAGGAAATTCTGAAAGTTACTTGCTAGGGCACCCACATGTAAAAAGTTTGCCTGTGTAGTGTTTTGAAATAGTCACAGCTCAGATGTGAAGAAATATTAACATAACTTTACCTTTTATATTACTGAGCTCTATTTAGCCCTGGCACCCCCATTTTTGCTGCTGTTAAAAACCTCTTAATCTTGTCACTGAAAGCTATTATGGTCTCTTCTGGTTTAAACATTTGAAACTCAGTGGAATTGTTAATTCCACCCAGAATTTGGTCATTAACTCAAAGGTGAAACTACCTACAAGGGCTGTTCTCTGTTCTCCTGGCCCTGGCCCTCCCCACTGCCTCCCCCCATCCCAGGAATGTACAATCATCATGGCATTGGAAGTGTGTTTGGTCCACACATCCCTATCAGGTCCCTACTACCTCTGCTTGGTCTTTTGGTGTTAACCTTGTCCTTGATATATTTGTATTAACTGTACCAGCCAGGCCTTTAGGAATGTACCAGAATTTTCTAGCAATGTCCATAGCGTTGCCCACACCCTATGAAAATAAAATGTGGCTCCCCTGAACTCGTATCCTAGGTTTCCTCAAATCCCCTGGACCACTCAGCATTTATGTCACTCTCTCAGTCTTTCACCCTGTGGGTGATATGTGATAAGTCCAGTGGATCTCATAGCATTTGCCCATCACCCTATTTCCTTAGTCATAAAGTAGGTTCATTGATTTGATGCAATGTTATATGGGAATCCAATTAAGTGGCTGGAACTATAAGCCCTAAACAGTAGTTCTGGTTGAAGTCTTGTAGGTAGGAAATTCAGTTCACATCCAGAATATGCACTGGCAATTCAAAATGAATCTTTGTTTCCTCCAGAGTAGAAGGGCTTCAATGAAGTCAACTTATACCACTAAGTGGATTGTTGATTCTTCGATGGATGAGGCTGTATAAGGGGATCAACATTAATCAATGTTGCTGACAGGCTGGACATTCAGCAGCAACCTTGGTAAGTGGAAATCCATAATTGTGGGTCAGTGCAGGGCCTTTTTCTCTGTCGTCATTGTTCTACATTTACAAACACATTGTACCAGCTCTAGGATAGCAGGTGACAGAGGCTGACTGATGTCAACTGTCCAAGTTATTCTCTGTACTTGGTTGCTTGGTGTCTCCTCCTTGGAAGATACTCTATAGTAGTGGTAACATATAATGCAAATGTAAAGATCTCTTTTCAGGCCCAAAGTTCTATCCACATGCTTCTATTCCACATTTTCTGATACCTGATCTTCTAATATTTCTTCTTCCAAGTCTCCAACTAACCAGATAAGCTACTGGTTGAGCCTATGTATATTTTATATCAGGATACTTCTCTTTCCACATAAAGAAAACGAGGTATATTATTGCCTGAAGATCTGCCCATTGGAATAATTTCACCTCACAGACCTCACCTTCAAGGTCCATCGCTTAATGGGAATGTAGTGTAGCCAAAGTCCATTTTTGGCTTATACCCACATACTGACCCACATTCATGGTCATGAGACAGCCCATCTATGAATCAAGCTTGACTTTCCTCCCCCTTCATCAGCTTGGGGTAGGAAGAATCATGAATGGAATCACCATGAGTGACATGGGTTCACCTCTTGTGCCTTACATTTGTACCTCTGGCCCTGCCCTGGCTTTGATCCCAGATATTTCTCTTCCAGCACATGTTGGATAACTTCTGGAACTGTCCAATTTGGTGTGTCTGGTAGAACCCAGCTCCTATTGAGAAGTTTTGGGTTTGAGATCACTTTGTGCATCATGGTCAGGCACTTAGCCTTTCCAGTACCAATTATCACACTTAAGCAGTTTTTGAAAAAGGGTATAATTCTCTGCTACAGAAGGCATGACCTTTTTTCAGAACTCTAAAGGAGATACTCCTACTGGGATTTGAACTTCTAACTATTTAGGTTCTGCTGAGTCAAGTGGCCCAAATGGCAAAACCATCTACATCACAGCCTAGACTTGCTGCTGGGAGAGTCATTTCTTGCCCTGGCTCCCACTCAAAGCTGGCGGCCTTTCATATCACCTGGTTTATGAATCAGAAAAGTATTCAGATTCCTGCCTCCAGGAATGGGACATGAATTTGGTTGAAGTGGCTCTCTTCCATTAAGACCAATTTCTAGCATTCTCAGTATTTGAGGGTAATTTCAGTCCCTAAAAGGGATAACAGCAGCACATAACAGAGTCCACTATAGCTTCAAATCAGTGGCAGTTAGACTGACAGCTAACTTATCAGTAGCAACAAAGGATGCCAGAGACAGTGGAATAATATTAGAAATGTGCTGAAAAAATAACTGCCAAACTAATATTCTGTATTCATCCAGTATCCTTCATGAGTTAGTGTAAAATAAAAAATTTTTCAGGAAGCAAAGGAAAAAAGATAAGAGAATTTGCCCTCAGCAACCCCTCACTAAAGCAATTAATTTTAAAGGACATATTTCAGGAAGAATGAAAACGGTCTGAAATGGGTACAAGAAAAAATGAAGAACAAATAATATAGTTAATATGTGTGTAAATTTAAGTGAATATTGACTGTATAAAATAATAATGTCATGTAGGTTTTATTTTAAAATCTCCTAACGTTTTGCTAATATCTGAATTATACATAGTATATTTAAGTATATTTTGTATACTTAAAATTTGATACTTCCTAGAAAAGCTGGAGTACAGCGTTACATGGGTATAAATTTGGGTATAAATTTGGGTATAAATCATGGTGCAGACACATACAGTGCCTTCTCTAAGAAAAACACAAAAACCAAGAAACAGAAAATAAACAAGAATACACAAACAAATACTACCAATTCTATGAAAATGAACAGCTGTAAATATGGACCATTACACAAAATTTCACATTCCTGCTATGGTTTTTGTGGTGATTACTTAATAACAGATGCTAAAAATTAAATAAATAAGATGCAATGGTTGAATTGCATTTTTTCTGTTTTTTTATTCCCCCTTAAGAGATCATTCTCAACCACTTGTCTACTATATATTGATTGAAAGCTATTTGGAAATTACTCCATCAATGAAATGCAAACACCTATGTAGGGAAACGAAGCAGCTGTTTAAATGCTCAGAGCTTCACTAGACAAAGACATCCTCTTCCTTAACACAGGCTCTGTTTACACTATTCTAAAACAATGACTCATTCAGGGAAAAATTCAGTATTTCCAGGTTGTGTAAACACAACCATTATTTATAAAGAGATTTATAAGAAGGCCTGGTATTAACTACTTCCCAGTTGAGGAATTGCTAAGTGCTAGAGTTAGACTCATGTGTGTCTGTGTGTGTGTATGTGTATTTGGTGAATTCAGAATTGTTTATATTTGTGGGCCACACTTAAAAACCCAGTTCTCCTTATTTTGCAAAATCAACTATCAAGCTCGGAATAAATAGAAGTGTTACAAGTGGTAGCATAATTTCTAATTCTAAATAGCCTACTTATACCATACAGAAATTAGCAAATATTTTTACATAAACAAAGCCATACCATTGTCAATTATTCATAATTATTTTCTCATCAAGGAAAATTGAGTGACATGCAGATTCTGAATTTTGCCTGGGATTGAATACCAGTTTCATCTCTGGTTTATTATATGGCATTGAGTAAGGCACTTCTTCTCCGTGAGCCTTGGTTTCTACATCCTTTTTTTTTTTTTTTTTCTTTTTGAGACAGAGTCTCACTCTGTCACCCAGACTGGAGTGCAGTGGTGGGACCTTGGCTTACTGCAACCTTTGCCTCCTGGGTTCAAGGGATTCTTCTCCCTCAGTCTCCCGAGTAGCTGAGATTATAAGCACCCGCTACCACTCTCAGCTAATTTTTGTATTTTTAGTAGAGACAGAGTTTCACCATATTGGCCAAGCTGGTCTCAAATTCCTGACCTCAAGTGATCCGCCCACCTTGGCCTCCCAAAGTGCTGGATTACAGAGGTAAGCCACCATGCCTGGCAGGTTTCCGCATCTTTTGAATGGCAAAATTATTATTATTATTATTATTTATACTTTAAGTTCTAGGGTACATGTGCACAACATGCAGGCTTGTTACATATGTATACATGTGCCATGTTGGTGTGCTGCACCCGTTAACTTGTCATTTACATTAGGTATAACTCCTAATGCTATCCCTCACCCTCCCCCCACCCCATGACAGGCCCCAGTGTGTGATGTTCCCCACCCTGTGTCCAAGTGTTCTGGTTGTTCAATTCCCACCTATAAGTGAGAACATGCGGTGTTTGGTTTTCTGTCCTTGTGATAGTTTTCTCAGAATGATGGTTTCCAGCTTCATCCATGTCCCTACAAAGGACATAGACTCATCCTTTATGGCTGCAAAGTATTCCATGGTGTATATGTGCCACATTTTCTCAATCCAGTCTATCACTGATGGACATTTGGGTTGGTTCCAAGTCTTTGCTATTGTGAATAGCGCCACAATAAACATACGTGTGCATGTGTCTTTATGGCAGCATGATTTATAATCCTTTGGGTGTATACCCAGTAATGGGATGGCTGGGTCAAATGGTATTTCTAGTTATAGATATTTGAGGAATTGCCGCACTGTCTTTCCACAATGGTTGAACTAGTTTACAGTCCCACCAACAGTGTAAAAGTGTTCCTATTTCTCCACATCCTCTCTAGCACTTGTCTCCTGACTTTTTAATGATCGCCATTGAATAGCAAAATTATTATACCACACAGAATGATTGTGATGATTAAAATAATCTTAAAAATGTGTATCATTTGACACAACGCTTGTCACTCGACACTCAATACAAGTTACCCGTTATTTTAAATCATGAGGTATTTTGCCAGGTTTAGTATTGATGATCCTCAATTAGTTAATATTCAGCCCTTGTACTTTTGGCAATAAATGATTGTTCATACAGACTTGCTAGAAATGAAAATTGCTGCCAGTCACTAAGCTTCAATCAAATCACAACTGAGTAATTCAATAGCCAATTGTTTTAATTACTTGTGACTCTATCTCACAGAGTGTAACTGTAGGTATCCTGGGAGGCTATGATGTTTAAAACCAGCCACTTTACAGTTAGGGTCCTGGCAGGGAACAGTGACACATTCAAACTAGGTAATGGAGAAGAGTTTAATAGAGAACTATTTACAAAGTTGTTGGCAGGGCTTAGGAAGAAAAAGTGATGATGAAACACCCTGAAGTTAGATAATGTTGGGGAGTAGTTACTACTTCGAAGTCTGAAAGGGCAAGGGGAGTGTTGTTATAGGGCCCTGAAGTGGATCGCTGGGAAGATAGGTCCTTTTTTTTTTTTTTTTTAGACAGAGTCTCTGTCACCCAGGCTGGAGTGCAATGGCATGATCTTGGCTCACTGCAACCTCCACCTCTCGGGTTCAAACAATTCTCCTGGCTCAGCCTCCTGAGTAGCTGGGATTATAGGCACATACCACCATGACAGGCTAATTTTTGTGTTTTTAGTAGAGACGGGGTTTAACCATGTTGGCCAGGATGGTCTTGATCTCCTGACCTCATGATCCACCCGCCTCGGCCTCCCAAAGTGCTGGGATTACAGGCATGAGCCATCGCGCCTGGCCATTAGGCCCTTTTAACAGGGGCTGTGACTTTTAGTAGAGAGACACAGTTAATGTTGCCACCTGGCTATAAAGGGGCTAGGAGACAACTACCCCAACTTACTCTCTTCCTGCTATTCAAATCCCCTTCTAGAGCTTCCAATTGGCTATACCCTAATAGAAGATGAGGTCAAGGTGAGAGGTGACAGTGTGCTGGCAGCCCTCACAGCCCTTGCTGGCTCTCGGCTCCTCCTCGGCCTTGGCGCCCACTCTGGGTGCGCTTGAGGAGCCCTTCAGCCCACCGCTGCACTGTGGGAGCCCCTTCCTGGGCTGGCCGAGGCTAGAGCTGGCTCTCTTAGCTGGCAGGGAGGTGTGGAGGGAGAGGCGCGAGCGGGAACCGGGGCTGCGGGTGGTGCTTGCGGGCCAGCTGGAGTTCCAGGTGGGCATGGGCTTGGCGGGTCCCGCACTCGGAGCGGCCGGGGCAATGAGGGGCTTAGCACCGGGGCCAGCGGCTGCAGAGGGTGTACTGGGTCGTCTAGCAGTGCTGGCCCACCGGCGCTGCGCTCGATTTCTCGCCAGGCCTTAGCTGCCTCCCTGCGGGGCAGGGCTCGGGACCTGCAGCCATCCATGCCTGGGCCTCCCCACCGTCCGTGGGCTCCTGTGCGGCCCGAGCCTCCCCAACGAGTGCGGCCCCCTGCTCCACGGCGCCCAGTCCCGTCGACCACCAAAGGGCTGAGGAGTGCGGGAGCAGGGCAGAGGACTGGCAGGCAGCTCCACCTGCAACCCCGGTGTGGGATCCACTGGGTGAAGCCAGCTGGGCTCCTGAGTCTGGTTGGGGACTTGGAGAACCTTTATGTCTAGCTAAGGGATTGTAGATACTCCAATCGGCACTCTGTATCTAGCTCCAGGTTTGTATACACACCAGTCAGCACCCTGTGTCTAGCTCAGGGTTTGTGAATGCACCAATGGACACTCTGTAGCTACTCTGGTGGGGACTTGGAGAACCTTTGTGTCCACACTCTATATCTACTAATCTGGTGGGGATGTGGAGAACCTTTGTATCTAGCTCAGGGATTATAAATGCACCAATCAGCACCCTGTCAAAACAGACCACTGGGCTCTCTGTAAAATGGATCAATCAGCAGGATGTGGGTAGGGCCAGATAAGAGAATAAAAGCAGGCTGCCCAAGCCCGCAGTGGCAACCTGCTCGGGTCCCCTTCCACACTGTAGAAGCTTTGTTCTTTCGCTCTTTGCAATAAATCTTGCTACTGCTCACTCTTTGGGTCCACACTACCTTTATGAGCTGTAACACTCACCGCGAAGGTCTGAAGCTTCACTCCTGAAGCCAGAGAGACCACGAAACACATCGGGAGGAACAACTCCAGACTCGCCGCCTTAAGAGCTGTAACACTCACCGCGAAGGTCCCTGGCTTCACTCCTGAGCCAGCGAGACCACGAACCCCACCAGAAGGAAGAGACTCCGAACACATCGGAACATCAGAAGGAACAAACTCCGGACATGCCGCCTTTAAGAACTGTAACACTCACCGCGAGGGTCCGCGGCTTCATTCTTGAAGTCAGTGAGACCAAGAACCCACCAATTCCGGACACAAAGGGAGCCTGCTGATTACTTCCATGCAGCTCATTTTCTAGAGCGCCAAACACTGAAGCATGGGTTTGGAGGAACAAACAGAAAGCAGCCAGTATCATAGTTAATGCCGTTTGCCCATAGTTGATATGGGAACGGTCAAAATCTACTCAAAATAATGTTGCAATCCCAGACAATCTTTGCTCAATTAGATAGTGCGGCACTCTGGATCCACTAGGCATATTTCAGCCCCTGGAATGCATACAAAGTGGCTCCATAAGAAAAATACTGGCTTGACTGCATTTGCCTGGTCATTTCCATGTGGAGACAGGGCAAATTTTCACAGGGTAAAAATCCTATTGTGTTTTGTGACCTTCAAACCGTTAAGTTCCCAATTTAGAAGATGGCTTTGATCCTAACTTAGGGATATCTTGCCTAGGCGGAAAGTGCCAGGCTAAGCCTCCAGTAAATAAATCAATAAGCATCATGAGATCTACAATCTGGAATCAGACAGTTTGCTTGATTGCTGAGATAGGGTCTATGGCAGATCCTATGTTTTGTGTTCTTCAGCCCCCATAGAGCCTTGAGAAGACTGCAGCTCTAGCCAACTGCTTGACTGCAACCTTGTGAGAGACCCTGAGCTGAGCTAAGATGCTCCTTCCTGCCTGGCTCCCAGAAATTGTATGAGATAATAAATGTTTGTTGTTACTCAGCAATAGATAACTCGTGCAATAACATGCAAGACATTTTTTAAAAGGCCAAGGGCATTCACTGAAAACTGACTAAGGAATAGTCTTGAACAGAGTGAGCATGGAACCTTGGAGAAAAGAACCAGTGTTGGCTGGGAAAATTTCATATGCCTGTAATGAACAACAGAGTAAGACACACCTATGTGTTCAGTAAAACTATAGCTACTAGCAAAGAGAGATGAAGAAATAGTCATTTGCCAAGTGCTTGTCTTGTATATTCTTTATTGTTTGCAAAAATTCTGTGGTTATGTGAAATACATGATTTTTGGATCAGAAGCAGACATAGCTACTCAAAGTCGCACAGATAGTAGATGATAGAACTTGGATTAGACTCCAAGCCAGTCTAACTCCAAAGTTTCTGTGCTTCTGTGTGCTAAAAAAAAAAAAAAAAAAAAAAAAAAAGGGAAATTCAACAAGGGAGATTGTATTGGGAGATGAAGTAAGATAAACAAAACTGTCAGGGGAAAAATCCTTCAGGCTTTTGGAAGGATGGGGGAAACTGCCTGTGGTGAAAACAAAACAAAACCTAGCAAAAACACATGGCTGATTAAAAAGAGAAAGCAAAGCTGGCCTCACTAGAGAACAGAAGGCATTTGGGCTATAATAGAGGTTAGAGTGAAAGAAGCCCCATCTGTAGTCATCTCTTCAAGGCCAGATCGAAATATGCAGAATATGGATGGCTCTACTTGTTTGCAGATTGATGCTCCCCACCCACCCGAAATGGATACACAAGGGGAAAACACAGCACCTATAGTAACAGGGAAATATGAACACCACCAAGACAACAATCTCTGGCTCAGAGCACATGGTGGGGAGACCAGGTCTTGGAAAATCCTCTAGTAGGAAAGTGAAAAGAGGTCAAGGAGAATTTTGCCAAGAATATGCCACGTGATACCATAATTTTCTATTTCTACATCTTCGGTGACATTGTTCAGCTAAAATAAAAGCCACACTAAGTAACATTTAAAGGAGGATGTATTCTTGTTTTACGGGGGTGGTGAAAAAGGGTGTTATAGGAAACAGATTTGAGGACCTTGAATTTTGGGGGAACTTGTTTAAGCAATATGACTTAATGGGTAAGTGGTTAAACAGAAAGTCTCCACAGCTAATTACTCTAGAGTGGAGGTGGAGGTTTAAGAGTATTTCACAGGGAGGGTCATGACTTCCGTGATTTGGCCCAAGGAGAATCTGTTTTGTGATCTGACCCCAGTAGAGGTGGAACATCAGTCCTGGCCCACCAGACCAAGCGATATATCAGTTTCTCTGCCATTGCAGAGAAACAGAAGTACAGGGAGGAACACAGAACGCTTAGAGAGACACAGTACACAGCTGTTGCAAAGTCATGTCACCCTTGTAGGTGAGCTCAGGCACTCAGCAGTTTTGCTTAGCTGATTGGTTGGCCTTACTGATACTATCTTAGCCTGGCTTACTGGCAGACAGCAGGGTCTGAAACACATCTTTTATCCAGGTAGTTTGCTTGGGGATGTGATCTCAGGGCCACAAGTTGGAGACTAGGGAGGGTGAAATTGGGGAGGAGGGGCTGCTAAAATAAGAATGCATTATCTATCCAGTCATAGCTGTGGGCAACTGGGGTTTGGTCCCACTGTAACTCTTGGAAGAGCCATATAGGCTGTGCCTCTGAATTGTCAGTATGAAAGGAAGAAGAGAAGGTATTTATCCACTGTCTCCAGCTCTGCATTGACCAAGGGTTGCCTCACAGGATGGCAGTCTTCCAGATTTATGCATGCATTGGTACCAATCAGGTTTTCATAGGCATCCCATGTCAGAGAAGTCTGAATGCAGAAAGTAAGCAAACTGGGTGTAGTGGGGACAGGGTGCTGACAAGCTTTAGCAGCCTGAAGTTGATTTGTGGCTACCATTGAGGGAGTATAAGCCTTGAGGCATGACTCAATAAGTGTTTGATAACAATCTGCTGAAAACTGCTTAGGCAAACGTGAACAGTTCAAAAACTGAAACAATGTAAGGGTTCTAATTCAAGAAAACACCACCTGCCTGGCTGGGACAGGGATGCGGGACATACAAAATACTCAGCAGGATGTAAAAGATGGCATATTGTACTTGAATTATTCCCTTGGCTATTGTTGTCATTTTACTAATTCCTGTTCAGGAGTGAAAATGGAAATGACTCTCAATTCCCTATTATTATTTGTCATTTGTTTTATGTAAGTATACTTAAAATTGTTGTTTAAATATTCTCATATAGTTCGCATTTCAGTGAGTGGGTTCAGTAATTTTTATCAAATTATTTTGCCTTCTTTTAAAGTCCTATGGCTCGCTCCAACTCCACAACATGCACATATTCATATATTTATATTTTTAGATACCTAAATGGGTTGAACTCAGCTGGGCTGCCAATCAAGATCCCAGTGCCTTGAGAAAGCAAAATCAGATAAGCATTATCCCTTTACAGACTGGGATTTCAGTCTGTGTATGCTTCGTGTTATAATAATCACTTTTATGGGTTCCTGAAAAAGGATTTCTAACCTGTGCTTACATTAAATCATATCAGGTGGCCTCCTTAATTCAGAGAAAATGACATTCAGAAATAAACTTAGGAGGAATTTTTTAAAATAAAAAATCTCAAAAAAGTAAGTCTCTCACTGTGTACCTTCTCTTTGCCAGTTGCTTTATATACATAATACTCAAATTTACAATAAACATACAAACATGATATTATCATCTCTATTTTTACAGACAAGAGAATGAAGGCCAAATTGAGTTTCCTTGAGCAACTCATTTAACGTTAAGAATCAAGATGGTGCCCAAGCTCAGATGACATCCTTTCTAACCCATTTGGAAGGCTCCTCTCATAGGAGGTGTGAAAGAAAAGAGAATGGAAAGGAACAGGCTCTTCTCTTGAAGAAAAGCCCTCAGTCCATACAGCCAGACTTTGTCTACATATGCCTTTCTATGGGATGCTGAGAGACCAAGGGCTTCTGACATAGACATGTGAGAAATACTGGCTTTAAGTATACTATACTCAGTGTCAAAAGCTTTCAGGATGCAAGAAATTCCTGAATTTGAGTCTCCAAAATTTTAAACAAGGAAAGGAAGTAAAAATTATCTCTTTTTCGATGTATGGCCCTATAGTTGGCCAAAAATGATTGCTTCTGTTGTTAGATATTCATGTATATTTAAGATTAAAGAAGGTGATATTGATGTGCAAATATGAGAGTAAATTGACAGACAGATAACCTAAAAAAGTACAGTAAAATAAAGTTAAGAGTTGTGATGAATACCTAAAGGTCCATTGCCAGATGAATGTGAAGACGGAATGTGATTTATATATATAGTGGAATATTATTCAATTAAAAAGAAAATGCTAACACTTGCTAATATATATAAACCTTCAAGACATTATGCTAAGTGAAAGAAGCCAGATACCAAAGGACAAATATTGCACTGTTCCACATATATGAAGTGAACATCACATATTGCTGAAGTTCTCATCATCAGAAAGAGGCAGAGCTAAGATTTAAATCCAGACATGCCTGGTTCTGAATTCAGTTGTCTTCCTACACCCAGGAGCTTATTACATGCATTGTGCTAGTCTTCCTGGAAATCAGGCAAACTCAGTCCACTGCACCTCATCTCCTTATGTAATAACCTGGAGAGCGGTGAGAGCCATCTGCTTCAAGAGCGACATATTTGAGTCCATAAGGTAATAGGTTGGCAGAGAACAGAAGGATTATGGCATTGCCATTTGGCATTCTTGACTTACTCTGCATTTATAAAATCGAAATACATAGTCCATCATGTTCTCACAGAGCCTACCATTATCAGTCATTCTGAAATAAACATGGTTAGGGACATCATATTCAAAATAAGTGATCCTTGTTTTCGGGAATGATGTCTGGCAGGAGGAGTTTTTAAATCCTGCTTTCTGAAGCACTAGCTTACAAATGACTTTGTGAAGTGTATTTTGATTCTGGGGCCCAAGAAGGAGAAAAACAAGTAAGGGAGAAAAACATAGGCTGGATCTTAAGATCACAAGATAACAGATGGATTAAAGGGTAGAAGCCAGAGCAGAGGTTCCAAAACAAGATTGATCATTCAAATTCATCTGAAGAACTTTAAATATATGTATTTACCTGAACCCAGCTTCAGGAATGAGGCTCAGACATCTGTGTATTTAAAATCTCCTGTGGTTATTCTGATAATTAGCCTCAGTTTTGAGTCATCTAACAAAGAAAAAGCAAAACATATGTCAATCAGTTTATCTTACTGTAATTAAACTTCAGTGGGAAACATGAGGTGACCCCAAAGAACTGGTTAAGTGTGGCTTAAGAATTAGTTAAGCAAATGTACCAAAAGACAATTTTAAAAAACCAAATAAAAAGAAATTTTAGTTTATTCTCAGGGGCTTTCACAGGAGTCTATAAAAATCTCAAAAACATCCAGGAAGCTCCCATCGAATAATTTGGCTACCTGAAGTGCTGAATAAAAGGAGCTCTCCCAAAAGAAGCTGTGAATTCTCTATCAGGCCCATGTCCACTCTTCTAGTCATAGCCTTACTTCTTAAAGAAAGAGAGAAGCTCTAATCCAAATCCAAACATAGGACATATGGCGAAGATTATTCTGAGAGACACAGTCCCAGATTCTCCTCTGCTATACAGGTGTGACAAAAAAGGAGCAAGAACAAAGACTCTAACATAATCCTTAGATGTTTATAATAGAAAAAAGAATGGAAAGAAATAAACTTTAGCATTTACACAGGTTGAGCTGACCTAATCTGAAAATCCAAAATCCAAACTGCTAAAAAACTGATTGAGTTCTGAAGCTTTGAGTGTCAAAATGGCTCCACAAGTAGAAAGCTCCACATCTGACCTCATGTGATAGGTCACGGTCAAAATGCAATCAAAATTTTGCTTCATGCCCAACATTATTTAAAATATTGTATAAAATTACCTTTGGCTATATATTAATATGTAAGGTATATATAAAACATTAGTGATTTTTGGTTTAGTCTTGGATCCTATCCCCATAATATCTCAATATATGTATGCAAATATTCCAACCTCCCTGCGCCCAAAAAATCCAAAATCCTAAGCACTTCCAAAATCTAACAGTAAAACAGGCTGAGTATCCCAAGCATTTTGGATAACAGATGTTCAACCTGTATCACTTGGGGTCCATTCAGGGGAACAAACCCCACGAGGTATTTCAACAGAGATAATTTCATATAGGGAATTTGTTAATCAGATGATGGGGAACTGAAAAGGAAAATGAGAACATTAGAAGAGATCATTACAAAAAGCTGCTACCTCCCCTCAGGCTGGAGGAATGAAAGGAAGCTGAGATCAGGAAGCTCATTGGGAAGCTGATCAAAACTTACAAGGTTCATAGAGGGGCCCAAAGATTTAGGACTCAGAATTCCAAGGAGGGTGTTACCTACCTCCAAGGAGGCTGCTACTGAAATCTCAGGAGCTTGGAGGGAGGGTCTCACACAATGGGGGCCTAACCTCTGAAGTGAGGAGCTACCAGCTAGTGCTGGTACCTCAGAAGTTGGGAAGAGGTCCTGTGATGTTGAGATGCAGACACATAATGAGTGGGCTCTGCAGCTGGTGGTCGTGAAGGGGCACAATGACTCTGTTAGTGGGAATGGCCCGATGATCTGAAAGCTGTAATTAACAGCTGCTGCCAGGGTAAAAGGCCAAAGTGGGGTGATCTGATGGGAAAAAATAAACAAGCAGAAATGAACAAGTTCCTTCTCCCCTTCTCCTGCCATTTACTCTTCCCCTAGTTCTTCCTATTGATGGAAATTAATAGTAAGCCTTCTGACAAAGGAGACATGTTGTCTTCAGAACCATCATCACAAAGTAGAGGCTAGGAAAGTAGATGTGGAACCTAATACCGGGTGAATCATTCATCGCACAGTTTCAAAGGTGGCAACAGAATTAGCCAAAAGCAAGTATAGGATGAAAATAACAAAGGGAAGGGCAGAAATAAAATAAGACATAAACATTTGATAGAGAGGACCAACAAAACAAAATTTTAATTCAGTGGGAAAACAAAATAAAATTCTTACAAGCTTGAGTTAAAAAAAAGGAGGAAAAAAGCCACAATGTTATGACTGAAAAAAAAAGGTAACTAAAAATGCTGCAAGGTTAAATTTAATGAAAATATGAACAACTTTATGTTAACACATTTGGAAACAGATAACACAGGCATATTGGAGAGCAATACAATTATTATAGCTGTAATCTTAGGGATTATTTAATTAATCCTTTAGAACATTCAATTTCTATATATTAATAAAAATATAAATATATATTCAATATATGATATGTCTCCATGTATTTATATGATATATTTTAATATAGATGTATATTTTTATATATTTCTATTTCTATGTATGTATAATTCTATAAATATATAGAAATTGAGTGTTCTAAAGGATTAATGGAATTAAAAAAGTAGTTAAAAAATTCCCACTCAAAAAAAGGATTAAAAACTCCGGGTTTAGGCTCTTTCAGAAAATTGAAAATCCCTGTGCTTAATTACTTTTTTTATGTCCTTAATTTCTTCAAATATTTCATATATATCTGTTTTATATCCTGTACCTAATAATTTCAGTATCTACAGTCCTTCAAAGGTGCACTATCTCTAGCTATTATTTATCATTTTTGTTGATGTTCACCCATGGTTGCTTGTGTATTCTTTGACTGTACTTGCTGTTCTTTGCATCTGAATTTACTGCCTGATTTTAATACATATAATCTCCATGTACCTAAATTAAAATATCTTTTCTCCAGAGATGGTTTGCTTCTACTTCTGCCTCTGCTTTTATAAGTAGCCAGGAGATACCACTGACTTGGGAGCATTTATGTCTACTTTAAGGTTTTAGGCTCAGCACCAGAGTACCAGACTTGGCTTCTCTGCCTGTGCGCTGGCCCTAGGCTATTGGGAATTGTAGTGGCACTATTGGGATCCCTGCTTGGGAAAAGCTGCCCCACCCACCTTCCTGTTGCTCCAGTCTAAACTCCTCTCCAGTTTTGCCCCAAATGACCTTTTTTTGGAAAAAAAATAAAGATCTTGCTTAATTCCAAAAATCAACAAAACCTCAAATAGTATGTCCTAGATGAGGTTTAGTTATAAACGCTGGGAACAGAGGAAGGAGTTCAGGGATGTAGAGGAATCTACAAAGCTATGGTGATGATTTATTTTCTAAGCTGAATGGTAGGTACAAGTTGTTTATTTTATTTATTAAAGGTATTATTACTCTTTTTAATGGATCATATATTTTATGAGAAGCTAAAAAATCCCTAAACTGACAGCAGTTTCACTGAAATCTCTCTGACATTGAGACAGCACTAAGGCATCAGCAAAAATATTTGGTGACAATCCAGCCACTGGTTGAAGATAGGGCCTCAACACAGATGTAGAGCTCTGGAGAGCAATGCTGGCCTAACAAGAGACACACCCAGCTTGAGCTGGGTGGGAAAGGAGGAAAGTGGTGAACAACATGTAGTAACCTTGCGGGTTTGTTCACAGAATACATACGAGATGACTTTTGGGGACTCCCATGTGAATTTGACAGAAATTTGGGCTGGAGTTTTCATATATGGTGGAAATACCAGAGAAGTACTGTATATGATGAATCTATAAGCTACTGTGGCCCTGGAGACATGAAGTATGCACATTCCACACAAATAGTAGCCCTAAATTCCCTTTTGGTCTTGAGGCCATCTTTGGAATTTTTGCTTCTGAATCTAGTTGTCCTGGATCTTCATTCCAGATCTAGTTATCCTGAAATCCAGTCATCCTTTCTATTGTGTTTCAATTCTATACGCTGATCTTTGGCAGCCCAGTGGAATACCATGGAGAAACAATTTACACAATGGAGCCATGGTGCTTAGAAACGTTAATTCCACTTTTATGGGGAACAATTTATTCCCAGGGTAGGGCTTCTTCACCATAGGATCAGGCCCACTGAGATAGCATCATAGCAAAGAGATCTGTTAAATTCTTATCTATGGGTCAGGATATTAAAATGCCATGTAATTGGAGCTCCTATTTACAAATATTAATAACTAGTGCATTGAAAACCGACTTAGTAGTAAATGAGAAAACAGCAAGCCAGGTGGGTTTGTGTGATTTCACTCAATTCTATGTTCTACTCAATTTACCAAGAAAAAATAAATTATGTTTGAAAATCAGTCACGCAATATTTCTGGCCACTTTTCATAAAAATGGATTATCTGTCATAGTTCTTTAAGGCTTTAACCCCATGTGACATAGCAACATTTTAGGACAGTGATGTGAACCAGACTTAACACAGGCACCAGCCAGCGTGGCATGATCTTGAGGGCCTCAAAGTCCTGCCCTCCCCAAAATATTAATGCTACTGACAGTCTTCTTGTGTTTCCAAAAGGGCTTCTTTGAATTCCTTGTTCAATTGTTTTCTGAAGAGGAAATTGTTTTTGCCTTCGTCATTTGCATCTTAGTCATGTTTTCATTTTTGTCATCGATGAGAAATACACAGTTTACAAACCCGAAGAGTTTATTTTGATTAAGTTTATTACTTGCTATTATCACCCAGCAGACAACTCAATTCTGGATGACTTTGCTCCATGCAGGGTAAGAATAACAGTAATGGTCATTGTTATTGTTGCTAGAAGTGAGATACAACTTGCCTGAAGTAAACCTGTGTTAACTGTTTATTCAATGAATTTTTACATATTTCTAAACCCAAGTGACCACCACCCACAAGCTTTTTCCTGCCCCTTCCCAGTCAATACACAGCACTATCTCCCTTCCCACATACACCAAGAGGTAAACACTATTCTGACTTCTATCACCACAAGTTGGTTTTTACCTATTTTAGAACTTTTTATAAATGCAATCATTCAGTAGTAGTCTTGTGTTTGGCTTTTAAACATCATGTAGTATCAGTGAGATTCATTCATCTTGTTGCACTTATGAGTAGCTTATTCTGTTTCACTGCTCTGTGCTCTTCTATTCTATGAATATACCACAATGTATTCATTCTACTGTTGAGGTACATGTGGGTTATTTCCATTTTAGACTATTTTAAATAAAGCTGTTATTAACATTCTTGTGCATGTGGTTTGGTAGTTATACACACTCATTTCTCTTTGATATGTATTAAGGAGTTGCATTGATGGGAGGTAGATGGTGGCTCTCTGTTTTTCCCTCTAGATACATTTTCTTTCTGCCTTGCTTTCTGTCTTGCTTTGCACCCTAAATCACCCTAGTTCCCTTGTACTTGGGCTCCTAGTTGGATTCAGCTAATGGAAGGCCCAGCAGTTGACTGAAGAATGGGAAGAGAGAGATTACAGTATTTATTCCCTCTCTTCTCTTCCTGCTTCACCACCCTTGAGAGTGACTCCATTTTCCTTCAACCACTGTTCCTGTCAGACAGCCCTGCTACCAAGGCTCCAGCTCTCCGTTAATGGTTCCGTTAATACCATCCTTTTCTTGCCTCTTTAGGTCCAGCAGGCTATTATAGATTCCCAATTGTTGCTAATTCCTGGGCACTTGAGTCTTCTCTTTCTAGCGTGATGCTCTTAACCCTACCCACATCCCTGGGAAAGTGGTTATTCTATTAAAAAATAAAAAACAAATCCAAATCTTTATAATATGTTTCTTTCTTCTTTTAGGGATTATGACTTGTTACAGAAGAAAATAAAGGGGATTTTGAGATCATGTTGAGATCAGAATGTTGGAGCACACTAGAAGGTCCTGCTCAGTGTGAGAGAGCTGGCACAGGAAAGAGGTTATACTGAAAGGAGTTATTTAGGGCAATTCAAGTGAAAAAGTGTATTGGGTGTGACTAGAACTCTAGATAATACAAAGATAAGTTTCCCATTCTCAAGGAGATTTGTTGACAAATAGACCTTGAGTTTGATCTTGACTGTACTCAACTCCAGTAAGTCTCAATTTCCTCACTATAAAATGGAGATGATGATAATACCTGTTTCAGGTTAATCAGTGACCCAACCACCATCACACTTCCGAAGCAGTCAGATCTTGAAGAAAATCAGGGTAACTACACACACCAGAGGTTTTGTGATTTCATTAAAGGAATTAATGCAGCAGTGGTAGAGTTACCAAGAGGGATTATTGAACTACTCTGAGCCTTGGGAGTTAAGGTTCCATACATCTTGTAATTTCCAGAGAGGCTGCAAACACCAACCAAAGATAGAGAGGCTGGCTTCAGGGGTGACAGGCTAGCATGTTGGTTAAGATGAAACAAAGGCTTGGGAGTCAGATCTGAGTAGGAGGAATCTAGACTGTCCGTTATTGACCATACACCCTTGAACCAGTGATAAACATTTCTCAGCCTGCCTTACTGTAAAGTGGGGATAATCATTCTTATGCCGTTTATGCTAGCTGTTATTAATGGATTTTCCCCACACATAAAAAGGTACATAAACATATATTTATGAACATGTTCCTTCCTACCTCTGATAAGTGCTGGTATAAACAATGCTGGAAACAGAGGGTGGAGTTGAGGGAAATACTGCTGTGAGGATGATACCGGTGTGTGTGTTGGGGGCAGGGAGAGGAGTGCACAGGAAGATCTGGGAATGGTGGTGCTGAGGGCTAGCACGTTTTTATCTTGAATTACATCCTTATTCCAGGATGGAAAATTAGAATCTGCTATGCCTAAGCAGAAAAAGTCCGAGAGGCAGTTCATCAAAGTGTGTTACCTAGACCGGACCTGTATGCAGGGACTTTTGGTTTGGATTGAGTTTTGTTTTTGTTTTTCAATAGCAGTTATTTGAATCAGTCCTTTTCCAAGTCCAGTTCTCTATTCCTACCATCTTCCTTTTGTTCATAGACACAAAGTCAAGGTTAGTCCCTGTGTGTGTGTGTGTGTGTGTGTGTGTGTGTGTCTTACACACACAATCACATATTCTCAGTAGCTGCATATATCAAAGCAAAGTCTGACAGTAATTAGCTGAAATAGAAGCAAGGAAAAATAAAGGGATATCTGAGAAAATAGACTCCAGTTTGTTTGTGAGCATGCAGACTAAAGCAAAAAAGTTTTGAAGGCAGCTAAGGCTTTGGGCAAATTCTAATAGCACTGAAGGGTAAGGAACTAGGCAAGGAGGCAAACAATGTGATTCTGGCACCCTGCTGGTGATTCAGAAGATACTGATTCAAAAACAAGAACTATTTTCAAAGGTCTTTTGACAGAGCCGACAGCTCCTCAGTTGTCAGCCACTCTCCAGAGACCCTAATGAGCTCTTCCTTGTCAGGTCTTTCTGTCTAAACAAGAAATTGCTAGTCTTTCTATCTGCCACCCCATCATGAGTGCACCTACCTTTGCTTATGCATAATATAAATTATTATTGAATGCAAACACTTGTTCAGGTTGATCAGTTGGTTGTTTCTGTCAACCTACATCAATGCACTCTTTAATGTGTAAATGACTCAGCAGCAGGAATTGTGTGTAAACAGGTGATCAGAAAGTGCTTTTCTATTGATAAACTAATAGGTATTACTAAAGAAGTTGCGTTCATGAAACTCTCGTAGATTGTTAAAATGCTTTACCTTATTTTCCACCATAGCTAATTATGCTGGGGGCAATAAAGATGGCACCCCAAATAAAGAATGCTTCTTTAAATATGTTTGATAATATTCAAGATACTTGCCCAATTCTGTATAAAGGGCCTGCCATTTTAATTTTAGATGTCAGAACCCTTTTTAAAATTAGCTTATGTTATTAGGCAACACAAACAGTATCATTTTCTAAAATAACCCTTTTTGCTGAATTTTTTCTTGTTTGTTGCAAAAATTCTGCACTGGCTTCCCCCTCTCTTCCATGTTCAGTGCTGTTTTGTGTCTTTAGTTTTAATATTCTTCCACAATATAGCATGGGTGATCAACAGTATAGAAAAATGGAGTAATTCAAACCTGGTTTGAGTTCCGGTAAAATATTTTTTTTGGTTTCCTTTCCCCAAATACATCACTTCTATTATCTGATGTGTCATCAATGTTTTTGGAATAATCTTTTATTCTATTCTGTCATAAAGTTACCTTTTCTTTGATTAAGATATCTCCAGACACCTCAATTTTCTTAGTGAATTTGCCTCGTTTGAGGAGAGAAGCTACCCATTTTATATGAAATAAATAAACTAAAATAACAAGTTCAGTGCATTCAAAAAGGACATATGGAAAGAAAACCACACCTATGCTCATCATAGTCAATCTGCTAGAAATCAAAATTGAAAAGAAAATCTTAAAAGCAACTAAGGAAAAATAACACAAACAGTAAAACAGCAATCAAAATCCTATCTGCAAAAACAATGAAGCCCAGAAGACAGTGCAAGAACTTACTGAAAGACCAAAACTTCAACCTAGAATTCTAGACCCAGAATAAAATCTAAATATCCTTCAAGAAATAGAGCAAAATAACAACATTTTCTGATTAAAAAAATGAGAATTAATTACCAGCAGACCTGTGCTACAAAAAATGCTAAAAGAAATCATTCAGTATTAGGGGAAATGATAGTGATGGAAACTCTATGATCCTGAGGAAGGAATAAAGAACAGTACAGAAAACTGGATAAACACAAAATTACATTTTATTCTTAATTTCATATATATATGTATATATATATGTGTATATATATATATATGACTGCTTAAAGGAAAAGTTATAATATTGTATATAAGATTTTTGCTGTATGAAAATGTAAGGAATGCATATGACAATTACAGCATAAAGGACAGAAGATAAAGGTGAGGGGACTTATATAATGGAAAATTTATTTTATGTGAAGTGGCTTAATATTAATTCTAAGAAGACTGTGAGAAGATAAAGATGTATGTTGTCATTCAAAAGCAATCACTAAAAATAATGCAAAGAATCAGGGCTAAAAAACTAATAGATTGATTCAAATTCTCTTCAAATTTGGATTTGAAAATACTTGAAAGTACTTGATATGGTACAATTTAATTATGTTTTCCAATTCTGAACCTATACATTAACCAAGAAAAAAATATGCATTTGAACAAGGTTATGATGTGTGCTGTTTATTGAATTTTAAGACACAACAGAATATTCCTTTTTTTTTCTTTATGCTCCAAGGACTGGTTTATGGTCTTTTTATCCTTCAACCTTTATTTTAAGTTCAGGGGTACATGTTCAGGACATGCAGGTTTGTTACGTAGGTAAATGTGTACCATGGTGGTTTGCTGCACAGATCAACCCATCTCATCTTGGTATCAAGCCAAGCATCCATTAGCTATTCTTACTGATGTTCTCCCTCCTCCCACCCTTTTCCTTGGACAGGCCCCAATGTGTGTTATTTCTCACCATATGTCCATGTGTTCTCATAGTTCAACTCCCATTTATAAGTAAAAACATGCAGTGTTTGATTTTCTGTTCCTTTGTTAGTTTGCTGAGGGTAACAGCTTCCAGCTCTATCCATGTCCCTACAAGGGACATAATCTCATTCCTTTTTATGGGTGCATAGTATTTCACCGTGTATATGTATCATATTTTCTTTATCTAGTCTATCATTAATGGGCATTTGTGTTGATTCCGTGTCTTTGCTATTGTGAAGAGTTGCAATAAACATATGCATGCATGTATCTTTATAACAGAATGATTTACATTTCTTTGGGTATATACCAAGTAATGGGGTTGTTGGGCCAAATGGTATTCTGCCTCTAGATCTTTGAGGAATCCCCACACTGTCTTTCACAATGGTTGAACTAATTTACACTCCTACCAACAGTGTAAAAGTGTTTCTTTTTCTCTGCAACCTCGCCAGCATCTGTCATTTCTGGACTTTTTAATAATTGCCATTTTGACTGATGTGAAATGCTATCTCGTTGTGGTTTTGATTTGTATTTCTCTAATGATCAGTAATGTTGAGCTTTTGTTCATATGTTTGTTGGCTGCCTAAATGTCTTCTTTTGAAAAGTATCTGTTCATGCCCTTTGTCCACTTGTTAATGTTTTGTTGTTGTTGTTGTTGTTGTTTTCTTGTAGATTTAAAATAGAGTGTTCTTGATGAAGATTTCTGTGGTAAAGTTGAAATAATTTGTAGTTCAGGATTTTAGATTTAACTGCTAATGTTGTATGAAGTAAGAAAACCATTTTCTCTTTCTCATGACAAATTCTTTAAGCCTGTTTTTCTTGCCCTGTATTCAGTGGGTTCCTGGGTTCCTGAAAGAAGGTTTCTGACTTCCCTTTATTTCCATCCATATTCTAGGAGCAAATCTAGAAGTTGGTAGTGGGAAAGTGCTATGAATATCATTGGGAAAATAAACAAATAAGCCTGAAATTCCTGAAACACAAATGTGTTAATATTTTCTTCTCATAGTAATAGATGAAAATAATAAATTATAACTGTTGTTTTAAGCAAGATATGAAAATTAAGGTCACCGAGATTTCACCCCAGGATATCTGCCTATCTCACTTAGGAAAAAATAATATGCACAAATTCCTTTCTTGTTTAGAATCTTTTCGATATATCCGTATTTTTATGTATCCATATCCACTTTTATGTGATATACTAAGGACAAATGTGCCCATTTCTATCCAAAATTAAGCAAAAGAAAAGTGGTAATATGATTTCACCATGGATGGGGGTCATGCCTGGAGTTGGATTTTGCTATGAATATTTGGGGGTGTATTGGTTTGATCTCACACGGCTAATAAAGGTATACCTGAGACTGGTTAATTTGTTTAAAAAAAAGAGGTTTAATTGACTCACCGTTCCACATGGCTGTGGAGGCATCAGGAAACTTACAATCATGTTGAAGGCAGAAGCAAATGTTTCCTTGTTCACATGGTGGCAGGAAGGAGAAGAGCCGAGCAAAGGGGGAAGCCCCTTGTAAAACCATCAGATCTTGTGAGAACTCACTCACTATAATGAGAACAGCATGGAGGTAACCAGCCCCATAATTCAACTACCTTTCATCCAGTCCCTCTAATGACCTGTGGAAATTATGGGTGCTACAATTCAAGATGAGATTTGGGTGGGGACACAGCCAAACCATATCATAGGGTTATAACTAAACTTCCTTCTGGGCTTACAATGTACTTCAAAAGAAAGTAATTTGAAAGGTAGAACACTGTTTCCCTCTTATGGAGTAGCTCCTTGGTGTTTCCTGCAAAAATTTAATTATAGCCTTGGCGTAACCCTTCTATCCACTTATCCCCATTCCTTCTTTTCCTATCTATGAATAAGAAATTCCATCTTTTGGGCTCAGAACAATTTGAAACAGCTGACGTACAAGTAATATTTAGAAGTTTGTGCATTAAATTAACTAAGGTATAAATACATATAAAATCTTTTCACCTGTCTCAATTGCCCAGATATTTTCATCTCATGTTTAATGAATTCAGTTATATTTCAGGCGAGATCGGGTGCTTTCAGGGTGGTATGGCTGTAGACGAGTCCAATTATATATATATATATATATATATATATATTTTTTTTTTTTTTTTTTTTTTTTTTTTTTTTTTTGAGACGGAGTCTCGCTCTGTTGCCCAGGCTGGAGTGCAGTGGCGCGATCTCGGCTCACTGCAAGCTCCGCCTCCCGGGTTCATGCCATTCTCCTGCTTCAGCCTCCCGAGTAGCTGGGACTACAGGCGCCCGCCACCACGCCCAGCTAATTTTTTGTATTTTTAGTAGAGGCGGGGTTTCACTGTGTTAGCCAGGATAGTCTCGATCTCCTGACCTCATGATCCGCCCACCTCTGCCTCCCAAAGTGCTGGGATTACAGGCGTGAGCCACCGCGCCTGGCCAAGTCCAATTATATTTTAACCCGGAGAGAGGAGGGCTTACTTTCATGACTTGTTGATTGGCCTGGAATTTCATTCTCCACATGAAGGATGCAGCAAAATATAATATGTTAAGGTCTATAGGAAAATGATGGTTCTAAAGTATATAGAGCAAAATTTCAGTTCTACTCTATTTCTAGCTAATGTGAGCTTGAGTAGTTACTTAACTTCTTGAAACCTTGATTTTCTCATCTATAAAATAGGGGTAATGATAGTATGCATGTCATAGATTGACTGTAAGTATTAAATTAAATAAACCATTTAAAGTACTTAATACAATGCTTAGCACATCATAAGCAGTCTATAAATGTTAGTTGTTGTCACCGTATTTCTGTTTATTTGGCTTTTCCTATCTCAAGAAATTTCCTTTTTTCAAAGAAACCAAAGTCATTGTTAGCTCATCCCATCAAGTATCCATTAATAACGCGGATAGACAGGTTCATGTTTCATAGCCAGAGGCCCAAATTGCCCACAGTCATCTTGTCCAAAAGAGAGGATAAAAGTCAGCAGGCTGAATTTTCTTCAAACTTCAGCTTGCAGCCTAGAGCATCTTGGATCCTCAGCTACTTCAGCAGAAACTCAAGGTTAGTTGGTTTTTTTTCTTCTCTCCCTTTTAAATATAAGCTGCTTTTCATTCAAATGATGAAAGAATATCAAAATAATGTATTATGAAATGAATTTTTGTGTTACTCTTGATTTATAAATGTAGAAGAAGTAACAGAAGTGGGAAAATATTCATAGGTTGAATCTCATACTGCCTAATCCTGATGCAAGTATATACTATAAATCTACACATCTGAAACATATATGTATCTGGTAATACTTACTCAATGTCCACTTGAGACCAAGAGTAGAGAGATTACCCACTAAATTATGGATGATTCTTCTGTGATTGTTGACTTCAAATCTCTCTGCCATTCTGATTCAAAGTCATCATCTTCTCATCTTTCCTTTGCATCTCGTCCTGATGTCCTTTTATTTATTCATTTTCCACTAAAAGTTTACTGCTTCTCCTCTCTCTCACAGTCATCAGGTAACAACTTTTAGGCATCTGCCCAATATATGATTTTCTTTCTCTAGCAACTGGCCTTTCATTCATGGGGACACATAGAGAATTTGTTCATGAGTCACGTTTGCCATGTGCAAATCTGTCCTCTTTGAGAAAACCAATTGGACGAAGGTGGACTTTTAAGCGAACCAATCAGATGATTCCAGGGGTTTGAAACTGAGAACAAAAGGCAGTCTCTGAGGGGTGGGTGAGTAATAACACATTAGCATATTACACAGATTTAAACTCAGAAGAAATGAGATATCCATGGGAACAAAGTAGCAAAGAAAGCCAATTAGTAGAGAGGGAGAAAAATTAAGTAGAAATAAAGGTAAAGCAAAGGTATGGCTTGAGTTCGTGACTACTTTCTAGAACATAGTTTCAGTTTCCTTTTGATGACCAGCTACTTTTCTGCTCTAACTAGGATACATTCATTAAGTCATTTAATAACTCATTCTGTATACATTTTTTGAATGCCCACCAAGTACCAGGAATTGTGCTGTTTTTCATACCTTCTCTCACTGAATTTTAATTAGAAGTCTAAATCACAACCAACCAAATAGCAAAACAATGGTAAACATTTAATGTTTCTGACAACATCCCAGGAAAACTTGGCAACTCAATTCTGGCTATTACTGTACATTTTCAAGTGAAGTCCCAATTGTATTATGACTACTCTTAGCTAGGTGAGCTGAAACAAAAGTTCCTATTTAAGAAATGTAGTGCTATCTTCCAAGATTGCACTGGCAAGCAAATGATAATCTCTGAACATGATTATGACCTACTTAAGGTTTTATATAATCACTGCAGAATTTTTATGTGAGAAAGAAAATTCACAGGGTAGCACAAAAAGTATTTTTTAATGTTAACTTGTGAAATACCAATGACTAGGGATATAAGGCTAATGATAGCTAATGCGTTATGGCAAAGTAAACAAAATCTTCTGATTGCTATTTATTTTCTAACTTTCTATCTCCATATAGTATAATGATGCAAGTTCATAAATATCAGTCTCCAGGGAAAACATACTTTCAGATTATCCTAAACACAAGATATGAAAAAATTACATTTTTTTTCTTTGAGTAGTTGGTAATAGGTCTAAGTAATTCATTAGGAACCTGCTGGTTCTTTTTCCACTGAAGATGAAAAAAATATTAGATCAAGGCACTAAACTTGTATTTAATTCTTCATATTAAATACAAGCCAGAGTTACATGGGTTATTGTTAGAAAAAAGGCATAGGTACTTTAATCACCTCTACTCCCTGAATCCATGTTCTTACTAAAACCTATCCAGTTTTTAATCCACTGTGTGACTTACATCATTACTTCTCTATTTAAACTGCTCAAATCTTGCCTTCTCAAAGGGTTTTATCCTTGCTATTGAATTCCATAGCCTTCTTTCATCTCATTTAGAATAAAATTATAATTCCTTCCAGAACCTTGAAGATCATACATAATCTTACACAAGACTTTCTCTCCAGTCTTACCTTTTGCCAGTTTACCTCAGCCTCTCATAGGTGTTCAAAGTTGAGTTAGAGAGAAATAATTGTATTAATTTTCAAGAGCTGCCATAGCCAATTACCACAGACTGGGTGGTTTAAACAACAGAATTTTTGTTAAACAACAGAAGTTAATTTTCTCACAGCTCTGGAGGCTAGAGGTCCAAGATTAAGGTGTTGTCAGGGTTGATTCTTTCTGAGGTCTCTGTTTTTGGCTCATAGATGGCTGGCTGCTATGGTTTAAATATTCTTTTCAAAACTCATGCTAAAATTTAATTGCTATTGTAACAGTGTTGAGAGGTGGGTCCTTTAAGAGGTGATTAGGTCAATGCCATTATTGTGGGAATATGATTCTCTCTTTCTCTCTGTCTCACTCTCTCTTACCCTCTCCCATCATGTGATACCTTCTGCCTTTCCAGTGTGTGATGACACAGTAAGAAGGCCTTCACCAGATGCCAAGCAGATATTGTCATCATGCTGTTGGACTTCCCAGTCTCTAGAACTGTGAGCCAAATAAATCTCTCTCTCTCTCTTTTAAATAAATTTCCCAGTCTGTGGTATTCTGTCATAGCAATAGGAAATGGACTAACACATCATCTTTTCCCAGTGTCTTCACATGGTCTTCCCTCTGTGCATGTCTTTGTCTTAATCTTCTCTTCTTGTAAAGACACCAGTCATATTGAACTAGGGTGTGCACATATGACCCCATTTTACCTTAATTATCCCTTTAAAGGTCTTATCTCCAAATACAGTCACATTCTGAGGGTACTGGGGATCAGGACTTTGACATATGAATTCTGAGGAACACTATTCAGACCATAACAATGGAATTCTTTAGATAATTCATGAATATGCTCTGGCAAGTTTGGACATGCCCTGTTAAGATCATAAGGGGCTTGGGAAGAGGTGACAAAAGAAGTGCAAATTCAATGACTCATAGAAGCTTTGAGTGTGACAGAAACTTGGGCAGCTTGTTTTCTTGGCTGACTAGACTGAAATGTCCATTCTTTCCAGAAGATGGTCTTCACAGAGTCAAAGTGAAAAAAGACTAGAGCAGACAGGGATAGTGGTCACTGTACAAAATCAGCAGACTGTCAGGGCAGCCCCATGTCTCTTCAGAAGGTTGGGACAAACTAAAGTGGGTCTCAGGAAGAAACTGCTTCTCATGTTCTCATCAGGAAGTGAGTCTTGTGAAAAATGGCACTGTAAGAAAATACTTTCCCTTCCATTTTTCATAAACTATCCAATGAAATGACTATGCAAATAGCAAGTAACATGATGGATTAGGATAACATTATTAAGGATTTTAGAAACAAACTTTTTCAAGTGGTCCCTGAAAATGCTTCTGAATAAATAAATAAATGCCACATTGTCTAGCTCAGGCAAAACCCCACAGATTTGTCATATTATTAAAAGGAAAATAAAAGGTGGAAAATTTAATGTCCTAAAAGATTTAATGAGGCTGTCTCAAAGACATGAATAAAAGCTCATTTTTAAATTAACTATTGTCTCATGTGGGAAAATAATAAACTGAAACAAACAATAATAAACAAAAAACAAGCATTTTTAAAACAAAACAACAGCATATAATGGATTCTCACAGAGTAGTGACTACAGTCTTCCCATTCAAAGAGGGGGAAACTATAAGCACTTATTGCTTAAGGTATGTTTATTATTGCCCTTTGTCTTACATTGAAATGTGTTTGTATTAGGATATATTTGATGGAATATGCTTCAAAGAGAAAGAGTTAGAGTGCTAACCCTAGAATGCTACAATTTTATTCTACAATTCTCTCAATAGTCCATTGGGAGTATGTTTTGACACAGGCTTCATGAAGCAGTTATCTAAGATATTGAAGCTGGAACTACTGCAAGGAAAATCTTAGAATTTTGTCTGAAAAGAGTCAATAACAGCCTCTGGCTCCCAAACTCTCTTAAAAGGAAAGCTGAGCAACTATGGTTTCTGTGCTGTATTAGTTCATTTCACACTGCTATAAAGATACTACCTGGGACTGGGTAATTTATTAACAAAAGGGGTTTAATTGACTCACAGTTCTGCATGGCTGGAGAGACCTCAGGAAACTTAGAATCATGGTGGAAGGTGAAGGGGAAGCAAGGCAGCATGTCTTACATGACAGCTGGAGAGAGAAAGAGAGAGAGAGAGAGTACAAAGGGGGAACTGCCAAACACTTTTAAAATCATCAGTTCTCGTGAGAACTCACTCACTATCACGAGAACAGCATGAGGGAAACCATCCCCATGATCCAATCACCTCCCACCAGGTCCCAATCCTGACGCATGGGGGATTACAATCTGAGATGAGATTTGGGTGGGGACAAAGAGCCAGACCATATTATTCCACCCCTGGCCCCTTTCAAATCTCACATCCTTCTCACATTTCAAAACCAATCATGTCTTTCCAACAATCCCCCCAAGTCAACTCATTCCAGCATTAACTCAAAAGTCCAAGTTCAAAGTCTCACCTGAGACAAGGCAAGTTCCTTCCACCAATGAGCCTATAAAATAATAAAAAAGTTAGTTATTTCCAAGATACAGTGAAGGTGCAGGCATTGGGTAAATGTTCCTGTTACAAATGGAAGAAATTGGTCAAAACAAAGGGGCTACAGGTCCAATGAAAGTCCCAAACTGAGCAGGGCAGGCATTTAATCTTAAAACTCCCACATTTCCTGTGACTCCATGTCTCCCATTCAGGATATGCTGATGCAAGGGGTGGGCTCCCAAGGCCTTGGGCAGCTCCACTTCTGTGGCTTTGCAGGGTACAGCCCACAGCTGCTTTCATGAGCTGGCATTGAATGTCTGTGGCTTTTCCAAGTGCATGGTGGAAGCTGTCAGTGGATCTACACTCTGGGATCTGGAGGATGGCAGCCCTCCTCTCACAGCTTCTCAAGGCAATGCCCCAGTGGGGACTCTGTATGCAGGCACCAGCCCTACATTTCCCCATTGTCTTGGCTATTAACATTTGGCTCCTCATTACTTAGGCAAATTTTTGCAGCCAGCTTGAATTTCTCCCCAGAAAATGAGTTTTTCTTTTCTACCGCATGGTCAGGCTGCAAATTTTCCAAACCCTTATTCTCTGTTTCCCTTTTAAACAAGTTCCAGTTTCAAACTGTCTTTTTGTGAACGCATATAACTGAACGCTTTCAGAATAAGCTAGGTCACCTTTTGAATTCTTTGATGCTTAGAAATTTCTTCCACCAGATACAATACCTAAATCATCTCTTGAGTTCAAAGTTTTACAGATCTCTAGGGCAGGGGCAAAATGCCACCTGTATCTTTGCTAAAGCATAGCGTGAGTGACCTTTACTCCAGTTCCCAGTAAGTTTCTCATCTCCATCTGAGACCATAACAGCCTGGACTTCATTGTCCATATCACTATCAGCATTTTGGTCAAAACCATTCAACAAGTCTCTAGGAAGTCTAAAACTTTTCCACTTCTCCCTGTCTTCTTCTGAGCCCTCCAAAATATTCCAACCTCTGCCTGTTAACCCACAGGCAGATGCTCCTGTGCTCCAAATGCTCCAAAATCATTTCCACATTTTCAGATTCTTTATAGCAATGCCTCACTCCCAGTACAAATTATCTGTATTAATCCATTTTCACACTTCTATAAAGATACTATCTGAGACTGGGTAATTTATAAACAAAAGAGGTTTAACTGAATCCCAGTTTCCCATGGCTGAAGAGGCCTCAAGAAACTTGGAATCATGGCGGAAAATGAAGGGGAAGCAAAGCATCTCTTACATGGTGGCAGGAGAGAGAGAGAGCAAAAGGGGAATGGCCAAACACTTTTAAAACCAACAGCTCTTGTGAGAACTTACTACTATCATGAGGACAGCATGGGGGAAACTGTCCCCATGATCCAATCCCTGTCCCACCAGGCCCTCTCCTGACATGTGAGGATTACAATTCAAGATGAGATTTGGGGACAGAGAGCCAAACCATATTTAAAGGTGTGCGTGTGCCTGTGGATGGGAGGGTTACTTTACCTTTATCATGAAAACTTGAAGTGAATTCAAATTCTTCATTGACTAAAAGGTTGAGATGCAAATATAATATCTGAGATAAAAAATGGCTTTTTAGAAATGTTCATAATAATTAGACATGCACTGGGATTTATTTGCAGAACAATTTAAAACTTAAGCTTTGTATATTAATTCCTATGAGAATTTGACACATTTTAAATGGTTGCCTAGATTTAAACACAAGGAGATGATTTTGAAAATTACTTTTCTGTTCTAATTTATGCTGAGCTCTATCCAGAGATAATATAGTTGTTATATTCTTTTAAGACATTTAAATCTGCCATTGAGCTTCTTATTGATATGTTTGATGGGCTGATGAGTTATGATGCAAGCAATTAAAGTCTTCTAGACACAATGTTCTGAGAAACTACTTACCATCAAGGCAGCATGAGATCTATTTTTCTAATATTGGGCTAACATGGAAAAGTGTCGCCAGTAAGATTACTTTTCAGGCAAAATTTGTCTTAGAATATAAAAATATCCCTTCTGACTTTCTGATGTTAATAACAAGTCTATGCTTTAATAACAAGTTTAAATCAAGTTTATGTTTAATTCCACTGCCTGGGTTATTCATTACCATGCAGCCTTAATCAGCAGTTAAGATCTTGTGAATAGCACATATTCCAACCTGCACATGAATGACCTTTGTCAAGTCGTTCACCTGCTCTGACACTTGTGTCCTTATCTTTTTGATAAGGGCTTAGACAAGGTTTTCAGTCATTGCTGTGCATCCAAAATAAACTTGGTGTTAGTTAATCTGGGGACAGTCTGAGTATCTCTGCTTGCAAAGCTCCTGAGATGATTTATTTTTGCTGTGAGGGTTGAGAACTACCCAGCTAGATAATGTCAGCCTTCTAGCTCTACTATTTTAAGATTCAAAATTTTTTCTTATACAATGATAGATCATCAGCCTTTATTATTTGAGATATTTGTAGACTTTTGTCCTGGTGAGAGTTTGAAAGTGAGGATTGAAATTTCACCCTGCTTTCTGTGTGGGAGCCCCTAAGAGCTTATCTTTGGACAAAGGTAGAGGTGCCTGTGGTGGAGAAAAGGAGCAGGAATGGGAGAGCTGATGTGAGAATGTGCCACACATTCCAAAGACTTTTAGGAGCCTGGAGTGACAATCACTGAAACAAAGTGGCAAAACAGTACTGAATGGTAAGCTTTTCAGATATGATGACACTTGGCCAGAGAAGTGTGCAAATCTTAGGATTTCTGGGGAAAAAAAGTGAACTAAAATTTCTCAGTAAATACAATGATAGTTTTTGAATTAGGAAAGAACACAGGTCTGTAAAAATCAAACGAAGAAATACAGTGTAGTAGGAAGAAAAACAAAATAAAACAAAAGGCTTCTATTTTTGCCAAACTCAACCTGCCACTTTTCAGAAGTAGGCAGGGCTTATATTTTATTGTGACTCCTTCTAGATGTTTCCTTTGTTTAAACAATCCTATCAAATATTCATGGATTCTATCCATTGATATATTATTTAAAATAAGATTAGCATCAACATATTATAATGATGATTCTTTTTTTTCTCCCATCTAATGTATTGAAACGATATGTGATGTATGCCACACCATGTAAATGTAGCTCAATCCTTTAAGGAGTGTTTAGCATTTTTGTTGAAAAATATGTACCATAACTTAGTAAGCCATTTCTCTACTGGTGAATATTTTAATCATTTCCAGTTCTTTGCACCTGTGAAATATTCAGTAATGAGCATCCTTGTTCATATACATTTGATCAATTGCACAGGTGTCTCCATACAGTAGATCTAATGATATGAAATGCTTGGGATAAAAGGATTTAAAGTCTAGATACATTTCCAAATTGCCCTTCTAACCTGTAATATCAATTTATAAGGGCAGCAAGACTATATGAAGTTTCTGTTTTGTCACAACTATTCCAACCTGAGGAATGATCAGTATTTTGGATCTTCACCATTTTGATAGGAAAATTCTTATTTTGTAGCTTTAATTCACATTGCTTTAATTATCAGTACAATTTTAAAAATAAGTAAACTTACAAAGAGACTCCCACTTACCTACCAACAATACAAAAATTACATAAGGTTTCTAGTCAGATGGTAATAAAAAAAACTAAAAGGATATATTGGAGTGACTTAGATGGAATGCAGGCATTAATTTGCATTTTCTAATCAGAAATGCATTTATTTTTCTCTTTGTCCTCTGCGGTTTTCCAATTTGAATATTCAGCAGGAGAAGAAGGCTGACTGAATACTTAGATTTAACAACAATGGTTAAACATATTCCTTTCTTATGATTCTGCTCCATCTTTCTAAGGTGAAACATTTCAAGCAAAGTAAATCTTAATTTTGAATTCAGATGGCTTACTGCTGAAATCATTACGAACACAATGGAAACGGGAAACTTTTCAGAATATTTTACCTCTATAGACAAATTGGCACTTTCAAAGAACATCCGAATGACGTGGATCCCATGCACCCATGTCCATCACTCTTTATCCCCTGCCCCGAGCTTTGCCAACACCAAGGTAGATGGATGCCCTACATTGAGGATGGCCCTCAACATGAACTTCCTGTGCTGGCTGGCTGGCACCATGTTTTCCAAAATGATCTGTTCTAGCACATTTGCTCTCTCACCAGGCTCTCCTTTTCCCCTTATCCTGTCCTCCCCTTCTCTACCTGTGCCAAGCCTGTCATCACTCTTCCGGCAAAATTTTCCCTAGCTGCAAAGAGCAATCTCTCTCAACCAGTGCAAGCACACATTTCTTTCATGGGACACCCATCAAAGGGAGCGTCCTCCACTCATTATAGCCTCATCCTTTAGTAGCCTCACTCCCTTTCTCTCTCTTTCTCTCTCTTTCATCTCAGCTACAGGGCCTGTGTTATCTGGCTCTTTTCCTTTGTCCTACATTAGTTTATCAAAAACCTGGTCTCTTTAGTCAACCATGAGTGTCCAAGAGCATGCACTTGGATCAGGCCACTGCTCTTGGAGCCAACAGAGTAGTATGCATGATGAATTATGAAACCCTTTTCCTGACAAGCTTAGAATCTCTAGTTCTGCCAGGGCACTGGACCAATGAATGGGAACGTGTGTGACAAATCAGAAAATTCTTTTTGGGAAATTCTTGGGAAGAGAAATCTGCAGTCGCTGCTGTGACGAACTGAAGATTTGATGAAAACCTTTTATGGGTGACCTGGAAACAAGCCACTTTTCATTTATGTTTGAAATTTAGAGACTGCTTAAGATTTAGCTAATATAGTCCAGGCTTGATTTTTTTTTTTTAAGAAAACTCTGACGACAAACTCCTTATCTGTGTTTTGTTTTATACAGTGTCTGTGTGAGTTAAATATCTATTGATGCTGTAAACACAAGCATTTAGTTTGATGAGTAGGACTAATGCTTTCATCTATTTAGACAGCAAACGCCATGTCTCCTTTCACATGCCTCTCTGTCTCTGGGGATTGGCTGTGCAGGACTTGTTAAAAGGGTTTCCATTCTGCTTATGTGAATGCTCTGGATGCAGATTTTACACACAAGAGACAAGTTCAGCTGCTACTGAATTTTCTTTCTCCCATTCTCCTTTCTTATAATCACAAGACTAAGCACCTGGATATGTTAAGCCAGGCATTTTTAGCATGAGATACATACTTATACACAGGAATTCTCCTCACATTTCTCAACACTCATGAATTATTCACCCTGGATACTACGAATAGATTCTCTTTTTATCCCTTCCACTTCCGGCTTTCCCTCTCTTTTTTTCATACCTCCCTTTAAAAATTGTTAGTAAAAAAAGAATTGAATGTTTACTAGGTTTTTGTTTGTTTGTTTGTTTTTTGAGACAAGGGCTCACTCTGTCACCCAGGCTGGAATGCAGTAGCACAGTCTTGGCTCACTGCAACCTCTGCCTCCAGGGCTGAAGTGATCCTCCCACTTCAGCCTCCCCAGTAGCTGGGACTACAGCTGCACGCCACCATGCCCAGCTAATTTTTGTATTTTTTGTAGAGACAGGGTTTCACCATGTTGCCCAGGCTGGTCTTGAACTCCTGGGCTCAAGCAATCCACCTGCCTCAGCCTCCCAAAGTGCTGGGATTACAGGTGTGAGCCACTGTGACCAGCCAGGATCATTGTTAATAGCTTGACACATATATCTCATAATAGGGATAGTCTTGTCCTGATACTTAACATCCATTGCCTATATCATTCTTATCCTATGTTTCGTGACAACAAAATAAAAAACACTCTAAGTCCATTGAACACTTATCTTTGTCCCTCTCTTGATGCATCATTCAGGGAGAGAATAATTTTACTGTATTTGGCCCTATTCATAGTTGCTATTTACATTTAGTTCATATGTGCTGAATTTAATTGAATGTCTTATATTTTTTCTGAAAATCCTGAATTATATCCTATCCTGTGGCTATTACTGTGTTACAATACTTGTCTGTACCTTATAATAACTGTGGAGGAAAATAGTTGAGCAGGAACAATTGCAGTGAAACTAGAAAAAAGTTTTTAGTTCTTCGAGGCAAAGGACTCTATTGGATTTATTTCCTTCTGTATCCTCAGAGCCTAGCACCCATAAGTACTTCACAAATATTTGTCAAATGACTTAAAAGATGATAAATATTGAGCAAATCAGTTCCTGTGTCTGTCTCTGCTTTACCTTTGATCAAATCAAGCTTTTTCTGTAAATGGCCAGATAATAAATATTCTAGGCTTTGTGGGCCACATAGTTTCTGTTGCAAGTGTTCAATGCCAGCAAGATGGCAGCCATAGACCATATGTAAACAAATGAATATGGCTGTGTTGCAATACAACTTTATTTATAAAAACAGGTGACAGGCTAGATTTGGCCCAAAGGTAAAAGTCTGCTGACATCTCCTACAGGTCCATGTCCCACACCCCTGCCCCCCAAAATGTGTATATAATGTTGATCTGTCCCAACTTTTTCTGAGTGGCAGTGGTGGTGGAGTGGAGAGAAAAGAGTTGTGATGACAAATATAGGCCTTCTCTCTCTACAACTCTTTAACCACCAACCATCCCATGGAGAATATGAATATCTTCCTTTTTTTTTTTTCCTTTTTGAGATGGAGTCTCGCTCTGTCACCCAGGCTGTAGTGCAGTCATGCTGTCTCAGCTCACTGCAACCTCTGCCTCCTGGGTTCAAGCAATTCTCCTGCCTCAGCCTCCCAAGTAGCTGGGATTACAGGTGTGCACCACCATGCCCGGCTAGTTTTTTGTATTTTTAGTAGAGACAGGGTTTCACCATGCTGGCCAGGCTGGTCTCAAACTCCCGACCTCGTTATCCACTCCCCTTGGCCTCCCAAAGTGCTGGGATCACAGGCGTAAGCCACCACACCTGGCCGAATATCTTCTTTTTAATCCACAAACCTGGTAACAGCCTTAGGGAACCTTAACTTAACTGTTGTTGAAGCGTCTAAGATGCCAATAGTGAATGGTGTCACTAAAACAAATTAATGTTTTTCAGTGTTAAATTTTTTTTAATTTTGTGGGTACTTAGTTGGTGTATATATTTATGGGGTACATGAGATGCTTTGTTACAGGCATGCAATGTGAGATAAGCACATCATGGAGAACGGGGCATCCATCCCCTCAAGCATTTATCCCTTGAGTTACAAACAATCCAATTACACTCTTTAAGTTATTTTAAAATTTACAATTAAGTTATTATTGGCTAGAATCACCCTATTGTGCTATCAAATAGTAGCTCACATTTATTCTGTTTCTTTTTTTTTTTTTACCCATTAACCATCCTCATCTCAGTTTTTTTGTTGTTAATAAAACAAGTGCAGCTCTCCATGAGAGCACCTTCTCTGGTTCATGCTTCTGGAAAGACAGTTCCTAAGGTGAATGGGCTCATGACTCACAAGGTAGCCTCTCTAGGGGCTACACAGTAGGTTGTTCTTCTCTAAATAGCACCCTGGGACACTGGGGTTCCAAAGAAAAGATGCCTAGACATCAACAACTGGAGCCTCATGAGACATCTAGGATCAGAAAGTGGTGGGTGATGGGTGTGTAGGTTTCGATTAGTGTTTAAATTCAGTAACAGCTTGTTTCTCAATAATATGGATTAACTGCGCTAGACAGAAGCCAAACCCTATCCAGTTTTCAATGTCAAAGCAATGGGAGAAGGGTTTCCAGCTCTGGCAGAAGGTCATCCAATAGGCAAGCCACTGAAAGACACCGATGTTGGGGAGTGTTGGTTGCTGCTGTGATCCCTGAGGCTCTGGTCCCTGAGGAAGTTTACTTGCCAAGTATGTCTGTTATCTCACTGATGCAACCTGTTTGACCACAAAGGAGAGAAAGTTTGTATGAACACTGCTGCTAAATTGTCTGTGCAAATACACATAAACGGCAAAGGCAACAACAGCACATAAAGAAAGAAAGGATATTCTTCATGGAAAAGGATTTATTTGGAGTGGTCTCTAGCCATTCTTCTTATTTTTCTTTCCTTTTCAATCAATAACTTTTCTCTAACCCTTTTAACTCTACCTGTTTAGGCATTTCCTGATTTACATACGTCTTTCTCCTTTTATACTGAGAAAGGATCTGTTTTTTTTTAAAATATAAATCTGTGTATATATATCTATATCTATAGATACAGATATGTATATGTTTTTCTGTAGGTATTAGATATAGATATCTGTATGTTTTTCTATAGGTAAAGATATAGATATCTATATAGATATGTATATCTTTTTCTATAGGTATAGATATAGATATCTATAGATATAGATATGTATATGTTTTTCTATAGGTAAAGATACAGATATCTATATAGATACATATATCTTTTTCTATAGGCATAGATATAGATATCTATAGATATAGACATGTGTATGTTTTTCTCCATTTTTTTTATTTTTCCTTTCTTTTCTCCATTAACTATTTATTCCTTTCTCAACTGCTCCTCATCCTTAATGATTGAGCCCAGGTATCACTTTCTCCACCAGAGTCTTTTCCTGCTTTGCAAGCCCCACGTCCCCAACCCCGACCAGGCGTATACTTTCCTTGTGTGTATGTCGATCACTGCATTCACAGAATTATGTGATAATTATGTATTTGTGTGAGTTCTTTGTTATTTTATGTAATCATCTTTGTTACCCAACCCAAGCACCCTGGTTGTCACATGGTTAGCCTTCAGCAGAATGAGTACAGTTTGGCATTGAGGCTCATAAAGGTTAAATGCGACCAAAGCTAGAAAGGTTTGGGAAGTAGCAGATGGAGGATTCTGGCCGAGTGTGTCCTGGCCCCCTAAACCACTGCCTCTTCAGATTAACCTACTTTCACAGTTCAGGAATGCCTGGCCATCTGCAGTAGATGGCTTGGTAAGAACAATATTCAGTTATTTCTCCTGAGGTTTTTCATCTTTTCCTCTATTTTCACTCTCCCAGCCAAGGCAGCCATCTGGTTCCTTAAAGAAAATCCCGAGGAGGAGCTGATGGGACATATTTCCTGGGTGCTTCCTGGGCCCTGCTGGCTTCTTGCATGGGCTTCTCTCATGGGAGGGATCTCTTTTCCTTATCCTTCCCCCAACTACCCTATCTCCAAATGCTAAGTCCTCCCATTAGATCTCCCTGTCCACAAATCCCCAGAAACTACAGATGCACTCTTCAGCCCTCTCCCTATCACACAGAGCTGTTAATAAAACAGTGTGTCACTGAAATGATCTTAGGGTTGTCTGATAGTCCCAGGGAGATTAGTGTTTCTTCCCACATCAACAGAAGCCATATAAATAGCCCATGTTTATTTGTGACTCGCTGATTTTTCTAGTTTTGTTTGGGAGAACAAAATCATAGTTTATTAGCCACAAACACACACACACAGACACACAGACACACACACACCCCTCTGATGTTACTCACCCAACAATTCAGCTTCATAGAGTACAATAGTCACTAGCCCCTTGTGGCTATAGAACCCTTGAAATGTGGTTAGTGTGACTGAGGAACTGCCATTTTTATTTCACTTAATGTATTAAAATGAATTTAAATGTAATCACACATGATTAGTGGCTACTGTAGCTTACAAAACAGCTTTAGAGCATCTGCTCTCCTGACTTCAATATGGGGATTTATATCAATCTTACTGCTTGGTATTTCAATGATAACAGACTGAAGATGTAAAATTAGTTCGATTAGACTACTTCTCCATAAATGTCCCACAGAGAACCACCTTGGACAACAATTCTTGGGGTACCCTGGAAGTTTAATAAATGTGAAAAGAGAAAATGATTTTTGCTAAAAGGGAAAAGGAATTTTTAATTATAATCCATATATTCTAAATAGTTTTTACAAACCTTCAAAAGTTGTGTTGTATATATGAGGGGGAGGGAATTTATACTTTATATGGAAGCTCACTGGAAGCTTAGATGAAGATGAATCTGCGGACAGAGTCCTGAATTCAGCTACCAGCTATACCACATGTGACCCTGGATAAATCACTTTCCAAATGGCTGGTCTCTCATTTGTAAATTAGGAACCCACCCAAACTATTCCACAGAGTTTCTGAGACTAAATGATATAATATAGAGGCAACCGCTTTGTAAAATGCTATAAGGATGACATTTGCTATTAAAATTTAATTGATAGTATCATAATTCTGTAATCCTTCCAGAGTTACTCAATATGAATAGCAACGGCGGTGGAGAGGAGCCACACTTTCCTCACCTTTAATTGTAAAGTAATTCAGAAAAAGAAAGAAATTCTACTAGTCATTACGGTAAGTAAAGAGAGATTGCTTTTATATTAATGCACAGAAATATTTGTGTGTGTTCGTGGACTTTACAGTTATCCAAACCAATCTTGTTTTAAAAGCCAAATTTTAACTTATATGATTTTCTTTTCTGAGGTAGTTCCAACTTTAAGATTTTCCTCTTGTTTTTATAATAAAAGGATTTTTCAGAAAAACATAATAAGCTTTTTCTTTCATTTATTATGACTCACCCAGTATTTTGTTTTGTAATCTCCTGTCCTTTGGCCAAAGCCTCCAGGGCAATGCTTACCTTGGTAAGCACCATTGTTCTCACTCATGGGGACAACAATAATTTCAGACACTTAAATATGCAAATGTGTCTGTGATGTCATCCCCAAATGACAAAAAAATTATTCCAAAAGATAGGAAAATATGCGCCCTTTTCTTATTTTGCACATCTGAGAATGCCCAACTGAATTTCAGTTTCTTTCAGAAAATTCAGAGTATTTTTAATAAGAATAAATTTTTTTTCTTATGGTCATCTACTAATATTTTTTTAAATCTATATGTCCCAGTCTTAGCTAGTATGTTTTATTTGTATTTTCCAATGTCTAGGCTGAAACCTAAACACTCTTTTGATTGACAGATAAGTGTAATAGTTTTCAAAACAATCCATTTTGTTCTATTTACTTTAGTGCGTTTGAAACAATTGATATATGGCTTATGTTTGCAAGCATTTAATAATGAAAGTGCTATTTTATCCTAAACAATGAATCAGGGGATGCCTTGGCAATCTAATTTTTGCCTTTTGGGGCTTTATATTTTACACTTGAACACTCCAGCCAAGTCTAAAGTCTAGATACTTTATGAGTTTATATAAAAATACATTTAAAAAATTAGCCATTCTCTAACATGTAACATAAATATTTGTAGCCAAAAGCTATTCACATGTTATAAAGTTTTCTGGAATGTAACACCATGGATAAATATTCCAATATGGGTTAATAGCACATAAAGTCATCTTCATGTTACATGACTCATGAAGACATGTTTTAATCTTTAAGATATGTGTCAGTTGATCTAAGTTAGAACATGTATTTAAGACTTTGAGAGCACAAAACTAAACATTATGCTTCCCTTCAACTTGACAGAAAATCCAGAAGAGCTAAAAAAAATGTACCATGGGAGTACAGCTAAGCTGTATTCAGAAAAAAATAGTTGCTTTGATTATGTTCAGACATTCCTACAATTATTTTTTTGGAAGCAAATTGGATCTTTTAAGCAATCTACAGCTGCTATTTCTGAAATTGTTACTATTATGGCAAACCGGGAGTTTCATAGGTGCCAGACTCTGTCATAGTGTAGTATCTCATTTAATGCTCAAACACCCTTTCATGATGTGAGTAGGATTCTTAGTTTACACATGAGAAAGTGGAACTCAGAGAGGCTTGGTCAAATCAGCAGATAAATTATCATTAGTTTTAACAACAACGTGTTTAGATTTTTATTTTTTTTAGTGGATGAAAGAAACATGCAACTTGTGAAGTGAAACAGCAGTACTAGCCTACCAACGTGTTTGGACACAGTGCCTCCAACATCCCTGCCATGGACATCTTCCCTCCACTATATCTTTCCGTTAAGATTTTATTCGTTCTCCAAGGCTCAGTCCAAATGCCACATCCTCCCCGATTTTCCAGTATGAGTGTCCCACTCCTCTTATGTTCCCTTGGTGTGCTGTTAATATTCCTATTAGAACTCTGGCAGCAATGCATTCATTAAAAGAACACTTAGGGAGTACCACTTTGTACTTGGTGCAAGAGTTACCTGTGATAAGGTCTATCTCTCCCTGAGAATAGGGTCCTTGTCTTACTCACTTTTATGGGTTTTTTTTTTTTTTTTTTAATAGCATCTAGCAGAGAAACTTGCTCATAGGTATGCAATAGAGATTTGAGTAGCGTTCCATTCTGGCCACTCACTGAGTCACATCCAACAACCTCCCTGACATTTTTTTAAAATAAAATAGGAAGCAAACACATGACACACTTAGGGTACTCTCTCATTTATTGAAGAGTTCATAATCAGAAACTCCCACAATTGGAGAGTTAGGTGTGTACTTCAGTTGCTGTCACAAACTGCTTTAGAATGCCGTCAACATTTACTGTGAAAGTTTTTCCTTCTCCAAGATTTTTCTTTCAATTCTTTTAGGAGAAAAAAACCATTTATTAAATATTACTAAGTCCTTGCACCTTGCAGTTTCTATTTGCTCCTAGCGAGGGAAAGCTTTTTAGAGCTCTTGTGGGATACAATGGCTAGAGGGGAGAAGAATGGAGCTGGAGCATCTAGGAGCAATAAGCCCTAGGACGAATCAAAAATATATAAAAACAATGGAATCTTGAGGTTTTCCTGGATGCTACTAACTCATTGACATATTTGGCTATAACCCAGCATAATTCTACATATTCTGTACATTAAAATAAAAGTGATTTATTTAGGAATATCAAGAATATCTCTCTCTATGTAAGGTCCAATCAAAAAGCATAGTAACGATCTTATGCAAGTCATCTCTAAAGATCAAACACTAACCATGGTCCATAGCAAGGCATGTTGCAATTTACAATTAGAGTTATATTCACATGTCTATTTTTAAGATAATCATTTATTAAAGTAAAATTTTAAAAAAGCTTGTTACAAAGGGAGCACATAATTCTGACATTTATGTTTTCTGAGGCTGATTTCTTGTTGAGAATTGCAAAGTGTGAAATTTTTATATTGTCTGATATGTAAACTAATGTGGAATTACTCATGACTTGTAATTAACATAGAACATCTCATTAAAAAAACAGATAACTAAGCTTAGTGATAGATATTGAAACTGTATTCCTAGCCATAAAATTATGTAATACTTGATTTGGATTTGTGTCCCTGTTCAAATCGCATGTCGAATTGTAAACCCCAGTGTTGGTGGAATAGCCTGGTGGGAGATGAATGTATCATAGGGGTGGACTTCCTCCTTGCTGCTCTTGTGATAGTAAGTTCTTATGAAATCTGGTTGTTTACAATTGTGTAGCACCTCCTTCTTCATTATCTCTCTCTTGTCACCATGTAAAGATGTGCCTGCTTCCCCTTTGCCTTCTGCCATGTTTGGAAATTTCCTGAAGCCTCCCTGGTCATGCTTCCTGTAAAACCTGTGGAACCATGAGTCCTTTAAACTTCTTATCTTTATAAGCTACCTAGTCTCTGGTAGTTATTTATAGCAATTTGAGAGTGGACTAATACACTTGGTTAAGAACATTCTTTTGTGTTGGTATTAATTTCTAAGCATTAAGCATAGGCTGTAAATAATGCAATCTCTTACATTTGAATAGAGCTTATAAATGCTTCAAAATTTTTTTTAGATTTACTCAAGGATAAATTAATATTAAAGTGCTAGTTGTGTAAAGAACCTTATATGTTATCTCATTTCATGGTAAAAATTAGGAAGCAAAAAGATACATTTTGAACTTGTTACAAGTTTGCTCAGCTAATACAGGGCAGAGATTCAAATTTAGGTTTTTCTGATACTTAGAACTCTTCAATGTCTTTGTAATATCCCCTTGAAAACTGATAACAAGGAATTCTAGTGATTTGCCCAAGGTCATAATTCATGGCAGATTAGAACCCAGAATTCCCATCTTTTAGTTATTTCCATATTCTCTATTACTCTATGCTTTATGCGTAGATATTAGAAAGTCAAGATTAATTTTTAGTATTTAAAGATTTTCCTTTTCTTATAAAGGTTAAATGTGATTTGGATAGGAAAATCTGCTTCCAAGGACTGCTTACCTAACTAGAAATTCTGTATAAAGCCTGAAGCAAATAATCGGGGTAATTAACCTGAATGATGTAAACACTCTTTTTCATAGAGTCATGCTATATACAGTAAAAGTTATCTTAAGCATCATTTTACTAATCAGGAAGTATTCCTCTGAAAAATCTCTTCCATCTGAAATCTCTTAAGATTGCATATAATGCAGTATTTGGGCTCCAGTGGTACACATATAAGAGCTCTCACTTAGAGTTAAATTGTTTCCACTTAAATTGACAACACTTTAGGAAACAGGGACCATGTATTTTTCAAAATTGCTTTCTTGAATCTCAGATACTACGCAAGTAAGATAGTATACATATTTGTAGACATTTGTTGGAAAAAACTTGAGAACCCAGCATGCAGCCCATTCTCTGGAATAACAAATGTAATAGATTCAAGGACAACAGTCCCACACAAGCAAATATTAATAATTAGCTATTTTGTGACCAGAGGAAAGCGACAAGTTTCCTTTCGCAAAATCTAGCCCCTTCTTTACGTATACTTAGCTCCAGGAGTATAGCCCTGTGCATTTGCTCCTAAGTAAAATGAGGAAATAATCTATTGAGTCCATTGAGGTAATGGGACTTAAAATTAAGTTGTAAATACCTTTGGAAAATGTTGAGTTCCAACTCTCACACAAGATTGAATACAAACCTTTTTATTGTAAAGACCACATATTGCCCTTCCTCCAGTTCAATGAAATCAGAGATAGGAACTATGGATGTTTACTTGATGAGGCACTGACCCAGATGACGTCTAGTAGATTACTGCTTCAATGGCCTAAATGACATTTTAGAGCTTAAATGAATCAGTGTGCTTCTGAAAATACCTTGCACCCAAGGACTGGTTGGGTCCGGCCAAGTAAATATTAGCAAAATCAGTTGATTACAAAAAAAAAAAATCCAAATTCTCAATAATCTCATCAGGAATGCAGACCAAGAAATCTGAGATGGATTGGCTCACCAGGTCAATATTCGTCATTCAGAAGTCAGTGTGTTGGTATCGGCTACGGACACTGAGGAAATTACTTATCTTATTTTTTAAAGATATGTAGTATCTTTCTTAAGATATACAATAAACAGCAGCCTTTTTATGGCATGGATCCCTCCTAGGTGCCATCTGTAGAGTTTAAGCTAGGAAAGGTCACCCATTTGTATCTCTTGCTTGTTTATAGAACCTGGGCTGCCAGTTATTTAAAGGTCTCACTTTCAAAATGGACTTTGATTGACATATTTTCCTGTTTGCTTATTATCTGAGAAGGTAGCTCACAACAAAAATGTAAAGCCTTACATTCAAACTTGATGACTCAATGTTCCAAATGTTAGGAATGTGATTTGAAACAAATGGGATATACAATTAAGTTAAAGGGAATTTGACTTTTTATCAAGGTGAGATTGTCAGATGAGATATGTACAAAAATGTAAATATTCTCCTGAAGAGTGAAATGTTTTAATACAGGCATGACCAGTTTGACCAAAGCTCTCATTCTGTCTGTCATTATGTGAATTTCAAAACATTTTTTTTTCCATGAAACAATAGACTGGTACTTGAGGTCTGTTCTGTATCAAGGTAAATTTCATTTTGATTCCAATAAAAATAGTTATGTGAAAATCTCAGAATTTAAAAAGACCCTATCAGACAATTAAAACTAGTTTCCTGCAAATATATTGCTAAACTCTATGAAACTGTTTTTTGGGAATGGGTAGAATGTATTTGGCACTTCTAGGGATTAGTGTATTTCTAAATAATTTCTCAACTATTGGCTAAAGTTTAAATATTACAGCCTTTTTTTTCAGAAATTGAAACATTAAAACATACATTCAAGTAGAAGACACTAAATAGAATATTCTCAAACTAGGTTTTGAATATATCCTAGAAGGAGGATTTAAATGTCTCTATTGTTTTTTCTTTTGAACAGATTTGTGTGTTTGTTATACTTTTCCAAAAAAAAGTATAATTGCTCATTCCTAAAACTTAGAAAAGAATGGCTTTTTTCAAACTTTTTTATAAAAAGCATTAGTTAAAATTACAAATAGTCTCCTGTCAGCCAATCTAACACTTAGCAGCAGGCTCGGCATGGCTCTGATTAAATTCTTTTTCATTTGCTTTTTGCACATATGTGTGTATGTGAATATCAATGATTTCAGTTTTTTGAAAACATGTTTTCCCTTCATAATGCTTTATTTAAATGGGAAAACAACAACAATAAGCTCCCAATGACTTTAGTGAGACTAGCATTGAGTAGTGAGAGGTTTGACACAAAGGAAATAAAAGCTGTGAAAGAAAAGCGAGCAATGAATGGACCTAGGTACGTGGTAGATGGTGGTGTGCTTGTCATTAGCAAAGAAGCACGTGTGAGTTGTCACGTATTTCATGTCAAACTGGTCAAAGGCATTATTTTAAAATGACATGTGGTTCATTGGGAATCAGTTTACTTCCATTCTTATGTTCAAATTAGGTTAATTTTTTCTTTAGTTTTCTCAAAGGGTGAAAACATCCCATCTCTTTTACAGACCTCCAGGGAAAGGCATGGAGGTTTGAGGCATGAAGACTCTAAACAGCCAAATTATGTCTTGGGCACAGATTCTATTATTCGGTGGGAACCCATCAGTCTAGTTTTCTGTGAAAAGTAAGTCCCTTCCTTTGTATTGCCTGGTCAGTCGTTCAGTTCTGATTGTAAGACATGTTCAATTAGGAGGTTTCCTTCTTAGACACAGTGAACAATGATCACTTACGAATGCAGAGGTTCATCGTTGAGGGCAGTCATTTATTTACATCATGGATGGAAGTTTTTCTTTAAAGCACAGTTTTCAGGTTTACTATTCCCAGGAAACATATCAAAGCATGTATTTGAAAGGCTCAATGTCAGAATCCCTGCTTTGTTTACCAGAACTGTTTTTCACCTTCTGTAAAATCACAGATGGGTGTTAACATTTCAGTGAATAAGATGTTCCATTGTGTGAAACAGCGGCTCCTAGCTTTCATACATTTCCAGGATCAAGCCATTTCACTTTTTAATCATAATGACCATAATAATAATTGCTCTAATAGTTATTGCATAGATACCACCATTAAGCAAGTTAAGTTCTCAATATCTCAGTTTACCCATCTGTACAATAACAATGATAACGTCCTCCTAAAATGTCATGAGGATTAAGTGATAGAATGTATATCATTACTGGACTATAGTAGGTGTTTAATAAATGATAGCTATTCTCATTCGTTTTATGTGTTTACATCATATAAAACTTCTGTCACTTTATTTGAGAGAGCTATAGATGCGATCAAGTGACACTCCTTCCCCAGGGAGTCAAGCCTGAAAAGAAATAAACACTGCGGCTCACTGAATGACTTGCCATTAGGATGGTAATAAATACAGCCCTGCTGTCCATGGTGAAATAGTACTAATGATTACCACACTCTTATTTTCCTCTGTCAGACCATGTACGATTACAGCCCTGGGTCAGTTTGACTTAAACTCAGCTTCTGGTCATCAGGACCTAGTGCTAAATACCTTTTAAATATTAGAATTCTCCAAAAGAAGGGAATTTTTAATCTGGTAGCATTCTAATAAGCTCTTTTCCTATAAATATGTGAAATTGTTATTGACTATTATGCATTTTAATTAATTTTGTTTTCTTTTTGTACTTGTGCCTGGGGATAACACTGAGAAAGGCATTATTTTAAAGATTGAATGAATAAGTAACCCAAACACAAATGATTTATCTTTCCCTGGATTATGACATTTAGAAAAAAATAAAATAGCTATGTTTTTATATTATGTGATAGATTATTTTTTTGCTTTTTTCTCATTACGTTTAACACATTATAACATAATTTGTTGTATATAATATACACATATATAACACATTATGTTAGTCAAATTCCACATCCTATGAATTTTTTTAATGAAACCAATTATTTATTTCTCTAGTTTTTTTAGAGTTCTGTTTCAGTGACTTATATGTGAAATACAGAAATTCCCAAATGAATCGGCAAAAGTACAAAATATGTTATCTTAAATAAAAGCTTATATTCTAATGTTCATTGCCAGTATGTGACATTCTTAGAAGTCATCAGCTGGTGGGATACTATAGCTGATGTTCACAATATACAAGGTTCAATCTGTTCACACTCTCCAGGGTTCAATAGTTCATCGGAGATAAGCATCTATAGTAAGATGTTCTTTTGAAACTTGTCAGGAAAATCTTAAAAGCATTGTCGCATTAATTTTCTCATTATTTTTCATTGTATCACTGGTGGCAGATAAGGATGAAAAGGGCTCAAAACGGTATGTCTAGAAAGAAAAAAACCGGCCCATTTACTAATCTAAGCATGGAATAGAAATTCTCCAAGTTGATTTTGTTTTGCCTCATTATCCATATAAACCAGGGATTTGAGGTAAGACCTGACTCCAGAACTCACATTGATCTTCACAACTTCCTGCTATCCCTTCTGGAAGAACCCAGGCAAAAAGCAAACCCAGAAGTAAAATTTTCACCTCTCAAATATTCTAAATCCTTTTTCTTATCCTTCATGTTTTCTCGCTTATCAACCCCACAATCTGCCTTTGTAATCTACACATTCTGAGGCTTTAAATCTTCCCAGCTGGGTCTCATATCCCACTCAGGTTGACATTTGCTTATATATTGTTGTCTTGACCATCATATCCCTTCAGAGAAGAAGAAACCACTGACGTTGAAGGTAGGAGAAATGTCTTGTGTCTTAAGCTTTACTGTGTGAACTTTTTTTTTTTTTTTCCAAGATGGAGTCTCGCTCTTTCTTCCAGGCTGGAGTGTAGTGACATGATCTCTGCTCACTGCAGCCTCCACCTCCCAGGTTCAAGCAATTCTCCTGCCTCAGCCTCAAAAGTAGCTGGGATTACAGGCACTCACCACCATGCCCTGCTAATTTTTGAATTTTTTGTAGAGACGGGGTTTCACCATGTTGGCCAGGCTGGTCTCCAAGACCTCAAGTGTTCTGCCTGTCTTTGCCTCCCGGAGTGCTGGGATTACAGGCGTGAGGCACCACACAGGGTCTACAGTGTGAACTTTACATTCACTTGACATCATTGCCCTTTGCAAAAATGGAATGAGGGTGGGCTTGGGCTATCCAATGTTAGATGCTTTTAAAGTTCTAACCTTGAATGTGGTAGAAATTAGTGTTCATGGACTCTTGCAGCCAGAATGCCTGGATTTGAAGCCTGTTTCTAGCACCTGTCACTGTGATTCCATCCAGTTACTTGTTTCTAAGAGCCTCAATTTCCTCATCTGTGGTATGGGCATAATAATTTTTCTTTCAGAGTGTTGTTATTAAAATTAAGTTAGAAACACACATATGCATTAGTAAAAGAGTATACATCTGATACTCTTTTTGTAATATGTATATTACTCAATAGACATGAGCTACAGTAGTCCTCCCTTATCCTTGGGGCCATTACCTTTCAAGACCCCCAGTGGATGCCTAAAACCATGAATAGTAGTGAACCCCATATATTCTACGTTTTCTTCTATACAAACATGCCTATGATAAAGTTATTTATAAATTAGGCACAGTAAGAGATTAACAACCATAATAGTATAACAGAACAATTATTTCAATATTCTGTAATAAAAGTTACGTAAATGTATTCTCTTTCTCTCTCAAAATATTGTAATATTTTTGGACCATGGTTGACTACAGGTAACAGAAACCCAGAAACATGAAACTGTGGCAAAGGGGAACCGATTGTACTAATCCTAGCCATTTCTACTAATTAATAGGTTAGGTTTATAAAGTACTTTCATTTACAATATTTCAATTAACCATAGCAAGGATCCTGATATTAGGATAAATAATGAAGCCCTGAAAAGTTAGTTGACTTATTTAAGGTGAACAGGTGGTGGTGGTTCAAGAACTGGAACCCATATCTTGTCTAGGGTTTTATTAACTACACAAATACAATGATACATTTACAACTTAGTCTTTGACGACTAACACCTAAGACTTTTTATCTTTATAAGATCTTTTAGGAGATTCTGTTGTTGACATGAAATTGTTGTTATTTTATACTACATTGTAACTAAGAATAATCAAGATTTGTTTTCTGAACTGCCTAATCTAGGAGCAATATCCATATTCATATAAAGTTTGAGTATATTTGAGTAGTGTCTAAAGTCAAACATGTTATACTGAGTTCCTTACTTACATCTTTGTTTTTCTGAGGATGTAGGTTGGGATGTGGAATGAATGGATCATTGCAGAATTAATTTGAAGATTAGCATGCAAGTGAAAGCTGCTGCTTGATTTGTACAGAAATGTGTTACTCTTAGAATATTCTGCAGCGTTAGGATGAACTGTGAATGTATGCATATGTGTATTTGTGGGTCTGATGATATTCATATGGAGAGAGTAGTCTTCTTTTGAAAGCTACACTAATACATTTCTGTTCAAATACAGAAATCGACATTCCCATTTCAACTATTTATTTGGGGAGAAAAGGTTCAAGTGCAGGACTGACTTACCTGACCTGTTTACTGAAAGTGTGATTAATTTTTGTGCTTACAAGGATAGAAGTGCAGAAAAGCTTTTCCTTTCCTTTGTTATCTCTGTGGCATCTTTTGACCTACACCTGGTAATTCTCTGTGATGAAAATGTGCAGAAGAAAACAGCTGTGTGCAGATAGACAATAGGGAAAAGGCACAGGAAGAGGAACTGAATGAGAAGTGCATTTTACAAAGTATGAAAGTAGAGTGTTTTATTTATTTTATTTTAGCAATAACAAAAAAGGCACTACATAAGAGTAATGTAATTTCAGATGGGCCAGGAGCCCACCCAGGCCGAGCCATCAACCAATCTGGTCTCATCTTCTTTTATCCAGGCTTATTTTGTTTTCACCAGAAAAAGGCCTTATTAGTTATTTAATACAAAGTACATGCCAGGTACAATTCTAAATATCTCAGCTGCATCATTGTTTAAATTTCTTCATACCTAACAATCGTAACAATTTCTTCAATCCTAACAATCTTATGCTGTGGGTATCTTGGTTTCTGTTTTTCAGGTAAAGTCTAGAAAGTTGACATATAATGATTTTTAGAGAGCTGATAAGTCAAAGGGTCAGGATTTGTACACATTTCTGCCTTATTCTGAAGTTGAAATCATAACCACAATGCTCATGAGCATCTGTTGGGGATGGTGTTCGTGGGATGTGTGATAATTAATTTTATGTGTAAACTTGGCTTGGCCATGGTATGCAGACATTTGGTCAAACATTATTTTAGATGTTTCTGTGAAGGTCTTTTTGATGATACTAACATTCAAATCAGTATGTATTGAGTAAAGCAGATTACCCTCCAGCATGTTCATGGGCCTAATCTAATAAACTGAAGGCCTTGGTAGAAAAAGATCCACCTTCCTGGAAGATGAGGGAATTCTGCCAGTAGATGACCTTCTGATCTAAACTGCAATTTAGCCTTTCCCTGGGTCTCCAGCCTGCTAGCCCACTCCACAGATTTTTGATTGACCAGCCTGCATAATGATGTGAGCTAATTCCCTAAAATAATTCTCTCTTTCTATATATACACATCTGATTGGTTCTTTTTCTCTAGAGAACTCTGATTAATATAAGATGGGTTTTTCATTCATTCACTTTATGCAGGGGAGTTGGCTGAGGGAAGACCCAGATTATGGTTGCCTGTTGTGGCTTTCTAGGTCCTCAGATCCAGGTGGGCATCATGGGCCTCTGTGAGCTTTCTCAGGAGTGTTGGCATGGTAGGTAGCTAAGAGCAGATGAATCTTCTTTACCCCAGTGCATGATTGTACTTCCTGTTTCCTGGTTTACCAGCATAAGATGAAACACATTATTTAGTATTTAGTAAATACATTTCAGTTTATCTTAAGAATATATTTAGAAATCAGCCCACGGTTAGTAAATAAATGATATATAGCTTCTTATATAAAATTAGCATTTCATGAAAGCCTATTACATGCTGGATACCTTGATAAGTCCTTTCCATATCCAGAAAATATGTTATCTTTTGCCCTCATAAGCAACTCTAAGAAAACAAATTTGTTGAACTTAAGTTTTAAAATGAAAAAACTGACATCCCAAAATAATTAGTAACTTGCATTAGGTAATAGAGGAGCTGGGATTTCAACCCAGTTCCATCTGATTTCAAAGTTCATCTTCTAAATGCCCACAGTTAATACCCTCTTTTTACATTATATGCACCTGAATATATGCACAACAATCTAAAGTATAAAAATCACATAAAGGACATTCCATTTTCACAGACTAAAATAAATTTATAACATTCCTAATTAATTCTCTGCTATTAGAATAATCTTTGGTGATCTACCTCTATGATTTTATGCTTTTCTTTAATTTTCTTTAATAGTTGAATGGTTGACCTGACCTAGTACAATAACTATCCTATAACATTTTATTATAATGATTTTATTTATTTCAATCATATTAAATTTACAAGGTTTACAACTCATATTATTACTTTTATTTGTTCATTTTCATTAATTTAATAAATTAATAGGGACAGAATGCAATAAAACAAACTCAGCTTTACAAGCAAAAATAAGACTGTTTCTAAACCTGAACTCTTGGCAAACAAACAAGTACTCCCACTGGAGAAAAAATAATGTCTCTTCATTCATCAGTTTATATACATACTTCCAAAAGAAATTTTAATATGTAGTGGATGAGAATGTGTCAGCAGTTTTTTTAGAGATTAACTTGCAAAAGTTAAGGATTATCTGTTTTTTATAATATCTCTTTTATTTATCCTGTTTTCCATCATAAATGACCTTTCAGACTTTTGGAATTCAGTTTGGCCAACCCATGGTTCATTGCAGAAGCCAATTAAGAAAAAATAAAACCAGTTAATGTAAAGAGGTGAAAAGTAGAACCCTTTGTAAGAGCTCCTTGATAACTTAGAAGTCATGAGCGTATTTTTACAAACTATGTTTCACATCACATTTAATGTGAAAACCAGTGGTAGCCTTGTAAGCATCTACTAACTTTAATGGAGACCATCATGTTGGAAATTGATAGTGGAAGATAACATGGTCTCTAATATCTACCTCCAACTCTAGAAGGCAATATTATCTCTTTACCCTGGAAAATTGGTATGACTGGCCAAACTAAAGTTTGAAAAAAATTAGGCCAAGTTTAAAGACATCAGACTGTGGTGGGCAGACAGCTCTAGTAAAGCTTGAAATACAATCAGAAACATGGGAGATGTTCTACTTCTGAGCATGGAGACATATTGTCAAGACATGTGTCATCATCATTACAATGAGTACATTAGGGACTGGGCAAAGTGTTGGAAAGTCCCACAGTGAGGTGGCTGCTAAGGGAGGGGTTTCTCTGTGATTCTTACCCCAGGTAACTAGGGTGCTATCAAATTTATTCCATAAACGATTCAGAGCTATGTGAATTGAAGGGATATTCCGAACTAGAAAAAAGTAGAGTAAGTTTCTCCAACATCTTAGTTTATTTTCAGTAAATCTTGATTTCTTTTTCTTTCCTCTCCTCCCATGCAGAGCTAAAAATATCCAATGCAAAATAAAGAACTCCTATAAGCACTTACATTGATCTAATAATCTGATTATTATTTTAGCCTGGTTAATTAAATGGGCAAAGTTCAAAAACATAAAACCAAATCAAACATAACCACACCTTTATATCCACAGCATTTTGTAAGCTCAGAGAAACAGCCAGATCGAAATGTCTAATTGGCTTAAAGTATAAGTGGACTTTAATACCGCAAACACTCTACGTAATTTTCTGCAAGTTTATTTGAATGGTGCAAACTAAATGGATGAGATTTCTTTAAAGAAGGAAGTGTTTAAGTGATGTTGAATTAACACACAAATGATTAAATGTGTCAAATTACCATTTGTCCTTTGGCAAAAGCTTCAGAGCATCACCAGGGAAATAACCCTGGCCCACATTTGGTGGACTTCTGCAGAACTCATACACACATCTCCTTTCTGCTGAAAAATAACAGACGTCTATATGAAAAAAATAAGGCATATCCTCTTTGATAAATCACTTAAAGGGAGAACTGGTGAGAGGGTAAAGCAACAGGATGTGGGTGTCTGACTTACAATGCAAGCTGGTCACATGCTGTACATGTTGACATCAGCTGCGGCAGAGACATTTTCCTTGGGTTTCACACCAAGAGTGGCTGAACCCACTCCTGTGAGTAACACCACACACTGCATCAAGCAAGACTCTGTGTCACAGCATCCCTCATGGCCCTGCTGTCCACAGGGTCTTAGAGGGAAACTGGCATTGTCATCAGCCCTCTCCTGTCTGGGACCTGCCTTTGATCGTTTTCACAGCTGTCACACTCCAGTCTGCTCACAAAGAACAACAGATTGCTGGGAGAGGAATGCTCACCATACAGCTACCTGAAAGATAAGAACTGCCATTGTTTTTCCCCTTCTTTGTTCCAACCTCCCCAATAATGATGGAAAGGTGTTCCTCCCTAAAATACACACTGGAAGTGTCAGAGAGATGCTCCATCCTGTGGACCATCATCTCTTTGTCTCTGAGAAGCCCCCAACAGACCAGATTCTGTTTCTTATGTGACACAGGTCGTATTTTGCCTTGCAGTTATTTTTTCTGTGCAAATCCTATTCCACTTATTTGAGATAGGAAACATGCCCTACTCATCTTCTTATTGTCCATTACAGCTTTCAGAGGCTCTGAAAAATAAATATTTGTTAACTTAAATAAATTCCAGAAGCATTCTAATGAAAAACAGTATGTGTATTAACCCAGTAGCTATTTACTGAGTGGCTACTATGTTGTAAGCATAATTATATCCTAGTTCAAAGTGACTTGAGCATGAATATTATGAGTTTCTGCTTTCAACTCATTTATATGCTATTAAGAGAAATAGAGAGAGGAAGGAAGGGAGAGAAAGAACAGGGTATGGTGGAAATCTAGAGCAGGGAGGAATAAACTTTGCCTGGGGCAATTGGTCAAGTCTTCCAGGAGAGGAAGAGTTGATCTGGGTTCTGAAGGATGGGTAATACTCAACAGGCAGTTAATGGGAGTGTAAATTACTTCAACCATTGAAAAAATTAGCATGGTGATTCCTCAAAGAGCTAAAAACAGAACTACCATTTGACCCAGTAATCCCATTACTGGCTATATATCCAGAGGAATATAAATCATTCTGCCTTGAAGACCCATGCACGTGAATGTTCATTGCAGCACTATTGACAATAGCAAAGGCATGGGATCAGCCTAAATGCCCATCAGTGACAGATTGGATAAAGAAAATGTGATACATATACACCATTGAATACTATGCAGCCATAAAAACGAATGAGATCATGTCTTTTGCAGGAACATGAATGGAGCTGGAGGCCATTATCCTTAGCAAACTAATGCAGGAACAGAAAATCAAATACCATATGTTTCACTTATAAGTAGGAGCTAAATGATGAGAACTCATGGACGTACAAAGAAGGAAACAACAGACACTGAGGCCTACTTGCGGGTTGAGGGTGAGAGGTGGGAGAAGAGCAGAGAAAATAACTATTGCATACTAGGCTTAGTATCTGGGTGAGAAAATAATCTGCAAAACAAACTCCTGTGACACAAGTTTACCTATATAACAAACCTGCACATGTACTCCTGAACCTAAAATAAAAGTTAAAAAATAATCAAATGGCAGAAAAGATAATAAGGACATTACAGGCAAAGTGAGTAGTTCTTGCAGAACAAAATTTATGGAAGGAATGTTTTAATTAGGAAACTAAGAAAAGTTCAGAGTGACTGGAACATTGAGAGAAATAGGGAGAGAAGGGGCATATTCATTTTTGACTGCTGCATAATGAGTGATCACAAACTTGGTAGCTCAAAACAACACTGTATTAGTTAGGGTTTTCTAGAGGGACAGAACTAACGAGAGAGAGAGAGAGAGATAGATAGATAAAGGGGAGTTTATTAAGTATTAACTCACACTATCACAAGGTCCTACAATAGGCATCTGTAAGCTGAGGAGCAAGGAGAGCCAGTCCAAGTCCCAAAACAAGAACCTGGAGTCCAGTGTTTGAGGGCAGGAAGCATCCAGCATGGGAGAAAGATGTAGGCTGGGAGGCTAGGCCAGTCTTTTCACGTTTTTCTGCCTGCTTTATATTCCAGCTGGGCTGGTGGCTGATTAGATGGTGTCCACTCAGATTAAGGGCGGGTCTGCCTTTCTCAGCCCACTGACTCAAATGTTAATCTCCTTTGGCAACACCCTGATAGACACACCCAGGATCAATACTTTGCATCCTTCAGTCCAATCTAGTTGACACTCAGTATTAATCATCACAAACACGTAGGTATTATCTGAAGACTTTTATGGGTCTGGGTATGGGTTAACTGGGTCCTCTGTTCATAGTCTCATTGGGCTGAAATCATGGAGTTGGCTGGGGTTATAATCTCGTTTGAGGCTCAGGGACCTCTTTCAAGCTCACATGGTGATTGGCAGAATTCAGTTATCTGAAGCTGTGCAATTGGGAAAATTATTTCTAACTAGCTGTTAACTGGAGACCCCTCTAAGTCCTAGAAGTCACCCACACAGCCCCTCCATAGGCCCTGTCAGAACATGCCAGTTTGCTTCATTCTGAGGCCAACAGAAGAGCTTCCCTATCCCATTTCCGCTTCCCTTAAAGCACTCATCTGATTAGGTCATGCCCACCCAGGATCATCCCCCCTTTTGATGAACTCAAAGTCACATGATTAGTAGTCAGTGATATCCCACCATATTCACTTACTCTGCCCACATTCAAGGGGAGGACATTATAACAGGTTGGGGACTCCAGGAGTCAGAATCTTAGAGCTCTTTCTATCACAATCGAAGTAGGAAAAAGCTGAAGGAATCCAAAATTTGAACTTTCTGTAGGCCCTGTCACTATCCATCTAGTTTTGAGTCCCTTCATTGATATACACTTTTATCTATAAAACCTTCATAGAGATGGTCTCAGTCTAAATAAATAATATAACTAACAGAATTCTGCACACTGCTTTGCACATATATCTATGGTATGAAGTTTCTTCATACCAAAGCCACTCTGAGGAATTCACACTATTCTTCAGGGTGAAGAATGGAAAGTTTGTTAACATTGTTAAGAAGGGAGGGAACATGATCAGATTTGCTTTTTGCACTGGGCCAGGATGATGAGCAATCTGGCCTCAAACTCACTACTAATTTGTATTTTAATTACCCTAATACAACACATGACTAAGAATTTGATAATACTTAGTTTTTATGATGGAAAATTTTGAACATATCAAAATAAACAGAATGATATATTTCCCCATGTCCTGACCTTGGTTTTGGTAGTTATCAACTATCAATGTCATGTTTGTTTCACCTTTCCTCTTTTCCCATTTTCTCCTATTTTATTAATATTTGTTTCTTTAGTTGTTTTTGAGGCAAGATTTATATATATTCAATTACTGTACAATTTTGACCAATGCATACACTCATGTAACCCACACACCTATCAAGATAAAAAGTATTTTTTATTACTTTTATTACTCAGAAAGTTTTCCCATATCTCTTCCAAGTCAACCCCTCCCACTCTGCTAAGAGGCAGCCACTGTTTTTGTTTTCTGGTTTTTGTTTTTTGCCACTCTTAGAACTTTATATAAATGGAGTCATACAGCATGCATTCTTTTGTGTCTGGCTTTTTTTCACAGCATAATGTCTGGGACAAGCATTTATGCCATTGAGTGTATTCACAGTTTATTCCTTTGTATTGTCAAGTAGTAGTCCATTAAAAGAATATGTCACTGTTTTTCCATTATTTTCATACCTGGGCTGTTTCCAGTTTTGGGCTATTACAAACAAAGCTACTATTTCCATTCTTATAGATGTCTTTCTGTGGACATCTATTTTTATTTTCCTTAAGTAAATATATAGGAGTTTGCTGAATTAAAGGGCATACATACTATATCTAAATTTATTAGGAACTGTAAAAATTTCTTTCAAAGTGTTTGTAACATTTTACACTCCCATCAGCAATGTATGAGAGTTACAGTTGCTCTGCATCCTCACCAACACTTGTTGTTGCTAGTTTTAATTGCAGCCATTCTGATGGGTGTATATTAGTGTCACATTGTGGTTTTAATTTATATTTCCATTATGACTGATGGCATTGAATAATTACATTTAGATGTGGAATAATACTGCTGAAGAGCCTCAGTTTTCGTATTAGACCAACCCTGGTTCAAATCCCTGCTTTGCTTCTTACCCATCAAGATTCTTGACTTCTTTCTAAAATATATATCCATATAGCAGCTACCCAGCTACCCAAATTTTGCACACACACACACACACACACACACACACACACACACGAACAGCAATCCCCAACCTTTCTGGCACCAGGGATTGATTTACCTGGAAGACAATTTTTCCATGGATGGGGCAGAGGGAAGCATGGTTTTGGAATGAAACTGTTCCACCTCCGATCATCAGGCATTAGATTCTCATATTGAGTGCAATATAGATCCCTTGCATGTGCACTTCACAGTAGGATTCATGCTCCTTTGAGAGTCTAATGCCCCTGCTGATCTGACAGGAGGCCAAGCTCATGTGGTAATGTTGACTTGCCAGTCACTCACCTCCTGCTGTGCAGCCGGGTTCCTAACAGTCCATAGACTGGTACAAGTCCATTGTACTAGAATATATAAATACTATATATATTTTAGTGCATATATAAATAGAACATATATTTATAAGTATATATAATTCTTTAAAAAAAAATTTTTTTTTTGAGACAGAGTCTCGCTCTTGCTGCCCAGGCTGGAGTGCAGTGGTGCGATCTCAGCTCACTGCAACCTCTGCCCCCTGGGTTCAAGTTATTCTCCTGCCTCAGCCTCTCTCTGCCAGGCTGGTCTCGAACTCTTGACCTCAAGTGATCTGCCCCCCCCTTGGCCTCCCAAAGTCCTGGGATTACAGGCATGAGCCATCATGCCTGGCTTATATATAATTCTAGTATCTGCTACATGGATTGTGTGGTAAAGGTTAAGCAAGAAAATACGCATAAATTTCTTAGGAAAGTATGTGGCCCAACAAATAGTAGTTTTACTACTCATTGAAGACTTTCATGAATTATACTTATTGACACACAAATAGGCAGGTAGATTACTTATTGTTATTTTCAGATGGAGGGAATTAAAGGGGAGAACCTCTTGTACTCAGAGAGGTCACAATCCTAAGCACTCCTTACTCACCTCAAGATATAGCATAACCAAGCCTGTCTCTACCCTTGATGACTTCTTGCCACAGCAATCTGAATGCCCTTGACTGCTTGGACTTGGCTACTCAGTTCAGCCTGTTTCCCCTACGATGAACTGACATAGATTCCAAGGCTACAGCTTCCTTTGTATCTTTTCCCCAATGTTGCTTCACAGAAACACACACTGCCTATGCCATCCACTTCTGTTTTTTCTCTTCCCCATCCTCCAGTTCCCTCTTTTCATGATTTGTAATACAGGCCCTTTAAAAGAGTTTTTAAAATGTCAGGCAAAGGCAGGCAAATGTGATTCTTAGAAGTAGTGTCCATTTTGGAAGTGGGAGTGAGGGAGGCAGAAGCCTTTGTTGGGGTGGGTTGGGGGTGTGTGAATGGGAGAACAAGTCTTTCTTCCTCAAATAGTTTTGGCTAAATTCACTAAGCATTAAGGAGGGGCGAGGGTAATGTGCTTCTCCCTGCCTCTATCCCCAATAAAGTGCGGGGGTATAGCAGAACAAGCCAGGGTCCCGGAAAGGGGCCATCAATAGTTTTAAAAATCTCCCTGGTTATTGATCTCCTCCTGCCTATGACTCCTATATTGCACTGAGTCTCACTTTTTAGAGCCAGAACCAGAAGAGAAGAAAATGAAGGACAGAGCCTTGAGCTGTCCAGAAATGTAACAAGTGGCTGAAATAAAGAGATTGAAGGCAAGTGGCTAGCAAAATAGAAGCAAAATTAGAAGTAGGTAATGTCTGTGTATTCAAAGAGAAGGGGATTGTCAACATAATGAAACACTTCAGAGAAGTGAAGTAGAATGAGGAATAAAAGTAGGTCACTGGAAGTTAAGTGTTGGTGTTTCTGAAAGGTGTGTTTGCATATATATGTTTGGAGAGGTAGAGGGAAGGAAGTCAGATAAAAGCTGATGAATTTATGACTCACAATCTGTCTTTTGATGAAATTAACAAAGCCTTTGAACTCATGCATTCCGGAAAGAGCATTCGAACTCTTGTCAAGATTTAATTCCAAAGAGAAAAATAACATCCATCTTGTCGTGATCTGATGGGAACAGCCTAACAGGCAGGGAGAAGCGCCTCCAAGCTCACAGGCTCGCAGACCTTCAGCAGCTACTCCAGAGGATAGTGTGATGTGTGTAATTCATGAATTTCTGTAATCATGGACAAGGATAATTTAGTCATGAACCTGTTTTCTGGATCATCCTCCACACAAATAATTGCTAGCTCATTAAGGAATATTTTAACGTAATAAAAGTAATTTCCACCCCCCAAAAAAGATATACAAATGGCCAATAAGCACATAAAAATGTGTCCAGGCTGGGCACAGTGGCTCACGCCTGCACTCCCAGCACTTTGGGAGACCCAGGCGGGCAGATCACTTGAGGTCGGGAGTTCGACACCAGCCTGACCAACATGGAGTGACCCTGTCTCTACTGAAAATACAAAATTAGCCAGGCGTGGTGGCGCATGCCTGTAATCCCAGATACCTGGGAGGCTGAGGCAGGAGAATTGCTTGAACCTGGGAGGCAGAGATTGCAGTGAGCTGAGATTGTGCCATTGCACTCCAGCCTGGGCAACAAAAGTGAAACTCTGTCTCAAATAAATAAATAAATACAATAAAAAAATGTGTGCAATGTCATTAGCCATTAGGGAAATGTAAATCAAAACCGCAATGAGATACTATTTCACATTTATTAGATTGACTAAAATTAAAAAGACAGATAATAACAAGTGTTGGTTAAGATGCAGAGAAAGTCTATTCCTTATATTGCTGATGGGAATGTAAAATGGTGCAACCACTTCGCAAAACTATCTACAAATTCTTCCTAAGGTTAACATTTGAGTTAACGTAGAGTTAACATTTAACCCAGCAATTCTACCCCTAGGTGTATACCTAAGAGGAATGAAAATATATGTCCACATGAAAACTTGGACATAAATGCATATGGTGCCATTATTCATAATAGCAAAAAAGGGGTAAATTCCCAGCTATCCATCAATTTATGAATGAATAAATACAATGTCATGTATCCACACAATGGAATAGTATCTGGCAATAAAAAGGAAGTATTGATACTTGCTACAACATGGATGAATCTCAAAACTTTTTACTAAGTGAAAGAAGCTATCACAAAAGACCATGTATTATTGCATTTATAAGAAATGTCCAGAAGAGCCAAATCTATAGAAACAGAAAGTAGATTAGTGTTTGCCTGATACTGGGGAGAAAAGGAGAGTAATGTTAAAGGATATGAAATTTCTTTTTGGGGTGATGACAGTCACCCCAAATATTCTAAATTGACTATTGTGATGTTTTATACAACTCTGTAAATATACTAAAAACCATTGAATTGAATACTTTAAATGTGTGAACTGTGTTGTATGTGAATTATGTCTCAATTGTGCTATTCCAAAATAAAACAATGTAAATGTGTTTCAGATATGTAAAAAATATATATATACATCTAGCAGGATACCTCATACATGTATATATATATGGGGTGCGTATATATATATGTGTGTGTGTGTGTGTGTATATATATGTGTATATATATATATACACCCCATATGTGTATATATATACACACACACACAGGATATCTATATATACATATATATGTGTGTGTATATGTGTGTGTGTGTGTGTGTGTGTGTGTGTGAGGTACCCTGCTAGATATATATTTTTTAATTTGACTTCCTTCCCTATATTTTATCCTATAGGATTACGTTTAAAAAGTCAAAAAGTCAATATCTCATCTACCTCAAAATATATATAACTATCATATATTAGTTATTATATAAATAATCGTATTTATATATGCATGTTTGGGGGTACATGTGCTATTTTGATACCTGTGTACAATGTGTAATGATCAAAGTAGAGTAATTGGGATATCCACCACCTCAAACATTTATTATCTTTTTTGTGTGTGTGTGTTGGGAACATTGCAACTCTTCTATTTTGAAATCTACAATAAATTATTGTTAACTATAATAGCTGTACTATTAAATACTAGAACTTATTCTTTCTATCAAACTGTATTTTTTTTACCCATTAACTAACTTTTCTTCATTCCTGTACGTTAAATTTTACTGGATTAAAGAGTTAAGTGGAAGATAAGTAAACTCAGATCTCTGCCTTAAGAAATGGTTTAAGAAGTAAAGCAAACAAGAGAGGGAAAAAATGGGAAAAAGATGGCTCATATAACCATAGGCAAGTTACTTCTCTGGGCCTCAATTTCTCTCTCTGTAAAATGGGATAGTCATAGTACATATCCTGTAGGATTCTGTGGGGATTTTATTAGCAGATACGATATGCTTAAAACAGTTTTGCAAACATGGAAAATACCCACAAACGTCAAGTATTATTATATTAGTGAAGGAGAAATTGAGCAATTCTCTTTTTATTGAAAGTCTCAGGGATCATTAGTTTGGCCTTTTCCATTGCTGCTACCTGCTATTCCATTTAGAGGGCTTCTCTCGGAGCCAGATTCACTATACCCCTCATTCAGTGTCCAATCGCTCCTCAGCTCTGCGGTGCCACAGAAAAATTCTTTAATCTTCGAAAAGATGGTTTTTTTCCCCCTTATAGAAAATACAAGATGAGGTTAACAAAAAAAACACAACTAGTGGAGAAGTTACATGAAATCTGAAAAGGAATGGTATTAGTTCTCATTGACCTTCATTTCAAAGTAAATTGAAACCAGCCCTCAGCGGTCATAACATAACCATTTTCCTTCTTCTTCATTCCTCCTCTCCCCAGCTATCTTTCTTCTTCTGTTTATAAGGTTTCCTGGCTCAGTATATATTGTTGTTGCTGTTTAATTTCAGAGCCCTGCGTCTTATTCAACTCCCCTTTCTCTCCGTGCCTTTTTGAAATACTGCCTCTGCTGCCTAGGTAACCGCATGTTTCATGAAAGATACTGAGAGGGTAAGAGAAAAATCAATGCAAACAGGTGTTTTTTGGGGGGAGAGTCTTTTTGTTTATTTATTTATTTGTTTAAGACAGGGTCTCACTCTGTCATCCAGGCTGGAGTGCAGTGGTGTGATTATAGCTCACTGCAGCCTTTAACTCCTGAACTCTTGGGATCCTCCAGCGTTAGCCTCCTGGCATGCACCACCTTGCCTGACTAATTTGTTTTTTGTTTTTAGTAGAGATAGGGTTCATTATGTTGCCCAAGCTGGTCCCAAATATCTGGCCTCAAGTGATCCTCCTGCCTTGGCCTCACAAAGTGCTGGGATTACAAGCATGAGCCACCATATCCAGGCACAAATAGGTGTTACAATGCAAAAAAAAAAAATTCCAATTTGGTAACACGAAGGGAACAGTGGTTCTAGAATCAAGAAGGGGGTTAAAACCTCAAATCGAAGGCTTACTAGATAATAAGATTACTTTGTTTTGTGTTTGATTATTAAATATTGTTGAAATGGGACTAATAATGTGATCAATATCACAGAGTTTAGGGAGGAATAAATGGAATATTGCAAAAGAGCCCCTAGTAGTACAAGACCTGGTGCTTATGCATCAGCTACTTTTCTTTCCTGGGCTTTCAAAAAGGATTAAATGCATGTAATTTATATGTTGGAGCATAATTTGTCTACATCTACCTCAAAGTGATTCCTGTTTTACAAAGGATAAAAGTAGCTCCTTTCCTGATGGCAGTCATTGAAGGTAAATAAAGCTATTTAAAATAATGGCGATTGTAAACTTTGAGACTGCCATAGCATCCTACTGTAAAGTACACACTTATATAAATGAAAATAGAGCTTGCTGATGCTGAAACGTAAATGAGACATAAAGAGAGCACATACCCTGGCCAGGGAAGGAGTGTTGAGTCCTAAATAGTAGTCCCCTTGGGTTTGTGTATTTTGGGAATTCTAAATAATGGATGAATGAAGTGGGAATTTTTCTGTATTTCTTAAAGAGTCATAACACAGAATAGTTAACTGATTTTATTTTTTGCTTCACCTTGAGCATACAAGAGCCTTCATGTGTACAATAAACAGTGTTTTTGATGTACTGTTAATTTTGCATCAACACCTCTTCTTCTCTGCCACCTGCTGCCTGCCTGTCTGCCTCAGAGGCTGGACAGACGGCCCCCATTTGGAAAACAGGCAGGAGGAAGATGAGCTTCCTCAACAGAGCTGATAGAATTTACCTCTTACATTTGCCCCAGTTGGACTTCCAACCAGAACATGGATCTACATGAAGAATTGCTTGCTTGCTGAACCTTTCTAGAAATGGGCCTTTTCAAAATGGGGAGTGGCATGATCGGATATGGAGGGTGACATCAGCTTCCTCAGGCCTTTGTGGCCACTGTTTTGAAAAGGTCATGGTCATATCCATTGTGGGTGAACACCTGTGCCAGCCTTTGTCGGGAAAGCTTTTGTTCCAAAGGGACATGTCTATCCCTGCCTTGAAATGACTTCCTGCTCAACATCGGGAACAGCGGCAGCTTTGTGCTTAATGAATACCTATCAGACACATTTTTGTCACGGTTTTTGGCTTTGTTTGCTTGTTTTTGTATACCTTCATGGAGTTCTAAGTCATGGGGAAAACATATAGACATTTTTGCTTTGGGGTTCTGTGGTATAGGAGCAACAAATGTCAGCTTGAATCCACTCAAGGCAGTTTTTGCGTATCTCCTGAGTCAGTTCCTTCAGTGAGGCAGAAGTCATATTGCAAATTTTTCTGTCCACAGCAATTCCAAAGTCCTTATAAAACTGGTGAGTTTCAGCGAGGACTTGACTAAACTTGAGTCTAGGTTGCCTAAGACGGCTAGTTCCTGTGGAGCAGAATTTTTAGCAGGAAGGAGTCCTTAGCTCAAGATGGCAACTCTGAGTGATTCCACTGTTTATTTGAAATGGGTGTGTAAATATACTATGATCAGCTAACTTCTACCCATGTGATGATTTGCACTTACAAATTTTTCAATTTCCCTGAAAATTGAAGTTTTTCTCCCTCTGCACAAAAACACCAAGGTCCCCCTTGCACAGAATGCCTGATGTTTGACTGGTGGTCAGCGGAATGTGAACAATAAATGTTGGCTCAGGATATCAATATAGAAGCTGCAATATTCCTAAAAGTTTTGAAATTAGTCACCTTTTCCTGGACCAACAATAAAAAAACTGTAACATTCATCTATACTTGTAGATGTTTGCTGAGAACTCCAACTGGCAAATATCCTAATATGAATGATCTTAAGTAGCTTCACACTTTCCCAATTGCAAGTTCTTTCTAGAATTTCTTCAGGACAAGCTCTTTGACTCTCTTTCTCCCTCTCTCTCTATCTGTCTCTGTCTGTCTCTCTCTCTCCCTATGTCTGTCTATATATATGTGTATGTGTGTATATATGTATATATACACATGTTTGTGTATGTGTGCGTGTGTGTGTATAAAATAAATTTATTGGTTTGTTTGCTTACTTATAGAGGCAGATTTTTAGGCCTCAGAATGTTTTAGCATGCAGATTCTCCATCAATTTTCAGTTTAGTACCAACCCATGATGTCACAGAGCAAGGTAGTGAACTGATCCCAGAAATTAACCACATATTTCACGATGGTTTTTTTTCCCCCTTTTCCCTATGCTTAACTCTCCCCATCTAGGCTTTAGCTGATCCTTCCCTTGGCCTTCTGGACTTTTAGACTACAACCAGCACTTACAAAGGTACCTTTTACTAGGGTGATATTTAAGATGCTGCAAATCTAGTTACAGAGCCAGTGGGAGGCTGGGGTCTGGGCCACCACCGCTCCCCAACCAAGACAACAGCTTCCCCTAAAGTGGTAGCCCCAAGGAGCAGTGAGAAGTAGTTTTCTCAGGGGATTGGAGAGAACTTGGTTCCAGATCCCCTGGAACACTTTTAGGCCTGGTAATTTGAAGGCACTGAACTCCTTCTGGTATGTGAGTAATTTTTAGTGTGATTTTATGCCTTTTTACCTTTCTTTTAAAATATTTGGTCATCCTTGTTCTGTACTTGGAGCAGGAAAACTACACCAAAGTGCTTTTCAGGCTGGGCATGGTGGCTCACGCCTGTAATCCTAGCACTTTGGGAGGCTGACAAAAGTGGATCACTTGAGCCCAAGGGTTTGAGACCAGACTGGGCAATGTGGTGAAACTCCGTCTCTACCGGAAAAAAAAAAAAATTAGCCAGACATGGTGGTGTGCACTGTAGTCCCAACTACTTGGAAGGCTAAGGTGCGAGAGTCACCTGAGCCAGAGAGGTCGAAGCTGCAGTGAGCCAAGATCGCACCACTGCACTCCAGCCTGGGTGACAGAGCGAGACCCTGTCTCAAAAACAAAAACAAAGACAAACAAAAAATCCTGATTTTCAGTATTTATCTCCTCTTTCAGTTGAGTGCCAGGACACATCTGTCTTCAGGGCAAGCTCCAGTGGTGGAAAGGGCATATAATTGAGCTTAAATCTTGGATTTGGCACTTGTTGGGTATGAGATCTCAGGAATGATATTTAACCTTGCTGCTTCTTTTGCTCAATTAATAATACCTTTCTGCTAGGGTTATTTTGAGATGTAGATGAAGTCAAGTATTAGAAAGTGCCCAGCACAGTATTTGGCTTAGAGTTAGTTCCATTTCTCTCCCTACCCTAGTTTCCATCTTGGTTTTAGTTTCTTTCCTGACGCTCCTCTTAATCTGGAAATGTTGGGTGATGGGAAGAAGTCATTCTCCACATCAAAACTTTTGGGAGATGGTTCTGAAGCTGGCCACAATTGTGATACATTGGTTGTGGTATTTTGTGATTAGTTTTTATATCATGATTTGTTTATCACTTTCCCTATGATATCACGGTTGGTAATAAACTAAAATTTGATTGAGAATCTAACCGCCAGCTCAGGAGAGGTGAGGAGGGTGGTAGAATAAATGACAAAGGCTCCAGTGCAGACTCCAGCAAATATTAGGGTAGGAGACCCAAAGCAATAAAGCCAGAGTGAGGCTGGGACGGTGGCACCGCCCTTCTCTGTCCAAGATAACAGCTTTCCATCAAGTGTAGTCCCAAGAACCAGTGGGCACCAGTTTCCCCATAGGCCAGTGAACCAAACGGGTGGAATGAGCCTCATTCCAGCCCTTAGATTCAAGCAGTGGGCTGTGAGCCTGGCTATAGGACCAAATGAGAGCCAGGAGCCTAATGAGAGTAGGAAGCCCCACTTGCAGCCCAAGTCTTCCTGCCTCTGTTCTTTGCTAAAGGAACTCTCGCTCAAGTGAGTTGTGAGAAACTTGTTTTCTACTTCCCAGCTTCAGCCTCCTTTGTGGCTAAGATCAGACATGTGACATACTTCTAACTAATCCAACACAGGAGCAGGAGAAGAATCTCCTATGGCTGTTCTCAAAAGGCTGCTTCTTTATATAGGAGCTTGGGTACAGCTACAACGATATTTCATGTAGAATATTAAGAGCTTGATAAACCTGCGTTCAACACCAGGCTTTATTGATTTCTTATTGTCAGAAGTTGGGCAAGTGTCTGATACTCTTTAAATCTCATAATGCCTTCTGCTTCCTGTACTGGAGCATTACTGAATGCATATTGCTTTCTAACTGTGTGGTTACTTCGTTTATTTTCTCTGTTAGACTAAAAACATCTTGCGAGAAGGGGCTGTGTTTATATTAAATAGCACAGTACAAGAACATGATAGGCATGGAAAAAAGAATTCAAATAGATAAATTAATTTTCTACTTCTGATGAGGTGACCGGCAATGAAGATATGCTATTGAGCTGCAACATGAACTGCTCTTCGTTAGTGAGGAGAGTGTAAAAAAGTTGACACAAAGGATTCTGACGCATATACTAAGTATTTCATTGAGACAGGGTACAAAGATGATAGTAAGATGCCCCTATTTCTAGAATCAGAAGTGGAAAGGATCTAGGGAATTAATTGTAGGTGTACAGGAATTAATTGTTGGTCTACACCACACTCTAGAGCACCTCTTCTATTTATTTATGGAACTTTAAGGAACATTTTCTTATGAAAGGTTTAATTTTCAAAATACTATCCAAGGAAAAATTAGTAGTTGTTTTAAATACTGAAACTATAGTTTAGATACTGAAATCATTTCATTTTGAGAGCTGTATCACTTCATCCTTGCCAATTACAGCTACAATCCATATTTCTGGAACCTTGACATATCCAACAACATGCTTCCTCCTCAACAAGTTATCATATGCAATCTCTGTCTCACAACACCAAGAGCTAAAATCTTTTCATATTTTATACTAGTTTACACTTAGATTTTGCAATAGATTGCATAGTCTACTGAGAGGCATCAGGTGCAACTTAACTTTGCAAACTCAAATTCAGACATAACTAGTTACCCTTATGAAAACATGTAGAGAGAAGGACCTCAAATCATATTTTCAGTTTATCATAATGGTCTTAAAATCACATCTCTTATAGTGGAACAACAGCAAATGATGAAAGAAAGGGGAAGTCTGACATTTCTTGACCTCCTGTTCTCAAAGGATTCTCCTGCCTTGGCCTCCCAAAGTGCTGGGATTATAGATGTGAGCCACCACACCTGGCCTAAGTCTGACATTTCTGATAGAGTCAGAATTATTTTTTTTGTGAACCTAAAGGAAGGCTGGGAGCTGACCAAAAAAAATTGAGAGAGAGGAGTAAGAGATCCTGTCTGCAAAACTGAAGGGCTTCTTTGCATGCAAGTTATAAGTTAAATTCTTTTATTATTAAGTTTTTATATTTAACAGACTTTGTGTAGTACCCTAAAACCTTCTAATGACTCTTTTCTTGTTCAACAAAAGGCATATTTCCTCACTGTTTCTATAGTATTCTTGCTTCCCTCTTGGAGAAATTAATGGAGCAAACAACACTTTTATTAAACAATACGTCAATTTTCAGAAACATATACCATCTTCCAAACCTTACTGAAAAACAAAGGTTTGCATAGTTTGCACCATCATTCTTTTGCTTCCAGGCTGCACAGAACACTCTGATTGAGGGCATGACAACCAGATGCTGATGATCACCTGAAAGTGCTATTCAATGTATGCAAATTCCTGTTCCAGTATTCTTAGGAAAGCCCTTTGGGGTGGCATTGGTGCTGTGACAAAGCATATTTGAAAGAGGAAGGTCAACCATGGATATTATAGTGCACATATGGCTACACAAGGCTTGAATGTAAAATGCTTTTCCTGAAAAATAAGTTGGCAGCCATATAAAATCTGCCATTAATATTTGGTTCTGCTATCCAATATCTGGAACAAGTGGGGAGTGATTCTGGGCACATTTTGTGTGTTTTTTTCCCATGGCTATTGTCTTGTCTATAATCACTGCAAAACTGACATTCAGGAGATGCAGCAGTAGAGACCCAGCAGTTGCAGCCAGGGAAACCTTGGTCCATTCTTTACTGACTGCACAACAAACACTATTAAAGGCAGGGGAAGCCATTTGTTCATGAATATACATTTGATACATATAAATGCTTTGTGCCATGAATATTTATCTCTTTCATGGATTGCAGCTGTTGTGTATTGAAAACTATTAACAGGTTGGAAACCGTCCTTTAGAAACCTATGCCTGTCATTGGTGTGCAAAACCATCCCTGGAAATTTATCTTTTTCCCCCTTCCTCTTTTGTGGGAAAGATAGCGTACTCCTGGGGTTTATAATGTGGTTAGTCCCTTAGAAGGTAGAGAAATGAATTTGGTAAAAATGAAAGGCAGCTTTCTCGGGAGAATTTACACACACACAGACACACACACCCACACGTGATTTATTTAAAGTTTTCTAACTTAAATTGTTTAGGTAATATGACTAAGGCAGAGTTTTATCTACCAACTGGACTTCAGATTTTGATGAACCATTGATAACAGAGGTGAAAATATTAGTCATTCAATATTATGTATTTGTGAGGGTGAAGAGTGTCACATGATTTCTATTTTTACCCAAGATGAAAACCTAAACCTTATGGATATTCTTGGGTATTTTTTTGGACAGAATGAATAGTTTTTCAGAGGTCAATCTTGTACTTCTTCATGTTCTATATAATTTAGCCACTCTTAATTATTGTTTCCCAAACAAACAATGTTCTCTTATGCCTCAAGACATTTGTTAATTCTGTTCCTATTGTCTGAAAGATTTTTCTCTCCAATTCTGAGCATCCCTGCAGGTTTTCCTCTTAATCCACTTCTCTTCAAGAGCAGATTCAAACATTTGTGTCTTGGGATATCTTTTTATGCTTTTTGTTATCTATCCCCCATCCATCTCTAGAAACCACTCCTGCCAATGTCCCTTCTCATGGTAAATTCCTTTTCTGGATCCTTCTGCTGTGCCTCCCTGAACTCTAGTACAGGCACTTATTGTTTTACAGTTATTTGTTTTGGGGTGCATCTCTTTTAGTAGAGGAAAGTTACTTGAATATAAGAAAAGATCCAACACACCTCTTGACTTTCATACAGTGAATGCAATGTTTGACGTTGATTCTTTGTTTAACATATGTTTATGCAATGAGTAAAACTGAGGGGGGCAATGGTATTTAATTTTTATTTTTAATCTTTATGGGTACATAACAGGTGTATATATTTATGGGGTACCTGAGGTATTTTGATACAGGCATACAATGTATAATTATTACAGGAGGGTAAATGAAATATCTCTCACCTCAAGTAGTTACTATTTCTTTGTATTACAAACATTCCAATTATACTTCTTTAGTTATTTTGAAATGCACAATAAATTATTGGTATTTAAGGGTAGATGTCCATGAAAAATATTTTACTATTTCTGTAACAATATACAAAGCCAAATGACAGCTACTCATTCCCTCCCTTTTTCTGATTTTCTCTTTTTCTTCTCTTACCATTCTACTTAGCTCTTCTTGGCCAACTCTGAATTCTCCATTGGAAAAGGACAACTGCGGTTTACACTGTCACTCAAGTTTATACCCAGGCTTTCCTGTGTGCTATCCCTTTTCTCCCCTAACATAACTCCACCAAAAGATGCAAACAATGGGAAAATTCATCATTCTTTACTCTTTCCAATCCTACCCTAAGTTACAGAAAAGATGAACTGCTGTGAAGTATTTAGGCACTGTTGACTCTAATGAGTTTTTAAGGTATGTTGATATAAATACTTTCTTATATATGCTATGTTATTTTAGTAGAATGAAATTTGAGGATATAGTCATAGTTATGGGATGTCTGATATCTATCCGTGAAGACACTATGTGTGTTTGTTGCTCCCTTTCTTTAGTGCTCATCACTATAGCTTTCTCTAGCATGAAAAATTTGCCTTTGACTTCTTTTAATTTGGATCCATTTATTGGCTGTAATAGATGGCAAAAATATCTCCAAATACAGCCCTTCTCTGACTCCATGCCTCTTTGCAATGTGACCTGGCAGCTCCTCTAACAAAGAAGCAAAATTTATTTTTTTCCCCTTGAATTTGAGCTGGCCGGTAAAATATGCTAGAAGAGGTGCTGTGGATGTTCTGAGCCTTGATCTGCCCTTACTGCCATTGGGACTCTGCCACCACCATGTGATAAAAACTGAAGGTAGGCTGATGGAGAATGAAAAGTAATGTCAAGAGAAGCCCCAGTCATCTGAGCTGTCTCAGAAATGGTCATCATAAACCAGCCAGGCTCAGCAAGGTAGCCAGGTGATCACAGATGTCTGAGCAAATCCAGGCACAATCGGCCAAGCCTAGGTCTGACTAGACCAAATTGTTAATCAGTAGATTCAGGAGCTAAATAAATAGTTGAAATCACTACATTTTGGGGTAATTTGTTACACAGGAAAAGCTGACTGATACAATGATAGGGCATAAGAGGTTCTGATAATTCAAGCCAAATCCTGTACTAGGCTGGGTGTGGTGGCTCACACCTGTAATCTCAGCACATTGGGAGGCTGAGGTAGGTGGATCACCTGAGGTCAGGGGTTCAAGACCAGCCTGGCCAACATGGTGATTTTAGTTTCTACTAAAAATACAAAAAATTAGCCAGGCCTGGTGGCGGGCATCTGTAATCCCAGCTGCTCGGGAGGCTGAGGCAGGAGAATTGCTTGAACCTGGGAGATGGAGGTTGCAGTGAGCTGAGATAGTGCCATTGCTCTCCAGCCTGGGTAACAAGAGTGAAACTGTCTCAGAAAAAAAAAAAAAATCCTGTACTAGGAGTCAGTGCCTAATAAATACATAACAGAGGAACATATGGGATAGAGATTATTAATGTGAGACAACTTACATCAGTTCTGACCGTACCTACTACCTCTGATCTTGCCTTTCTTGAAGATGGCTTCCATAAACTTTTAATTTACTTCTGCATGATGTTTCTGGCAGTGACTCTACCTCCACTTGCCTATAAATCATCCTTTTTTTTTTTTCACTGACTAAGTCTTTAAGGTTTGTGTCACAGGCCAGTTAGCTCTTTCAGTCTCTCCTATCTTGGTCTTTCCCTAAGTCCACCTTGTTTAGAAAAGTAGGCTTAGCTTAAGTTTTGGAGGAGAGGCAACACAACCAGCATCAACTATTACTGGCTGAGGGCTTCCTATGTTTAAAATCTCATTTAATCCTTATTACAATGTAGGCGGTAAGAACCAGGAGTCTTAGCTATAAGCTGGGAAACATGAAGCCATAAAACCAGAAAGAAAAGATTGGGAAGACCTTGATCCAGAAAGGGGGCTGGTTACCAGAGGACTTCAAATCTGAATCAGACTTTAAAGGAAAGTAGGCTGGAAGCAATGACTCAAAGAGAGGCACCTCCTGTTAGTAGGCTGGCAGCTAGGTGCACTCTGCTGTATTTTCATGTGATTGGTTCTGCCTTTGTTAGCGTGAGCAGGCAATGGATGGCAGCCAGAGAGACTAAGTTCCCAAATGCCTATTTCTCAGTAGAGGTGAAAGGCTCAGCCTTCCAGTACATTTGAACATCATGTGTGATAAATGCGATCTCCCAAGAATGTCTACACAAAGTTGTGTGACAGTCATTCTCTTTTATCAACAAATGTCCCTTTTTACTTTGAAGAGTCCTTAAATCAACCTCACTTTAAACAAAACAGTATGTCACTTAAATGGATAGACAAATATTTCACTCATTAGGTATGAAGCTCCTTTTAGTTATCCAGTACATCGCCCAGGTAACATTGGGTTGCATCTCAGGAATGCAGTCTGCATCAATGTTTAATTTTGTTTAAAATGTGTTCAGTGTTAACATACTGCTTCAGAAAACTCTTTTATTGACTAGTGATTCAGATCTCTACATGTTCTGGGCTTACTCACTTCTCATTATCTGGGCTAAAGATAAAGACTTTTTGGAGAACTCATTTGTACTAGATTAACTAATCCTATTCTTCTTTGGGGCCTATAAATTAAATTAGGCCTAGACTGGCATGTTTCCTTAGTTACTTGTATTTAGCCTTGAAATTTCATCATTTAGTTCCTGAGTGAAGGTGATTGCTCTTGTCTGAATGTTACTCAAGACTGCTACAACTATAACCATAAAACCCACATTTAAATGTGGAATTTCAAATGACGTTTTAGGAAAGACTTTAATGTCACCCAACTGATTTCCATGAGTGAAATAAAAGCTATTATTTACTTATCTTAAATGTATTAAAAGCTGCTAATAAAATTTGTTTTACATTGTGTCTTTGTGTATAGGTCTGAATAAAGATCTATAAGAATAGATGTGCCATGTATATCTTTGTACAGATCTATAGATCTTTATGTACATTTGCATGATGTTAATGCCTGTCACCCATCATCATCATTCTCTCTCTTGCTCTCTCTCTCTCTTCAGTGTGTGTATAAACAGATCTTTTAATGTATTTAAATGACTTGTGATTATTGATATTAGGAAGGCATGGGAAAAGTCCAGGCAACCTTTTACTTAAAGACAAATTATTAATTCCTTTTATTTCTCTTGTCTTTCCACTTTCATGTCTAGATGTTCATTATTTCATTGTTCACTAAAATATCCTCCAGGGGAAAGAAGATGAACTCTTGGTATCTAGTGCAATGTGCAGCACTCTAGGGATACCCATTAAGTGTCTGTTGACAATGACAATGATGATGATAAAATTCAAATCAGTTAATTGGTTGTGCACCTGTTAGTAATGCCAGTGAAACTTTGCATCAGATACAGGTTAAAACAATTCGTGAATTTTCTGTGAAGCCATGCTCCTCTTATGGGGAGGAATACTCATGTCGAGGGCTCCTATCTCACAGTTTTCACCAGCGTGAAATGGAGTAATAGAACAAGGCTAAACCCACGGGAAGGCAGAGCGCGCACTGTGTCTGTAGTGATTGTGGGGTTATGACAAGGGCCTATCATCTCTGACTTTTCCTACACCTGCGATTTATCTTTTGGGCTGAGACATCTCTTCTATTCTTCCTTGTTTATGTATACACAGGCAATTGTAAAAGCAGAAAGAAGGACATTCCAGAGAAGGAAAATGTTCTAACTCAGAGAAGGGAGCATTTCAGCTCTTTCTTGACAGATACGTGAAAGTAAGCCAAATAGACTTGAATGTTTGGGAAAAAAAATAAAAACAGGTAGGGATGCTATCTTCCTCTTGCCTCAGTCAAAATAGGCCAAGTTCAAAGCCTAAAAGGGCAGCAGGAGATTAGAAAATGCCTAAGGAGGAGAAATCACAGAAAGAGAACCCTGAAAGACAAACTTCACCGACATTATAACCTCCTCAGAGGCCATTCAGTGTAGCCAGAAAAGGACTCTTCATTTTCATATTTCAGAGAGTTTTTTGTCAAGTTTTTTAAAATTCTTTTCTACATTTAATTGCAGTAACAGTTTTTGGTGCTTATTGATGTTAATGGTAAATACGAGCATAAATAGAAAGGTACATATACTTTTCTTATAGAGTATTTTCCATTGCATTATTGAATAAATACAATAGGATTTGGGAATACAGAAAAAAACTACCAATCTGTTTGCAAAGTAATAATATTACTGACAATGCCAATTTTATTTAAAAGGTGAGTTTCATGAGATTCAGAACCAATTTTCCAAATCTAAGATCAATTTCATAAAAAATGAGTATACTCTGAGACTTCAAGAGGAAATTTATTCGAGAGTGTTGCATATTTTACATCACCCCCAGATTACATGTTAAAACACGTCATATTTGTTTCAAATGTCCTTTCTACACAAAATGATCCTGTTCCTGATAAACATGTCCCTCTGCCCTACCTCCCTCAGCTTCTTTTCATTGTTTGGATCTCTCTTTTTTTTTCCTTAGAATTGTATGTCTTCTAAATGTAAATAAGCCTTATGGCTTTTAAATTCTACAAGATCTCCAAAATGCTATCTGCATCCCAAATTCTTACTTTTATTTCCTTTGCCTAAAAATAAGGAGAAAAACAAACAAACACGACACAAACACACACACACACACTAACTATAAACAAAACGCCACAGGCTTCATTTTCCATGACAGGAAATAGCTGAAAAGGGAGAAGAAGGCAAATTGGGGTTTATATTGGAACGTAAGCAGTAAATAATTGATCTCCCACTTCTCCCTGCCTCAGTTTGGAACCATTGAGAAGTAGGAGTCGGGATGACCATCAAAATATGACCTTTGTCTGTTTGGGAACATGACTTGTGCATGTAGAAACATGGGCTTAATGGTTCTATACCCCCTGAGATGAAACAGATTTATCCATCTGTTCACGAGGCAGAGGCAGAAAAAAATCATAGAGTTTCTGAAATAGAAAAAAGTGGCAGGGGAGGGGAGTGTACCCCTGTCCATTTTATAGCAATAGGAAGCAGCAATAGCATCTTCCTTGAAGGCAGACTGGCTCCCAAATAGAGTTACAGGGGGCTGAGAAGAGAATTAAGAGTATTAGCAGTTCCTTCTTTCAAATTACCAATCTTTTATAGAGGATTGAGGGAGGAGAACGGGCAAGAGACCTGAGTCTTTCTCTAGAGGTGGTCCCTCCATAGGGAAATCTTAGGACAGGGAATAGAAAGAATCCCTCATCTTACTATTTAAGAACTTCTCTTAGCCCCACTGTCTGAATTTAATTAAGCCACTTCAATTTTCTTCAGGTCTTTGGCAAGCTTCATGGTCATTCTGAACTATTCCTGATGTACTTATGTCTTTAAAAATTATGCTTAGGATAGTTCTGAGAAAGTGACTCTTGGGAAAGAGTACATTTTGTTCCAAATATCTAAACCAGAATGAAGCCAGATCTGGGTGCTTTCAAAACAGAACCTCTATATTAGTCACAAAAATTAGAAGCAATGAAATCTATTAGATCATCTGCTGCCTCCTCATGCCAAGCCCGGGGAATATGGACTGCTTATTCTTTTGAACTTACACTGTTTATCAGAAGGGCAACTAAATAAAGCTTACTCAGAAATAGACACAAAGGGGCTCATTATGTGTCAGCATACACAAATTCAGAAATGTCTCCAGAGCACATGGAGAAAAATGTACGTGGAAAAAAGAAATTTGTTCTGGGAAGTTTTTTTTCTTATTAAGCCAGTTTAATTCCTTTACCAACTTTCTATCTAGCATACTTAAATCATACCCAATTTTTTAAATGTTTATTTTTATTTTGCTGAAATTATTCTCATCAGAATCATTTTCCATGTAAAATTTTCAGTGAAAGTGATGTACTGCTAATCAAGTTTTAAAATTTATATTAATAAATTTATAGCATCTGCAATTGGAAATTTTGTTGTATGACATTATATCTATTCTAAATCTAATATTGCAGATAGATATTTTATTAAAAAGTTTTGCTTCTCTCCATTTTTAGTCAACAACAAAGTTTACTATGTGGAATTTTGTTTTATTTTGTGTTATTATTTTTACTGTTAATATTAATTGTAAATTGGATAAAATAAAATAGTTTATATTTATTTCTTAGCTAACTTATGAGAAAATAGCAAGCAATTTTCCTTTGCTCTTCCAGAAGTGCTGCAATGTAAACGACTAGACAGCTTTATCACTAACCCAATTCTTCTGTATATTTTTATCACTTTGAATATTGCATTTTAAAGTACATCATCTTAGTCTGGTCTGGGGATGCTATAAAACCTTTATCACACACATAGGCATGTCACCTATAGATACACCATAAGTGGCTTAAGCAACATTTATTTATTTCTCACAGTTATGGAGTCTGGGAAGTCCGAGATGAAGCTGCCTGCAGATCCAGCGTCTGGTGTGGGTCCCCTTTCTGGTTTGTAGATGATAATGACCACGTGGCAGAGAGCAGAGAGGGAGTAGCTCTCTTTCCCTTGTTATGTGGACACTAATCTCATCAAAGGGGTTCCACCCTCACAAACAATTTACTTCTAAAAGGTCCCACTTCCCAGTGCTATCACATTAGAACTTCAGCATATAAATTTGGAGGAAACACAAGCATTCATTCCATGGTACACCCCTTCTGCTTGTGGAACCAAGGGTAAGTGGTGGGTGGTAAGTGGTGGGTGAAAAATGATTTACTTTGCTTTATATTTGTCAACATTTGGGAGACAAAAAAAAAGATGATAAAAAAACTAAAATACTCTTTGTTCTCTTTGTTTCCTCTGATTTCTTTTTCCTATTTTTTCCTCTCTCATCTCTAAACCTTCAGTCGTATCAAAGTTTCCCTGACTCATCTTTTTATTCTTCTGTAACTATTTTATCCTATTTGTCTCTTGCCTCAGTCCTCTTTCTACCTGCTGTTCGCTTGCCCTCTCTCTCCCACTCTGTCTGGGACCCCTGCACTGTCCCTGACAGTTCTCCTCTGAGTATTTAGGTGCACTGTCTCCTCTGTCTCCCTACCACCATCTCTTACCAAGAACTGCTTATTCAATGTTATGATTATAAAGGTTCAGGGAAGAAACTCTTGCCCCTGACACTCAGCATCCCATTCAGATCCAGTAACCTTAACTGAAAGAGTTTATTAAACTATTTATCGTATGGGTTTAAATACAGCGCTGAAAATAGTCCACTTATCTGAGCTTGAGCAGAGGGATGGATGATAGGCTCTCAGGAGGACCTGCCAGATCAAGAAATTTGGAATCATCAACTTAGATTTATTAGACATCCTTGTGGAGTTTGGAGTTGTATTACATTAATTCAGACTTCAAGCCCTAAAATCCAGTTTCTTTTTTTTTTTTTTTCAAAAAGCTTAAAATATTGTAGTATTGAGCTGAGTCTTCTGCAAGCTTTTGTTATTGTTTCTGTCATTATTTACTTAAAACAAGCCTTGTTTGTCTTACCATTTAGTAGTATTCTAGTATGTTCAGAGTTGTGCAACCATCACCACAATCTAATTTTAGAACATATTCAAAACCCATAAAAAGAAACCCCAACCCATATCCATTAGCAGTTATTCCCTGTTACTATTCTCCAGCTCACCACCGCAGCCCCAGGCAACCACTATTCTATTTTCTGTTTCCATGGATTTGCCTGTTCATGGCTCTTCAAATAAATGGAATTATACAATATGTGGTCTCCTGTGACCGGTTTCTTTCACTTAACATAATGCATTCAGGGTTCTCAAGTAGTAGCATGTATCAGTATTTCATTATTTTTTATTGCTAAATGATGTTAGATTGTATAGATATAGATATTTACTAGTTGTTAGACATTGTTTCCACTTTTTGGCTGTTATAAATAATGCTGCTATGAACAGTCACATATGCATTTTTTTGTGGAGATACATTTGCACTTCTTTTGGGTATATCTAGGACTGGCATTGATATGTCTTATGATAACTTCATGCATAACATTTTGAGGAATGGACAAACTGTTTTCCAAAATGTCTGCCCTATTTTACACTTCACAAGCAATTTATGAGGGCTTCAATTTCTCCTAATTCTCTTTGATCTTTCTTATTGCTTGTCTTTTTAGTCATGTTAGTGGGTGTGAAATTGTATCTCATTGTGGTTTTGACTTGCATTTTCCTAGTAACTAATGATGTGGAGAATCTCTTCATGTGATTGTTGGTCATTTATGTATCTTATTTGAATAAGTGTATATTTACATCCTTTGCCCATTTAAAAAATGGGTTATCATTTTATTGTTGTTTAGAGTTATTTATAAATTCTGCATACAAATCCTATGTCATATATGCTTTACAGACAATTTATCTCATTCTGTGGTTGTCTTTTCATGTTCTAGATGGTGCTCTTTTTAAATTTGTTGAAGGCTCATTTATCTATCTATATCTATCTATCTATCTATATCTCTATCATCTATCTATCTATCTATCTATCTATCTATCTATATTGTTGCTTGTGCTTTTCATTATCATATCTAAGAAACCAGTGCTTAACCTAAGGTCACAAAGATTTACTCCTAAGTTCTCTTTTAGTTTGGTAGTATTAGCTCTTCTATTTAGGTTTGTGATGTATTTGAGCTAATTTTTTATATGGTATAAGATAAAGGTCCAACTTCATTGTTTTGCATGTAGATATACAGTTTTCTCAACACCATTCATTAAAAAGACTATCCTTTGCACATTGAATTATCTTGGCACCCTTGTTGCAGAAAAAAAGGCCACAAGTCTAAGAACCTTCTTTTGGAACTATCAGCTCAATTCCTTTCATTCATATACACATAAAATCTTATATCAGTAGCATGCTGTCTTAATTACTGCAGATTTCTAGTAAGTTTTGAAAATGAGAAGTGTGAGTCCACCAACTTTGTCCTTTTTTTCCCAAGATTGTTTAACTATTCTGAGTCTCTTGAATTTATATATGAATTTTAGGATCATCTTATCAATTTCTGCAAGAAAATGAGCTGAAATTCTGATAATGATTGCATTGAATTTGTAGATCAATTTGGGTAATATATCTTAACAATGTTAAGTTTTCTCACTCATGAATGTGGGATATTGTTTCATTTTTTAAAATCTTCTTTAATTTATTTTAAAATATTTTTGTATTTTTCATTGTGCAAGTTGCACTTAAACATTTATTCCTAGGTATTCCATATAATTATTAGTTCTTACTATAAGTCAGATTGTGTTCTTAATTTGATTTTTGGAATATTCATGGCTAGTGTATACAAATACGATTGATTTTTGTATATTGAACTTATACTCAGTAACAATGTTGAACTTATTTATTTGTTCTAATAGTTTTTAAAGTGGATTTTCTATATACAAGATCATATTATCTACAAATGAAAATAGTTTTACTTATTTATTTTCAATCTTATGCTCTTTATTTCTTTCTCTTACCCATTACTCTGCCCAGAAATTCAGTACAATGCTGAACAGAAATAGTAAGCTTGGATGTGCTTGTCTTATTGTTTATCTTAGAGGGAAATGATTTGGTGATTTTCCATTAAGTATGTTAGCTATGGGATTTTTAATAAAATATCTTCTATCAGCTTGAGGAAGTTCTCTGTATTTGTAGTTTTCAAAATGTTTTTAGCAAAGCAAGAGTGTTGGATTTTGTCAGATGCTTTTGCTGCCTCTATTGAGATGATTTATGTGGGTTTTGTCCTTAATTTTATTAGCATGGTATATTACATGGATTGATTTTCAGATGTTGAACAAGCCTTGCATTCCTGAGATAAATCCCTTTTGATCATGGAATAAAATATTTTTAAATTTTTTTTTTGGATCTGGTTTGCTAATATTTTGTTGAGGAGTTTTGCATCCATATTCATAAAGAATATTGGTCTGTACTTTTCTTATAATATCTTTGTCTGATTTTTGTATCAGGGTAATAATGGGATCATAGAAATAACTGGGATTCTTTTGTTCCTCTTCTGTTTTTTGAAAGAGTTTTTGAAGAATTGGTATCAGTTCTTTAAAAGTTTAGTTGAAATCACCTGAGAAAACATCTAGCCCTGGACTTTAACTTAGAAAAAGTGTTGTTGTTTTTTTTTTTTTTTTTTTTTTTGGACACAGAGCTTTGCTCTTGTTGTCCAGCCTGGAGTGCAATGGTGAGATCTTGGCTCACTGCATCCTCCGCCTCCCGGGCGCAACTGATTCTCCTGCCTCAGCCTCCAGAGTAGCTGGGATTATAGGTGCCTGCCACCACTCCTGGCTAAGTTTTTGTATTTTTAGTAGAGATGGGGTTTCACCATGTTGGCCAGGCTGGTCTTGAACTCTTGACCTCAGGTGATCTACCTGCCTCGGCCTCCCAAAGTGCTGAGATTACAGACATGAGCCACCATGCCCGGCCAAGTTTATTGATTAATAATTAAATCTCCTAATTTGTTATAGGTCTAGTTAGATTTCTCTATCTTCTTAAGTCAATATTAGTTTGGGTATTTCTAGGAATTTGTTCATTTGACCGAGACAATCTAACTTTATAATTCATTTATTTAAAGTTGATAGTGGATGTCCTTCTTTTATTTGTAGTTCAGTAATTTGAGTATTTTTTAAAAAATTTTTCTTGATCAGCCTAGCTAAAGATTTGCCCATTTATTTTTTCAAAGAATTAACTTTTTGTTTTTCCAATTTTCCCTATTAATTTTCTATACTCTATTTCATTTGCTTCTGCTCTAAATTTTATTATTTTCTTCCTTTTGCTGGGTTTGAGTTTAGTTTTTTCTGGTTTTTCCAGTTTCTTAAGAAAATTAGGTTATTTATTTGAGATCACACTTCTTTTTAATGTAAATATTTACAGCAATAAATTTCCTGAAAGCAATGCTTTAGCTACATTTCCTAAATTTTGGTATGTTGTGTTTTCTTTTCACTCACCTCAAAGTCTTTTCTAATTTTGCTTATTAATTATATTTGACCTATTGGTTATATAGGGTGTGTATTTTTAATTTAAATATTTGTACGTTTCCCAAATTTTCTTCTGTGGATGTTTTGTAACTAAATTTTATCAGAGTCAAAGAACATACTTTGTATTATTTAAATTTAAAAAAAATTGTTGAGGTTTGTTTTATGACCTACCATATTGTCCATCCTGGAGAATATTCCATATACTCCGGAGAATAATGTGTATTCTACAGTTGTTGGATTGGGGACTTGATAGGTTTTGTTATATCCAGTTAGCTTAAGCTCTGTTCAACTCTGTTCTGTTGTTTGTTTTTTATTTTTGCTGATATTCTGGCTATCAAATTTATTGTTTCTTGAAAGTAAAGTATTGAGTTCTCTATTATTTTCAATTGTCTGTTTCTCCCTTTAATTTAGTCAGTTTTGCTTTATATATTTTGATGCAATGTTGATATATACATAAATGTTCATAATTGTATTCTTCATGATTTACCTTACTTATTATAAAATAGCCCTCATTATTTCTAATAAAATACTTTTATTTTAAAGTCTGTTTTTTTTTAATATTAGTATATCCACTCCAGCTGTCATTAGGTTATTCCCTAAATGGTATTTCTTTTAACATCCTTTATTTTCAATCTATTTGTATCTTTTAATCTAAAGTATATCTTTTTCAGACATCATATAGCCATATTATGTTTTTTAAAAATATTTATCCCTTCTTCCATTCTCTGCTTTTTGAGAGGGAAGTTTAATCCACTCACATTTAACATAATTTCTGATAAGGCAGTATTTAAGTCTGCCATTTTGCTATTTGTTTTCTACATATCTTACAACTTTTCTGTTCAACAATTGTTCAATTCCTGCCTTCTTGTGTGCCAAATAGATATTTCCTAGTGAACCTCTGTAATTCCCTAGTCATTTCTTATATTTGTTTTAAATGATCTTTTTAGTGGTTGCATATGAACTTTTGACTAATACTCATTTTATTTCAGTAAAATATAAACATTTTATTTCCATTTACTCTTGTTTTCTTTGTAGTATTTTTGCCATACCAATGGCATCTCTTAAGTTTATAAGCCCATTAATATGGTTTTATAATATTTTTTAGGCAGTTATCTTTTCAAACAGGAGAAGAAAATAATGGCAAACCACAAAATCTATATTGTCTTTCATACTACTGACACAATTAGTTTTATTAGTGTTCTATTCCTTTAGGTGGATTTACTCACCATGTAGTGTCTTTTACTTTAGATTTAAGGATTTACACAGTATTACTTACAGAGCAGAAATGCTAGCAGTGCTTTCTCTAATTTTTTCTGTATCTGAAAGGGATTTATTAATTTTTGAAAGTTTAACTGAATGCAAAAAGTTGGGTTGACAGTCTTTTTCTTTCAACAATTTGAAGATATTAGCTCACTGTCTTCCAGGATCCGTGGTTTCTGATGAGAAATTATTCATTTTTCTCTTGCTACTTTCAAGGCTCTCTTTTTGCCTTTGACTTTTGTCAGTTTTGTCTCGGTATAGATCTCTTTAAGTTTATTGTATTTCAGTTCATTAAGCTTCTTGGATGGGTAGATTCATATATTTCATCAAATTTTGGAAGTTTTTGGCTACTATTTTTTCAAATATATTTCTATCCTTTTCTCTCTCTTCTTTTTCTGGGATTCTTATTACACATATATTGGAATACTGTGTCCCACAAGTCTTTTAGGCTTTATTTTTTATCAGTCTTTTCTCTTTCTTCTCCTTACACTGGATAATCTGTATTAGCCTATCTTAAACTGTGTTGATTTTTTTTTCTGCCAGTGCAAATCTGTTGTTGAACCTTTGCAGAAGATTTGTCATTTTAGTTCTAACTCTAGAATCTGTATTTCAACTCCAGAGTTTTCAACTCCATAATATTTTGACTCCAGATTTTTCATATCTAGAATTCATATTTGGCTAGTTTTATAATTTTCAGCTCTATTCTAGCTGATACTATCTACTTGGGAATAGCTGATGTTACCTACTTGGGAAGATGATGTTGTCATATTTTTCTTTAATTCTTTAGACATAGTTTCCTTTAGTTCTAATTTTAGCATATATGTTGCCAAAGTGAGCATGTTTTCCTCTAGTTCTTAAAAATTTTGTGATCCCTTATTAAAAGTCGCTGTCCAAAGTGTGGACCCTATCGGGAACATTTTATGTTGACTGCTTTTTCCCCCTTTACTGTGACATACTTTCCTATTCACTTTATTTTATTTTTGGAATGTCTTCTAATTTGTTTGTTGAAAACTCAACAATTCATAAAATCTAGTACCAGATTTTTTTGTTGCTATTTGTTTAGTAAGTTTTCTGGACTAATTATATAGTTATGTATTTCTTCTAGTAAATGGCCACTAAGTTCTCTGCTAGCTAAAAAATATATTTTTTAAAGTTATTGTTTTTATTTTTAAGTCTTGCTTCCTAGGGGTCACATCCGAATCAGGATAATTTAGTGGTCAGTAAATTTTCTGAATGGTCAAAAGTTTTCCTTAAATACTTTGCATGCATGTCTTTTGCCTTTGCACAGAGATCTGTGTGAGAAGGGGCCCTTTCATACTTCATGCAATTTACAAGACAGATTTCACTTTCAACTCCTGCTTGTGTAGGACCTTAAGGACAGCTGCAGGTGGGTGACTGGCAGCTTATCCTTTCCCACATGTTTCTTGGTCATGGACACAGACTTGTGCAGAAAATGGCTTTTTATATGCTCAGGAATATGTCATAGGTTTTCAGACTCCTCCTACAGCCATCTAGTTCTCTGGCATTTCCTTTGAAATTCCTGGCCATACAGTTGTTTTTCATAATGAAAATTACAGCCTTAAACAGCTATTGCCAGAAGTTTGTTATTGTTTTGGTGATACCCTAGGGATGGGCCATTTTTTTTCCCCCACTAAATTAAGCTCTGAGTCAAATCAAATAGTTAACACATTCTGAGAACAGAGCTTTTTCAGAGAGCTTCAATTTTAGATGAATATTGACTGTTTTCTGGGGATGGAGGTTTTAATAAAACTGTGAAAAAGCGGTTCAATTTCTGCATTTTCAACAACGTTATCAACTTTTGCTTGCCATACTACTGAGCAGGGAATAAAGAGGAGTGGGAATAAGAAGTTAAAATACCAGATAGTTCATTTTGTCAACTAGGTTCAGTAATTAGTGCTTTTCAGTTAACTCCCTGTTTAATTGTCCTGACAATTATATAAGAGTTCTAGTTGTTTTGTCTGTATTTTCATTGTTTTGGAGAGAGAGCATGTTGACTGATGTCTTCACCATTGCAAAGTCCATTCCCTGAGCATATGTAAAAATAAATAAATAATTTTCTTCACTCATAATGAAGGAAACAAGTATATTTTATATACTGGTTCAAAGGGGAATCCAATAAAAATATAAATTTGTAGATCAGGGATATTGGATTAAATGTGCAAATTGAGGCAAAACTTTTTTTCTGAGGAAGGATGGCTGTTCCTCTTGGGACATAATTCATTTGCATGTATATAGATGAAAATTATTTTTGCATTGCTATAAGTTATCTACAACTCACAAAGTTGTAAAATAGCTTTTATTGAATCAGAATCTGATAAGGCGGAAGAGTGAGTTATAGAAATGCATGGCCTTCCATTGAATCACAAATTACTTCCTACAAAACTAAGTTAAGAAGACTTTCAGAATAAATAAATCTTATGTTATTAGAAAATAGAAAATGGTTTAAAAAAAAAAAGTAGGTCTTTAAAGTTTATTCTTATTTGGCCAAAATTGAACCCCACCAGAGTAACAAAAATATGAAAAACATAATAGCACTCATAGGCATTTGTTATTTATACCTCCCCTACCACCACCTTGTAATCACCAAGGGAGTTCCGTTTTGGAGACTCTGTCTGCCTTATACACATCAAAGTTAAAGTATAGGGAGATTTTTCACATGTTAGGGGCTAGAAAACCACTGCTTACTTTTTTCTTTATGAAGTGGATATAGTTATGAAGGCAATTTCAAGTAGGGAGAGAATACTAATGTTAAAATGTCTTCCAAATTTCCTAAAATGGCTTCCTGAGTGATTGATTAGCATTCTGAGTCTTGTCTGACACACACGCTTCATGACTTTCATTATAAAGCAGGAATCCACTTTTTACTTCAACTTCCTATTTCCTCTTTTAAAAGTCTCTTTACAAGAAGCAAATAAAAAGCTTAAAAGAAAATTTGAATCTGCTAACCTTTTAGCTTAGTTACTATCCTGCCTCAAGTGTGAAAAGAAAGCTATCCTGGATAAAGTGTTTATAAAAGGTAGGCCCTCAAGTAGAGAAGGCTTGCTTCCTTCTCTGATCTATCCTTGCTGAATCCATGCACAGAGAATGTTTTCTTTGCCCTATTCCATAATAGGTTTCATCCTGAACTCAGTAATTTTAGCTAAGAAACAGCTAAGTTAAAAAGACCACATATGGAAATAAAATACACCTTTCTGGCATTGATCTGGCTATCTTGACATGCTGTTGTCACTTGTAAGGGTGTCTGAAAGGGAGGACTAGGTCATTAACAACTCTTACCTTTGTTTAAGGTACTGTTTCTGGCCATGTTTTCTTTAATGCGCCTTTACATACATTTTATTATTGGTTTGAACAAACGATGGTACAATAATTAGGCCTCAAGTCTTATCCCTATCCTTTTGAGATATAAATTTTCTACTTGGCTTACCTAACAGTCTTTTTCTTTTTTTAAGGCAAACTGATGCTGAGTGTATTAGTCTGTTTTCACACTGCTGTAAAGATATTACCTGAGACTGGGTAATTTATAAACAAAAGAGGTTTAATTGACTCACAGTTCTGAATAGCTGGGGAAGCCTAAGAAAATTTACTATCATGGTGGATGGTGAAGGGAAAGCAAGGCATGTTTTACATGACAGGAGAGAGAGAAAGAGCAAGAAAGTGCCTCACTTAAAATCACCAGCTCTCATGAGAACTCCCTGTCACAGAAACAGCATGGTGGACACTGCCTCCATGATTCAGTTGCCTCCCACCAGGGCCCTCCCTCAACATGTGGGGATTACACGAGATGAGATTTGGATGGAGACACAGAGCCAAACCATATCATTCCACCCCTGGCCCCTCCCAAATCTCATGCCCTTTTCACATTCAAAACCAATCATGCCTTCCCAACAGTCCCCCAAAGTCTTAACTCATTCCAGCATTAACTCAAAAATGCAAGTCCATAGTCTCATCTGAGACAAGGCAAGTCCCCTCTATGAGCCTGTAAAAATTAAAAACGAGTTAGTTAATTCCAAGATACAATGGGGACATAGGCATTGGGTAAATATTTCTATTCCAAATGGGAGAAACTGGGGATCCAGGCTCTAGGCAAGTCCGAAGTACAACAGGGCAGTCATTGACTCTTAAAGTCCAAAATGACCTCCATTGACTCCATGTCTCACATCCAGGACATACTGATGCAAGGGGTGGGCTCCCAAAGCCTTGGGCAACTCCACACCTGTAGCTTTGCAGAGTACAGCCCCCATGCCTGCTTTCATGTGCTAATGGTGAGTGCCTGTGGCTTTTCCAGTCACATGGTACAAACTGTTGATGGATCTTTCATTCTGGGGTCAGTAGGATGGTGGCCCTATTCTCACAGCTCCACTAGGCAGTGCCCCAGTGGGGACTCTGTGTGGGGGCTCTGACCCCACGTTTTCCTTCCTTGCCCTAGCAGAGATCCTCCATGAGGGCACTGGCCCTGCAGCAGACTCCTGCCTGGATATTCAGGTGTTTCCATACATCCTCTGAAATCTAGTTAGAGGTTACCAAAGCTCAACTCTTGTCTTCTGTGTACCCACAGGCCCAACACCATGTGGAAGCCCCAAAGCTTGAGGCTTGCATCCTCTGAAGCAATGACCCAAGCTGTTCCTTGGCCCCTTTTAGCTATGACTGGAGCTGGAGTAGCTGGGACGCAGGGCACCAAGTTCCAAGGCTGCATAGAGCATCAGGGACCTGGACCTGGCCCACAAAACCATATTTCCTCCTAGGCCTCTGGGCCAGTTATGAGAGGGGCTGTCATGAAGGTCTCTGACATGCCCTGGAGACATTTTCCCCATTGTCTTGGCTATTAACATTCAGCTCCTTGTTACTTGTGCAAATTTCTGCAGCTGGCTTGAATTGCTCCCCAGAAAATGGGTTTTTCTTTTCTACCACGTGGTCAGGCTGCAAATTTTCCAAACCTTTATTTTCTGCTTCTCTTTTAAACATAAGTTCCAATTTCAAATTATGTGTTCAAATCTCTTTGTGAACACATATAACTGTATGCTTTCAGGAAAATCCAGGTCACCTCTTGAATGCTTTGCTGCTTAGAAATTTCTTCTGTAAATACCCTAAATCATCTCTCTCAAGTTCAAAGCTCCACAGATTTCTAGGGCAGGGACAAAATGCTGCCAATCTCTTTGCTAAAGCATAACCAGAGTGACTTTTGCTTAATTTCTCAGTAAGTTCCTCATCTCCATCTGAGACCACGTCAGCCTGGATTTCATTTTCCATATCACTATCAACATTTTGGTCAAAACCATTCAAAAAGTTTCTAGGAAGTTTCAAACTTTCCAAGATCTTCCTGTCTTCTTCTGAGCCCTCCCAAATGTTCCAAACTCTGCCTATCACCTAGTTCCAAAGTCAATTCCACATTTTCAGGTTATCTTTGTAGCAGTATCCCACTATTCCAGTACTAATTATCTGTATTAGTCCATTTTCACACTGCTAAATGTATAATCATGGCAGAAGGTAAAGGGGAAGAAAGGCATGACTTACATGGCAGCAGGAGAGAGAGGGAAAGAGCAAGGAAGTGCCACACTTAAAACCATCAGCTCTCATGAGAACTCCCTCACTGTCATGAGAACAGCATAGTGGAAACAGCCCCTATGATCCAATCATCTCCAACCAGGTCCCTCCCTTGACACATGGGGATTTCAATTTGAGATAAGATTTGGGTGAGGAAAGAGAGCTAAACCATATCACCTTGCTAACAATTGCCTGAGACAATAAAACAGCTAATTGGAAAATCGATAGTCTAAACGGAAAAAAAATTATTTTATTTTTTCTAACTTTTAAATTCAGGGGTATATATGCAGGTTTGTTACATAAGTAAACTTGTGTCATGGGGGTTTGTTGTACAGATTGTTTTGTCATCCAGGTATTAAGCTAAGTACCCATTAGTTATTTTTCCTGATCCTTTCCCTACTCCCACCCTCCTCCCTTCAATTGGCCCCAGTGTGTGTTGTTCCCCTCTATGTGTCCATTTGTTCTCATTATTTAGCTCCTGCTTGTAAGTGAGAACATGTCATATTTGATTTACTTTTCCTGCATTAGTTTGCTAAGAAAAATAGCCTCTAGCTCCATCCATGTGCCTACAAAGGACATGATCTCATTCATTTTATGGCTTCATAGTATTCTACAGTGTATATGTACCACATTTTTTTAACCCAGTCTATCATTGATGGGCATTTAGGTTGATTCCATGTCTTTACTATTATGAGTAGTGCTGTAATTAATGTATGTGTGCATATGTCTCTATAACAGAATGATTTATATCCCTTTGAGTATATACCCAGTAATGGGATTGCTGAGTCAAATGGGGTTTCTCTGTTCAGGTCTTTGAGAAATTGCCACACTGTCTTCCACAATGGTTGAACTAATTTACCCTCTCACCAGCTTATAAACTTTCCTTTTTCTCAACAGCCTTCCTAGCATCTGTTATTTTTTGACTTTTTAATAATAGCCATTCTGACTGGTATGGTATCTCATTGTGGTTTTGATTTTCATTTCTTTAATGATCAGTAATATTGAGCTTTTTTCATATGATTGTTGGCCGCATGTATGTCTTTTGAAAAGTGTCTGTTCGTGTCCTTTTCCCACTCTTTAATGGGATTGTTTTTCTCTGTAAATTTGTTTAAGTTTCTATGGATGTTAGCTATTAGACCTTTGTCAGATGCATAGTTTGCGAAAATTTTCTCCCATTCTTTGGGTTGTCTGTTTACTCTGTTGATAGTTTCTTTTGCTATGCAGAAGCTCTTTAGTTTTAATTAGATCCAATTTGTCAATTTTTGCTTAAAAAAATGCTTTAAAAGCTGGCTGGCAAATAAAAAATTTTTTATGGAACCCATAAGATCTGCTTCTGTGTCAGTACGTCCACATGTGTTCGTTGTTAAGTGTAAGTGATAATATTTGATAAATAAAGCTAGCTTTTAAATTGTTGGAAAAATAGAAATGGCTTTAAAATTGTCAGTTAAATATAATTCAGGCTATTTTGCCTGAAATTACTGGTGAGACAGGTTTATGCTGCTTCTGCCACATGTTTTAAGGTCACAAAACTTCTGTTTCTGTGGTATTTTTGATACTTCTTGATTTGACTGTGAGCTTATACTTTTGGTGTGGAGCCTCTGGATTCTGGGGTCTAGATAGTTTACCATGGTGAGACCTGAGGACATTTTCTCCATGCCTGAACCAGCAGCTACAAGGCAGAATAAAGACCAATACGGCCCTTCTTCCTGGCTCAGCTTTGCCTTTTGGCTCTTCTGCAAGGGGTTCTATCCTCCATACATCATCTTCACAGATCTGTCTTTTGTCTTGAACTCCATACCTGGTATGTAAATTCAGGACCCAGGCCCTACCTCTCATAGCCATCCTAAGTGCCATGTGGCTACTTGACAACCAGGATGACTGGGGAAATTATTTCAAAATTCTTTTGAGTAATTTAAAATCTTAAAGTCTTGTTATATTAAATTAAATAAGTGATAATCATAAAATGTCTAATGCTAGAATATTAATTATTAAACATAAGTTTAAGTTTATATACTTTGGCAACTTATTGTTATATGGCATACATAGAAAATCTATAGATATTCAGATCTGTTAATAAACAGATCTGCCTGTGTCTGTTTGACAGGCCAGGAGTTTGAGTCCAACCTGGGCAACATAGTGAGACACTTTCTCTACAAATAAAACAAAATAAAAAGAAATTAACAAGGCATAGTGGCATGTGCCTGTAGTCCTAGCTACCTGGGAGGCTGAATTAGGAGGATCTCTTCAGCTCAGGAGTTCAAGGCTGCAGTGAGCTATGATCATGCCAGTGTATTCCAGCTTAGGTGACAGAGCAAGACCGTATCTCTAAAAAGAATAATAAAAATACTTATAAGAAATTATAAATAGTTTATGTAAATCTAGTATGATCAAAAGCTGACTGAAATGGGATAGATTTGTTTATAAAGTTTTATTAAAATTAGCTTTAGTATTTATTGATAATACACACAAAAAAGGAATGCTTGGTTTTATCTTTGAACAAAATGTTTTATAGTATTAATAAGACACAGTAAAATATTTTTGTTTACCTTTTCAGTAAACCACACAAAACAAAAAAGAGAGGAATTAAGGAGAGACAAATTATGTCTCATGCTGTCTTTCTCAGGTCTGCTGATTGTTTGGAAAACCGAGTTTCTTCTCTACTAAAGAATAAAGGTTTTGCTTTTTAATTTTTGTTTTTTCTTTGAGATGGAGTCATGCTGTGTCGCCCCAGCTGGAGTGCAGTGGTGTGATCTCGCCTCACTGCAAGCTCCACCTCCCAGGTTCACGCCATTCTCCCGCCTCAGCCTCCCGAGTAGCTGATAAAATTTTTAATTATCATTTTGGCTAAATGAATAACTATTATTTTACACTGTGTGTGATCTTGTTTTGGTCAAGTGTTTTGAACATATTTGGTCAAGCGTTCTGATATGCTTGACAGGCTCCCCAAAATCAAATTATAAATTCAAAATTCTTTTTATTGACCTCTAGCTTTGGAATGCTATGGAGGGCTCTTGTAGCATACAAAAGAGAGATAATAAGCAGGCTTAATTGATGTGTTAAATTACACAGAAAGCATTGTCAAATAAAAAATAATGTTTAACCTTCTTCAAGTTATATTTTTATGAATATGTTATTAATATATATTCCAACAGTGTATGGGACTCCTAACATTCTGATATGTCTGGGTATATGCTATCACTTATAATTATGGTTATTATGTTTAATTATTATAGGCCAGAGAAATAATCAAACTTATTTGTGATTGCGTCTTTAAGTATAATCATTTAAAGTCATTTACACAGTTAATTGCTTAATTCTAACGGAGTTTCAAAAACTTTACAAGCATATAAAATTCTAGTGTATTGTGTTTTCAAAAAGATTCATGAAAAGAATGCAATCTGAAATGTAGGTTTCTGATAACTTCAGGATCATTTGGTCTGGGAAAGAATTCCCAGAACTTTAATAAAGAGACTGACTGGTTTTTAAAATGTTAACCTAAGCAGGGCAAAAATTAATTAAATATCAAGAAAACACTTTGCCAGATTTTCGTGCTAAATCAGCCAGTACTGAAATTGTTTAGCTAGGCAATTTGAATAACTCCATGGTCCAAGTGAAATTACCTATGATAACCCATCTAATAGACAGTGTTATCCACCTTAATTGGAGAAACAAAATTGATATTTAGGAGGATATAAACTCAGTGTTAAGTCTGGACTCATGGAGAGTCTGGTCTGCTGCTTGATTCTTCTGAGTTCTTAAAGCTTTCATTATTTAAAGCTTTACATACCATGAATCTTCATGGAAGAGATAAAATAATCAAAATTGAATGTTTGGTTTGTCAAACCCATAATCCTGGGAAAACAATCAAAACTTCAGGTACATCTCTGCTATCTGACGGGCCATTCAAACATTTATAGAGGGATTTCATTCAATTGTAATTTTCAGTGTATGTTTTCTGGTTGTATAGAAGCTTTCCGGGGTAAGAATGCAGATGTTATAATAGTAGTTAAAAGGTTATTGGAAGACGTGTTTTTAGCATGAGAAATTTGTAACAAAATCTCCAGTGATAGAGGCATTTATTTCACTAGTCAAGGTATAAAATTGTTAAATAATGTATTACAGATACAATAACATTAGGCAAAGGCAACTGAATTAATTGGATAGCCATGATCAAAGTTATTGCAGATTGATGACAATAAGATCTACTTCCAGGGGAAAATACAAGCTGACCAACCCCTCACGAAATAGTCACTGGAGAACCTATGCTCCTAAAAATAAAATCTCATGTGTCTTCTGCTCCTAAACTCTAATATGACTAAATGCTGGAAGGCTTTAATGCCTTATGCCACAGTGTATTTTCACCAGGTAAAGAAAGTATTTTATTGTCCAGTGGCTGAAGACAACCAAATCCTTTACATTCTAGAACCCACCCAGAGATTGAGTCTTCTGAGAATGACATCAGAGAAAGACTGCCCTTGCCACCCACACTGCAACAAAACTTTGGGATCTTGGATCTTGGGTTAATAATCTCGCAATTCAGAAGGACTTCTCCAGACTCTTAGATGTGAACCTTCACTGGAGACCTTAAGGTAAAGCTAACTGGAGAAGTTTCTCCCCAGAAGTAGACAATATCCTAGACATGGATAGCTTTATCCCACAATCACAAGTCAAGGCTTCCTTGCTATCATGAAACTCTTATCTCTCAATTTTTCCTTGTTTATGTCTGTATAAACAATAGAACTCAAAAATGGACATTTTGTGTGTACTCATGGGATGTACTTTTATTTGTGGAGGATTTTGCAACCCACCTTATACATGAACAACCTTATGTATTGACAGATGGATGATAAAGGGCTAATGTGGGTGGGAAATTTTAGTAAAACCTTTGTTCCTTCTTAATCACTGAGAAACAGAACATTGGTCCACTCCTCTTAACCTATATCGTAGGTTAAAGAGAACATTGCCAAGAGGCCTTCACTCTTCTGGATGGGCATCATTTATTAGGCCTCTTTTTCCATGGTTTAGGGTAAATGAAGCAATGACTAGAAATGTGTCCCTTATAATAGGCTCTACAGCAGATTCTACTGCAAAGGCTATGATTACACAACAGACTTTAATTTCTCTTACTAAAGTTGTGCTATATAATAGAATTGCCCTAGATTACTTACTGGCTAAACAGAGAAATATCTGTGCAGTTGCTGATACTTCTAGCTGCACATGAGGAATACATTGTGTATTATAGAGAATCAGTTGAGGAGATTAATGAACAGGCTGTTTGGTTAAAACTAGTAGACTCTTTATCTAGCTCATTATTTGATATATTTGATTTTAGTTGGTTTGGCTTATGGGGACCCTGGCTAAGGAGCATACTCCAAACTCTTGGTATTATTCTCCTGATAGTTATAATAGTTGTCTCCATGGTACACCACATTCCCTCAAAAATTTTAAATGTTTGTATGGAGCCATCTGTAAAATGTCAAATGACCTCTCTTTGACTGAAACAATAAATAGTCAAAGAAATGTGTGATTATGAAAATACCATAACCTATAAATGAGGTGATGAGACCAGAAACCCAAAAAGATGGTAACTGAGAGTGGTGCTAAAGCCCTAAGTTTTTGTCACACTCTCACTTAAAAGAGAAACCTAACCCAAAGGAGAAAATTTTTAAACATCTAAGTTTTATGAAAGGCCATTGTTTTGACCTGTCCTCAACAGACCGAACAAAACCAAAATGGAGTCACTCATGCTAAATGCAACATAATCAAACTGAAACTTTAAGGAAGTGGATAGGTCCTAAAACAGACCAGGTTTTGTTGTTCTTCTATAAACAGGAGATTCCAGGACAAGGAGGTCCCCCATCTACTCTAACCATTATCCACCTTATAAAAAATCTACTGTTCTACTATTTCCCAGTTCTACTATTGAGACTAAATAAGTACATTTACTGTAGTGACAGGGTGATGTCAATGCCTAAACTTTTGGTCAACCTCCCAATTTTCAGAGGTTGACCAAAAGGGGGAATTGTTAAATTAAGTTTAGTCTAAAACTGCCTTCTTATATATTTTAACTTAGGCCAAAACTTTCTTTGTACATAGTCACCTGTAACCTAACTGGATGTGCTAATAGTCTGTAACCTACTCTTGTCCCAGTCATGGCGTTTCTGCCAATCAAAGGTGGCCAGCCCTTCAAACCATGTTCAAATAAGGCAAACACAGAGCTGTAACCAGTCTGGCTGTTTCTGTACCTCACTTTCATTTTCTGTACATCACTTTTCTTTTTCTGTACATAAATCTTTTTCAACCATGAGGTAGCACTGGAATCTCTCTGAACCTATTCTAGTTTGAGGCTGCCAAATTCACAAATTGTTATTTGCTCAGTTGAACTCTGTTAAATGTAATTTGTCTAAGGTTTTTCTTTTTAACAGTCCTACATCCTAGTGTAGCACTTTCTTGTCACTTAAAATAACAGTAATTATAGTAATGATGCAAATATAAATATGGACATAAGAACCATCCAAATAAAATATTGTCTTGCTAGATTTTAGTTCAGGCTGTTTGTAGACATTTGGGACAGGTTTTTTTTGTTTGAAGCATTATTCCATTGTGAAAATGTAGAAAGCCTAATGTCTATTTTCAAACATAGAATGATATATTGAGTAATTAAAAAAAATCTTGGTGTATTTCTTCCAATAATGGCAATCAGGGTAACCTTAATAGACTGCACTGTCTTGATAGGCTCATTATTTGCTGGAGGTTAAAGAGCATATTGGGTAATAGTTTGACTTATTGGTGCATACAACTTTAGCTAAGGGAAACACATCCACTAACAGAAATGCATTTTAATTTGGGGTAATTAGAAAAGAGTTTTGACTCTTAGATTAGAGAGCTGAGATTGAAATAGAATCACATCAATATGCTTTAAGAAGCAGTCCTCAAAATGAAGAAATTTCACCCTTCATTGGTAGATTAAATAATGGTCCCTCAAATATATCAGATTCTAATTTTCAAAACCTATAAATGTTACCTTACATGGAAACAGGGTGTTTGTAGATTTGATTAAGTTAAGGATCTTGAGATGGAGAGATTATCCTGGAAGATCAGGGTGGGCTCTAAATGCAAATGTATGAATCCTTATAAGATGGCAAAAGAGGCTGTAGAGGGAGATTTGACAGTACACAACAGAGGAGAAGGCAAAGTGAAGAGAGATTCCAATATGCTGGCCTTGAAGATTGAAGTGACGCAACCACAAACCAAGGGTTGCCAGCAGCCATCAGAAGATGAAAGATTCAAGGAAAGAATTCTCTCCTAGAGCCTCCAGAGGGAATGCAGCCCTACAACACCTTGATTTTAGTCCAGTGATGCTGATAACAGATTTCTGGTCCTCAGAATCATGACGGCATACATTTCTGCTGTTTTAAACCAACACATTTGTAGTAACTTATTATAGCAGCCCCAAGAAACTAATAGAATGGTGATAAAATATACTTACCAAATCCTTGAAGTGGTTTCAGTGTTT